>NC_000001.11:216309587-216934587 GCF_000001405.40 Homo sapiens
AAGGAGTGCTGAGAGGAAACATTCTTGTCTTATTCCTGATCTTAGTAGGAAAGATTCTGGTTTCTTATCCTTAAGTATGATGTTCACTCTAGGTTTTTATACATATTTTCTATTAAGTTGAGTATGTTCTCCTCTACTCCTTATTTGTGGAGAGTTTTGATCATGAATGGATGCTTGATTTTGTCAAATACTTTTTCTACATTTATTGATATAATCTTGTAATTTTTCCCCTTTAGCCTGTTGATGTGAGGAATTACTTTAGCTGATTTTTGAATGCTGAACCAGTCTTGCAAACCTGAGATAAATCCCTCTTGGTTCTGATATATAATTATTTTTACACATTGCTTAATAGTTTTATTTTGAATATTTTGTTGAGAATTTTTGCATCTATTTTTATGAGAGTTATTGGTCTGTGGTTTTCTTTTCTTGTAATTTCTTTGTCTGATGTTGGTACAGGGTAATGTTGGCATTATAAAATGAGCTGGTTTTATTCTTCAATTCATTCTAACAATCTCTCTCTTTTAATTGGTATATTTAGACCATTGACACTCAAAGTAGTTACTGGCATAGTTGGATTAATATCTACTACTTTTTATTCATTGCCCTTGTTCTTTGTTTCTATTCTTGTTTTCTATATACTTTTTACCTTTTGTGGTTTTAGTTGAGCATTTTTACATGGTTCCATTTTCTTTCCTTTGTAAGTATTAAATATATCAACTATACCTTTTTAAAACTTTTTTGGGGGTTGCCCTATAAAGCTTATAATATACATTTATAACTAATCCAAGTATACTTTTAAATTTTGGAATTTTTTGTTATTATTTTGTTGAATAAGATTTCTAATCCTTCCTCTTCAACTCCCTCTTGAATACCATTAATTCTTACATTTGGCCTTTTGAGGTATTAATAATTTTCTATATATTGTAGGAAATCTTCATTTCTTTGTGTTCTTTTTTTCTCCTCGACCATATATTTTCAAATATTCTGTCTTCAAGCTCACTGATTCTTTCCTCTGCTCAATCCATTCTGATGGTGAGAGCTACTAGTGAATTTTTCAGTTCGGTAAATTTATTTCTCAGTTCCAAGGTTTCTGATAGATTTTTTAAAATTTCAATCTCTGTTAAATTTCTCTAATGAATTTCTGAATTATTTTTCTGTGTTCTACTGGAGATCACTGAGTTTTCTTAAAACTGCATTTTAAAATTCGTGGTCAGGGAGCTTACATATTACTGTCTTGTTAGGGCCAGTCCCTGGTTCCCTGCTTTGTCTGTTTGGAGACATCATAGTTTCCTACTGCTGTTTTTCTTGTGGACATACATCTATGTCTTTGCTGCTAAATTGCTTCCTCTAGGGAGCTATAGGGGGCGCTTTAAGCCCAGGTTCGCCTTGGCTTCAGTAAACAATCCAATTGTGCCCTTCTTAACAAGAGAGGTCCCAAAGGGAATATCCTGACAGTATGGGAAGGCTGCCTAAGGGTTTGTGCCGAGGAGAACAGTGAAATAATCCTCCTGCATCATAGTGCTGCTAAGCAGCTACTCTGACATTGTGTCTGCATTGGTCAAGTTACAGAGCAGACTTTCCCAGGCTGGGGATGACAGACCTACATCCCCCTTTGTCTCTGCCTATCTTCAGGAATATGTCTCCCTTTAGGCACTCATGACGCTTCCAGTGGGTTGAGGCATGGATAGGACAGGTCTCTTTCCGGTAACCCAGAATGGCTGGGGAAGCTGGTTGTTTACCTCAATCTTAATTTTTCCAGTGTAGAAAAAAGTGAGTTGGAGGAAAATCTTCTGCATATTTGGTGTCAGGCAAAATGGGGTAACGAGTGCTACAAATGTGAAAGTCAGGTTTCTTACCATCCACTTGGTGTTTCTCATTTCCTTATGGCCCTGGGAACAGTTATATCTTCATATTTGAGTTCTGGACTATCGTGACAATTTCTGGTGATAATCTCAGCAATGTATATTTGTTAATTTTTCTTTTTGGCGGGAGAGGGGCGCGGTGGGGTTGTGGCATGGCAGCTTGTTTCTGTGCCGCCATTTTGGAACTGGAAGTCATGGGGCGGAAGAGTTAACATCCAGAGCAGCCCCTGACACCTGGCATGGAGGACGGGAGAACCGCAGGTGGAGCTTGAACTATCAAGACAAAATAATGTCATGCGAGAGTTCCAAGTTGACTTTTAAATAACACGATACCACTTAAAAGGTGGCATGAGTACCTAATAATAATAAAGTATTCCTAGTTCCTCCCTCTGGTGTCTTGTATTGTTGCTATCATTCATTTCACTTACACACATGCTATAATAATGAAATACATTGTTCTTATTATAATTTTGAACAAACTGGTATCTACTAGATCAATTAAGGATAAGAAAAATAAAAGTTATTTTATTTATTCTTTCTCTAATGTTCTCCCTTTCTTTACATAAATCTGAGTTTTCTGACCTGTATCATTTTTTCTCTCTCTCTGAAGTTCTTCCTTTAACATTCTTGCAAGGCAAGAAAAGTCTACTGGTTTTTGTTTGAGAAAGTATTTTTCCTTTACTTTTAAAGGATAATTTTGCAAGATACAGAATTCTAGGTGGATTTTTTTTTTTCTGTCAACACCTAACTATTTAACCACTTTTCTTGCTTGCATGCTTTCTGAGGAGAAGTAGAATGTAATTCTTATCTTTGCTTTTTCATAGGCTAGATGTTCCCCCTTCAGCCAGGCTCCTTTTAAGATATTTTTCCCTAACTTTGATTTTTCTGCATTTGGAATATGAAAAATTCTTAGTCATTATTGTTCCAAATATTTCTTCTGTTCCTTTCTCTTCTTCTTCTTCTTCCCCATTATATGTATTTACATTTTTGGTAGCTGTCTCACAGTTCTTAGATATTCTGCTCTATTTGTTCAGTCATTTTTCTTTTTACCTTTCTATTTTGGTAGTCTCTATTGACACATCTTCAAACTCAGATTCTTTTATCAGCTGTCCCCAAATATTAATGATCCAATTAAAGGCATTCTTTATTTCTATGAAAGTGTTTCTGATCTCTAGCTTTTCTTTTTGCTTCTTTGTCAGAATTTTTATCTTTCAGCTTATATTGCCATCTATTTTTGCATGTTGTCTACTTTTTCCATTAGAGCCTTTAGTGTATTCATCAGAGCCGCTTTAAGTTTCTGGTCTGATAATTTCCATATCCTTTCCATGTCTGAGTCTCATTCTCATTTTTGCTCTCTCTCTTCAAACTGTGAGGTTGTTTGTTTGTTTCTTTGTTTGTTTGTTTTTGGTGTTTTAGTGTGCTTTGTAACTTTTTGTTGAAATCCAGACATGATGTACTGAGTAAAGGGAACTCTGGCAAACAGGCCTTTCATGGTGTGGTGGTAAGATGAGAGGGGAGGGAAAGCGTTCTATGGCAGTGGTCCCCAATATTTTTGGCACCAGGGATCGGTTTTGTGGAAGACAACTTTTCCACGAACTGGGTGTGAGGGCAGCACATGGGGAATGGTTTCAAGATGAAGGTATTCCACCTCAAAGCATCAGGAATTCTCAGAAGGAGTGCACAACCTAAATCCCTCACATGTACAGTTCACAATGGGGTTTATGCTCCTATGACAACTTCATGTCACTGCTGATCTGACAGGAGGCAGAGCTCAGGAAGTAATGATAGCTCACCAGCTGCTCACGTCCTACTATGCAGTCCGGTTTCTAATAGACCACAGACCACTACTGACCAGTGGCCCAGGGGTTGGGGACCCCTGTTCTATGATTCTAGGATTAGTTTTCAGTTTTTAATGAGCCCTGTGCTCATTGGCTGTGAACTTTACAAGTATTTCTCAGTAACTGCTCTTCTTACCCCAAGGTGCAACAGAATGGCTAGAGGGAGCTGAAGTTGGAGTTTACCCCTTCCCTTTAAATGCTATTTTTAATGACCATTTAATGGTATCCTGCTACTTTTTATACTCTTTCTTACATATAACCTTATTTTTATTTAACGCAGTAAATTTTCCTCTATATTTATCCACATATTTGCTGGTTTACTTGCTCACAATTCCTTCCTTCACACCAGGCCTATTTTCTGGAAACATTATATATCCTTATGAAAAGTATTCTCGAAAAATTCTTTTATTGAGAGTCTGCTGGTGATAATATTGATATATATATCTGTAAACTAAAAATGCATTCTTTCTTTCTTGTTTCTAATTGATGGTACTACTACAAATACAATTCCATATTTCTTGGTTGCCTTCTCTCTGCATTTCAAAGGCACTACTCTGCTGTCTTCTGGCTTTCATTGTGGCTGTTGAGAAATATATCAGTAGTGTCTTAGAAATTAATTTCTTACACTTTGTATTTTTCTCTCTGGCTGTTTTTAGGATGCTGTTCTGTCTTTGGTGATTATCAGATTTCTGTCTTTCTGGCTGCTTGGTCTTTGGTGATTATTGGATTCATTATATTATACCTATGTATGCATTTACTTTTCTTAGCCTACTTGGGATTCAGAAAAATCATGTCATTCCTCACCTTTAGATAATTCTTTACTCTTATCCCTTCAAATATTATCTTTTCTTTTACTATGTTTATACTTTCACTATCTCTATTTGCTTCTTCTGTAAGGCTGTCTTAATTTATCTCCATGCTCATAACCTCTTTTTCATGTTTTCAACTTATATTTTAAAAGCATTTATGCACATACCTATCTCACGGAAAGAACTAGTACAAGTGTTTTTCAAAGATTAATAATATCATCATGTCAGTGAGGAAAGAAAATTCTTTACCTTGACTTACTAAACATATATCAAATGTAGATCCTATAATATGAACTGTGTGAATGCTAGTTATATAAAAATGAATTAATTTACTAGCATTACAATAATTAAAATATAAATAAAATATATTTAGGGTAAAATCTGCGAACAAACAGAGAAAAAATAAGCAGTGGTAAAGCCTGATATATAATATAAATATGACACAAATTAGTCATGATGATTCATACTTTTGGACTTTGGTGCTCTAAAGGAATCTTTCAAAAATAACAGAAATATTCATTTATATAATAAGCATTCTAGAGTGTGATGTTGGCACCATTCAAATTATTGAGTGGTAGGAAGGCTTATTATATAAAAAGTTTCAAGCTGGCTGTGCTATTTATAATGCTAACAAAAATTTATACTGATAGTTTGATTGTAGTTAATTCATAAGATCTATGATTAATGTTATAAAAGGGTCATAAGTTAGAGCCAAAGAATAAGAAGTGTTCATGGTTACTAATAAATTGCTCTGTGAAGGCTTGGCTACCCTTGCAGGTAATGATGTCACAAAATGACGAAAGAATAGCTAAGTAGCCAATGAAGTGCCAATGCTTGGCTGAGACACTGATCATTGCATCACTCTTGGCCAGAGCCCCGAAAGGTAAATGTAGTTATTAAAGGAAAAAGACAACTCATAAGGATTCAAGTTTCAACTGACAACACTTTTCTTAAAACTAGATTCTATTCAACACTTGAACTCTTAGATCAAGTAAAGAAAGTACTAGATAAGAAAAAGAAGTAATAAATATATTATAGCTTTGCAAATATGTTAGTTGACAGATAAACCCAGGCTTCCAATTCCTAGCTTGTATTATGTACCTATGAGCTTAATATATACACTTTGATACTTATAATGGATTTCTGATTAAGTGGGCCAGAGATACCATGTTGCAGTAAAGCTAACAGCACATGTAATTAGGGAATGATCTAAAAGTGGGGGTGAGGTGGGATTTAAAAGCCTATGTACGAAAATATTACATACCAAATAACACTATGCTAAGAAATTTTGGAACAGGCAAAACTAATCTGTATTGATAGAAATAAGATTGGTGGTTTCCTGGGATTGGGGGTTCAGAGACAGCACTGACTGCAAAGAAGCATAAGAGAACGTTTGGGAGAGTGAAACATTCCATCTCTAGACAGGGATGGTGATTACACAGGGTACACATATGCCAAAACTCATCAAACTATATATTTTTAAGTGGGTATATTTTATTGTACACAAATCACACTTTTGATGTAAAAAGAAAAAAACACTAGTTTTGCCAGATGTTACCATGGGACAAATTGGTAGAGTACACAAATTGTCTTTATATTATTTTTTACAACTGTATATAAATCTATAATTATCTCAAAATTAAAAGTTTACTTAAAAATGCAAGTAACAGTGGCTATTTTTTATTCAAATGAAATTAAACATTTATAAATAACATGTTTGTAACTTGTGAGATATATAATGATTCATGCAAGTTCAATACCATGTATTTCTAATTTCTACTTTGAAATATTTAACTTTGTATGAAAGTTAATGAATAGCATCTAGGCTTTTGGATTTGTTTCACCCTAAATCAGTTCTAAAGTGAGCCTAGTAAATTAAGCATTTACTGCTTTTTTTTCATTCTTGGAAAGAAATGCGACAAGTATTCTAAAAGTATTCTCTATGAGTGAAGTATTTATGGTATGTATCATACATTAAAGTCAAGGCCTTAAAATTGCCAGTACAATACAAAAATGTATCGGAGTTCCTGGTCAAAGAGTGCAGAGGAGAATCAGTGAGGCTCCCCAAGGTAAATGTTTTTAGATGTCAAAAATGTAATTAAAAAAAAAGTAAGCATGGCTTTAATTTCATCTCAGAGTAAACAGTGTCTTTGCTAATAGATTTTCTTGAGTTGTTTTCGGTTATTTGTGAGTTTTTATTTTTATAAAGGGGTAAAAGAAATAGGAGTTAACAATGAATATAGCAATGAACAGCTGGTCTTTCTCTACTCAGAATAATTAAAAATGTATTCTAGCTTCTAGTGTCTCAATCTATCCATCAGTTTTGCTTTAGGAGGTTAAGAAGCTCCGAGTCTTTCAAGGCCAGGTAGTTCACCAAAGTGATGTCGCCCATGTATAAGGATATACATAGTAGTGAATGTTGTAGCAAGCCCAAGAGTGATACTGTTGTAAATGTGGTAAATGTCACCCTGAATCAGTGAGTTGTTGATGGCAGGAAATGGACACAGTGTTAGACTATGTTCTGATTAAGAGAAGTGAGGAATTAAAAATTTGTGTCATTTTTTAACTTTTAATAATCGCCATTCTGACTGGCATGAGCTGGTATCTCATTGTGGTTTTGATATGCATTTCTCTAATGATCAGTGATGCTGAGCTTTTTTTCATACGTTTGTTGGCCACACATATGTCTTCTTTTGAGAACTGTTCTCAAACAAACAACCCCATTAAAAATTGGGCAATGAACATGAACAGACAGTTCTCAAAAGAAGACATTAATGTCCTCCCCTGGCAACAACTCGCTAACTCAGGGTTCTTTGCCCAGTTTTTAATGGGGTTGTTTTCTTCTTGTAAATTTGTTTAAGTTCCTTCTAGACTCTGGATATTATACCTTTGTCAGATGGATAGAATGCAAAAATATTCTCCCCTTCTATAGGTTGTCTGTTCACTCTGACCATAGTTTCTTTTGCTGTGCAGAAGCTCCAAGGTTGTGGAGAAAAGGGAACACCTTTACACTGTTGGTGGGAGTATAAATAGTTCAACCATTGTGGAAGACAGTGTGGAAATTCCTCAAAGATCTAGAGGCAGAAATACCATTTGACCCAGCAATCCCATTACTGTGTATTACCAGAAATATAAATCATTTGCAGGGACATGAATAGAGTTGGAAGTCATTATTCTCAGCAAAATAATGCCGGTACAAAAAATCAAACATTACGTATTCTCACTTACAAGTGGGATCCGAATTATGAGAACACATGGACACATGTCGGGGAACAACACACATTGGGGCCTCTTAGGGATGGTGGGGGCTGTGGGGGGAAGAGCATCAGGAGGAATAGCTAATGGTTTCTGGACTTAATACCTAGGTGAGGGGATGATCTATGCAACAAGCCACCATGGCACACCTTTACCTAAGTAACAAACCTGCACATCCTACACATGTTCCTCTGAACTTAAAATAAAAGTTGAGGGCCAGGAGTGGTGGCTCATGCCTGTAATCCCAGCACTTTGGGAGTCCGAGGCAGGTGGAGCACTTGAGGTCAGGAGTTCAAGACCTGCCTGGCCAACAAGGTGAAACCCATCTCTACAAAAAAAAAAATACAAAAAGTTAGCCGCGTGTGGTGGTGTGCAGCTGTAGTCCCAGCTACTTGGGAGACTGAGGCAGAAGAATTGCTTGAAGCTGAGAGGCTGAGGTTGCAGTGAGCCAAGATCATGCCACTGCACTCCAGCCTCGGTGACAGAGTGAGACTCCCTCTCAAAAAAATAAATAAATAAAAAAGATTGAAGAATAAATAAATATTTTAAAGTGAAAACTCTTGCAGAAAATTAAATTAAAACTGTTTAAACACTGTTTCTACCTGTGAGCCACCAATTTGTGACATTGACCTTATAAACAAATGAATAGTATTTTGTACGGAAAATTCCTTAGGATGGCTAAATATGTGAACCTGCCCCTGAATTCACCATTCACCTTTTCTCAACTTCATTCATTTTTGTTTCTACTAAAAACACTTTCTCATAGGAAAGACAATTGCCAAGAATTGGCATATTTTCAGTCCTTACATTTTCATCTGTTTGCCAAATGTCTGTAATATAATTCACAAAAGCCCTGTTTATTAAGTAATATTATTAATGGATAGCATAACACTGTGGAATTGAAGACATTCTTTTTGGATTATGTCCAGGTCTTAAAAAGAACATGGATCCCAATAGGAAGTGAATGGCTTATATTAAAACGTATAATTTTAAAAAGTAGAACAACAAGAAAAGCATTAGAATAGGTATATTTTCAAATTACCGTAAGACGACTTTTCTCAGATATGTAAGTCTCTACTTGTATTAAAATACTTTGAATGGTAACAAAGGAGAATGTCATGCCTATGAATGTTTCTATAAAATCATTTTTCATTTTCAACACATTATTGAAAATATCATAGGACTGAGAAATCATTCAACTTAACAGTCTATTGACTTTTTCCCTGCAGCTGCATTTGCATTTGCCAAAGTTTGCTAAGTAAATTATATTTGTTGCTTTTTAAAATTTATGGCTAAATTCATAAACTATCAAAATATGTCAAGGAGGAAAATAACAAAAAAAGTTTAGTTTTTCATTTTTGTTTTCAAAAGGTACTTAAGGTCTAAATAAGAAGCATTAAAATGTATTCTCAACCCAAATTATAGTTAATTAATTCACTAGTTCATAATCCAACATTCACCACCTGAGACCAAGTCTGAAAATCCCAACTTGTCTTCTGAAACCAATCATGAGCCTTCATTCATTTAATGGCTCTATTTTTAAGGGGAAGCATGAAATCATCCAAGAATCAGAAAATATCCAACACTTAACTGTGAGCAATTAAAGACAGAAAGATAAAACAAGACAGGACGTCACAAGCAAATGAGAGAGACTAATACCGACTGACTAGTCAACAGAAAGCAAGAGAAGCTCAGAAAAGAACATATCATATGAAGGTATTAGCCAAACTGTAGCTTGCAAATACTAGACATATTCAGTTCAAGGTGCCCTGCTAAATTCATCCCAAAGCATTTTTTAATTGGGGTGTTAGTGGCTTTGTGGAGGAGAGGACAAGGTTAATGAAAGAAATCACTGATTATAAGGAAGTAAGTGTCCATCTTAAGGGATCAAAAGAAGACAGTAGAAAAATATAATAAATGTTGCTTTAACTTTAAAATCTAGAACAAATAAAATTGGCAAAAATTTAAACACACAATTATGGCTCAGTGAAGAATAAATCAATCAAGTTAATCCAATTAATTTCATTTCTGTGACAATATGATAAGCCATACAATCAAGCATATTAAAATCAGTTCTTCTAAAAGATTTTTCCTCATAATATACTAATGAAATCAAATGCAAAGACTCTAGGCATTAGAAATCCAAAAGAAAACCATAAAAGATTTCTTCTTTTAAAGCAAGTATTGACTAATGGTGAGGACTAGATGTATATAAAGTAGTGATCTAGAAAATAAATTCAAAAGAATATCTAAATTAGAACATGAAAGTTTTGGTCTGAGCACATAGAAAGAAAGAAAGAAAGTAGGCCATAACTAAATCAAAGACTCTTAGTTGAAACTGAGGAGTGGGACTACGTTTTGAATGTGCTAGAGAAAGTCTGCATTATAGATAATATTCTTACCATTGAACTATTCTCACTAATGTTACAGTCAAAAGCAAATTAGATCAGAGTAAGAATCAGAAGACAGAAATGGAATTTGCCAAAACCTTTACAGATGGTTTTTTAAAAAGCAAGATGCTCTATAATATCCTAAAATAAATTTCACAGAGAAGTGAAGTAACTAACTAAAACACAAGTGTAGGGCAAGGTCCAAGAGGCAGAGATGTTCACAAGTCATACATGAGTGTATGAGACAGTGCTACCATCTGAAAAGCTAAAATGCACTAACATATAAGCCCATATTTATGTAACAAAATGATAGAAATATAAGCATTTTATATAGTTTGTATGTTTGTCCCCTCCAAATCTCATGTTGAAATGTGATCCCCAGTGTTGGAGGTGAGCCTGGTGGGAGATGTTTGGGTTATGGAGGTGGATCCTTCATGAAGTGCCTTCCCTTCAGCAGTGAGACCTCACTCTGTTAGTTCATGGCTGTTTAGACACGGCTGTTTAAAAGAGGCTGGCTTCTGGCTTTGCCTTCTGCCATGATTGTAAGCTTTCTGAGGCCTCACCAGAAACCAAGCAGATGCTGGCACCAAGCTTGTATAGCCTGCAGTACCACAAGCCAAATAAACCTCTTTTCTTTATATTTACCTAGTCTCAGGTCTTCCTGTACAGCAATGCAAACAGACTAATACACCATTCCATACACTTGTCATTGAAGAACTGCTTTTCAGAATGACAGCAATTATATAATGTAGTTCACTATATTTGAAAATTTAATTTTAGTAGAGGTGGACAAATTTTCCCCAAAACTATTGTGTCAATTGGCAATCCCATCAGTGATGTGTTAAAGGTTATATTCCCACAAGTACTAAATATTACCAATCTTTATATTTTCTGCTAATTTGAAATGTTAAAAACAATTGTTGAATATGATTAAAACTGAGGTTGGGTAATCTTTTATATGTTTATTAAAGTTACAATTTGTTCATTTGTAAATTGCTTGTTCATATATTTGCTCATTTTTATCAGACTGTTATATTTTTCTTAATATTTTGTAAATGTTTGTGTGTTAGGAATCTTAACTCTTTACCTGTTAACATGATGCAAATATTTTCTATCAATCCATCATTTATCACTACCTTACATTTATGTTAACCCTTATACTGTGTAGAATTTTAAATATTTATATAACAGAATATGTCATTAATTTCCTTCATAGCTCCAGATGTTTGTTTCTGTTTGTATTTCATTTGCTTAGCTGATAAAAGCCCTCAACTTAAGATATAGAATTCTAATCTTTATTTTAATATATTTATAGTTATTTTTCACTAAAAGTTTAAGCCACATACATTTTTGTACATACAATCAGTAGAGCTCTAATTTTATTTTCTTGCAAATTAGCAGCCAGTTGTCTTAAACATATTTACTGAAGAGTCTATATTATCTACTCTCATTATTGGTATAATTGTTACTGCTGCTGAACCGTCTTTCATATCAGCTATTTCTGATGTTGTTGCTAGATATTCCTACCAACGAATGTTTCTTGATTTTATTTCCACTTACCTCTTTTCCCTAAAGATGAAGCTAAAATTCCACCTCAACTATGGAATTCCCCTGATCGTCACAGAAAACTAAAGTAACATAACTCATAAATCATTTTACTATAGATTTTCAATTAATTAAAATGCCTGATATTAGCAATAAATGAACCTTGATTGACATAAATACATAAACATTGTTCTTCATCTAACGATGCTTTTGTTTATTGATACTTTTGTATAAATACCCTTTAGTAAGAATCAAACTATTTTTTGTTTAGTGCCATGCTATCCAAACACATTAAAAATTGTTTTATAAAACATGATAATGCTGATGAAACAAAGAAAGAAAAACAAAAGAGAAAAGAACCTTAGGGTTTGGTTTCAGTTGTAATTTCTCTGGCTGAAATTATTTTTAAAAACTACAATTTCAACTTAATTGATGGCTGTTATTTTTCTTAAAAAATCTGCAATAATTGACATTTTAAGTTCATATCAGTTTTTAAATTTATTTTCATTTGTTAGGCCAAGATTAAGTTCATAGAATTTATAGTCACCATCTCTACTATTTTTTTTTTAGATTTCCATGCATAAAATAGAACTCACATGAAGTCCTTCAGTGAAGCTCTCCTGGGAGCAGAGGCATCTATATGGCTGGCTTGTTGTGTCGCAGTTATCGGCATGACCATGGCACTGACATCTGCAAACATGAGCATCACACACTCCTAAGGAACACCAACTCAACTGTGAATATATTTAAGGTCCTAGGACTATATGCATTATGTGAATTTAACAGGGAAGATTTTTGTATATTTAATTGATACAAAATCAGTTTCTCCTTAATCGTGTGGATATCCATACACGTTTTTAATTTATCTGGAAATGTCAGAAGGACTGTCACCAATATCCAAACCCGTGTATTGTAAAGATAATTTTCAAGCCAACCTCTAAAGGGAAATGGAATTTTTTATATCTATACCAACCACGTACCAAGGGAAGGCATTTACTACACTATTTAAAATACAGTTAAGAATATAAAGTTCAGGCTGAGCACGGTGGCTCACGCCTGTAATCTCAGCATGTTGGGAGACTCAGGCGGGTAGATCACTTGAGGTCAGGAGTTTGAGAGCAGCCTGAGCAACATGGCAAAACCCCATCTCTACAAAAAGTGAAAAAAAAAATCAGCTGGGCATGGTGGCACATGCCTGTAGTCCCAGTTACTTTGGAGGCTGAGATGAGAGGATCACTTGAGGCCCAGAAGTCGAGGTTGCAACGAGCCATGATCATGCCATTGCATGCCAGCCTGGGTGACAGAGCAAAAGCCTGTCAAAAAAAAAAAAAAAAGAAAGAAAAAAGAATATAAAGTTGACAATAAACTGCAGAATGCAGTTAACATATTTCAATTTTTTTATTTTTTTTTCCAAAGTTAGATGATGAATATTTAATAGTATTGCTTTGTTCATTATGCTATGACTTAGCAAACAAACAATGCTTATATACTGGTATTTTGGTCTGCTTTTAAAGACATATTTTATTCACAAGGCCTATCATTCCTCCAGAACAATCCATTCTAAATATACTCTATATGTACATTTCTATATTAGACAGTATGCTGCCTAGGTTTGCAGCTGTCATTTCTTTTTAAATATTGTGAGTCATGTTCTCAATTATGATCAGACATTTATAAACTACTTAGGGCATATCAGATCTTTCCACTAAAGAAAAACAAGTATTACCCATGGAACTGTGCACTATGAACTCAGGTAGATCAAGATCTGTACTTAAAAACTCTCTGGTGCTATAGTTACAACTCCAAATTCAGCTCCATCTCTTTGCTTTTGAGAATATTTGAAAATTATATTCCAGAACAAATCAAGTAAAATATTGGATAAATCACTTCTAAGTCAGATTCAGAGTATCATAGCTTCTAAAAGCAACAGCTTTTGAAAATCAATTCCTGTATATATAAATATATATATATTTATTTATAAAATACGTTTTATATATATATATATATATATATATAACAATGTTATATAGAGAAAAGACTCACATACAGATCTTCCCCTAAAATCTTAGAGTATGAAATCATTTCAAAATGTAAAGCTTGAAATCTGGCTTGCTCTGACATCTTAATGTGCTGTTAAGACAGTAAGTATGACAAAAACCTTGTTGAAAACAAAATTCATAATAATACCTCCCACTAATGGTGATTTCGTCCACTGCATAATATCTGTGTCTGAGGTTAACAGCAGTCTCAGTTGTATAGTACTGCCCATGAAAATGAAACCTTATTTGCGTGGCTTTTACGAACTCTTGAAGAGATGGGGTATTATAGAAGTTATTGTATCCAGGACGATAATTTGGTCCAGGTGTCAGGATGCTAAATGTGACATTGCCACGGGAATATGGAGTAAAACTGTTAATGAAAGAAATTCGATGTCATGAAAATCTATTCACATTTTTGGCAAAACAGAAATCAAAATGTTGAGAAATTACTACACAGTATCAATAAAAGCTTAAATTATTCATTCTAGGAAAAGCATATTCCATATATTTCATATATAAACAATACAGGATTATCATAGAAAGCCACACTAAAACAGTTCCTTGAAAACATAATGAAAATTCTATTTACATAGATAACTTGCCAAACAATCTGAAAATCAGATTGTGAAACATCAGTGAGATTGAAATAAGAGTCACTCTAATGTCTTTTACAAGAACTTTAAACATAGTTTTAAGCCCAATTTAGGGATAAGACTTAGGAGAATCTGCCTCAAGGAAGTTGGTGGTGAAGGGAAGTCTCCACCAGCCTAGAGAGCTAGCATACTTGTACATTATTAATAACCAATCAGTCTATTAAATTAATTGTTTAAAAATATTCATACTTGGAAAGCTGAAGACAGTTGACAGAATCAGGTTTTTCCAAATCTCCATTGTTTTTCATTCCAAAAGCACCACAATTCCTGGCAAAATATTGCCAGTCCTCCCAATCTAAACTATTTTCCTTCTTCCTTTGAATCCTTATTTCCGTTGGTTGTGGACTAAAGAACTGAATGATAATATAAAACACCTGAAAATGGAAAGTTAATTAATGTAATTAAAGTTTTAAGTTTAACCATCAGTATATATCAAACCATGGAATTATTAGATTCAAATATATTGGCTCACTTCATCATAATTATAGTTATCAAATATGTATTAGACATCCAGAAACTTCATAGCCCTGTGGTAAAAGCAACATATTCTATAATTGTGTATCTGTTCATTTGCTCAAGGATTTTATAAATCAACATGCAAATAAAGACATAAACAAAGAACATTACTTCTATGAAATAAATGTCATATATAGAGACTTCTTAATTTAGAAAAAGCACCTTAGTTTGTATTAATTTTTGCTACTTAATAAAAATAATTATTTTCAACATTTCATAAATATCATTTTGATACAAATCTCAAACATAAGGTCCTACATGTTGTCTTTTAGATATTTTTATTGTATACATTATAATACACTACTTTATTGAGGCAAGGTTCAATTGCCTAGTTCAGTTTTCACCTTGTAGTGGGTTGAATTGTGTTCCCAAATAGATATGTCCAAGTACTACTGTCCAAACCTGTAAATGTGACTTTATTTGTAAATAGGGTCTTTGCAGTATAATTAAGGATGTCAATATGAGATCATCCTGGGTCTAATAGGGTGGGCCTTATATAAGAGAAAGAAAAGGGATAATTGATGCTCACAGAGAAACAAGGAAGGACACCATGTGAAAATGGAGGCAGAGATTGAAGTTGTGGTGCCACAAGCCAAGTAACACCAAGGGCCACCAGGAGCTGCAAATGGCAAGGAGGGATCCTCCTCTGGAATCTTTAAGGGAATGTAGCCCTGCCAACATGTTGATTTCATATTTCTGATCTCCAGAACTGTTAGGGAATATATTTCTGTTGTTTTAAGACATGAAGTTTGTGGGCATTTGTTGCAATAACCACAGGAAATTAATGTACACCTTATCGTTTCTCATTACCTGATACTGTCCATTTTCCAAATCAACTGAAATAGTCACTCCTTGATTAAGCTGTGTAATGTTTGTAAACACATTTGAAACCCATGAAGTACCAACATCATTATCATTGACAAAAGAGAGAGGATGGGCTTCAGGATTCAACCGTGACACTCTATTATCAGCTGTGTCTCCTGCATCATTAGGAATGCAGTACCGCTGTGCCAAAGGGTGGACCCGCGGGTGGCTGCCAGGGCAACGGCAATGTGATTGGGCATGCAATCTGAGAAGATCTCCAGAGAAGACTTCCAGAATCTCTCTGTGGGAGTCAAGAGGGAGACTGTAAGGACAAAGAGCTTAACAGTAATAGAACTTCTAGGAGTCGTTACAAATGAATGTCACTCGTTTAGTGCTTTCATGAGTATCCATTTAGTTTTAATAATTTGATGCATGAAACATAAAATAAAACTTATTTTTGGCCAAATAAACAAATTCATTATCATAAAATGTATATCAAAACCCACACATTTTAATATTAACTTTTTATTTATATCAAGAAGCATGCATAAGCCCTTGTCTGATTATTAAGATACTTATTTAAATACCACAATATTTTACCGTGTCTATTTGTGATAATATAGAAATGATCACATTTACTTAGGATGCTAAACTAACTACTGAGAGTGAACAATAATATATGGAGAACAATGAGAGTTATAGATAATGTTTTCAGTTCATCCATGGGAAAGAAGTACGAAAGCAAGTATCATTTTATCTGCTTCTGTTTTAAGTGAAGGACTGAGGCCAAGGCCATTTGTCAATGGTTTCCTGTGACTCATCAGTACAGATCCTGACATCCTGTAATGCTTCATTGGCTTCAGATCATATGGCGGCTGCCAACAGTCAAAGAATGCCAATTCCAGGTAGATATATTTAATTTTTCCATTAGGGGCAATATACTTGTTCTAGACCAGAATTAGTCATTCTATTTATAGGCATTCTTCCACATAGCACCTTCCCAGACATTTCAGGTAGGCCAAAATTAGTAATCAAGGTCTTACCAGAGAAACCAGGCTTTTCCTCTCAGACCCCAGTGGAGCAGTGAAGGAGTCAGGCAGCTTTTCCATTCATTAAATCACATGAAGTCATACCTTCTTTAAATCTCATCAATTCTTTTCAACTGATACCAAGTTTTGAATGGGACCAAAAGCTACCAGTATAGAATCCAGTATAAAATCTTTCACTCCCAAGGAAAAACTTTATTCCCAAAGAATTACTACAACATTGCCCTTCAGCATTTTAGACAAAGGTGATCTAAAATATAGTAAGGCTTTTGGCAGTAAATACACCTAACACTGTGTTCCAGGGCCATGGCACCCTTTACTGAGGCATACCTTGATTATATAGCCTGGTAAGAAAGAATGTTTATATTGTTAATGATCTGCCATGGACTAAGAACCACATCAAAAGCAATGCTTCTAAATTTACAAGGGCTAGTCTTCTCATTTGGAAACCCACCACACTAATTTATATCTGCCTTGAAGAAATATGAATGAACATTCTTCTTTTTGATTTTTAATAGAAGTAAATAAGATCAACTCATCCATACAACAATATACTATTATACCATGATATCATAAGCTGAAGAAGAAAGTTCAAAGGCATCCTAAGCAGAATTTCACTTAAATTTTTTAAAATTCTGTGTGCTTTTAAGAAGCCCTAAGAAAGATTTCCCATCTACTCTCAAGATAAGGAAATAATGTCATTAAAGCTAGCCTGAGTCTATATAATTATTTGTTCACTGAAAATAGAAAAATATATCACAATACTTCAAATGCTCATTCTTCTTGTCTCCAAGTCTAATAGATCAGTCTCTTGAGAATTTCCCATGTATCAAAATAATTAATCACGTTTATTGTTCTACATTCTCTAGTAGGTATAAAGTCAACAAACCAATTTAAAAAAGGCAGATGTAGAAGTTTCTCAAGTATTGTTAATAGAAACTACCTCATATAGAAAATTTAAGCATTGTATCCCAAGTTTTATAAAATGTTCAAATATCAAGTTTTCTTACAGAATATCCTTAGGAAAAATGTGATCAATTTCATATTACAAGGAGTTCCTCAAGAGTAGCACTAGTGAATAACAACCATAGACTAAGCCAAAGCAAACACTGTAAACATTAATTAGGTGAAGTTTGCCAAATGGTATAAAGATAAAAAATGGTATAATCTACATAGTATTCTTATTTAAGTGAATTCAGCATTTATCCTTTCGGTTCTTGAGGTTTACAATGCAACATCTGCTTACCTGTTTGTAAGTGCCACTTGGTATAATCGAAAATCTTGCATTCTTCCGACAAACTGCTCTAAACCTGCAAATACACACATGTGCATAATATAAGAAGTCTCTGTTTACCAAGCAATACCTGACAAGTATTTAAGTGATATTCCTTTGAAGATGTTAAGGTTAAAAAGATATTTATGTCACTGCCCTTTGAAACTTTTACAGATCAATCTCTAGTTTGCTAATTCCACATTAATAACAAAAATAATCATAGTTATCTCCATGGACACTGTAGGACTTAAGTCAAAGTGAATACTTTGGCCAGCCTATTTACTGATCGAACTCATGGCTTTCTCCAGAAGTCCCTTCCCAAGTCAAATTTCTCTCTAGTTTATAACTCCATAGATATATTATCTCATCAGCCCTAAATTTGATTGTCATCTGCTTCTGATTGCAATTTCCAGAGTATTTGCAATGCCAAAAGGAAGATTCCTCACTCTCACATCCCACCTGTTATAGCTCCAAGCTCCAGGCTATCTGTTTGGGTTCTCTCTAAAGTTAAATTAATGTCTGTTCTAGAAAATCTCCAAATGAGGACTCATCGAAGACTTCCTACTTGTAGGTTCTGTGTCATTCACATATATCAATAGTATCATAGTTCACTCTCAGAATTTTATTGCCTCAGGGAAAATCTTCTAAGAAAACCAGGTTCAAAGACCAATCTACTTTGAATTAGGTGACCTTTCAAGGCAAATGTAGCTATCAACCTTAATCCACATGGTATTATTTTATTTGTTTGGCAAATATTTTTTCAGAACTTACTGAGACAAATAAGCCCAAGAGAGTGGAGACAGAATAAAGCAGAAAAACTACCGACTCCAAGTTTTTTGTTATATTTTTAATAACAAAATTTATTTCAATAATTGTTTATTTCAATAGTTCTAAAAAAATAAAATTGGAGCAATTTTAATCATCAAATGACCATTTTCCCAATGTGTTTTTTCTTTTAACTATTCAGTTTTCACTCTGTCTTGATAGAGTTTTAAAGAATGTTTGATTTATGTTTTCTGCTGCTCCTTGGTGGTTGCTTGGAGGAAACTGGGACAGAGTGAGGATATGGCTGATAAATAAAACATGGAGAGGAGAATTAGCACACGAAGTAGTCTGAGATAGTGATCTCAGAATCAGGAAGAAACTCACAAGCAAAGTGTGAGACTTAGGAGCCTAAAAAGAGTATGTGTCTGTGTGTGAGTGTGTGTATGCATATATTTGTGTATATTCATATATTTACATGTTATATTTATATTAAATAATATATTTGAGAAAATAACCAAAATATTACATATAAAAATATTTCTTCATTAGTGTATTCTCAGCTGATGTAGTCTAAGAAAAATACACTTATAGGCTCTCTCTTTCTACCCATTAGTCTCAGTCTTCCACATACCCCATGAGCTGAGGCCCACAAGAAGATGTGCTCTAGGCAGCCTCCTGCTCTGACTTTCCCGTAGGGAGAGTTTCTCTACTCTATCTATCCTAAAACAGGCAGCTGGCACAAGTGCAAAGAATTATTCCTCCAAGTGGTGTTATGAAGACAAAACTAAATCTACTAAAACTTTGCAGAAATCTTTAGAAGATTTCCAACACAAATTGTTCTAAAATTTATAATTAGTTACAAGAAATAAGAAAACATGGTAAAATATTCTTTCAGTTAATTGGCCATCCAGGCAACATGATTTATGATCAATTGACCTGGATCCAGGATCTAAAGTTAAACAAAGAGGGAATGGTAGAAAGATGGACATGTCATTCTTAGAAGAAAGATGAGAAGAATACATGCAAATACAGCAAAGCCATTGTGTGCCTATGCTTTTATTTGGGGAATAGGAAAGACGAATAGGAAAGTCACTCCTCATAGCATAAATTTTATTTATGAGGTAAGAGATAATGTTGTCAAGGAAGCTGGGCCTGTGTCCCGTTTTTTCTTTACCTTCAACTATCCCTAACCATGCTCAGTTCTTCCTCTCCTAGCATCCTTTACACCCCACACTGTTAATCTACAGCATGAATTTTTAATGCCCCACAACCTTCAGGCTCTCTCAGCCCTAAGGTTCCCATTTTGCCTCTGCTTCCAATTTTTCTGCCTCATACAGCCCCTAATGTCTCAGCTTTGAAATACTCCTTGTGGGGAACTTTCTGTGCCCCGCTATAGTCCTAGGCATTCTCTTTCTGGGAGAAGCCACCCAGTTTGCAGTACTTTTGCATGGCAGCCGTGGAAAACTGACAGTCTTCATTTCCTATTTTTGCCAACATAATGAGATATCAAGGAGAAAAAAAGAAATTACCTGCATTTCATGTTATCCAATTTGCTTTCTCAGGATAAAATATTGTCTAAAATATTTTATATAACCTCTAGGGAAGTGTTTTATCTCAAAGAACCCAGATCATAACAAACAGGGGCTAGCCATTCATAATTTTGAAAGACTTACCATAACTGAAAGACAGCAAAACTGATGAACACTGTGATGTTGCTAAAGCCTGAACCATGGCTTTAAATGTCAGGGTGGCTTCATTCTTTTACGTATTGATTCATTCACAAGTATTTATTGGAAGCCTATTATGTGCCAGGCACTTTCACGAGTGCCAAAAGTACAATCAGTTAACAACAACAACAAAATACCCTTGCTTTTATGGAGCTTGCATTCACGTAGATAAACATAATGAATGAGAAATTCATATAGTATATTAGAATGCAATACATTTTATGAAAAACAGAAGGATTAGAGCAGGTTGGAGAGCATGGCTAGATTTTAGTGGGGATGTTATGTCCAAGAGAGGCCTCATTGAGAATGTGGCATTGACAGGGGAATGGGAATGAGTCATACGTATATCTAGGGGCAAAATGTTCCAGGCAGGCATTAATAAGCACATAGACCTCTAAATCAGTATGCTTGGCATGTTAGAGGAGGTGCAAGGAGCTAGCATCCTGGAGCAGAATAAAAGGGGGGAGGTTATTAGAAGGTTAGGTCAGACAAGTAGCTGGCTGGGGGAGAGGGGAGGATGGAGGTACAAATTGTTATATATACAAAGTCTAATAGCCTACTGTAAGAAATTTGATTTCTGGTCTGAGTAAAATGGGAAGCCATTGGAGGGTTTTGAGAAGAGGAGTGATGTGATCTCAGGATTATTCAAAAGTTCTGAGACTAGAATATAGGAAGATAAGAGTAGAAGCCAAGAGGCCAGTTAGGAGGATATTACAGTCATATGTGTGAAAAATGTTGGCAGTCAGACCAGGGTATTAGAAGTGGAGGTGTACCTTTCAATGCTGATAAATTAGAATTCACTCCCTATATTTTAATAATAGCTAAAGGGAAGCTCTGCTGCAGGGGGATAATGAAATCTATTTTATTATCTATAAAATAAAGGGGCTGGGTTTTATAACCTTTAAAAACCATTTTAGTTTTAAATTTTGGAGCTTGCAATCATATCCATTGCTAAAGAATTCATATTTGAAGAAATTCTTCATAAAAAAGAGTTACAGCAAGTTTTCTAAAGACCTAGAGTTAATGTGAATCATCCATCCCAAATAAAAGAATTATGATTTGAGGTGAGAATACTATCAAATATTTCAAGGACAGCCATAGAAATAAATTTTACTTATTCCTTTGCTACTTGCCAATTTTTTAACAACAGATATTCATTGGGATAAACATTCCATAAAAATTCTTCTTTGAAAAATATTCATATGGCAAAGATATGTCTAAATTATATAAATTGATCAAGGAAATAGACATGACTCATACAAGAAAGACCTCATAGCTGTCTAGTCAGAAAATAGACAGGTGATGACTGGAAAGAAGTTGTTATGCATTACAACTGGGTGGCACAACAAAATTAGTCAAATGGGAAAACTAAGTAATCCAACATATAAATCAGGGTAAAAACAGATAATAAGGCTAAGTAACAAATGTCACAACAATCAGAAGGAAAGAAATAAACTCTCATTTGCAGATAGCATAATTATCTACTCAGAAAATTTCCATGACTGTACATAAAAGCTATTAGAAATAACAAGTGAATTAGTTAATTTTGTTTGATAGAAGTTAAATGAGTAATAATTTAATTTCTATATACTAGTGATTAACCAATGGAAATTAAAACTTTTAAATACTATTTTATTAGCACTGAAAATGTGAAATATTAGTTATAAATCTATTAAAGCAAGGCAATGTATATAGGTAAAAACTATAAGACATTGAGGAAACGAATAAAAGGACATCAGCAATGGCAGAGTGAAAACAATGGAAGAGTCTGTCTTCCATAAAAGCAATGGGAACACTGGCAAAGAATATCACATCAACTTATTGAGAACTCTGGAAATAAAGCAAAGACTTGCAACAATGTGGACAGTGTTTATTTTTTAAATGACTGAATATTGGTAAGAACAACATGTTCTATGGCATTTTAGCTTTCCTATTCCCGTACTCCTCTCTGCCACTCTCTGGAAGCCCTGAAAATGAACAGTTTGCAATCAGGGTGAAAACCAGCAGCCTAGTTACTGCTAGAGGATCAGAATGGGAGTGGAGCTGTTTCAAAGCTCTATCCTCAGATGATTGTCATTATTCGATCTGCCTGGAAGTACCATGGAAAGCCCCACTAGTAAGGCTTGAATTGACTCAGAGTTCATCCACTGGAAACAGCATTTACTCTGTTTGTTTAAAACAATTATTTGCTAAAAATAATCACTGGCAACTGCTTAACATTGCAGTTGACCCAGGCAGTAACAACAGTCAGAAGAAACAACAAACAATCCAAAATACTTAAAAGGAGAAGATGTGAAACATCATGTCCATAAACGCTTTGCAAATCCTTAAAAAATGCCTGCGAATCTACAAGATTATGAACATGCAAAAGGCTAAGTATGTGCTCAGGTATATGCGCATGCTAAAGAAAGACCTGAGAAAGTCCTAAGGTCTCACCTCAGCTCGACTTTGAGGCTCTGCACAAGCAGGAAGTGGGGACTAAAGGAGAGTGTTAAACTGCCTCAGTGTTGATGGCATTCTGCAACATGCGTACAGATCTCTCACCAGAGACTGGAAAATGTATTGGTTCTAGGCATTTAAGAAATTCTCTGTTCAGTCATTGCCTGACTACTAAGATGAGCAAACAATGACTTCATTTATCACATATGACAAAGAAACAGACTTCACAGAATTAGCTCAGGAAAGCCACTAAACAAGCAAACAGTAGTAATAGTGACAAATAGCAGCAACAAAACAACTCTGGAAAGGGAAATAATCTGATTTCCAGATTTGCTACACTATGTGTTTAAAATGTCTGGTTTTCAACAAAGAATATGGCATATGCAAAGAAACTCCTACAAACAATATACAGGGGAAGAAAAATGGGCAATGGAAATGGGTCAATTGTAAGCTCATACATTAAACTTACCAGACAAAGACTTTAAATCAACTATTTTATATATGTTCAAATAACTAAAAACAAAACAAAACAAAGTGTCCAAAGAACTAAAGCAAAGTATGACAATGATGCTTTAGACAATATAGAATATGAGAAAAGAAATAGAAAATTTTTAGCCAGGCATGGTGGCTCATGCCTGTAATCCCAGCACTTTGGGAGGCTGAGGTGGGAGGATCACGAGCCCAGCAGTTTGAGACCACCCTGGGAAACGTAGTGAGACCTCATTTCATCAAAAAAAGAAAAAATAAATAGAAAATAGAAAACTTTCAAATGAAAAATTCACTAGAGGAGCTCACTAGCAGATCTAAATGATCAGAAGAAATAATTAATGAACTTGAATACAGGTCAATTGAGATTATTCAGTGTGAGCAATAGAAAGAGAAAGAATGTTGAGAAATTAACAAAGCCCCAGAAAGCTGTGGGACGCCATCAAGAGTACCAGCATAGGCATAATGGGAGTTTCAGAGAAGAGGTAAAAGGACTGAAAGAATATTTAGAGAAATAATTACCAAAAACTTCCAAAATTTGATGAAAACTATTAATCTATGCATCCAAGAAGCTCAATGAACTGCAAGTGGGATAAATTCAAATAGATCCACACCCTAGGCACATTAAAAATCAAACTGTTGAAAGACAAAGACAAAGAGAAAATCTTGAAAGCAGCAAGTGAGAAAAGGCCATCTCCTACATGGGATCTTCAATAAGATTAACCACAGATTTCTTGTGAAGAAACCATGGCGTCCAGAAGGGAGAAGAATGACATATTTAAAGTCGTAAAAAAAAACTGTACACCAAAAACTATTTTTTCTAGCAAAACTCTCCTTCAAAAATGCAGGATAAATTGACATTTCCAGATAAAGAAATATTGAGAGGTTTTATCACTATCAGACTTGCTCTACAAGAAATACCAAAAGAAGTCCTTCTGGCTGATATGATAGGATATTAGAGAGCAATGTAATCCAGATGAAGAAATAAAGAGTACCTGTAAAGGTAATTAAATAGGTAAATATTTAAAAAGATTATAAATGTATTTTTACTGTAATTCTTTTTCTCTCTCACATTTGTTTTAAAAGATGACTTTATAAAGCAATAATTATATATCTGTGTTGATGGGCATCCAATGTAAAAAATCTCCATAGACAATAACGGCACAAAAGAAAGCAGAGTGAACAAAAACTATATAGGTGCAAAATTTTGCATACTCTTAAAATTAAGTTGGTATTAATTTGAATTAGATTTTTATGAATTAAGATGTTAATGATAACATCCTGGGCAACAAACATAGTAGAATAAATGACAAGGGTATTAAATTATACACTAGAAGATAACTTTTTAACCCAAAGAAGACAGTGAAAGAATAGAGAAATTTAGAAGACATAAATCATATTTTAAAAAACCAACAGCAAAGTGACATTGTAACTACCTTATCAGTCACTGTGCTAAATGTAAATGGCTTAAGCACTTCAATCAAAAAGTAGATATTTACAAAATGGAAAAACAAACAAACATGACCCCCTATAGGAGTTCTGCAAGAGACAAACTCTACATTCGAGGAAACAAATAGATTGAATGTTCAAGAATGAAAAGAAAGATACACCACGTAAACAATAACCAAAAGAGAGCTTGAGCTCCTATGCTAACATCAGACAAAATAGACTTTAGACAAAATTTTTAGTAGAGACAAGAATATTTTAAGATATCAATCCATCAGGAAAATAAAACAATTATAATCATGTATGTGTCTAACAACAGTAAAATGACAAATTTAAAGATTTAAAGAGAAAAATTCACCATTTAACAACAATAGTGGAGACTTCAATATCCTACTTTCAATCATGGAGAGAGCAACTACACAGAATACAAACAGAAATGGAAGACCTGAATGACTTTATAAACCAATTAGACTTAATAGACACCAACAGAACACTCCACCCAACAACAACAGAATACAAACTCTTCTCAAGTGCATATGGTACATTCTCCAGGATAGATTATATGTTAGGCCATAAAACAAGTCTCTATAAATTTAAAATAACTGAGATCATGCAAAGTATATTCTTGGATCACAATAGAAAAAATTAGAAATCAATAACAGAAGCAAATTTGTAAAATTAACAAATGTGTGAAAATTAACCCATTCCTAATAACTAATGATCAAAGAAGAAATTACAAAAAGATTTAAAAATCCTTTGAGATTAATGGAAGTGAACATGCAACATATCACACTTTATGGGATTTAAGTAGTGTTTAAAGTGATATTTAGAGCTGTAAACACTTATATTTAAAGAGAAATTTATTAAATCAATAACCTAATCTTCTACCTTAAGAAACTAGAAAAAGAAAAACAAACTCAACCTAAAGCTAGCAGAAGAAAGGAAATTATAAAGATTTGAGCAGACAAATAAAATAGAGAATAGAAAAACAACAAGAAAAACAACAAAAGTTGATTGTTAGAAATTATTAACAAATTTGACAAACATTCAACTAGACTAGCCAAGAAAAGAGATGACTCTAATGATTAAAATCAGGAATTAAAAAAGGGAAATTACAACTGACTTTGCAGTCACAAAAAAGGATCATAAGGGATACTATGAACAACTGTATGCCAAAAATTAGACAACCTAGATAAAATAGACAAATTCCAAGAAACACACAAACTATGTAAACTGACTTAAGAAGAAATTAGCAATCTGAATAGATCTATACCACTAAAAGAGATCAAATTAGTAATTTTTTAAAAATTTCCACAAAGAAAAGCTTAGGACCAGATGCTTTCATTGGCGAATTCTACCAAACATTTAAAGAAGAAGTAGCACCATTACTTCACAAGCCCTTCCAAAAAATAGAAGAGGAAGAAACACTCTCCAAATTACTCTATGAAACCAGTATTACCCTAATACCAAAAACATCAAAGACATCAAAAGAAAACTATAGGCCAATATGCCTTATGAATACAGATGCAAAAGTCTTCAACAAAATTCTAGTGAACCAAATACAGTACTAACAAAAAGGATCATACATCATGAGCAAGTGGAATTATCACAAGGATGCAAGGCTGGTTCAATGTACGAAAAGTAATCAAGTAATACACAAACTTGGAAAAATAAAGGACAAAAACGTCATGATCATCTTAATAGCTACATAGTCAAAGTTAACACTTCATGATAAAATTTTTAAAAAGCAACTAACTATTAAAGAAGACAACTTCCTCATCTAATAAAGGGTATCTGTGAAAAACCAACAGCTAACATCATATTTAGTGGTGAAAAAATGCTTTTTCCCTAAGATCAGGAACAAGATAACAATGTCCACTTTTGCCACTTCTAGTCAACATTTTTCTGTAGTTACCAGACAGGGCAAATAGGCAAGCAGAAGAAATAAATCTTTCCATATTGAAAAAGTAGAAGTAAAACTATCTCTTGTACATAGAAAACTCTAAGAAATCTACTAAAATCTATTAGGAATTATAAATGAGTTCAGCAAAGTTGCAAGTTGCAATATCAATACATGAAAATCAATTGCATACCTACTGCATTTCAGTAGCAATGAAAATGCTGATAATAAAATCATACACAGTCCACTGTATTTTAACTAAGTGGCAAAGAAAATTAAATGGAAAAAGAATACTCTTCTTTCCAAGAACGGTCCTGGAATATTGGATATCTTATGTTTTTTAAAGCACCTGAAAACATATCATGCACCTTATGTAAAAGTTTAACTCAATATGGATAATAGAACTAACCTAAAACTATAATATAGCTAGAAAAAATTACAGGAAAATTCTTTGTGACCTTGACTTGGGCAAAAATTTCTTTGACAAACAACAAAAACACAATCATACAAGAAGAAATATAATCGTGGCATTGGATTGGATAACTTCGACAAATTTCTTTAGGAAAGACCCTGATGAATTGATTCAGATTTCCTTAGGAACAAGGTAGAAGTTGAAAGAGCTGAATAGTCTGTGGGCATCAAATGTCTACAATTCACAGTCACAAGTAAGAGCTACCAGAAATATTACAACAAAGAAATGTCCAGAAATAGCAGCCAGAGACAGATCTTAGGATATGCATCAAAGTACTCTAAGTATTTTAGGGGAAAAGTGTTTTAAAATATCTTAATATTAATGATGACAATGACAGCTAATAACTATTGCATACTGAGTAGCAGGCCCTGTTCTGTGTGCTTTATGTATATTATTTTATTTAATCCTCATAAAAACACTATGGAAAGATATTCTTTTGATGCTAATTTTAAAGATGAGGAAACTGAAGCATATAGATATTAAGAAATTTGCCCAAGGTAAAACAGGTCATAAATGGGAGAGCTGAAACATGTTCTCAAGGACATTAAGAGAAAGGAAAACGACAGGACCAATCTCACTTGGTAGCATAGGCATGAAAATTATATCTCAACAAATTAAATCTGCCATGTCTTGAAAAATACATAATATACAAGTAGAAAACCCTAAACAATTAGGAATAGGTGGGAAAGTTTTTAACGTGATATGGCAAACATCTTATTTAAAGGAAAAAATGTAAAGCCATTTCCATTAAAGCAATGACAAGTTGAGGATGCTTGCTCTCACTGCTTTTTTTTCCAAGATTGTTAAAGGAATGTCTAGACCTCACAATCAGACAAAGAAAAGAAGTAAAATCCATAAGAATTAGAATGACATAAATATATTATTTGCAAATTACATGGTTTTCTACCTCAACAATTCAAATAAATCTATAGTCAAATATTCGAATTAATGTGTTCCAAAATGGTGTTGGAAATAAGAATGATATATAACAATTTATAATATTTCTTTATATCAGCAATAAATATAAAATGCAATTTAATAAAAGATACTATTTACAATAGCACCAAAACCTTGAGATACCTAGGAATAAATTTTATATTTATCCCTTTTATTATAAGTTATGAGTATTTTATTTATAGAAATTTACTAAAAGACATAAAAGAAGATCTAAATAAATAGAATGATATACTATGATCATGGATGAAAAAAATCAGCATAACAATATAAATTATCCCTAAGCTGTTGTATAAATTTAATTCAATTCCAATAAAAAATCTCAATAAACATTTTTATATAAACTGATCCTAAAATTCATTTGGAGGAGTAAGACCTAACAATAGCTGAAGAAGGCTGGTAAGAAGGAATCCACTGCAAGATATCAAAAGATAATCAAGTGCTATAGCTTTTGGCAAGAAGTTAATCAAATTGACCTCTGAAACAAGATGTTAAACACACTACCATCAAATTGGAGCTTGAGATACAGTAGAGGTGGCTTTAAAAATCAGTGAGGAAATAATGTGTGTTCAATAAAAATCAGTGGGACAAGAATGTGCCAATAAAGATAAGTTAAAATTAAATCTCTACCTCACACATTATACAAAAATTAATTTCAGAAAAAATAGAAGGCAATATATATCATGATAAAAGAGAATTTCTTAAGTAAGATATAAAACTATCTGAACCATAAAAAGTAACTGATATATTCGCCAATGTTAAAATTTAAAACTCTTGTGTGACAGACCAAAAATACAAAAAATTTTAAAAGTCAAACCACTGAAGGAAATATTTTTACAATCAATATAATTAAAACATGTAAAATGCAGATTATAAGTGTAACTTTTACTGACAAGGAAATGCAATGGAAAATTTAATGAAAGATATACCAGAACAAGCAATTCACAGAGGCGAAAACTCAAATGCCATATGTTTCAATATTTTAATAGTTACTAAAGAAATTAAAATTAAAACGAAAATAAGGGAGTATTTTATACTCATGATTTTGGCAAAAATGTTGGAAAACAAAACATGTTGATAACACAGGCAAATGGGTATTTTACCTGTTGCCATAGGAAGGCAAATTGGTTCAACCACTTTAGATAACAGTTTGGCGATATATCAAAATGGAAGATAAGAATACTTAAGAAGCCTATGATACCTTTCACTGTGCTTTTTCTGTGCAAATTCTCACAAATGCACACAAGGAGACATACAAAATATTAATTGCAATCTTCTATAAATTATATAAAGAGAAAAGCTAACTCTCCACATGGAAACAAATACATAATCCATACTTTTTTTTATAAAGTGGAATACTAATAGAGAAACTAAAATGAATGAACAAAATATCAAAATGGGTAATTCTCAGAAAAATTATTTATGAAAAAGGCAAATTGAAGATATACTCTGTATTTTTATATATGTGCATATATATATATGAGCACTTACATAAATACTAACAACATAAAGATAACAGCATGTGTTATATTATTTTGAGATACTTACATATTGAACTATTTGAAATAGCCAATGTTTGACCATTTTTAATCTATAAGAATGGCAATTGTATATTTTTCAATCTAATAATAAAAGTATAAGAACACACATGATAATGATAAATGTAAATGCAGAATGTGGGAGGAGGTTGTTGATGAATTTTTTTGTTTAAACATACTTTGAAATTTCAAAGCCATAAATGTCTATTACCTGGAAAAATCACTGATATTTTAAAAAGTTATTAGTAAACACTCCTCAGCAAATGCAAAAGAACTGAAATTATAACAGTTTCTCAGACCACAATGCAATCAAATTAGAGTTAAGATTAAAAAACTCACTCAAAACCACACAACTACATGGAAATTGAACAACCTACTCCTGAACGACTCCTGGGTAAATAATGAAATTAAAGCAGACATCAAGAAGTTCTTTGAAACTAATGAGAGCAAAGAAACAACATACCAGAATCTCTGGAACACAGCTAAGGCAGTGTTAAGAGGGAAATTTATAGCACTAAATACCCATATCAGAAAGCTAGAAAGATCTCGAATTGACACTCTAGTGTCACAATTAAAAGAACTAGAGAAGCAAGAGCAAACAAATAAAAAAATCTAGGAAAAGACAAGAAACAACTAAGATCAGAGCAGAACTGAAGGAGAGAGAGACACGAAAAACCCTTCAAAAAATCAATGAATCCAGGAGCTGTTTTTTTTGAAAACAAACAAACAAACAAACAAAATAGACTGCTAGCTAGACTAATAAAGAAGAAAAGAGAGAAGAATCAAATAGACACATAAAAAATGACAAAGGGGATAACACCACTGACCCCACAGAAATACAAACTACCATCAGAGAATAGTATAGATACCTCTACACAAATAAACTAGAAAATCTAGAAGAAATGGATAAATTCCTGGACACATAAACCTTCCCAAGGCTAAACCAGGAAAAGTCGAATCCCTGAATAGACGAATAATGAGTTCTGAAATTGAGGCAGTAATTAATAGCCTACCAACCAAAAAAAGCACAGGACTAGACAGATTCACAGCTGAATTCTACCAGAGGTACAAAGAGGAGCTGGTACCATTCCTTTTGAAACTATTCCAAAAAATTGAAAACGAGGAATTCCTCCCTAACTCATTTTATGAGGCCAGCATCATCCTGATACAAAAAACCTGGCAGAGACATGACAAAAAAAAAAAAAAGAAGGAAAACTTCAGGCCAACATCCCTGATGAACACTAATACGAAAATCCTCAATAAAATACTGACAAACCAAATCCAGCAGCATATCCTTATCCACCACGACCAAGCTGGCTTCATCCCTGGGATGCAAGGGTGGTTCAACATACACAATCAATAAACGTAATCTATCACATAAACAGAACCAATGACAAAATCACGTGATCATCTCGATAGATGTAGAAAAGGGCTTCAATAAAATTCAACACCCCTTCTTGTTAAAACTCTCAATAAACTAGGTATTGATGGAACATATCTCAAAATAATAAGAGCTATTTATGACAAACCCACAGCCAATATTATACTGAATGGGCAAAAGCTGGAAGCATTCCCTTTGAAAACTGGCACAAGACAAGGATCCCTTCTTTCATCATTCCTATTCAAGATAGTATTGGAAGTTCTGGCCAGGGCAATCAGGCAAGAGAAAGAAATAAAGGGTATTCAAACAGGAAGAGAGGAAGTCAAATTGTCTCTGTTTGCAGGCGACATGATTCTATATTTAGAAAACGCCATTGTTTCAGCCCCAAAATTCCTTAAGCTGATAAACGACTTCAGCAAAGTCTCAGGATACAAAATCAATGTGCAAAGATCACAAGCATTTCTATACACCAAAAATAGACAAGCAGAGAACCAAATCATGAATGAACTCCCATTCACAATTGCTACAAAGAGAGTAAAATACCTAGGAATACAGCTAACAAGGGACGTGAAGGAGCTCCTCAAGGAGAACTACAAACCACTGCTCAAGGAAATAAGAGAAGAAATAAACAAATGGAAAAACATTCCATCGTCATGGATAGGAAGAATCAATAACATGAAAATGGCCACACCACGCAAAGTAATTTATAGATTCAGTCCTATTCCCATCAAACTACCATTGACTTTCTTCACAGAATTAGAAAAAACTAATTTAAATTTCATATGGAAATAACAAAGAGTCCATATAGCCAAGACAATCCTAAGCAAAAAGAACGTAGCTGGAGGCATCATGCTACCTGTCTTCAAACTATACTACAAGTCTACAGTAACCAAAACAGCATGGTACTGGTACCAAAACAGACATATAGACCAATGGAACAGGTCAGAGACCTCAGAAATAACACCACACTTCTACAACCATCTGATCTTTGACAAGCTGTACAAAAACAAGCAATGGGGAAAAGATTCCCTATTTTATAAATGGTGCTGGGAAAACTGGCTAGCCTTATGCAGAATACTGAAACTGGAACCTTTCCTTACACCTTACACAAAAATTGACTCAAGATGGATTAAAGACTTAATTGCAAAACCCAAAATCATTAAAACCCTAGAAGAAAACCTAGGCGATACCATTCAGGACATAGGCATAGGCAAAGATTTCATGTCAAAAATGCCAAAAGCAATTGCAACAAAAGCAAAAATTGCCAAATGGGATCTAATTAAACTAAAGAGCTTTTGTACAACAGAAGAAACTATCATCAGGGTGAGTAGGCAACCTACAGAATGGGAGAAAATTTTCGCAACCCATCCACCTGACAAAGGTCTAATATCCAGAATCTGCAAGGAACTTAAACAAATGTACAAGAAGAAAACAACCCCATCAAAAAGTGGGCAAAGGATATGAACAGACACTTCTCAAAAGAAGACATTAATGCAGTCAACAAACATTTTTAAAAAGCTTAACATCACTGATCATTAGAGAAATGCAAATCAAAACCATGAGATACTATCTCATTTCAGTCAGAGTGGCAATTATTAAAAAGTCAAGAAACAACACGCTAGTGAGACTGTGGAGAAACAGGAACACTTTTACACTGTTGGTGGGAATGTAAATTAGTTGAACCATTATGGAAAACAGTGTGGTGATTCCCCAAAGACCCAGAACCAGAAATACTATTTGACCCAGCAATCCCATTAATGGGCATATACCCAAAGGAATATAAATTATTCTACTAGAAAGACACATGCACACATATGTTTACTGCAGCACTATTTACAATAGCAAAGACATGGAACCAACCCAAATTCTCATCAATGATAGACTGGATAAAGAGAATGTGGTATATATACACCAAGGAAAACTATGCAGCCATAAAAAGGAATAAGATCATGTCTTTTGCAGAAACTCTGATGAAGCTGGAAGCCATCATCCTTAGCAAACTAACACAGAAACAGAAAACCAAACACCACATGTTCTCACTCATAAATGGGAGCTGAACAATGAGAACACATGGACGAAGGGAGGGGAACAATACACACCAGGGCCTTTCAGGTGTGGGGAGGGGAGAGAGAGCATCAGGACAAACAGTTAAGGCATGTGGGGCTTAAAACCTAGATGACAGGTTGATAGGTGCAGCAAATCACCATGGCACGCATATACCTATGTAACAAACTTTCACGTTATGCACAAGTATCCCAGAACTTAAAGTGAAATAAAATTTTTTTTAAGTTATTATAAATGCTAAACTCAATAAATGGAAATAAAAACAAATCAAGTTATTAAGACTAGCTGTGTCCTTGAAAACTAAAACAAATTTAAATTACAACTAGAAGTAAAGTAATAATTGGCATAGATGCTTATAAATAGATATAGCTGCCCACAGATTATACAGAACTAAAGATAATTTCTTGTTAAATTTTTAGAAAAAATTCTAATATGATATCAAAGTAATAATCCTCATTATTTTCAAAACAACAAAGCTTAAAAGACTAGCTGGGCTTGATGGTTCATGCCTATGCTTTGGGTGGCTGAGGTAGGAGGATTGCTTCAAACTGGACTGGACAACATAGTAAGAACCATCTCTACAAAAAAAAAAAAAAAAAAATTAGCCAGGCATGGTGGTGTGCACCTGTACTCCCAGCTATGCAGTAGGCTATGACAGGAGGATTACTTGAGACTGCACTAGGATACGATCATGCCACTGCACTCCAGCCTGGGCGACAAAGCAATACTACATCTTAAAAAAAAAAAAAAAAGACAGTATTTTGACAATACCATTAATAGATTTATATATGTAAAAAAACAAATTCTCAATGTGGTACCATAAAAAAATAGATCTGTGTCCATTCAACCAAAATATGATAACAGCCTTTCATTATTTCTATTAAGAACTCAAATTGAAATTAAAATTAAAATTATGCATCATGGGGTCAGGTTAATTATCTGATCTCTGTTTAGTGTGACACTAAGAATATTTTATTTTGTAACAAAATGAAAATCAAATAATGAAATCTAAGTTTTTAAATATGATGTCTCTAGAATGAAGAACCAAAGCAGTTTATTTGTTTTTAATGCTCACTGCAGTAAGGGTTTTATGCCAAAAAATTACCATATGTTTTCTGCTTTTATTATCATTGTTAAGATTTTTAGACATTGGGGGTGCTGCTCTACACGGAGTAGCCATTCTTTATTCCTTTACTTTCTTAATAAACTTGGTTTCACTTTACTCTATGGACTCACCTTGAATTCTTTCTTGAGTGAGAAAGAATTTTTTAAGATGTTCTTAGATACATATTTTAGGATTTTTATTGCTGATTACAGATTTAAAACTATGAAATGTGCATTGCTTGGCAAGTAACACAAGTAATTCTTTACTTATGCACATTTCCAATAAAAGCTTAAAGAAACAGACAAAAAATATAAAGGACAAGAGAAAGACGAATGGCAATAGCTTCAAAACAAAAGGATTTAGTAACAGAAAGAGTCTCCACAGCTAGTGTCTGTCAAAATTTAAGATTATCCAAACTGCAAATGCTCAACTCAAATCAACATCATACACTGAACTATTAATACTTGTTCCTTGAAGTTGCAAACAAGAAGCCACCACATACATGTATGGTCACACAAACCACCTAATTTGCTCAAGGTTCAGCTTAAAGCAACATTTAATATCCTTTACAAGATGGAATTTTTGACAAGTTCAAAAGGAAAACTTGCTTTGTTTTAATGTATCTCTTGGGGTCTGGATCTGGACCTCTTTCTGGTAACATCTTTCTGGTGAACCATGGAAGGGACAACACGGAGGAGACTCCCCTGACCCAAAGGAAATAGACTTCAGCACTTATTGGCTGACTCTGGGTAAGTGGGGTACATTTGCTTGGGTAAAGGATGGAAATGGGTTAGAGGCCTAATTTAGGGGCGTTAGAGTCTCTCTTAAGACAGAGGTGGTTAAAGGCCCCTCTTAATAAAAGACAAGGACACTTGACAGAACATGGATTCAAGGCCCAACTTAAGAAGGTTAGAGTCCTTCCTAAGATTTAGGGGGTTTCAGGCCCCTCTCAGTAAAGTCCCTCTCAGCTAATAATGGGTTTGGCAATACGAGATATTAACTGCTATTCTCGTTGGGTTAATCTGCCTTGCCCTCTTTGCTGATGGCTGTGGGTGACATAATTAGGCATGCATGTGAATGTGGGACTTGGGGAGCTTTTTCCTCCCAAAAGGGGGATGTTTGAGAGCTAATGGGACTACTGGAAAAGATCCCTTCATGACAGATCCCTTCAAGCGGCAGCCTGAACTTTTGCGCAATGGGAGGGTCTTTCTCTGGTATCCTTGATTATTTTGCCTTCCCCACCCTGCTGTATGCAGCCAATGCTTTTCTTTCTTTCTCTCCTTTCCCTTTCTTACCTTTTCTCTTACTCAGGGTGACCATCTTGCCCAGAGACCACATGTTGAAACTTCTGGTCAGAGGTTGGATTAATGATGACAGGGTCCAACCAGGGGCAAATTTGAGCCTTGTTAGTTTGATATTGGATGCTGAGCAGAGTGGCTAATGTCTATGTCACACATATTTTGCTCTGGCCAGGACAGAAAAAAAGACAATTTTCCTTTGTGTTGCAGCTTGGCCCCCAGGGCTATGATGCGTCAAGCTGGGTCACTAGGACTGCTCAGGGAAAGGGAACCCAGAAGCCTGGCATGCCAGCAAAAGGGTAAGAATTTCTTACCAGTGAGACTTCTGTCCTCTCTCTTTCTCTCTGTGCAAACTAGTTCAAAGAATGGTAAAAATCACTGTTTATCTCCTCTGTAAAGTTCTGATTAATGTGAAAAAGGATTTGTGAGGCTAGTTTTAAGCTACAGTGAATCTGTTGTACTTTGCACTGTGAATTTGTCTTCCTGTATATTTCTGTTAGAAAGAGGGGTACCTTAGGATAGAACACAAGCTTAGGACCCCATAAGCCTACTGTTCAAGACGGCCCAGCAAACTGGCTAGTTATGTCCTTGGGAGCTTGACCTTGTGACCACATGGCGGTACTTTCTCTAGGTCTCTACCATCCAGAAAACAGGAATTTGGGGGTTCATGTCATAGTTAGCTCTACAAAATTATCTTGAGCATTTAAAACCTTTGCAAGCTCAAAATCTGCTGCTCTAGACTCCTTCTGGGAAGAGCAATGGAAACTGCCCAGTGAGTAGCTCAGTAGCTGAGGCTTTCTTTTCACAATGGTGACCCAGGTTCAGGGTTCAATTCCCAGCTTAGGGAATGAGTCCTTTCTGGTTTGATATGCGCATGAACATTTGTTGATTCTCTTCCCCTCAATGGTCTGTCTTGAATTTTCCTTTCTCTGAACACCTGGGAGGTTACCTTTGATAAAGTTCAAAAGCCAGAATTATTGACAGTTTCGCCTGGCTAAAGTCAGGTAATAAGAAATTTAAGAGGACTTTTTAAAAACAGCAGTACCATTAAAAGTCAGCTTAATTAAAAGCAGATATTTAAGTTCTAACAGCCTGGGACTCCTTGGGAAAAAAAGGAGCACCACAGACCCCATTTTGAGAAAAAACATCTGTTTTCCTCATGAAATCCCAGGAATTGGAAATGGATAGATCCCTCTCAAAATCTAAGGCTGTCTTGTGTTTCGCATTGCGTTATCTGATGTTTTTTACTTTTGGGGGTATCAGAAATCACTTTACATTAGGAAAGAGCTTTGGTATGCAATAACTAGGTAGGAAATACACTTTTGAGAATGGCTAATGGCAGTTATGGAATACTTGGCTCTTTGCACATTTGGATCAGAGAAGCATGCTCTTGGTCACTTAGAAGTTATGGAAATGCCCCCACTCCCCACTGAGAGGTAAGACTCCCATGGGAGATGGGCTAATTCCCTCTTTTTGGGATCCAGAATCTGCTATTAAAATGGAACCCTTAATTCCTGAAGATCTAGTTTGCCTTCCAGCTGTGCCTGCTTATTAGGCTTTAGAAATTTCACGCATTCTTGGCTCTGTTCCTCTAAGGCTCCACCCTGAAGCCAGTAATCCAGTTAAGAAACCGAAAAATGAAAAATCTTACTGGATCTTTTTCTGTCTGTGTATTTATATGTGCTGCATATGTGATATAAAAGAGCTTTGATTAATCGGTTTAAAAATAATAAGTGTCTAAATCAAATATTTTGTCAGAAAAGTAAAAAGTGTAATCACTTTTAGTTCATGTGACTTTAGGAATGTTTGGGAAATAAAAACAGCTTTAAAAATTATTGATAAAATAAAGACATTTGGTCTAAATTAGGCAGGTCACATATTAAGTTTACTAAATGCTTTAAGGTCAGAAACTGCTTCTTTGACTTTTGAAAATTGTTCAATTTACCTACTTTGGAGACTTTAGATTCTAGATAAGGCCTGGGGACATGTGGAATTAGCCATATTCCCAACTATGCAAAGAGGTTGTTTCTAAAAAAGAAATTTTATATAGGAAAGGAAAGAAAAGAGACAGATGGTTTGGAGATCTAAGTCTTCCCTCTATTAATGAGTAAAGGTTTTTCCCCTTTAAATATTTTTGAGTTATTATTTTGGCCTAATGAATGACTTATGATGACCTGGAATTATATTTTGTGATATCCAGTGTTTTAAACCTTTAATATTTGACAAGCTTTCCAAAATAAAATTACAAAGTATGTCTTCTTCTGACCTAATTAATCTCTTAGCTATTAGGTGGCCTAAAGTCCAAAATGGCATATTCAGGTTATTTGGTATAAATATCATACAGGAAGCATAGAAAAATATGAAATGGTCTTTGCTTTCTTTGGACTGTATTTGTAAAAATATGTTATTGGTTTGTGTTCCAAAATTATGGGAAAGTCCTGTAATTCTGATATGACTTAGTGTACATTATCAGTAATAGTTATAATTGTCAGTAAAATCATTGTATGTCACAGAACTAACCAAAATTTCTTTATCAATTGTGGCTTTAATATATGTCGTTCTAAAACTTTTTGTCATCCATAGAAAATTGTTGACCTGTTTTAATCCTCTTTAAAAAGTAAGTTTAGAGTCAGCTATAGGATTTTGACAGGTGCTCTTGAATGCACGTTTCTAATAACTTTGAAGATTGTGACATTAGAAGAGAGGATAAAACTTTCAGTACTGATGGAGAGCTGAAATGTTCATGAATATCAAGCTGAACAAGAGTTAACTGCATGGGCTGAATAATAGATAGCTGAAGTAATCTTTTAAAACTTTTTGCTTAAAATGTTGCTGATCCTTTGTTTTGCTATCAGAGCCAAGGCAACTTTTCTTTTAAGCTATTTACAGCTTTTTAACAATTGAGTAAATTTTACTCCTGTAAACAAAATTTGGGGCATATTTGATTCTACCTAATTTCTTCAGAATTTAGAAACTATTTGTGAGTATTCTTAACTTATGACAATAGATATTTGCATAAGTGCAATAAGCATCTGTTTTATTTTGTAACAGGACACAATTGGAAAAATTTGTTATTTTACCAAGACTTTCACTGGAATGGTGTGCTTTCCTTTAAGGAATCAATCTTGACTTATAAAGCCAATAAAAACCCCTTGGGAAAACTGGTCACATTCTTTGTTTACACATGCCCTGTACAGGGTTCCTGACCTGTGATAAGTAAAGAATGTCACTTTCTGATAGACTCAGGGGCCCGAAGATATCTTAGGACCTCAAGAGTAAAGGAATTAACCCAACTCATAGGTATTTGATTGTACAAACCCAGGGCTGGGCTCAGCTTTAAAAAGGTCTTATCTGAGATTCCTTTTTATGGAACAAAGTTCCATCAAAGCCAATTTTAAAATCCTATGTGAAAAATAGTTATTTTTTAGCATTTTATACAAGTAATCAGGCCAAGTATAAGACTAAAGCTCATTTTTGCGCACAAATCGATTCTATTATAATTTGTCTTTAGTAAAAATGAGAGACTGAAAAGAAAAAGAATTGCTTCAAAAACTATGGTACACCTGTTATTAGATTCTAGTCTCATTAGTTGTGTTTAAGGTTTTTTTTCTGTAATTTAGACAGACTCTGCTTATTTCTGTGTACCACCAAGTGATCTCTGACTACTATTCAAAAAAAACCAAAATGAATGGGCAATGTCAAAATCTGGATCAATATTCTAATTCTGGGCACATACTGGGATTTACTAGCAACCACATATTAGCTTGGTTCTAACAATTGCCCAGTTCATGGAAAGTCTTCTAATTTAGTTTAGTTGTGATAATTTTATTTATTTTGCTTTACTGCTGCGGAATGTATTGCTGTTATACTCTTTGTGTAGGATAAGCTTACCGAATGTTTTCTTAAATTAAATACTTATTAATCTTCCAGGTATCAACTTTTGTCAGAACTCAAGTATTCTGAATGGACCTTGACATACCAGCATTTTCTGATTGAGTTCCTCTCTATCCCAAAGACAAGAGACCCTAATTGTTAGGCAGGAATATCATCACCCCTATTCAGCTTGAAGAAGTTAGAGAAGATGGATCTTCATCCCTCTACAACTCTTAAGATTAAGAGCTTTCTTTTAAAAAGGAGGGGGTAATTGTCAGGGGCTTTTGAACCAGAGCAACTCCATCTTGAATAGGGGCTCCGTAAAATAAGGCTGAGGCCTACTGGGCTGCATTCTCAAGAGGGTAAGTCATCCTAAGTCACAGGATGAGATAGGAGGTTGGCTCAAGACACAGGTCATAAAGACCTTGCTGATAAAACAGATTGCAGTAAAGAAGCCAGCTAAAACCCACGAAAACCAATACGGCAATAAGAGTGACCTCTGGTTGTCCTCACTGATACTCTCCCATCAGTACCATGACAGTTTACAAATGCCATGTCAACATCAGGAAGTTACCGTATATGGCCTAAAACAGGGAGGGATCCTCAATTCTGGGAATTGCCCACCCCTTTCAGGGAAAACTAACAAACAACCCACCCCTTATTCAGCATATAATCAAGAAAAAACCATAAAAATGGGCAACCAGCAGTCCTTGGGGCTGCTCTGCCTATGGAGTAGCCATTTTTTATTCCTTTACTGTCTTAATATACTTGCTTTTAATTTTTTTAAAAAAGATTTTTAGACATCAGTAACAAAGGATAATGTATTAGTCTATTCTTGCTTTGCTATAAAGAAATACCTGAGGCTGGGTAATTTAGAAAGAAAAGAGGGTTAGTTGACTCATAGTTCTGCATGCTTTACAGGAAGGATAGTGCTAATATCTGTTTGGCTTCTGGAGAGGCCTCAGGAAGCCCACAATAATGGCAGAAGGTGAAGGAGAAGCAGGTACATCACATGTGGAAAGCAGGAGCAAAGTGGGAGGAGGTGCCACACACTTTAAAATAACCAGATCTTGTGATAACTCATTCACTATCACAATAAATCATTCATGAAAAATCCACCTCCAGAATCCAATCATCTCCCACCAGGTATCACCTCCACCCTGGGGATTACAACTGAACATGCATGGGGACACAGATCCAAACCATGTCATTCTGCCTCTGGCCCCTCCCAAATTTCATGTCATTTTCATGTTGCAAAATACAATTATCCCTTCCCAACAGTCTCCCAAAGTCTTAACTCATTCCAGCATTAACTCCAAAGTCCAAAGTCTCATCTGAGACAAGGCAATTCCCTTCTACCTATGAGCCTGTAAAATCAAAACCCAGTTATTTACCTCCAAAGTATAATTCAGATACAAGCATTGAGTAAATATTTCCATTCCAAACGGGATAAATCAGCCAAACAAAAGAGGCTACAGCCCCCATGCAAGTCTGAAACCCAAAAGGGCAGTCATCAAATTTTAGTGCTCCAAAATAATCTCCTTTGACTCCACGTCTCATATCCAGGGCACATTGGTGGGAGGAGTGAGCTCCCAAGGCCTTGGGAAGCTCTACCCCTCTGACTTTGCAGGGCTTAGCTCCAGTGGCTGCTCTCATATGCTGGCACTGAGTGCCTGCAGTTTTTCCTTGCTGAGGGTGAAAGCTGCCAGTGGCTACCATTCTGGGTTCTGGAGTATGGTGGCCCTCTTCTCACAGTTCCACAAGGCAATGTCCTAGAGGGGACTCAGTGGAGACTGCAACACCACATTTCCCCTTTTCGCTGCCCTAATAGAGGTTCTAGGGCCATGAGGGTTATGCCCCTGCAGCAGGCCACTGCCTGGACACCCAGGCTTTTCTGTACATCCTCTGAAATCTAGGCAGAGGCTCCCAAGCTTCAATTCTTGCATTCCACACACCCACAGGCTTAATGCTGCATGGAAGCTGCCCATCGATTCATTTACTTGGAAAATATGTATTGAGTAGCTACCATGTGATAGGCAATCTTCTGGATCCTGGGGTATATCAGTGAGTAATGCAAATAAAAAAAATCTTGCTTTCTCTTTTATATTATAGAGGGAAAAACAGATATATTCAACAAAAATAAGTCAATTCTATAATACATTAAAGATGCTAAGTGCTATGGAAAAGAATAGAGCAACATAATGAGACCCAAAGTGGGGAGGTGGTGTTTGCAGATGTAAACGGGGTGATAAGAAAGATGTATTTAAGAAACTGGTATTGAGCAGACCTAATCAGGTAAGGGAGTCAGCCTGATGGATATCAGGAGGTGAAAAGTTCCAGGTTGAAAGAACAGCGAATGGTATCAAGGCAGAAGTGCACCTCCCATAGTCAAAAATCGGCAAAGAGGCCAATTTGTGTAAAACAAGGAGAACAAAATAAACAAATGTAAGAAATAAAGCCAGAGAAGTAACTGCTGTTAGCTCAGTTAGGTCTTGTAGGTTATAGTAAGAATGGTGGTTTTCACTCTGGTAAAATGGAGAAACAATAGAGCATTTTGAGCAGAGAAGTAATATGCTTGACTGATATTTAACAGAACAATTATGGCTGCTGTGTTGAGAATAAAGCGGAGTGCCTGGAAGTAGTTAAAAGACAATGCAGTAATCCCGGCAAAGCAGCAACCATGAATTGGACTGGGATGATTCTAGTGGAAGTGCTAAGAAGGATTCAAAATCTGGATATATTTTGATTCTAACACCAACAAGATTTTGCAAAACAAAAAAAAAAATGTTGAACATGAGATAAAGAGAATTGACAAGGATGACTCCAAATCTTTTTCTCTGTCTTAGTGGAAAAATGAAATTGCCTTCACTTGTGATGAGGAAGACCATGGAAGAAGTAGTATATGGATCAAAGTGAGAGAGCTTAAGAAAACCAGTTCCATTTTGAAAAAAAGTAAGTTTAATTTTGAAATGTAAATTAAACATTCAAATGGAGACTTTGGGTAGTTTGATACATGTAACAGAGTCGTCTGGAGTTCAGGAAAGAGGCTGGGGTGGGGAGATTTATATTTGGAGGTCAAGTCACTTAGATGACATTTAAAGCTATAAGACTGGAGGTGATCTTTAAGGGAGTGAGTGTCTGTAGACACGGGAGCAGAGCTAAGTCTTAAGGCTTGGGGTACCAATACTAAGAGGTCAAGTAGATGAAGAGGAACCAGTAAATCAAACTGAGACGCAGCAACTAGAAACTCAGAGAGATGATGGAGTGTTAGATGCCAAGTGAAGAACGTATACCAAGGAGGAAGGAGCGATCAACTCCATTAAATGATGTTAATAGGTCAAAAAGATAAAGACTTGAAATTAACTATTAGATTTATAATGTGAAGGTGAGTAGAGATTTGACAAGTGTAGCTTAAGTGCAGTGGTGAGCTAAAGTCTGACTGTAGATGGTGGAATTTGAAAAGAGGAATTAAAGGCTCCTATGGTTGAATATACTTTGGTGAAGTTTTGCTAAAAGGAGAGCAAATAAATAAGACAATGGCTAGTAGAAGAAATGGGGGAGGGTCAAGAATAATTTTTCATGGAAAAATAACAACATGCCTTTATTCCCTTGAAAATGTTCCATTAATACAAGAAAATTTTACAATACAGCAGTAAATTGGGGAAAAATGAGGCAAGATATTCTTGGTCAGATCTATTAATAGGTGGTATGCCAGTGGTGGATAAATATAGCAGTGGAAATCTATAGAAGCTCTTTTATTCTTTTTGTTAATTTTTATGGTAAAGTTGGAGGTAATATAATCACTGAGGATCAGGATAATGAGAAAGGAAAATGTATAAATAGTTGGCATAAGACAGGAAAGTGAATGAATGAGGGAAATATGGAATGATCACAGGGCAGCATCAGGAAACATAGGAAGTTCATGGTCATGAGTTTAAGGTGGGAAGAGTCGTCCTCTTTGGGTATATTTAACCTATGCTGTGGTAGTGCCAAGATCATAGTAGAAGTGAAGAAAAAACGGCAGGGAAGTCCAGTTCCATGAAAAGAAGTGGTTATAATAACTGGCCATGAAACTTAAGTTGAGTAAGGAGGGAACAGACCACATCAAAAAGTGAGAGATAGTGGAAAGTCGTTAAATCATTTGAAGATCCCGGGAGGGATGAGGAATTTTTGGACTCAGGGTATAAGGGGTATACACTAATCAATATGATTATGTATCTGACAGAAAAAGAAACACAAGAGATGCATGTGCTATACAAACTGAACAAACAGAGCCGCTGGGGGCACCGAGATTAAACGATGCCACATGATCATTAGTGAAACAAGATCCAATGGCTAGATTTATAAAAAAACATGTTTCAGTTTTAAATATTAGCAGTAAACAGATTTCAGGCAAACCAAAGAAACAGATATAAAAGTTAAGAGTCAGGGATAAATTAGGGCCCACAAAAGCTGAAAATCCCCATGAAAAATTAGAGGAGGTAATTAAAACGTCGATGCCTGAATTCTACCAAAATAATCTTTGGGGCCAAGTAATATGCACCTTTTTTGTTCAGAGTCAGTGACCAGCCATAGCTGAAACAATCTAGAGGGTTGGAGAGTTAAGTATAGACAGAGTTGTGCCAAAGAAAAAAAGGGGTATAAATTAGATGTTGTTATAATAGTTCAACATCTGCTTTAAATGTAAAAAGTTGTAAGGGACCATCACTTTGCTGTCAATCTAACAACCAAAACAAGCCAGATAAGCCCTAAAGTCATTATTTTTTAACCAATCAAAATGTAGAGCGCACAGAAAAAACTAAATGAATTAAATTCTAGAAAGTAATAAGCCTTTTGTAGGAAACACAAACATTTACTGGACATGTAACTCATTGGACGAGACCCAGGGCTACTCCCATACTTAGCTCAGAGGTAAGAAATAGAGGATTCAGGCATAGAAGGAGTAAGAAAGAAGCAGCCATACAGAGGCCAGAATGACATATTAGAATTCTAAGGAGGCCCCACCAGACATGTGTCTAACTATTTTCAATTCTATCCACAGATATCTGAAACCAGTAGTGAGCTAAATAATATTAAAACTGTAGTAAAGCCCACGTACAGATCAACTTCAAGTCAGTTTGGTATTTTTTCTTTCCTACTGCCCACCCCCATTCAAAAGGTCTCATAGAACCAGCAGTGCTCTTCTTTGTAAAGGGAAAAACGCCAAAAAATATGATTTACTTCCACCTCTTTCATTCTTTTACGCAAAGTGTTTATCATACAATAAAAATATTTAAGACACATGAGAAATCAACACAATGTGGCCCTTTGTAAAGAGAGGAAAGAGTCAATAGAAGGAGATGCAGACATGGCCCAGATGTTGGAATTATCAAATAGGGATTTGAAAATACCTATAATATAAATGCTAAAAGATCTAGGGGTGATAGTGAATAATACATGCAAATAGATGGGTGAATTTGAGCCAATAGATGAAGTCTACAAAACGGCCAAATGAAAATACTTGAAATGAAAAGTATAATTTAGAAATCAACAGTTTGCTAGATGGGCTTAGCAGCAGCCTAGACACAAAAGAGAAATTGACCAGTGAAATAAAGACAAGTCAAATAGAAAGTATCCAAACTGAAACACAAAAAAGAGTGGGGAAAATGAAAACAAAGGAACAAACAAAACTGTACCCAATATCTATGGGACAATATCTAGTGCTCTAACATCAATCTAACTAGAGTCTTATTACAGAAGAAAGAAAAGGAAGCAAAAAAAGGAAAAAAAGAAAGAAAAGTTTGAAGATACAACTATCAGAACTTCCAAATGTAATGAAAACACCAACGTACATATCCAAGAATTTAAGCAAACCTCAAGCAGGACAAATATAATGAAAATCATTCCTAGGCATATCATAAACTGATAACATGAAAGATAAAAATAAAATCTTAACAGCATCAAGTGGAAAACAATATATAGGCCAGGCATGGTGGCTCACACTTGTAATCCCAGCACTTTGGGAGGCTGAGGAGGGTGGATCATCTGAGGTCAGGAGTTCGAGACCAGCCTGGCCAACATGGTGAAACACGGTCTCTACTGAAAATACAAAAATTGGCATGGTGGCATACACCTGTAATCTCAGCTACTCGGGAGGCTGAGGCATGAGAATTACTTGAACCCAGGAGGCAGATGTTGCAGTGAGCCAAGATCGCACCACTGCACTCCAGCCTGGGTTGACAGAGTGAAAGACTCTGCTTCAAAAAGAAAGAAAGAAAGAAAGAAAGAAAGAAAGAAAGAAAGAAAGAAAGAAAGAAAGAAAGAAAGAAAGAAGGAAAGAAACATATAGTATACAAGAAAACATTTATATAAATAGTGGCTGATATCTCACCAGAAACAATGAAGGCAAGAAGACAAGGAAACAACATCTTTAAAGTTCTAAAAGAAGTAACAGTAATCAATGTAGAATTCTATATCAAATGAAAATATCCTGCAAAAGTAAAGACATTTTTACACAAGCTGAGAGAATTTGCTTCAGCAGGCTGAGCTACAAGCAATGAAAAGGGAGGTTCTTCGGATTAAGAAGAAATAGCATCAGGTGGAAGTGAGGATGAACAGGAAACATTGAAGAACACTAGAAAGGACAGATCTTTAAAAAGAGAGAGAAATTATTTTGTGGGGTTTACATAGACAAAACACAGAATTTTAAAATATCTGCTACATAATGAATCTAAACTGGACTTTTTTTCTCCCTCACCCTAAGTAAATTTTGATTTTCAGCCAAAAAAAATTAAATATGGTCATGGCCATTATGTTAAAATTTTAAGTATCACAGTCAATAAACTTAATAACTAAATTAACAATAATATTTATGATAGCGAAATTTTATTGAATACCTAACATGAATCAAACATGTGTTATTTATAAGCTCTCTGATCACCCTGAAAAGTATGTGTATAAAACACATTTTATAAATGAGAAAACATATTAGGAAATTGGATTGAGAAGTTATATTCTTTGCCAAAGTCACTTGGCTGTTAAGAAGCAGAACTAGCATTCAAACCCAAATCTGTCTGATTCTAAATCTCATGCTTTGCTTCTCAGGCACAAATTATTATAGTAATAATAATTGTATGTACAATGAGTTAAATGTCCAATGAACGCTTGTGTTTCCTGAATCCATGTGACAAGTACAGAATTTAAATGACTAACATTTTCAAGACCACCCTCTGTACTATACAAATTAGGTGTCTCTGGCTGAACTTGTTACATTCATAGAATAAATCTATTCTGAAAATGCTTCCATTTATTATTTTGTCCAAAATTGGAAAATATTTTTAATTCTTATTATAAAATTATAGTTTACTGAAAAAAATTGCACAAAAAGAAATTTAAAAAGCAATTATTTGCAATCCCACTCATAGAGATTAACATTACTAACATTCTGAAGAACATTTTGGCATATTTCCTTCCAGAACTTTAATATGTATATGTATGTTTATAACATATACATTAAATTTATAGAATTTTGTACTATACAATCTTGTTTGTTTCATGTAATAACACATCATGAACCCATTGCCATGTACATAGAAAGAGACATATTTCATTCCTCTTGATGGTGTATACTATTCCACAGTAGGCATGAATTATAATTTATTAAATCAATTCCTTTTTGAAGTTTTTAACTGATTCCAGTTATTTGTTACTTTAAATCATTCTACAATGAACATTTTGAGTATGTATTTAAGTCTTTGTCTAATTATATTCTCGAGATAGTGTCCTGGAAGTAGAAATCTTGGATTAAGTAGTTTTCGCATTTTTACTTTTGATAGTTTGCCAGGTTACCCCAAACTATTTCCAACACCGGTATAATCGCTTTTCTAGTCCTTGCCAAACTATCAAGTACAAAATGATAATCGTTGTTTGAATTTTAAATTCCCAGTTTAATAGTCAGATGTTTCAATATTTTCCTTTAGTGTTTCTGGACATGGTATCGTGCTAATAAAGGTCCTTAATATGCTAGAATTATAGAAACACTTGCCTTCATTTTCCTCTACTACCTTATGATTGCATATTTTGCATTCAAATTTTAATTAATCAGCAGTTTTTACTTAGTATGGTTGAGAGAGCTACATTAACATCATTTTAAATATACAACATAACTTGTCTGATAATATTGCTAGATACCTTGTCTGCAATGTTCTGAAACTAAGTAAACTCCTATCTATATACTATATTCCTATACTCTTCTTCCATTCCAATCTCTTAGTCAATTTCAATACTTTCTAAGCTTTTTTTAAATCTAATTCCCAAAAATAATTCTCTCTGAAAAAAATTAGCATGATTTCAGCTGAACTAAAATGGAGTTTGTGTATCTAGCAGAGGTTAGAAATGTGAACCCATGGGAAACTGGTAGAAATTAGAAGTAGCATTCCAACTTTAGAATCAAGTACAAGCATATGGGCTAAGACACACAACGTTGAAAACACAGAAAGGAAGGCAAGTAGGAGTTAGCTTTAGACGATGATCCTTTTCTTCCCTGCATATTCACTTTAACAGACACTCAACAAATATTTATTGATTCCTTAATGACCAATGATCTTCTTAAGAAAGTGCTATGCACATTTGAATGTATAATGTAGAAATTCTCACCTTTAATCGGCAACTAGAACTCTGTTGATAAACAAGTTCAGAAATAACTGGGAAAAGTTTTGATTCATGTAGTTCTGTAATTTTAAATCCAAAATTTGGAGAGCTAGTATGGTTTATTACCACGATGACATTGCTGACTCCTCATAACTACATATCTGCTAACACAAGTGCTCCAGGTTATATACCCAATTGGAAGCACTAAAATAAATCTACAACTAAAAGAAAATGTTCTAAAAAGGAGCCATCACACTTTGGTTGATATAGATGGTCTAAGGTGTTTCTATTTGTATACATAAAATTCAGCCTGATCAAATCAGATTATACCATTAATAAGGATAAATGAGGGTTCAGTAAAAAGCATGCATTTGGTCCATTGATTACTTTTCCAGGGAAAGCAAAGACAAGTCCTGCAGTAACAGAAAGTGTCACTGGCAACACATTTTTCTAGAGAGTTATGCTAGAGATAAGACTCAAAGAAAAAGCTCTGTAGTAGCCAACACTCATATGGAAGGTTGTTACTTTCTGGGTGCAGAAACAGAGAACCAAGTCAAACCTAATCAGAGAAAGACAGAAAAGATCCATCTTGATCTGCTATAGGCCTTCATTTGATGTGCTTGTGTTTGAGGCAGTGTCTGTTCCAAAGCAGAGACAGCCGGCCTGGCACTGCATGAGAGCACCTTTAATTCAGCTCAGTAATCGCTTGCACAATTACCTCTTTTGAAAGAAACCATCTTGGATATGGACAAAAGTATGGAGGACAGTGACTTAATTTTTTGATTAAAAAAAGGAGCAAGTAAGAGAAAGAAAATGATTTATAATAAGTCCATAGGAACATTCTGTACCTATCTCTTTTCTGATTAGAGAGGTGGCATGGAGCCTGGCTCATTAGGCAGAAGTAATGAGCCAGTCTATACGCCATCTCTAATTAGAGAAAAGATACAGTAGGTACGACTGTACATATAAATTGATAGAATAAAGATAAAAATTATTTAAAATATCCTTTTCCTTCTGTAGCTCTCAGATGTCAAGAACATAAAGGAGAAAGTTGTAATGAAAACTAAATAATATTTGAAATAAACCGGTTTCCTGTTACATGTTTTCTAATCAGGAGTGAAATTTATTTCTACACAGTTTAAAAATATCATCTTCAGTTCACACTGTTCTTTTGAAGCATTAATCCAACATTTAGTATACTGAAGTAGAATAGAAGCAAGCCATTTTAACCCTGCAGTGCATAGGGGACTAATTTATGGCGCTATCAAATACTTTGAGCAACATTTGGTGCAATAAAACACTTTTAGAAGTACTAATGGGGATTAAATATTGAAATAAGGCTCACAAGATTTAATGTGTTATTTAAAAATTCTTCACGCAGAGTATTTTATAAGATTATGCATTATACTAATTACTCAAACCAAGTTCCTAAATATATAAGTTCCTTAAAATATTGCTTCTTCACATGAGTTTAGCTTGATCTAAGAGCATACACAAACTAAAGTAATACGGTCTTCATATTTTCTCTTTTGATTGGTACAACAATCATATGGAAATATAGTGTTATCCCTATCTTATTGTTTCACAATAAGAAAATTGATGTTCAAAGAGTTTAAAAATAGTTACCACTTAATGCACATTTACTATACAACAAGCAACTTATATTCTAAACATACATCATCTCACATAATTCTTATAAGATTCCTATGAATTATATATTAAACCACCATTTAATAGATTAGAAACCAGACTTAAAGAGAGTTAATATTTTGATCAAAGAAGCACACCTGGGTTATATTTAAACCAGAGCTTGGCAATTTAACCACAGTGTTTTGAATATCAAAAATATATACCTTCTTTTTTAAAACTAGACATTGGTCTAATAACTCAGGTCATACAGAAAAACAAAATAACATTTTATATTATTTCAGAATTAATAAGTGCATCAGACAAAAATATCTACAGGAGATATTTATGGCATGTCCATTATATACATTTATTACAAACATTCAAAAAGAGTTGAGTTCCTGATATGTGCAAATGATAGGATTGTGTACCTATCATAATAATGAGTTTGGCAAGGTCACTAAACATAGGTAAATATAAAAACTGATTAGATTTTAATGCAATAGTAACAAAATTAGCAAATGAAGTTCAAAAACAATACTAAGTATAATTGCATGAAAACCAACAGGCCAAAAAGCCAGAACACTGACAATACCAAATGCTGGTGAGGATGTGGGGCAACAGGGACTCTCTTTCATTGCTGATAGGAATGTAAAACGATATAGTCATTTTGGAAGACAATTTTACAGTTTCTTACAAAACTAAACATATCTTACCATACGATCCAGTAATTGCGCTCTTTGGTATTTATAAGTTGAAAACTTATGTTCACACAAAAACCTACACACTGATGTTTATAGCAACTTTACTCATAATTGCCAAAACTTGGAAGCAACCAAGATGTCCTTCAGTAGGTGAATGAATAAATCAACTATGCTATATCTAACCATGGAATATTATTTAGTACTAAGAAGATATGAACCACCAAGCCATGAAAGACATGGAGAAATCTTACATGCATATTACTCAGTGAAACAAGCCAATCTGAGGATACATGATTTTTTTATCCCAACTATATGATATTCTAGAAAAGGTGAAAATACAGAGACAGTGAAAAGATCAGTGATTGCTAGGGGTTAGGATAGAGATAAGGATGAATATGAGGAACATAGAAGATTTTTAGGGAGTGAAGCTACTCTGTAGGATACTGGAGTAGTGGATACTTGTCGTTGTACAACACCAAGAGTGAACTTTAATGTAAACTATGGACTGTGGGTGATAATGATGTGTCAATGTAGGTTCATCAATTGTAACAAATATACCATATACCGCTCTGGTGAGGGATATTGACAATGGGGAAGGCTGTGCGTGTGTAGGAGCAGAGAGTATACTGGAACTCTCTATACTTTCCACTCAATTTTTCTGTGACTCTAAAATTGCTCTAAAAAAATAGTCTATTAAGAAGGAAAACCAATGAATATGTTTGAACAAGTCTAACAAATAGGAGTGAGACCTCTATACAGACAACTAAAAACATTGCTGGGAGAAATCAAGGAATATATTACATTTATGGGCTGGATACTTGATATTGTTCAGATGCCCATTCTCCTAAATACAAATGAGTAATTTAAATCTCAACAGAATTTTTTATGAAAATTGAAAAACTGTTTCTAAAATTCATATATAATAGCCAAGGCAATCTTAAAAGAAAAAAAGTTGGAGAACTACTAGATATGAAGACATGTATGAAGTTACAGTAATTAAAACTAAATATTTTGGCCCAAGTATAGACAGACAGACAGATCACTGGGGCAGAATAGAAAGTTCAGAAAGAAACCCATCTTCACATATACAGAGACCTGATTCACGACAACGTTACCACTGCAGAATGGTAGAAACATTGATTTGTTTCAAGAGGCAAGGTTTTCTAGGTTAATTACACATTCAGGTGGGACAAAAATTTTGACCCCTACCTTATATAACCTCAAAAAATCTATTCCAGATAGAACATAGACCAAAATTTGAAAAGTAAAATAATAAAGCTTCCTGAATAAACTGTAGGAGGATATCTTCGTGATATCAGGGTTTGCAAAAATAGTCTAAACAGAACACAAAAAGTATTAAGTATAAAACAATGACTAAATTAGACTCATTAAAATTAAGAAGATCTGCTTATCGACAAATACCATCAAGAGAATGTGACTGTAAGCCTTAGCCCAGAAGACCATATTTGCTATCATGTATTTGTCAAAGAACTCATATTCAAAATATGGAAGACCTCCTATAAATTATTAAGAAAAATACAAACTGTCCAATTAAAACTTGGCAAAAGGCTTCCCAAAAAAGCATATTCATTTGGCAAATAAGCACATGAAAAGATCTCAGTATCACTAATGATCAGGAAATGCACTACATGGCTACAAGAATGGCAAAGAATGATAACATCTGGCAAAACTAACAGTTGATAAGGATGTGGAACAACTGAAATCCTCAAATGTTGCTTGTTGGGACACCCACTTTGGAAAACTTTACAGAATTATTTGCTAAAGCTAAAGATATAACTGCATACACTATGGAAAAATCTCATTGGCATAGTGCTAAGCAAAAAGAACACAAAAGAGTACCTACTTCATGATTTTATTTGTATGATAGTTTGAGAACAGGCAACATTAATCTATGGTTATAGAGGGCTACATTGATGCTATTCTGTTTTTATCTTTACAGTGGATGTTCATTAGGGGACTCTGAGATTCTGGAAATATTCTACGACTTTTTTTAAATGAGAGTTACACAGGTGTATATAAATATTAAAAACTCATCAAGCTATACCTTTTATATTTATGCACTATCTTGCATACATGTTTTATTTTGCTTAAATATTAAAGGATTACTTTAAAATATCTAGACCACAAAGTTCATAAGCCATCAAAAAACTGAAGAAAACTTATACAACATAATATTCTTAACATAAATGAGTTTTTATAAATAAATAAGGAATTATAGAGTATAAATATGGACACATTGTATGAATAAGGAATTCATAAATGAAATGCAAATGATCAAGACATACGTAAAAAGCTACTCAAACTCATTAATGGCCAAATAATTCTGAGTCAGCATTCAACAATATTTTTCACTTAGAGGAATGTCAAGGGTGAAAAAAAAGTGGATAATTTGTAAGGATAGTTAGTGTTTAAGGAAACAAGTACTTGGCTATATATTTTAATGAGGTTATAAATTTTCACAACCTTTCTGGAGGTAGCCCATTGTTATGCATTAGAGCAATCTCTGTAATATGTATTAAAATATAAAATGACCATATACTTCAACCCAGCCATTCAACTTCTATGAATTTATTTTTTGGAAATAATTATAATAACATTAATAATAGTATTATTTACGGCAGGGTGCGGTGGCTCACGCCTGTAATCCCAGCACTTTGAGAGGCCAAGGTGGGTGGATCACCTGAGGCCAGGAGTTCGAGACCAGCCTGGCCAACATGGTGAAACCCCATCTCTACTAAAAATACAAAAGTTAGGCGTGGTGGTGCACATCTGTAATCCCAGCTACTCAGGAGGCTGAGGCAGGAGAATCACTTGAACCCAGGAGACAGAGGTTGCAGAGAGCCGAGATTGCACCACTGCACTCCAGCCTGGGCGACAAGAGCGAAACTCCCTGTCAAAAAAAAATAATAATAAAATAATAATATTATTATTATTTACTGATATAGTTTAGTAATTTTTTTCAATATATAGCATATATGTTATCTTCTTAAACTACATGGCCAATTTTTAGTGTGCGAAAATATAAACCACATAGTCCAGTTAATTATATGTTAATATTATTTCTCAGTTTTCATCTAATACTGTACAGTCCTACTTTAACAATGCTGTACATTAAAATCCAGCCCCATGCCCAAGAAAGAGAAAATATAGTTTATATACAGGCATTGTGCTTAGCACTTCATCCATTCATTCATTTAACAAATAAATATTGAATATCTAATACATGCCAGGTGCTTGAAACACAGTAATGTTTTACATGACATTGCTTCATTTGATCCTTACATTGGCCCTATGGGAAATCAATATTATGATCATCATCATCATCATTTTAAAGTTGGGGTGACTACACTTTAGAGATATTAAAATATCTTGCCAGGCCATATAGCTAGTAAGTGAGGAAATGGGATATGAATTCACGCAGGTTGGCACCAAATAGGATATTAAGGAACTGTGCAATCAGGCAACTGCTCAAATACATATGTACGTATGTATACATCTATGTATATGATTGATAGATTGATGGTTGATATATATAAATGGAAATGTAGATATAGACACAGATATATAAATATATGTGGATATATATATAATATTTTCCATAAAATAACTGCTAATTGCACTGAAACATTAAAAAAACCTAAATGTTCATTATAGGAGCTTAAGAAATCTCATGGATTGCAACTATACAATTGCATAGAATACAGCCATTTTAAATGAGAACATATATCTAAATGAGAAGATACATTGACATGAAACGTTGTTTATAACATTTGAAGGAGAAGTATTTATTTTTAGAAGGCTCAGAGGAAGCATATGTATTGTAATTTTATTTTTGGAAAAATGTATTTATAACTATATCTCTAGCTAAAAATGTACTAAAAATCTGTAGGAGTATAAAAAAGTTAAATTATATCTATCTCTGAAGATAGAAATATGGAAAATACTTTCTATTTCACAGAGTTCCATATTGTTTAGATTTTTTTATAATGAGCATATATTATATAATAATATAAAATACTATTTTTATTTTAATATGCAGGCATTTTAAAGACCACTGTACTAGATATTTCAAGATAATTTCTTATTTCAACTTCTGGTTTTATTCAATATATAGTATATGATATCTTCTTAAACTATATGGCCCATTTTTAATGTAGTAAATGTAAACATCAGTCCAGTTAATTACATGTCAATACTATTTCTCAGGTTCCATCTAATACTTCGTAGTTCTACTTTAACAATTCTCTACATGAAAATGCAAACCCCTCAGAAAAGAGACAGAAAGGAAATATAGTTTATTACACATTGAAATTACTTAAAAACTGATCAGAATAAAGAAGTTTATATTTGAAAGCTTCCCAAATGTAGTAAGTTATATAGTAGATCCCAAAAGATCTATTATCCATCTGGAACCTGTAACTATGACTTTAATTTGGAAAAAGGGTCTTTGCAAGTATAATTAAGTTAAGGAACTCAGGGTGAGATCCTCCTGACTGTGAGTGGGCCCTAAATCCAATGACAAGTGTCCTTATAACAGAGGTAAAGGGGAGAAGATTCAGAGGAGAAGGCCACATGAAGACTGAGGCAAGATTGCAGTTAGGAAGCAGCAAGTAAAGGAACACTAAGGATTGCCAGTAGCTACCACGAAGAGAGACATGGAATAGATTTGCCCTCAGAGCCTCCAGAAGGAACCAACACCACTGAACCCTTAATTTCTGACTTCCAGCTTCCAAAACTGTGAAAAAATAAATTTTACTTTCATTAATCTGCCATCCAGTTGGTGGTAATTTGTTCAGTAGCCCTAGAAGATGAATACACGTAGATATTTTAAAATATTATTTGTTTGATGCATTTTTAAGAACAATGTAATTGGATGAAATAAATAACATTCTGAAGTCAGAAACTTACCATTTAAACTCTGTCCTATTTGCACAGTACCAGATGCAAAATCTGTAATTGAACCACTTAGAGTTCTTGCATTGAAAGGTGTATGATCCTTCTCCACGCCATTGATAAAGAAGCTGATTTTTGTCTGATGCACCTGTAAGAAATTACCACCATTATTAGTTTAAGTGCATAAACTTTTATTTTATATTAAACACATTTCAGCAGTTTTTATTAAGTAACTTTCTTTCTTCTTTACTTTGTTCAGCTGGGAAGACTGAAAACATTATTTTAATAGCTCAGTGATATCTCCATGTGTTTATCTAGATATAAACCTATATAGTGTCATTTTGTGCTGTGATGATATCTCCCAGGGTGTTCACAGGTATACATAATAGTTTGTCCCATACATGTAACAGCTCTGGTTGCCATGTTTTACAGGGTTTTTGAGGATATGTTACTTCTTTAAATACAAATTAAATTTGTTATGGCTATATTTGGAAATAGAGCAAAATGAGTACAAGGGAAAGAAATAATTAAAACCAGATATAACAACAAAGAATTGCATGTGGATATAATTCAAGTTACTAGGATCAAATATTTCTTGAATTTACTGTCTTGGGTATTGGTATCCGGTTGGTGATTTTCAGATATACTTTTCCAATGTAGGGTAACAAAAAGTTGCCAATCATATTCTAGACTAATCAATCAAGCAAGTAGCCTAATAACTGCACATATTAGGGATTAGCAATTTTTTTTTTCTGTAAATAGCTAGAGAATGTTTTTTTCTCTGCAAGTCAAATGGTTTGGTTTTATGGGCCAAATGGTTACTGTCACAACTGCCCAACTCTAATGCTGTAATGCAAAAGCATCCACAGACAATATATAAACAAATGGGCATGGCTGTGTCCAAATAAAACTTTATTTATAAAAACAGGTGGCCAGCCAATTTGACCCACAGGTTGTAGCTTGATAACTCTTGGATTACATGATTAAAAAGCTATGGGATTTTTGTTTATGCGACTGGAGCCCAGAATAGCCAATGCTATCAAACTTTTATGGAAAACACCCATAGATACCTGCACAAAATTTTTAATTGCATACACTTCTAAATAAACTAATCAGCTGTTTGGACATCAACTTCATCTCTGCAAATAGTCTTTTTGTTCAAGTGCTTTTAGCTTAAATGAAAAAGGAATAATTGGTACTCTAATTAGTGAAGGAGCTGAAATGGCAAATAAAAGGCTCTGGAAAGGGGAGGGGTTGAGAGAGGGGAGGAAAGAGTGAGATTTAAGGTCATGCAAAGGAAAGGTTGGATGTTAACATTTTAATTAAAATGATAGCAAAACATTCAACATGCTATTCTGCTATGGACTTTGAGTGGTAATGATGTATCAGTGTAGGTCCGGCAATTGTAACAAATATACCACTCTGGTGCAGGGCTTTAATAGAGGGGGAGGCTGTGGGTACATGGGGGTACAGCATGTTTGGGAGATCTCTGAAATTTCCACTCAGTTTTGCTGTGAGCCTGAAACTGGTTATACTTTTAATGCTTTTATGTTAAAAAGACTTGCAATAATTAATGAAGATAAACATTTATTCTCAAACATCTTAAAATCATGTGTACTATTGCCTTAAAAATCTTTTTCAATGTCCCCCCCCAAAAAAACAAGCAAAACACAACAAAACAAAAAAAACAGGAAGTTACTACAATAATTACTTGGTAATACGGATTATTTCAAGAAGTTACCCACAATGGCTTTTCTCCATTCTAACCACCCTACTTTCATTTAAACTATGTTCTTTCTTAAATCCATTGATCTAGTGTTGCATTTGATTTAATTTTAAAACAAAGCTTTAATATACCTCAAATCATATACCAAGTCCTCAAGGGCCTGGATATATTCCGCTTTGTTGGGTAGTAGGGCTGCATTTTTTTTGCATCCCATTTTTTACAGCCTGTTACTGTCATTTGGTGTTTGACTGTTATCATTATAAAAGATACAGGCTTTTCTACTTTGTTATTTGTAGCATTATCTCATGTTTTACAACATCTTTGCACAACATGCAGGCACATGAAATATAACTAGTGAAAAGTTCTCAGTGGTATTAATGCATAAAAAAGAATGTGGTTCCATCTCTACTGTCTTTACCCAGCCAAAAGCTGATGAACAGCCAATTTTCCTTTATCACATTAGCACAGCCATGAGGGAAACACATTTGTTCTAGTCAGCTACACTAAAGATACTATTACCAATCTAACATATACATGTTTTATATCAGCAGTATTCTCAGAGCATGAGAGAGCCAACAATATATTAACACTAGCATGACAGTTTATTTAAGAAAAGAAAATTGTCTCTGTAGAGGGACAGAAGTTAGAAATGTATGGCTAAAGCTCAGTGTCACTGGTCTAATAAAGGTAATAATTCTTAGGCTTTCTTTATAGCAGGTAACACTCCCGTGACACTTCTGTCATATCATTCAAATAAAAATGTTGTCTTTTACAAGTTTAAGTGCACCTTTATTTTGAGTCAGATAGAAAGCATGTTTTTGATTTTCTGTATTCACTGTATTATATCTGTTGTCAAGAGTTCAGGACCTTCTTTTTTATCAACTCATCACATATTTGCTTAGTAGAAGAATTCAGTGTCACTTGCAGTGAATTCCAGAAGGATATTTTCACTTTATAGGTACTTAAATAATGATTAATGATGATCCCAAGCCACTCTCTTCCATTGCCCCCTCCACTACCAACCACCTTTCCATACATAAGATTAAATCTTCCTTGGTTTTTCTGCACCATGTTTTATGTTCCAAGATTCTCTAAACTATTTTACAATTCTGATCTGGGGCCCCATCACCCTGAAGCTGTAAAGACTGAGGTGGATTTTTGCCATAGCTCATTCCGATGGTCCCCTTGCCAGTTATTTAAGGGAATACATACAATGGAATTTCTGATTTGTGAAAAGAAAGCCTTCTGCTAAAATAAACTTTGCACCTATCTCATTCTCTAGCCCTATGAGGACAAGAGGAGCTCGTGCATGTTTATTGGTGTGTCTTGAATGAATGAATTGACAAAAGCAGTAGCAGTTGTAGAAAAGCCTTTAAATCCCCTTCATAAGAGATCCGAAAACACTTTGGAAAGAAGATACAGAGAAGGTCATGCTCAAATCTTCATTCTCTTCAGTTTCATATTTTATTTTAACCACTTTTTTGGTCACATTTGTGTCCCTGTGATAGATTGTACTCATCCCTTTGAGTACAAGAGTACACTAGATTTTTTTTTTTTTAAGTAGAATTCTTGACACTATCCACCCATTCTCATGCTAGATTAGTGAGAAGTATAATTCAAAAGTCCAGAAAGTTACACAATATCTCAGTACCTAGCAAGGGGAAAATAGAATCGAGTCCACCTAGATTATAGTAATTTTCCACAATCACCTGTGCCACTGAAATGCCAGATCTTTGCTGCTATTTTACTCCTGCTGGCCATCAGAACTAAAAGAAACTGCTGACTCAGGCTGGGAAATAGAGAGACAGAATACCTGTGCTGAATTTGTTACTGGACAAATGGTAATCCCATTGCCTACATTCTTCTAATTTAAACTGAATTCATAAAGCATCAACTCGGTACCCACAGTGGCCCTATGAGCTACACCAACAAGAGTTAAGTCATGATCCTTTCTCTCAAGGAGCTTGTATGTATGATGACAACAAAATACATTTTAATATGCTAGATAGTGTTTGAATCACTATAAATGATGATGGTTGTTTCTAACTTAAATACTGAATCTTAATGCAGTCAAGAAGGATTATCTTTTCCAAGGAGTTGCTTTGAGAAATTATGTCTTAATTTGTTAATATATGTGGTGTATAACGTATTTTTGGACCTTCTCTGTGTGACTTGCTTTCCCAGAACCAACTTAGAAGCTTCCCAGGAAGAGCAGTTTTATTAATTTGGAGGGCCTCATTTAAAGCAAAACCATTTTATGCATTCAGAATAACACCTTTCTAATAGATTAACATTAAGCGATTTGACAACGTATCTTAAATTTAAATTTCCCCTTAAAAGATCATGATGGATGATACAAATATAAGGAACATCATTTTGAATGCTAAGAAATTCAAACAAAAAGAAAACCACTGTAATATGAATCAGAAGAGAAAACTTTATGGAGGAGAAAAGTCTTGGACTTTCTGAAATAGAAATTGCCCTGAAATAGAAATTTCTATTTCTAAGTGAAAGAAGGATTTGCATAAAAAGATTCCACTATTCCATCCATAATTTTTAAGCTAAAGTAAGGCAATGTATCCTGAAAACTCTATAAGTTTATTTTAAAAATCACATGTATGTTGTATTCCCCTACCTACGAACACGTGGAATCCCCACACATCCCATCCTATTGCTTACCATCCTAAACCTAAGGCCTTCTGAGATTTTTCCTCACTCATCTCACCCAATTTATTTCTAACCTTCACCAACAGCCGACCTCCAATCTAACTGGTAAAGTCTCCTCACTGTCTGACGATCACACACCACTTAATCTCATGATGTGTTCAAGCTATTTCCATATAGGCACTTAACTAAATTTTTAGTATTTTTCAAAACACACATCTCAAGTCCTCTCTTCTCCAATAATCCTTTGCCACCTACTTTGGCATTACAAAAGTAGTTAACATATATTAAAAAGCTAGTATGGGCCGGGCATGGAGGCTCACACCTCTAATCCTAGAACTTTGGGAGGCTGAGGCAGGCAGATCATGAGGTCAGGAGTTTGAGACCAGCCTGGCCAACATAGTGAAACCCCGTCTGTACTTAAAAAATATATATATATACAAAAATTAGCTGGGTGTGGTGGCACACACCTGTAGTCCCAGCTACTCGGGAGGCTGAGGCGGGAGAATCTTTTGAACCCGGGAGGCAGAGGTTGCAGTGAGCCAAGATGGCGCCATTGCACTACAGCCTGGGTGACAGAGTGAGACTCTGCCAAAAAAAAAAAAAAAAAAAAAGTATGTCAGACATTGTTCTAAAATATTTATGCATATTCATTCTTTTTAACTTTACAGTTACCTAAGGCAGGTTTACCTTTTTCTCCATTTTAAAGATAATTAAAAATAAGCACAGAGGATTGAAAACAAAAATTTGGCCAGGCACAATGGCGCGTGCCTGTAATCCCAGCACTTTGGGAGGCCGAGGTGGGCGGATCACTTGAGGTGAAAAGTTCTAGACCAGCCTGGCCAACATGGCGAAACTCCGTCTCTACTAAAAATACAAAAAAATTAGCCAGTTGTGGTGGTGCATTCCTGTAATTACAGCTACTTGGGAGGCTGAGGCAGGATAATTACTTGAACCGGGGAGGTGGAGGTTGCGGTGAGCCGACATCACGCCACTGCACTCCAGCCTGGGCGACAGAGTGAGACTCTATCCAAAAAAAGAAAAAAAAGAAAAAAAGAATAGCTTGGTGCGGTGGCTCACGCCTGTATTCCTAGCAGTTTGGGAGGCAGAGGTAAGTGGATCACGAGGTAGGTAAAGAGGTAAAGAGTTCAAAACCAGCCTGGCCAAGATGGTGAAACCCTGTCCCTGCTAAAAATACAAAAATTAGCTGGGTATGGTGGCACGAGCCTGTAATCCGGGCTACTCGGGAGGCTGAAGCAGAGAGTTGCTAAACCCGGGAGGCGGAGGTTGTGGTGAGCCGAGATCGCGCCACTGCACTCCAGCTTGGGGAACAGAGCCAGACTCTGTCTCAAAAAAAAAAAAAAAAAAAAAAAAATACTCAAGGTGCTATAGAAGCGTGACTGGTGGTTTCAGAGACAGTTTTAAATGGCAAATTTAATTAATAAGTTGCAGTCAGTTAGGGTTTTGAAGTAACAGTCAGTTTGTCAAATCCATCCATTTAGCATCTCTTCTATACCTCTACCCAGTGATGATTCAGGATTGGTGTCACCACCTCCCACAATAGGAAAGGTGACATCCCCTGTGTACTATAACCACTTACTTACTACATGCCCCTCATTGTGCTGAACATTTTCCCTATATCATCCCACTGCCTTCCCAGATCGCTGCTTCACAATGGTGTTGTCCCCACTTTGCAAAGGAGGACACTCAGGCTAAACTGTGCTAGTATTCTGCCTCTGCAGATTTTGGGAACGCCTTTCTCTCTGAACAGCTTTTACTATTATATGTAATTATTATAAATGATTGAACCCAAAGGTATCTCCTTATAACTTCAGTTCACAAGTTCCAGTTCTAATTATTGAGACTGCACCAAACAAATTTAATCCCTTTTCCATGTGAGAGCTTACATAAATGTAAAGAAGGATGTCATTCCTCTCCTAAGTCTTCTTCAGGATAAATGTGTTTAGTTTCTGTGATGTTCTAAATATGACATAGTTTTTAGTGTCTCTCTTCTTAAAATGTGGCTCCAGAAATACTACAATCTCTAGATGTGGTCTGACCTGTCAAACTGGTACAGGATTGTCACCTTAATACAATTCAAAATTGCAGGCTAGATTTTTGGCAATGACATCATGCAGCTAAAACTGATAAATTAAGTTGAGCTGACTATTAACTAAAATACTGTCTTTTTTTTCCTGCTTACATCAACAGCTAATTCACATCTACTCAATGCTATACATGTACAGTTGGCTTTGTGGACCCAAAGGTAGGCATTTATATTTATCTATGTTATATTTCATCTTGTTAGATTCAGCCTATTGCTCCGAGCTGTCAAAATCTTTTTGGATGCTATGTCTGTCATGCAGTGCCTTTACCATCCCTCTAACATTTATGTCATTTGCAAATTTGATGAGCATGCTTTACCTGCTGGACAGAAGCTTAATAAACACTAACTGATTGATCAACTAATTGATACCCCGAAAATGAAAACAACAACATGAACTATGTGATGTTACAACTCTAAGCAATAAAGAAAAGGCACCGTTTTCTAACAAAATGTGTCATACTGTGATTCTTCACATAACTTTTCAGAGTGGCCTTGTTTACTGACATGAATTTTTATATAATTATAAATGCTCCAGTTTATTAAATATTCTCTATTGAGTGACGTTTATACAAACAATATGAATAAGTACTTGAGGAAATTATTCAGGGATAGTTGCTTTGGCAGAAATTAACCAGGTGGGTGGCCCACAAATATTTGTAATGTTTGGAATGTGTGTGTGCACCTGCTACTAGTTTGACTGAATAACTGCTTAAATTTTATTTGTTTTGACTATGTTAAAGGTGCTATGGAAAAATGAATTCATACACAGGTATGCCCCTCAAAGATTTTTTCTTGGTTTTGTTTCTGTTTTGCATTTTCCATGAGCTCCTGGTGTTTTATTTCAACACATTTTCCCTCTGTCCACTTCTCTCCATTCCCACACCTTCACACACCCCAAACCAACATATACACTCACTTTCATTTTTTCCTCTCTGAGTAACTCAGACAAGCCAAGCCAGGCTCTTGAAGCAATCTACAGAAAAAGCCTACGTGTATTACATTTGTGCCCTGGGTATGATTCTCTGGATTTGCTGTTCTCCCCTCATCTCTATTAAAGCTCTTCATATACTGCAACCTCCACCAAACAAGTCTCCATTTAATTGATCTTTAAAAATTTAACATAGGAATGCAAGTAGATTTTTTTTTGTCCTATCTTGACTGGATGTGAAACTCTCATGGCCTCTTCTTCCTACACATTTAGATTACTCTCTTCTCTCTACTGCCAAAAAAAAGCTATTAATTTACACATATACATGATGGAAAATCTGCCAACAGTCTGATTTATTGAATTCCTAAGGAATAGGGAGAGTTCCAGCTGGTTTTTTGTAGATACTGCTTAAAGAGGTGTCATGTACACTTCTACATTTAAGAAAGCTTTTGGTGCACACTTCATCACAATATTAGATACTCTTAATTATTTCAATATATCATTGTGCCTTTTTCTATTTTACTCATGGAGAACAGATGATTTCCAAAAGATTATCAAGTTAGCTGTAAAATACCTTAGAAAACTTTTTCAGCATGTTACATCCCAATGAGCTAGAAGTTACTTGTTATAACTACAATGTCCTCTCCTTAAAAGTGAGTCAACCTCTTTTGTCTCCCATGTTTATAAAGAAAACTGCTCTTCATACTCTCACTAAAATCCAATCACTTGTTTGAAAATGGTCCTGTTGTTTGAATATGAAACAAGCACATTATGATATGCTAAGTGTGATGCTACATATACTACACATAAGGGGTATATAAAGCACAGACCTTTTCTTCAAGGAATTTACAATCTGTAATAGAAATGGCGTATAAAATACTTTCAATGAAAGGAGGCAATATAATAAATAAATATGAATAAAGTGGTTAGGAACAAAGATGAGAACGTGAAAATATCTTGGAAGTCTCCTCCACCAAATATTTCCCTGTTACTCTTCTTCTCTCTATTGAGGTGTTCCTCAAGTAAGTTGTTTGTACTTCCTCTGTCCATTTTCTCTTTTCCCATTCTATCTGTAATGCAGCTCAATCAGTAGTTTCTGTTTTTTATTACTTTAAAAAATAACTATCTCAACGTTACAGGAAAGTCACAAGAGTAGTACAAAGAATTTTTTCTGACCCATTTGAGATTAAATTTTTGACCTAATGACCCATTCCCCCTGAATACCGCAACGTGTATTTGCTACAAAAAGACATTCTTTTACATAAGCACGATGTAAACATCAAAGTTATTCGTATATCATTACCATTTTATCTTTAAAGCCCATTCAAGTTTTGTCAATGACCCCAAAAAGTCTTTTATAGAAAAAACACCTCCAGCCCCAAATCACATGTTGCCTTTAGTTGTCATGACTCTAAGTTTTCTTTTGATCTGAAAGAGACACGTATGTTTATTGCGGCCCTATTCACAATAGCAAAGATTTAGAACCAACCCAAATGTCCAACACCGATAGACTGGATTAAGAAAATGTGGCACATATACACCATGGAATACTATGCAGCCATAAAAACTGATGAGTTCATGTCCTTTGTAGGAACGTGGATGAAACTGGAAACCATCATTCTCAGCAAACTATCGCAAGGACAAAAAACCAAACACTGCATGTTCTCACTCATAGGTGGGAATTGAACAATGAGAACGCATGGACACAGGAAGGGGAACATCACACACTGGGGACTTTTGTGGGGTGGGGGGAGGGGGGAGGGATAGCATTGAGAGATATACCTAATGCTAAATCATGAGTTGATGGGTGCAGCACACCAACATGGCACGTGTATACATATGTAACAAGCCTGCACATTGTGCACATGTACCCTAAAACTTAAAGTATAATAATAATAAAATAAAATAAAAAAGCAGTGCCGACCCAAAAAAAAAAAGAGTTCTTCAATCTTTCCTTGGCTTTTCTGATCTTAATACTGTTAAAGAGGACCGCCCAGTTATTTTGTAGATTGCCTCTCAATTTGGGTTTGTCTAATTTTTCCTCATGATTAAATTCAGGTGATACAGTGATCATATTATATCTTATCATGTCTTACATCATTTCTATTTGTTCCATTATTAATGATGTTAACTTTAATCATTTGCATTAATATATCTGCCAGGCTTCCACACTGTAAAAATACAATTTTCCCCTTTGCAATTAGCAAACATTTTGCGAGCAGATACTTCAAGACTGTATAAATATCCTATTGCTTATTAAAAATTCAATATATGCTTAGGCTTATTTTTATCTATATAGACTCATGAGTCTCTATTTTACTCAGTGGGATATAATTAATTACTCTCAATATGTATTTCAGTGCTCAAGTTGTTCCAGGTTTGGACAGTATAGACCCCATACAGCTGCATTCTGGATCATATTGACATGTTCTAATAATTCTTTAAGTATCTTCTTACTTTATGACACAAGATGTTCTAGGCTCATTTTGTACTTCCCCACCACAGCCCTGGAATCAGCCATTTCTCCAAGGAATCCTGGTTCCTCTAAGAGATGAGTGGTCTTTAGGAACAAAGATTCGGTGCTAAGTAGATTCGTGCTATTTCAGTGTTACTACTCCCAGGCCCACTCTCTCCCCTCAGTGGATGGCTGTAGGGACTATGGATATATAGGGAATATGAATATAGACAGATACTACTAGATAGATAGATTAGATAGAATCACACACTTACTTCTATATTATTTCTATAAACCATTGACCCTTTAACAATATGGGGGTTAGGGCACCTACCACCTGTGCAGTAAAGTCCCCAACTGCATTAGCCCCTAACAAGAGACTCAGTCTTATTTTTGGAGCTTTGAAACTAGGCATTGATTTCTCTTCTCTAGCTATGAAAGTCCTAGGTGGCATCTTCTTCCAACAGAAGACTTTTTCATCCACATTGAAATTATGTTGTTTAGTGTAGCCACCTTCATCAGTGATCTTATCTAGATCTTCTGGATAACTTGCAACTTCTACAACAGCACTTGCTCTTTCAACCTTGCACTTTTATGTTATGGAAACTACTTCTTTCCTTAAACCTTGTGAACCAATCTCTGCTAGCTTCCAACTTTTCTTTTGTAGCTTGCTCACTTCTCTCAGCCTTCACATAATGGAATAGTTAGGGCCTTGTCTGGATTAGACTTTGGTTTAAGAGAATATTGTAGCTGGTCTGATCTTCTATCCAGACCACTCAAATTTTCTCCACATCAGCAATAAAGCTGTTTCAGTTTTTATCATTTTTGTGGTCATTAGAGTAGCACTTTAATTTTCCCTCAAGAAATTTTCCTTTGCATTCAACTTGGCTGTTTGGTGCAAGAGGACTAGCTTTCAACCTGTCAACTTTCTACATGCCTTCCTCACTAAGCTTACTCATTTCTAGCTTTTGATTTCAAGTGAGAGAAATGTTACTCTTCCTTTCACTTGAACACTGAGAGGCCACTGTAGGGTTATTACTCGGTCTAATTTAATTTCAATATTGTTGTGTCTCAGGGAACAGGGAGGCCCAAGGAGAAGGAACAAGTCAGAAGAACATTCTGTCGGTGGAGAAGTCATAACACACACAACATTTATTGGTTAACTTTGCCATATCATATTGGTGTGGTTCATGGCACCCCCTGAAATTATAATAACATCAAAAATCACTGATCACAGACCACCATAACAGCTATAATGATTGGAAAAAAATTTAAATTTCTGTGAGAATTGCCAAAATGTGAAGCATACACAAAACGAGCACATGCTGTTGGAAAAATAGCACTAATATATGACATGTTTGCCTGAAGCAAGGTTGCCATAAACCTTCACTTTGTAAAAAAATAAAATAAAAATAAAAATAAAACACATTGTCTGTGAAGCACAACAGAACAAGGTGAGCTAGCAACTACTGGACACTCATTTAATCTTTATCAAATGAATGAAGCTTCATCTAAACCAACTCTTGAAGGATTAATATGATTTAGCAAAGTATGAGAATATAGAGGGTAGTGAATAAGTTGTGGGAAAACAGAAAAAAACAAGAAGGAATAAAATTTAAAATGATTAGGTTACTCCAAGCCTTCTATTGATCCTGATAAATCCCTATTCTTTCAAATATTCTTTTCATAAAATGAATATTTAAATGTGTTAAATTTAAAATCACCATTTTCACTTTTCCTCAAAATGTTTATAGTTTTTTAAAAATCTCTTAAATCACAGTAATACAGTTACATATCATTAGGTCAGATTATGCCTGAAGGAAAATAATGAAAATAGTGGTCATTGGATTTCTGTTTATACTTCCAGGGAATAAGCCAAAGTATACCAAGAGATGTGAACTCACTGCTGACCCCAAGTCAGAAGGGCCATCAATCAGGCCCTCAATATGTAGACAGATATATAGAAAATCATTTATCATGCCAGCACTCAATGGATGTCATAAAGATCCTAAACAGTAATTTGTAAAATTTGTAGAAATAGTCCTGCCATATAAACAAAACAGGGGTGAATGCTCACTTACACTGTGCATGAGTTATATCTGCTAAAATCTTCAACAAGGGTAGAACATCCCATTATATAATAAATAAATAATGTATTAATTTTATATTCTTAAAAGAAAGGCATGCTTTTCTGTAAGTACCTATGCTTCAGCCATTTTGTGTCTTCTTAGATTTTTTCAGCTCCAGTAGACAGTACTGAGCAAAATTTATTAAAAATATGCCTCAAAAACTAAATGAAGAGCCATGTTAAACAAAAGGAAAAATCTGAATCTCTTTAAGCTCCTTCAGAGAACTGTATTATGAAATATGATTTGAATTGTTTGTTTAAATAAATTCTAGAATTGAGAATAATACCATTATTGTGGCCATTGTTTCAAGGTAGTCCTTTCTGATCAAAAGCTAGAGAGATAGTAATTGTCTAAGCAGTTTTTGCACAATCAGTCATGGAGAAGTGCACACATTTAATTTGTTTGCACCAAAAAAGAACAGTAGAAAACAGTCATTAATTTAAGGTAAGAATATATCATCCCTGAATACAAAAGTAGGTATTTACGGGTCAAATGCAGAATATTCAGTGAACAGTTTCCTTTCCTCCCTTCACAATCACACAGATAAGATAGTGGCATTGATTTAGACAAAATAAGTCAATAGTTTTTGTTATCATCTGAAGAACTTCATACTGGTAATTACTCTTGAAAATAATATTCATTTTGTCTTTTTATCATTTATATTTATTCACTCCAATTCTGACATGTTTCTTCCCAAACCATGTTACCCCAGGTAAGCAGCAGCTGAAAGAAAGGGAAGGGGAGGGGAGAGCAGGGGAGAGCAGGGGAGGGGGGAAGAGAGAAGAAAGAGAAAGAAAAAAAAAAGAAAGAAAGAAAGAGAAGGAAAGAAATAAAAAGAAAGAAAGAGAAGGAAAGAAATAAAAAGAAAGAAAGAAAGAAAGAAAGAAAGAAAGAAAGAAAGAAAGAAAGAAAGAAAGAAAGAAGGAAAGAAAGAAAGGAAGGAAGGAAGAAAGAAAGAGAAAGAAAGAGAAAGAAAGAGAAAAAAGAAAGAGAAGGAGAGAGGAACAGGGGAGGGAGGGAAGGAGGGAGAGAAATTTGGTGGGGCTGTGTGCTTCGGATGGTTCTGCCTTCACAAAGCCTGGCTTAGCTTGCCTCAAAGGTGGACATGCCTCAGAAGGTGAAGTCCAGGAAAAAAATTTCTTGGTGGGAGAAACATTTGCATGCCGATTTGACTCTTAAAAAGAAAATTAATGAGCCTAAACTATTTCCAGATATCTTTAGAAATAAATCAATAATGAAGGTTGATATTAAATGGTGAAATACTTAAAAGGTAAAGGTGAGAATGACTAAAGTTACAACATCTAATATTTTTTTAAAAGTGTAACGCTCATTTTCTGTCACATAATACTGTTCAGGATCTTTCATTGGTACTTTACATCTCCTAAGACTTACAGCAATGGACATTTCTAAATTAGCATCACTTCCATTCTATGTAAATATAATCAAGGTAGTTTACCTCTACCCTCCACAAATCCACCTTTGAATGACTACTTACGAGTTTTCAACTTATGCTGAGATCACAGGACTTCTGATGTTTTCTTAGAACAAGATGTAGGGATGAAGAGATATAAGGTAGCTGAGTCTTTACTGTCAGATCTCAGTTTACATATTGACACCTCAGAGAGCCCCCGAATACCCACACAAGCCTTAATAATCACTCACAAACTTTGTTATAGTGTACTATTTTAATTCTCTAGGTATTATTTTTCTCTCAATATGTTTCTTATTTGTTTGAGTTTTTTTTCTTCCCTCACCCACCCCTCACCAGGCACACATGTATGCACCCAAACAAATAACATCAGCTCTAATCAATTCACTGCATTCGTCTCAACATCTACTAATAGAACAAAGCCCATTTGACTAGAAGACTCATTTCTTTTGGCAACTTTACCAGAATTCTTTATATTTTTATAATTTTTTTTCTCCATCTGTTTTCATTTTCTGAAACTTTTTGTAGGTGGACATTGGATCTGTCTGCAGATGTGTTTCTATTCACCCTAGATTGGATTTGATAATTGTGGGGCAAAGGCAGGTATGCAATACAACTTATTTTTTAGCCATGGGGACTCCACTACATCCTAGTCCCATTCACCTGCCTTCCTGTGGCCTTAGAGCCCACACTCTGTGCTCCAAAATCAGGTCAAATCTTTCCACTCGCTGATGCCTGGTGATGGGAAAGAGCATGAGAAGCTGACCCAGACTGTCACTCCAAATGCTGTTTGCAATTCCTGTCCCTGGCAGTCACACCCACATGTCCCCTGCCCATGGAGGCTGTAAGCTCTATGCGTGCAGCACCAACTCAGTACTCTCCTCTGCTACATTTCTCTCCTGTGTGTAATTTGGGCTGGTTTCCTTTGCCAATCTAATTTCATCTGCTTTCTTCTTCTAAGGATTTGAGTAAAAAGTTTTCATCATGATTGTGTTCTTTTCCATACTTCACAGTAATAGCATCTTCAACCAGCTGCTAATGTCTAATCAGATTAAAACTGTAAATCTCTTTCTCCAGCAAAAAAAAAAAGCAGAAAACCAGTTAACAAATTGTAAGAAGTATATACAAGTGCTACTTAAGTGCTTTATTCATGATGCACTTGAGATCTCAAAATTTCACTGTTCCATTAGACTTTTAAACTACCAGGAATCAGTGTCTAAGTCATTTATACCATCAGAACAGCTGGATGACAGCAAGTTGTCAACAGATTTCCCAAGGATTTCTCTGAGGAACTAGAGACTTACAATGGGGAGAAAGTGTCATTCCATCTGAATCCAACCATTACATCAATTGACCTGAAAGCTAGAAAGGTTCTATTTCTCTAAGGAAAAGAAAACAATTGAAAAGCTTGAGTATCCAATCAAACAAATTACATTTGCGACCCTCCCCAGAGGGCTACACCACTTAGGCCCTAAGCAGAGTTTAGTTGGAATATATATTTTAAAGGACAAGTTTATCAAAGAATACTACAAGGGAACAGAAAACAAAATAAATAAGACAAATGTAATTGAACCAAAGAGCCATGTATGTGTAAACTCCCAAACTTATTTGAAGTAACATTTAATATGAACTTGAATTCAAGCACTGTCATTTAAAACTGGATACTTATTGACTTAAGGAGAGAATTGATAAGGAATTTAGTTTTATTTCACCTTTTTATTAATGATCTACAAGTAGCAATCTTAATGAAAACAGTAGATGACAGTAAATTGATAGGTACCGCAAAAGACGTTAGAAACAACATAAAAGAAGATGCAAGAGGGTAGATATTGGGAAGGAACTAAGAATGAAATTCACTGTAGTTAAATGGGAAGGTCATTCAAAACACAGCTTCTAAAAAATATCTTTTTCCAAATAGCTTAAAATATTTATGAGTATTGCTATCACTACTGCCTATTTATTTGGAAGCAACACTGTTCCAGGCACCAGAATACAGAGCCAGAATCACAAAAAATTAAAGACATCAGAAATGCCAAATACAGAAAAAACAAAAAGTTCTAGGGAATGTGAAAGGAGGCCAGTGTTTGTGTGTTTTTCATTTAATATGATAAGTTAAGAAAATGTGTATTATTTTAAAGGAAATTCCAGTTATTTTCCAGGCTGTAATAGAGCTCAGGGAAGGCTAAGAGTGAATATATCTGTGAACAGAAAAAAATATCACTGACTTCAGTGTGAGACAAAATATGGGAGAAAAAACAGTACTGCTAGTTTAGTCACAGTTTTTCTAAAACTAATTAGAGTACTGAGCTTTATAACCTAGAAGAGACTGTAAAGTACTTACTAATCATGGAAAAGATAATTTTTTCAGGATAAAGAGATGATTTAATATATAATTTAGCAAAGTTGTAAATGTCCACCCATCATTTAGAAAATATATGTAGCTTTTCATTCTATCACATATCACTTTTTCTCAATATCATCTTTTACCAAACTCAATATTTCTATTTGTTTGTATATTTACTTATATTAAACATACATTATGTAAGAGATATTTTGCTCTTCTGAGCACATATGAATGAATAAAGTATCTGCCTTTCAGTACATTCAAAAATATACCTAATGCAAAACCTACTTAATATCTAATAAAATATGCCTATGTAATAAATGTCATACAGCCAATAAGAAAAAAAAGTGCTATAGGAGCAGAGAGGAGAAAAGGAGAGAAGAAATTAGTGTGTTTTACAGAGGAAGTTGTATTTGTGGTGGTCATTGAGATACGTACACAAAGAAATGGAGTTGAAGAGGGAGAGGGAAAAGTGTACAAGCTAGAAGCAACTGAATAAGGCAAACAGGAAGAGCTTGCATGAAAACCACAAAGTACATGATTTTGGGAGGCAAAAAAATATCATGGTTAAAACTCAAAGTACATAGAAGGACAATGAAGCTATAGAGGCACCATCTAACAAATTTTGAAGGATCTTGAACATGTTGCTAAGGGAAGGAAATTTCATTCTCTGGAGTGTGAGCAATCGTGAGCATAGTGTTTATTTAAGGAGAGGAAGGAGGTAATCACATTTACATTTTAGAAAGAAATTTTCACGATGAAGTTTTTTACAAAGACAAAGTAATCAACAATACTAGGGGGAAAAGTGGAAAGGGAACAATCAGAAATGTATTGCAATATACAAAGCAAAAGTAACCAACCCTCCTCTTTCTAGCTACCACTTGTAAGCCATGTTATAAAGAAGTTGGTTCAAAATTTTAAAGTCACCTTTATTGTTCCTCTAATCTCCAAAGTAGTAATGAAATGCAGCGGTCTCATTAATTTACTTCATAAATTTCTTTTCCTTTTTCAGTTTTCTCCTGCTACATATTCGATCAACTAATATCTCTCATCTGTACAGTCTTCAAGGGATTGGTTCCAGGATCCAGGCATAAATAACCAAAATCTAATCATACCCAAGTCTCGCAGTTAGCCTTGCGGAGCCCAGGGATACAAAAAGTCGGCCCTGTGCATAGTCGGATTTTACATCCTGCAAGTACTGTATTTTCAATCTGTGTTTAGCTCGAAAAAATTCACATAAAAGCAGACCTGGGCAATTCAATTCCTTGTAGTTCATGGGTCAACTGTATTCTTGCAAGAGCTTCTAAACAAACTGTCCTATCAACTTTGTTCTAATACTGGATGATGCCATCACTCATTCAATCAAACTTTGTTTATTGAGAATGGATCACATTCAAACATGATGCCGAGCCCTGAAGGGAACAACACTAAATAAGGTAAAATTCTTGATCTAAAAGTTCTGGAGTCTAGTGATGGACACAAATAAAGCACATTGAGTAAATTGCGATAATTTCATAGAAAGGATGAGTGCATGTCTACTCAGATTTTGAGATAAGAAAAGGCTTCCTGAAAATGTTGATGCCAAATGAGTGAAAGGAAAAAGTAGGATTAAGCGGAATAAATAGTAAGGGAGAGTATTCTTGGTAAAGAACATGTGCAGTTGTAGCAACATAAGAAAGATGGATACAATTAAAGACTAGACAGCTCAGTGTTACTAGAATGTGAGGTCCCAGAGGAGACCTTACAGAACATGAGGCTGAACAGTTGTCAGAGCTAAGTCATTAAGGGTCTCCATTCCAACTGAAGAAATCTTAAAACTAAGAAAAATCATACTTGAATTTGAATTTTGAAAGCTCACTGATAGCACTGTGGCAATATAAATTTAGAAATTACAGGTTTTATAACTATGCATATGAAAATAGTACTAGGAGTCATGGTTGTGAGTAAGAATTCCCAGGGAAAGTGTGTGCCGTGAAAAGTGCATAGTGTTAAGCAAGGAACCACGAAAAGACCCAAATAAAGAGTCTGAACGGAAGAAGAAAAGCCCTTGGAAATAGGGGTTTGGGGTAATTGGAATAAGTTGATGAACGAATGGACACTAGAGTACATACAACTTCTTATGTATCTTGGACATAAAAGGAATAAAACTATATTGGTCACTAAATTTCACAGGATGAAAGCCCGAAGAAAACAAATAATGAAAATATAAACTCAAAGACATGATAGAAACCAAAATTAAGGGATTAAAAATATGACCTGAATATTCAGCTAAGAAAAGCTTACCATATTCTCAAGAAAACAAAGATTAATTAACACCAAACTATAGGCTGGTAGTCCTGGGATTTTAAGGATAAAGAAAGAAACCTGTAAGAATCTCACTCAGGCACACAAAAACGGGTCACCCACAGTGAAAAATAATCCTTAAGCTTGTCTCAGATTTCTCTTCAGAAACACGATGCAATGTATTAAAAGCTCACAAACGAAAGGGTATAAGAAAAAAAAATCCATCATCATCCAGACATTGTTCATGGGTACAGGCATTAGAAAGACAGGCTCAACTACGCAAAGATTCAGAAGGTACATCACTGGCCATGTTCCTTTTCAGAATAGAAATACTCTCACCAAATAGAAAGCTCAATTCAAATTAAGAAATTAGAGATGTATGTTATGAAAGGATACTCAATGAGTATTGAATCCTTTTAACATCATATAAATTTTTAAATAAGTTATAAAGTGCTATTGTAATGCTTGAAATAAAAATATCATTTTACTATAATGATTTTGCTACAATAAGCTGGGATAAGAAGCTCTGCTTATTTCAACAAAACTGGAATGTGGGAAGAGAAAGAATTGTTAAAAGCAAAGGTGTGATAACTCCCTTAATTTTCTATGGGAGTTAACATAGGATTGTATGTCTGAAATTATTATCTTCACGTATAATTCTTTTCACATGTAATTTGTTTGTTTGTTTGTTTTGCGAGAGGATCTGGCTCTGTTGCCTAGGCTGGAGTGCAGTGGCACGACCATGGCTCACAGCCTTGACCTCCCAGGCTCAGAAGATCTTCCCATCTTAGCCTTCTGAGTAGCTGGGACTACAGGCATGCACCACCATGCCTGGCTAATTTTTTTTCTTTCTTTCTTTCTTTCTTTTTTTTTTTTTTTGTAGAGATGACGTCTTGCTATGTTGCCCAACCTGGCCTTGAAATCCTGGACTCAAGTGATCCTCCTGCGTAGGCCTCCCAAAGTGCTGGGACTATCGGCATGGGGCACCACACCCAGCCTACATATAAATTTTTAAACTGTCATTTTAAAATTTATTATTTTTACCTACAAATTTTATTCTTTAATATTTTAACCAATTATTTTTTTCTGTCCAGAGTGATTTTCCTTCTCTGCCTATGCTTTCTTTCTTTTTTTATAACTATGACATAAACCTGCAAGTTCTGCATGTGTACCCCAGAACTTAAAGTAGAATAAAAAAAATTTAAAATTATTTTTACATATAATTTCTAAATATATCAAGATTTCTTAGTCATTAATAAAAATGCAGACCCCTTTATTTAAAAAAATAAGAGAACAATACACAGCTATTACCCAGAAGCAAAAAATACATGTGGCTGGCTAATAAGCCTATGTAAGGTAAGATAAGTACGAGGTAGGGGAAGAAATGCTAAATGAAATAAGAATACACTCATACTATTTTGCCCATAAAATTAGAAAAAAATGAGAAAAGATAATTCCTTATATTAACAATAATTTGAGGAATAGGCACTCTGATTCTCTTTCGGTAGGAGTCTGCACTAGTCAAACATTTTCTGAAGACAGTAGGTCAATATACCCCTGAAATTGTGCACACCCTTTGAATCAGCTGCACCTCTGAAATTTACCCTAAGGCTGCACTAAGGGTCCATCTCTAGTTGGAAATCATTAATTTTTAGTGGCCTCAATCCACACACCTGTTTTTTTTCAGTAATATTCTGCAATCTATACACAGGAATTAAGAAGGCAGTCAGGTGAATGATTTGAGAATAGGTGTCTGGTGGCAACAGAATGAAAAAAAATGAAATAAAAGAAAATGGTTAAAAGACTACTAAAGATATTTTCCTTGTGGGCTAGGCTAGAAGTGAAGAAACTGAACCTAGAAGGAACCCAACAGACTCAAAGACAATATAAGCACCTAGGCGCTTAACTTCATTCTGTAGCCAAAAGTTTTCAAGAGGTGAAAAAGTGAAGCTTCATGGTCATTAACCAAAAGCTGATAATGATGCAGAGAAACACTGTGAGTCAGAGGTGAAATTTTTCATTGTATCTGGCAGGCAGGTGGCTGGGGTATCCAAGGTGTCAGCAGCTGCAAAAATTGATGCAAGGTTTGCAAAAATTGATGCAAAAATTGAAGAAAGGTACACAACAACTTAACATGAGCTTTAAAGGAAACATCTCTTTCCAATATGAGGTAAAAGAAAAAGAAGAAAGCAATCCCTACATCTCTACTTGCTCCCAGCAATGAGGTGCATGAGGAGTGGATGAATGAGCACCCTTTGCTTGGAAGGGCCAGGAAAGGGGTCCCTAAAGGGAAAGAATTAGTGTTTATGTAAGGCAAGGACTTTGAAAAACTGTTGACAAAGAGCTTGAAAGTCTAAAGAATGTGACATGTTTACAAACTACTATAGAATAAAAACATTGTCCTGATGTGGATGATGAAAGTAAAGAAATGAAAGACAGAGAAATAATGGTATGAGAATATGGGAGAAGACACATAACTGAAGGGACACAGATATAGAATGACAACAAAGGGTGACAGAATTATTAGAGCCTGTAAGATTAACTGCTCCATAATCCAACTAGAATTTTGGGGTGAAGGTCACTCTGAGCTGGCACAGATAATGCCAAGCTACCTCTAGCTTAAAAGAAATAATAAAAGGCTGTTTTAATAAGATCCCTTCTTTGCTCAAAACTTTCATTTGGTTCCCTTTGATTATTGAACTGTATCCTCAGCTTTATTCCGGTTTCTATCATCTGACAGTAAAATTCCTTCAGGGTTTCATCTTACTACGCTCTTGCATAAAACCTACTCTTGGCAAACTTGACCAGTCACTGTTTGCCATCATCACAAGAATATTTTCACCTTTCTGCCTTTCTACATCCTAGTCCCAAACCTGGAATTCTTCTCTCCCCATCTCTGCCTCTTGAAACCTCATGTTCTAGGTTAAATTTTTTATAATCCAAGAAGCACTATCATAATGAGAAGAAATCACAACTTTCAGCAGCTCCTATTTATTATTCCATAAATGTTACAGTCATTAGTGTTTATGTCTTATCTCTTTCACTAAATTCCTTTGGACCAAGAGCCTAGTTAACTGGTTTTGTCACTTCTAAAACCTCCACACAGTACAGTCCTGTACATAGTGTTCTACTAGTGAAATAAATTAAATTGCACAACAATTATGAATAACACAAAACAATAAATAGAAGTTATTAAAAAGAATAGTCATTTCAGGCCGGGTGCAGTGGCTCATGCCTGTAATCCCAGCACTTTGGGAGGCTAAGGCAGGCGGATCACAAGGTCAGGAGATTGAGACCATCCTGGCTAACACGGTGAAACCCCATCTCTACTAAAAATACAAAAAATTTGCTGGTCGTGGTGGCGGGCGCCTGTAGTCCAAGCTACTCGGGAGGCTGAGGCATGAACCCGGGAGGCAGAGCTTGCAGTGAGCCGAGATCCTGCCACTGCACTCCAGCCTGGGCGACAGAGCGAGACTCGTCTCAAAAAAACAAACAAACAAACAAACAAACAAACAAACAAAAAACAAAAACCAAAAAACTATATATATATATATATATATATATGCTGGGTGTGGTGTCTCATGCCTGTAATCTCAGCACTTTGGGACTTTGGGAGGCTGAGGTAGGCAGATCACAAGGTCAGGAGATCGAGACCATCCTGGCTAACACAGTGAAACCCCGTCTCTACTAAAAATACAAAAAATTAGCCTGGCGTGGTGACGGGCACCTGTAGTCCCAGCCACTCGGGAGGCTGAGGCAGGATAATGGAGCGAACCCGGGAGGCGGAGCTTGCCGTGAGCTGAGATCACGCCACTGCAATCCAGCCTGGGCGACAGAGTGAGACTCCGTCTCAATGAGAAAAAAATAATAATAATAGTAATTTCTGACTTCGTTTATACTCTTGCAGCTTTCAGTGAAGAGCTTAAGCACCAACTCCACCATTTAGCTTCTCAAACTCTAAGAACTTTATCACAGAACAACTTGAAAACTCTTGACAGATCATGAAGGTGATTTTAAGTAAGATAGGAGGAATTACTTCAAGAACATAATTTAATTACTTTGTATGAAGCAGAAAACAATAAAAGAGATAAAGAATCCAGAATGTGTGAACTTTATACATCTTTGAAGTAATAGGATATAATTTGGAAAATAGAAAAGTGAAGAAATAGGCTGAACACTGGAAATACTTCTGAAACTTACCAACTTGATAAATAAATTGGTTACAAGGAAAACAGTCAATGACTTCTCACTTGCAATGCCTAAATCTGTTTTTACTAAGCTACAAAGTGATGGACCTCAAGGACAATGACATTTTGGCAATAAAAACAAACTATCAGATGCATTTTCAACAATTTAGTTTCCATTTTCTATTTCCACAATTTACTGTGATATAGCTGATCTGATGAAAAAAGAAACAACTCTTCAATATAGATCAAATGTTTCTGTGTGAAATATTTCACGCAAGTTAAACTATCCAAGACCAATATTGTCACATTTAGATAATTTTCTTCAGATGCTGAACGTTTTGTAATTATTAGCCATGAAAATTTGGGATATAGACTTTGCTTTAATACAGTACATTGTCTCAAGTTGGGCCAAACTGCTTTACAAATTAATGAGGTATATATCGGCGGTGTAGTGATTTCAGTAGGCAAACACAGAATCTATTAAGTACTCAATAATACCCTTTATAGATCCTCAAACGTTAAAATCTATTTTATAGCAACACTTCCAAAATGTGTCACAGGGTTTTTAATGCTCTGTGCCACCAGAGACAGAAATGAAGACCCTTATTTTAACATTTAACCTGAAAGGACACCTCCATCTGCCCTCCCTCTCTCTGCCCTTCCCCCATTATTACACTGTCTGAATTAGGTATGAGGCAAAATTCTGGTGTGGGAATTCTACTCAAATATCTAGTTGAATAGCGTCAGGCTCTCCTGACCTTCTAACCCTCTCTTTTGTCCAAACCTCCTGAGAATCAAGCATGTGTCACACAATAACTAGCTTCCCCTTGAATAGCATTATTGGAGAAGAGAAAAAAAGTCCTTGCCCAGGACTTGACTATATTCTGCCATGAACAAGTTACATGGCTATTTAAAGTTATAAAGCAACAGACTTCCATACATTTCACTTCACGAGTTTAAGTATAACCATTATTTTCTCAAATGAATTGAATGTTCATGTAAGACAAGAGCATCTGTCCAAAATGTGTCTTCAGATTGAGAAGGGAATAAAACAAGTAAATGTCAGGGAATAATACCTTTTCTAAAAATTGGGATTGTTTTAACGGCTGTCCTTCAGTGCTCACTTTAAAGCAATACTTAAGGATCTTCTCTTTCCAGATTTCCTCTTTTGCTGGAAACCCATGAATTGCATATGTTTTGGTGATGCTGCTTTTCAGTTGTTGCTGCTAGTAACCAACTAACTTTACTGTTTTTGTTGTTTGGTAGGTTTTTTTAAAGAAAAATTTCCACTCTTTGTATATGAATATTATGACTTGGAAGGAAAATTACAAATACATAAGGGAATTCCAAGACTCGGAAGATGAATTTTTGTTGTGAACACAGTGAACAAGAAAACATATCACTTTTAACATAAAAGCAGCTTTCTACACATGCCATAAGGCATTTGCACTGGTCCTTGTTCTCAGTGAGACCCAAATGCAAATGCAGTGTTAACAGAGAAAAATCAAAGAATGACATCGGAGGACAAGCTAGAGCCACAATTTATCTGCATAACACTCAGCAGTCCAATAGCAACTTCTAAGCTGCTGACACTACTTGCTGAAGCTCTTGACAAGGAAGCTCCTGCTGCTTTTTCTGTGAGGAATTCTTGCCTTTTGTAACTTATCCCGCAGGTCTTTCCTTGCCTCTCAATAGGTGTTCTTCAAACAGTTAACAGAAAATGGAAACTACTGTATTTAAAGGCAAATCAATTTTAACCTTATATGACAAATTTTCACAAAGTTATATATGATGGCAGTATAAGAATAAGAATATTAAAAATAGTGACAGAAGGAGAATAAAACCATTAAAGGCACTAAAGGGGCCATTTCTGGAAGAGCTAGTGTAAGTGAAAAGAGGAAAAGGTTCTTGGATGAAAGTGACTACTTTATCATCGCATGCTTCAGTATAAAAATCTATAAATGCTAAGTTTTCCCACTTTACCAATTCCCATATGTGTAACAATAATGTGGGAGCAAAACAAAAAAAGAGTCTTAAGGATGAAATAAAATACTGTGAATACTGTCTAAGCAGTAAATAAATAAATGCTGCCACTTTTTAAAAATCTCCTTGTGTTTTAAAACTCAGCTGTTATTTATAATGTAGACAAATGACAGATCACTTTTTAAAGGAAGTAAGGAATCAGTCCTTCTATGATGTTGTTGGTTCAGTCTGGCCCAACATACTTTTATCAATAGAATATAATTCTCCACATTTAACTGCTTATATAGCATTTCTTCCAGAGAAATTAACTAAGCAAGATTTTTCTAATTAAAATAAAACAATTTTTAATTTTTAATCTTGAACTTTATATTTAAGTAGAAACTAATTTTTAACATGGTATTTATTAACTTCATAACCTGCTTTCTTTCCCTCACTTATATACTTCCCATTAATTTCTAAAGGAGATTTATATGCTATAAAGATTTACAGCTAATGAAACAGAAAGTAAATATACATCTTACTTAAATAATTAGCCCATTTTCTTCAGTACAAATACCAATCACATCCTAATGAGGAAAGTATGCTATTTCTAAATGTAATGCAATCTTGCCTCAAACACATTTTTATTTACAGAGGACAGTTTTTCTATACATCTTCCCTTCAGAACCATTGGAAATAATCTAGTTTTTATTTTAAAATATAGCCATGCATTTCTACTAATGCTCAGGTATCAGGTGAACAAAATAATAGTGACTTACATTTACATCTTGCTTCTGAACTGTCAGTACATTTACTAGCTGTCAGTAAAAGAGAAAAATAAAAAAAACTGACTGTCAGTTTTAAAAGACAGTAAGAAAGAGAAAGTATGCCAGTAAATGTAGAGAAAATAATTTTGAAAAATATTTTACCTACTTCAGCATGAGTTTTTGTCCTGTGTGAAATGTATAACTACATAATTTGAATTGTTTGATATCTTAAAACCATAGATTCTAGGAAATATGGAAATGTGTGAGGAAAACGTGTTTGCTTTAAAATCATGATTTCCAAGCTAGGTTTAGGCTGATGCAAACAAAACTGCCATTCACCTAGTCAAATAAAGGGATTCCAAAGCTTTGCAGAGTTATTTGTATAGAGCAGGAGATTTAGGCTCAGATTATTAGATCTATATGTCCCTTAAATTTCCCACCCAGCATCTTAAAAATTGAACATAACTGAAAAGTTGACAATACAATACCATAATGATGAATGAATCCATACCATAATTGCACCTCTTCTTGAACATAAAACCACATCTTAAGTGTTTTCCCAATCTAAATATTCAAAAATGGCCGTGACTTTTTAAATTTTATAATGTTTTGGGTTACATGCATTCTACTGTTCAATTAAAACATTTTAGAATATGTTATTTAAATTATAATCATCTTAAAAGGCTAATATTCTTGAAATGGATAGTTTCAAACCTAAACTTTGAAGATAACTGATGGACCTAAATAACTTAAAAAAGATACAGGAATAATAATTTGGTAAATAAATGTGGATATATTTCCTCGGTGTTCATAATCACACACCAAATTTTGAAGGTTTTAAGTTTACTATAGATGTAAGCATGCTCCCACCACTTGGGCATTTTCCTGCATTATAGTGTTGCAATTGCTCATCAATAAGACTCCTTAAAATTAATCATTACTCGTCAGATTTATTGAAATTAAAACTGGAGGGGTGCAAGTTATTTTTATTAAAATAATTAAATTGAATCATTACAGCATTCTGTCCAGAGATAACAAGTGGACCGACAAGAACATCAGCTGTGAATATATTTAAATATAGATTTACACATGCAATATTAGGGAAGGTAAAAACAGGATATGAAATAAACATTAGACATCAACTCTAAGCTCACTGTCAAGAATACGCCCAAGCCTCTAACCACAGAGTTCAGCTGAAGGTAACTATCTGTCAAATGTAATCTGTGCAAGTGAATATGCTTAAGCTGGTGCTATGAATCAACCAAAATTGCTTTGGTCTTATTGACATTCAATTGCGAGAAGTTGCAGCTCATCCAGTCCAATAGACAGTCTGACAACACCAAGAGTGCTTCCAGTGACAGAAGGCTTTAAATATAGATGCAACTATCATCAAAATCCACATGGAACTAAACTTTATGATCCTTCATAGCATCTTTTGAAATTGGTCAGTCAGTCATCAACTGGTCATAGATGCCCCAAGATCTCATCACATTACTTTACCATCTGCCAGCTTACTCAGTTAACAAACCATTATTAATCTTTAAAAAAAATGAATATAGATTTGATTGACAGGTAAAGTCCTCCTGGATTAGTATAAGAGTTTCTGTTGCATTGCGCTTAACCCCACTTCTTCACTTTGCAGATGTGCCTTTTATTTTTTCTTCCATTTGAGACTTGCCCCTAGTACATCTTAATAAATAATAACCAGGCATGCATGAAAAAAATCCAGAGGGTCAATTTTAAACAATGCCTTGCAGATATTTCTTGACATGTATTGAGTTTGCATAAACTCTGCATTTTACCAACAAGAGAACTAAGGTGAGTGAGGTTAAGTGACTTGCCTAGGGTTGTTTCCCCTTGGGCGCTGTGACCTCTCAAGTAGATTCTGCTGGTGCCCATGTGCTTTTGTTCCAGGTCTTAATCCTATATTGAACCAACTTTCTATCCATCCCTCTTTTGTCTGTGCATATTTTCAAACAAGAAACATGTGTTGAGTTCCAAACTGCTTGTGATGCTCTGCTTGCCTCTGTTAAATCTCTCTATGCCTCAGTAGTCTCATCTGTACCTTCTTAAGGCCATTCATTCAGTGATACATGTAAATAAAACCCTGGACTCAGTAAAGAGCCAATAGACCTAAATGGGTAGATTGATACTTGAATTTTTAACATGCTATGTAAGTACTGTCCTGTCCCTCGCAGAGTTTATAGTCCAAAGACAAATTGCACTTTTAAGGATAAATCTTTACATGATGCAAGGACAAATACAAAACATTCTACATTATTTTAAAAAACCAATCCTGGCCAGGTGTGGTGGCTCACACCTGTAATCCCAGCACTTTGGGAAGCTGAGGCAGGTGGATCACAAGGTCAGGAAATCCCGACCATCCTGACTAACACGGTGAAACCCTGTCTCTACTAAAAATACAAAACAAATTAGCCGGGCATGGTGGCAGGCGCCTGTAGTCCCGGGAGGCTGAGGCAGGAGAATGGCATGACCCCAAGAGGCAGAGCTTGCAGTGAGCTGAGATCGTGCCACTGCACTCCAGCCTGGATGACAGAGCAAGACTCCGTCTCAAAAAAAAAAAAAAAAAAAAAAAAAATCCAAAGTGTAGCAGTTCCCTGAACTCTCACACTAGGTCTTTCTTAGGAACATCCATTGTCTTCTCTCAGGGAATCTCTGTTACTTCCCTTGTACCTTGAACTATGAAGGTACATGAAAATAAACTGTGATACAATGCTGTTTTTTTAAAAAAAAGTGAGCAGACAAAATTATATATGTTTTAAAGATGTACTATGGTTAATAACATATATAATATGCACATAAAAGCTGAAGGGAATTACATTAATATCAGAGCAAAATTACTGGAAGGAATTGGTTGGGTCTGTCTTTTTTCTCATTTATTTTCTAAATATTTGAAAATGTTGATTCAAAACCTTTTACGATTTTTTAAAACATCTGATTTTATTCAAAAATTACTTTCCAAAAATGTATACTCAATATCACAGTGAGATTTCTTTCTTTCTTATTATGTATAGCTTCTTAAGGATAGACACCATGGCTTTACTATCTTCTGTAACCTCAAGATCTCTTAAAAAGTGTTGTATACATAGTAGATATCTATTGTCTTTTACATTAATGAAGTTAAAATGCTTTAAGCAAAAGGAATTGACTTGCTTACTAGGAAAATGACCATAAAGGTTCTTTTCAACTTTTCACATGTATTATCAGAAGAAACATTGACTAAGCCTGGCTTTTACACATGATCTTCCATGAAGCATACTATGCACTTATTCGAGTGTGCTACTATTGTGTCAGTAAAGAATCTGGAACAAAAACAATTCTCCTCCAGATGGAAAAAAGTTACTTAATAACCTTACTTAGTTTTAAAATTAGTTATTTTTCAGCAAATGTATGAATTGAAATTTAATCAAGGAAGTTCCTAAAGTACTAAAATTACGTAAAGCAAACATAATTAAATAAGGTACATAAGTAATTTGCATTCTAGGGGCTTGTGGTCGGAACACACAAACTAGGATATAATACCTTAAGGTTTTAGTTGTTCCAGGTGATTTAGATCACTGGTTATTTCCATGTGGCTTTTTATTATTTATGAACTTAAACTCTTATGACTCTTGATTTTTTTATTTTCTCGTATATAAAATGGCAATCATTAACATTATTAATGGATCAAAAATAATGTTTGCAAAACACTGAAAATTAAAAAAAATATTATGCAAGTCTTCTCATGCTATACTCCACTCAGTCACGTTCAGCCTATCTCTCCCTGCCAATCACAAGTAAAATCTCAGACCAAACACAAAAAGCAACTACATGAGGATGCTGAAAAGTGAATCAAAGCAAACAGATTATGGAGGGGAGCCAGACCTGAAGAATTGGAAACTTCTGATCTATAAATGACACTGTTAAAATATTGAGAAGACAAGCTACAAATCAGGAAAATATTTGCAAAACAGACATCTGTTTGACAGAGGACTTCTATGCACAAGACATAAAGAGCCATAGAAATTTCATAATAAGAAAAGGGCCAACATTTTTTGAAATGGGAAGATTTGAACAAACATTTCACTAAAGAGGATACACACATGGGAGGCAAATAAGCACCTGAAAAGATCCTCAATCATCATCAGTCACCGGGGAAAATCATCAATCATTAGAGAAGTGTAAATTAAAACCATAATGAGATACCACTAAACACCTATCAGAAGAAGAGCTAAATAAATAAATGAAGTGGCCATACCAAGTGCTGGCCAGGATGCAAAACAACTGTAATCTGACATTTTGCTGGTGAGAAGGCAAAATGGTACAGCCACCGTGGAAAAAGTCTGTCAACTTCTGAGAAACTTTAAACATACACCTACCATGTGGCACAGCAATCCTTTTCCCAGATATTTATTCAGAAAACAGTTTACGGGTCAATAGAGGGTGGGGATGGGAAGATGGGAATGACTATAAAAGAGTAGCACAAAGGAATATTCTGAAGTTATAGAACTCTTCTGTGTATTGGTTGGATGGTGGTTATGCAACAGTATACATCCACAAAAACCAATAGAATTGTGCACAAAAAGGTACATTTTGCTTTATATAAGTCATTTTTAATGTATATGTATTTGAAAGACAAAAAGCATTATACAATATGTGATTATGATTTTATTTGCCCTTTCAAAATCATCACAGGAATGAATAATAAACAGACGTTTCATAGAAATGTCCCCACAATGTCTCTAAATTGTCAATTTGTCATATAGTTTACATCAACTTAAGGCCTAATAACTGGTCCAGTCTTTTTTTTTTTTTTTTGAGACAGAGTCTCGCTCTGTCGCCCAGGCTGGAGTGCAGTGGCGCGATCTCCGCTCACTGCAAGCTCCGCCTCCCGGGTTCACGCCATTCTCCTGCCTCAGCCTCCCAAGTAGCTGGGACTACAGGCGCCCGCCACCACGCCCGGCTAATTTTTTGTATTTTTAGTAGAGACGGGTTTTCACCGTGTTAGCCAGGATGGTCTCGCTCTCCTGACCTTGTGATCCAGCCGCCTCGGCCTCCCAAAGTGCTGGGATTACAGGCGTGAGCCACCGCGCCCAGCCGGTCCAGTCGTTTTTAACTCTAATCATCTGATGTCACCCCCCAATCACTATGCCACTCCAAAACACTGTTGAGACTTCTGTCAAATAGTTCCCCTTTTCAAGTCAACAATTTACTAAAATCTTTTTCTTTTCATGCAACCAAAATTATTTTTCTATCTTAAGCATATTTTTTGAGGCTGACAATTCTATGTTCTTTCTTTGAATCAAAATATTTAACAATCAACCGAATGTTAATTTCTCCAACTTGTATCCTACTTTAAGTAAAAATACATCCTTTAAGTAACTTAACATTATTGGGTCTCCTTAATTACAGTGTTCACACTCCAAAAAATATATTTTATCTTTGAAATTCTTTTAATGCTTTACTTTTTTTAAAAACAATGTCACCAATTCAGAATTCTTATTAGCTACCCTTAGAAATTGCATAAGCCATTTTAGAATTTCATTTTTTGCCCCTATTTTTCTTATTTCATGCTTTGATAAAATTCTCTCAGTTAAATGTGGTTAACCTTAAATCCAAGCCTCTTCTGTACAGGTATGGTATCACAACTTATGCTCCTCAAAACAAAAATGTTTAACTACGCAAATTATAAGGAAATGACATCGCCAAGGATGAGACTGTAAAGAAGTTTCTCTCCACCAAGGCTCATGCCCCTTAGGGGACACTTGGCAATGTCTGCAGACATTTTTGACTATTGCAAGACAGGACGGAAGTAGGCAGAGAGGTGGCAGGTTTGCTACTGGCATCTAGTGGGTAGAGACCAGAGATTCTTCTGAACATCCTACAATGCACAGGAAAGCCAGGCACAACCAATAATTATCCAGTCCAAAATGTCAGTAGTGCCAAGATTGAGAAATATTGCCCCAAATCAATTATCTATTCAAGAAAGTACATATACTAATAAAAATGTAAGCACAAACAAAATCAAAACTCAGGACAATTTCTAGGCATTTCACTTACACTGTTTCAACTCCTCCACAGCTACATACACATACACTAGTAGAGATGTCCCCTTTTCATTGTCAAGGGGCAGTGACAGTACATTCCTTATCACCTGTTATATAATGGCATAACATAGAACCAGTTTAAGAAATATGTAAAAAATCTGTAATCGCAGTAAATACAATATGACTTAAACAGAAAGATATACAAAAATGAGTCTGAGTACAAAAAAAAATCTTGAATCAAATGCTTACTCATTGCAAATGGACACAATTCTGATATTCAATGTTTGAAGCTTGGCTCAATAACCAAACCTAATACATTTCTGTTTATACTAAATTTAGAATTCATCAAGAATTTTCTGATTCTGCTTGAAATTATCTAAACTGTGTACTTAGAAATATATATTTTCCATGGGCGCTTCCACTGTAGCCGTGAGTCACCTAGAGTTTATGCTCAGTTACACTAGTGTTAATGATTTAGGACAGTATATCTAATAGGTTGCGACAAAAATTAACAACAGCCCATAATTAAAGATGTTAATTAGGATAAGCTTACACTAATTAATAGAAGAATTTATCCTTGGTATTTATTTTAACCATGATCAAGCATTACTTATTATTTTAATCATTACACGAACCAGTTACATGTGTTACAAATGAATATCAAACTACATACACAAGAATTTCCAGTCATAAGATCTGCAAAGAATTATGGCAATGACTTTTGCATTATGACTCCACATTCCTCAATTCACACAAAAAAAATCAGATACAAACTATGGTGATGGTCATTGTAACATGAAAAAAAGACAAGTCTTGAATATCCACAAGCAGCTTTTCAACATCTAAAGTTGCCTCAAAAAGACATATCTGCCAAAATTCGTTGAAACTATGTAAAAAAAGTACAAATTGTATTATCTCCGCCAGCTCCATCCAATGTTTAATATAAAGCACTAGCAATTTCTCTTCCCCCTGAAGTATTTGTGGTTAGGCAAATTAGCTGAAATGTTGACACACTAATGCCAAGTGAAATGCTTTCCTTGTATCAAATCTATATTCCTGATTGAGAATTAATCTTCCACTTGCACACCTGAGAAGAATGGCTCTCCACCAGGAGTGGTAGTTGCAATAATCACAGGCAATAAAGTATGTACCTTGTTAGTCTATCTAGTTATTTTATTCATATCCAGTGTGATATTTAGTAGAGGAACAATTTCAAACTGCCTTTTAATTTCAATTGTAACAAAATATTTGCTGAAAAGTGTTAAGGGAATCTGCAAATGCTCGTGTATAGGTTTCTTATAGGCACTTTACAACTTGCCAATACACTTGACCACTGCTGCAATTTATGCTACATTTTTAAATTGTGAATAGGCCATGTGATGGTTAATATTAATTTGACTGGATTGAGGGATACCTAGATGGCTGGTAAAGCACTGTTTCTTGATGTATCTATTGCGGTGTTTCCAGAGGAGATTGACATATAAGCCAGTGGACTGAGAGAAAGACCTACCCTCAATGTAGGTGGGTACCATCCAATCAGCTGCAGGTGTGTCTACAGTAAAGCAGACAGAAGAAGGGGGATATTCAGCTTGCAGGCTTTTCTTGCTTTGTGAGCTGCCTCTCTCTTTCTCTTCCAGTGCAGAATGCCCTTTCTTCCTCCTGCCTTTAGACATCAGACTCTAGGTTCTTTAGCCTTTGGACCCTGAAACTTGCAGCAGTGGTCTCTGGGGGATCTGGGGGTTCTCAGGCTTTCAGCCTTAGACTATGGGATGCACTGTCAGCTTCCCTGGTTTTGAAGCTTTGGGACTTGGACTGAGACATAGTATCACCTTCCTTGGGAGACATACTAGTGGCTTCTATCATTCTATAGCTTGCTGACAGCCTGTCGTGGGACATTGCCTTTATAATGATGTGAGCAAATTCTCCCTAATACATTCCTTTTCATACACACACAGACATGCACCTCCTATTGGTTCTTTTCTTCTGGAGAACCCTGACTAATACAGACCATGTCTAGCTTGATCTGAATAGACTTCGCAATATTTGACAAGCATATCTTCTCTCTCTTTTCACCATGTCAGTTCACTTTACAAAGAGTTTTCCTTACCTCCCACAATTTTAGCCAATATACTTTAAATACAATAAGGAGCTTACAGCCAACAGCTATTTTAAAATGGTAGACAAAGTCCTTTTTATAACACTACATGACTTCTGATCCTGACAGAGATGGAGCAGCCTTATTCCTCCCAGTTCTCTTTCTATAATTAAAAAGCCCTGAACATAACAAAACAAATAAGTGTAAGATGACTTTGCGAAGTAGGTAGAAGAAAAAAAATTAGGAATCTGAGGACTTGAGGAACAACATGGCAAATTCCCTAGTTTTCGTTGTTGTTTTAATATCCAGAAACATCTAACGTAGAACCACCAACAGGCACAGACAAAATAAGCTCCAAGGAAAGGCTTATTTTCCTAGACAGAAGATCAGGAAAATGTTGGCCTACAAGAGAAAACCTTTTTAGCAAAAAGTACCTGTCATACTTTAGCCAAACTCCAATGGAAAAACCAAACACACACACACAAGCACACCCATACACACACACACACTCTCTCCCCACACACACTCACACACATTCATAGTTCCAGCAGCCGAGCTCATCAGGGAGCTAATCTTTCACCCCACCCTCTCACCCAACAGAAGTAAGCAGTAGTTTTTGATTCCCTTTCACAGTGGTGTTGACAGGGCCAAGAGGCAGCTAACCTTCTATTCCCACTGGCAGAAGCAGTCAGTGTTCCAATTCCCCTTGCCTGGTGGTTCCAATAAACCAAACAGAGAGCTGATCTTCCATTCTCCACTTGTTGAAACAGGCAGCTGTCTAACTGTAGGTAGGGGTGGTTTTGATGAGACCAAATAAGGAGCTTATTTTCTGTCCTCTGCTCAGTGGAAGTTGTGCCACTCTGATTCTCTTTTCTAAATAGTATTGGCAGAGTGAGCAGAGGGCTGATCTTTCATCCCCTGTCTGAAAGGAGTCAGCCATGCTCCAACTCTTTACTAAGTTAGTGTCACCTCAGCCCAGCAAGTAGCTAAACCATCTCCACCACCCCTACCTGGTAGCAGCAAGACTTAGTGAAGTGGTGCAAGGCAGGACTAGTCAGCACATTACATTCCCCCCGGCTCTGGCAGGGCCCCAGTCAGGAGCTGAAGCTCAACATCCACCCAATATTAACAAGACTAAACAAGGACACGAGAGTCAGGGCTCATCAGCACTTTACTTTACTCCAACCTCTGGTGTCAGTGGGACCAAGGAGGGAATGAACCTCTCCACTCTCTTCACAGCACAAGACCACATGAGGTGGTGTGTGTCAGGGTTAGTCTCCATTCTGTTCCCACCCCACCCTCACTAAGTGAGCAGGGCCTAGAGGGGAGCTGAGCCCCTACTCCCAGTGGTATTAGTGAGACTGTGTGCTAGGTGTTAGGGCCAATCAATACTCTACATCCTTTTTCCCTTTCTTGTGAATTGGACCCAGTTCACAAGAACTGGGAGAGTTCTGGAGAGAAGCAGAACCTTCTCTCACACCTGGCATCAATGAGGCAGAATAAGGTGATAGGAGGAGGGTTACTTGACACTCCATTCCCCACCTCCCCTGGTGTCACAGAGACCAGCAGGAAGCTCAGCTTCCACCCCTACCCTGCAGCAACAAAGTAGTGTGAACAAGCAATGAATTTTTCCCTTCCGTGGCTCAGTGGGGAGTTAGGAATATGTCACCATGAGGGGCAACAAGGCAGCAGCAATAGGCGGCCCGCTTTCACTGGGAAGGGGTCAACAGGGAAGCTGAAGTTTCACCCTACCCATCTGCTGCAGTGTGAGTCAGTGCTCCACTTCTGCTGGATGATGTTGGCAGTGACAACGGGGTGATGAATGAACATACACACCCACCTGGCCTCTGTGCACACCTCAATGTAAGGACAGCTTCTGAATAAAAAAAGAAGATGAATTTGGATCCAGAGTCTCATACTACGATACCCAAAACATCCAGGATATAATAAAAATCACTTGTCATACTAAGAACCATCAAAATAACAACTTGAATGAAAGAAGAAGATCAACAGATGCCATCAGTGATATGAATCATATGTTGGAATTATCAGGCAAGGATTTTAAACCAGATACAATAAAAATGCATCAACAAGCAATTGTGAATTCTTTCAAGCAAGAAAAAAAATGAGAGAAACCCCAGCATAGAAATAGAAGTTATATATATATATATATATATAAAAGATCCAAACGGAAACTAAATAACTGAAACATACAACCATTGAAACAAACTCAAACTTGCTATATGGGTTCAAGGGTAACAGGAAGATGACAGGATTCCTGAACCTGAAGGAAATCAAAAGAATTTACCTAATTTGAACAAATAAGAAAAGAGAGATTAAAAGGAAAAAAAAAAACTTGAAGAGAGCTTCAAGAACCAGTGAGTTAAAAACAAAAGAGTTAACATTTGTATAACTGGAATCCTAGAATAAGAGGAGAGAATGGCAGTGAAAATGTATTCAAGAAAGAATGTCTGAAAATACTGAAAATATGGCAAAAGACATTAACAAACACATGCAAGAAGCTGAGCAAATCTCATACAATAGGATAAAACCAAGGAAACTCATGCTAGGGCTTTCACTATTAAACTGCTAAATACAAAACAAGCAAAGAGAAAACCTTGAAAGCAGCCAGAGGAATGATGTAAAACTTATAAGTAAATACCAGTTCAAATGACAACAGATTTCTCATCTGAAAAATTAGAAGCCAGAAGGAGTGGCACAACATTTATCAAGTAATGAAAGCAATTAACTGTCAATCATAAATTTTATATCCAGCAAAAATATCCTTTCGGAATGAAGGAAAAATCAAGACACTCTCAGATGAGTGAAAAATAAGAGTATTTGTTTTCATCAAACCCATTCTTAAAGGATGACTAAAGGAAGTTCTTTAAATAGAAACAAAATGATAATAAAAGCTTCAGAACTTATAAAGAAAATAAGAATATCAGAATGAATAAAATTAGGGGGAAATAAGTTAGACTTTCCCTCTTATTAGTTTGCTAGATAATATTTCACGGTTGAAGCAAAAATTACAACTCAGTGTAATGTGATGCTCACTGTATGTAGGGGAAACACTTAAGACAATTATACTGAAAAGGTAGAATGAGTAAAGGACCTAAGTGGAAATAAAAGTACACTTTAATGGAAGTAGTAATATGTCCATGTCAGTAGATAAGTGACTTACATATACTTTAATACCTAGAGCCACTAAAAACACTATACAAAAAAGATATACCCAAAATGCTGTTAAAACACCAAGATAGAATCCTAAAATGTGTTCACGTAACCTACAGCAAGGTCAGAAAAGAGAAATGCAGAGACCCACAACAGACAAGAAATAGAAAAAATAAAATTGCACACATAAGGCTAGCATATCAGTAAGAATCTCAGATGTAAATGGTCTAAATATACAAATAAATGACAGAGATTAGCAGAGTGTATTAGAATATAAACTTAATTTTTAAAAAAGTATCCAAAAAATATGCTATCTGTACAACATTCACTTCATGGACATCAACACAGGTCAGTTGAAATTAGTAATCAGAAAAATATATCTGCAAACATTAATCAAAAGAAAAAAGGAATAACTAGTAACTATCAAATAGCATAGATTTCAGAACAAACCAAATATCTAGAGGTTAAGAGGGACATTACATAATGATAAAATGATATCTCCACTAGAAAGACCTAATGATCCTAAACATGTATGCACCTAACAACAGAACTTTAACATGCATGAAGCAAGACTGATACAGCTGAAAGGAGAAATAGATAAGCCCACAATTAAATCAGGGACGTCAACAGCAAACTCTCAGCAATTGATAGAACTAGTAAAAAGGACATCATTACAATATAGAATCACTCAAGAAAAGTATACAAAGTAGATGTACTTAGTTCTATTTATAAGAGAATTGGTTTTCTTCACACCTACTCTTAAATAATGACTAAAAGAAGTTCTTTAAATAGAAATAAAAAGATAACAGAAGATTTATATGTGTATGCATCTGTGTTTGTGTGCGTGTGTAAACACAAAACAAACTATACACATTAATTTCAAATACTTGTGAAACTTTCACCAAGATAGACTACATTCTGGCCTGTTAAAAAATCCTGAACAAATGTTAAAGAACTGAATTCACACTGAATGTGTTCTCTGATTGAAAATGATTCAAATTTGAAATCAATAACAGAATTATAATATTTAAAATCTCCAATTTATTTGAAACTAAACAATACATCTCTATATAACCCATGAGTCAAAAAGAAAGTTGTAAAAGAAAATTTTGAAAACCTCAAAGGAAATTTCAAAAACATAGAACTGAATGCACATGAAAATATAGCTGACCTTTGAACAACACAGGTTTGAACTACACAGATTCACTTATATACAAATTTTCTTCTGCCTTTGCCACCTGAGACAACAAGGCCAACCCTTCTTTCTCCTCCTCCTCAGCCTACTCAATGTGAAAATAATGAGCATGAAGACTTATATAATGATCCACTCCCACTTAATGAATAGTAAATATATATTTATCTTCCTTATAATTATCTTAACAATGTTTTCTTTCTCTATTTAATTATAAGAATACAGCACGTAAAACATATAACATGCAAAATATGTGTTAATGGACCATTTATCTTATTGGTAAGGCTTCCATTCAACAGTAGGCTATTAGTAGTTACATTTTGGGGTGGTCAAAAGTTAAATGCAAATTTTTAACTCCATCGGGAGTCAATACCCCAAGCCCTCATTTTGTCCAAGAGTCAAACATACAACATAATAAAATATGTCAGATGCTGCTAAAGCAGCGTGGAAGGGGAAATTTATTGCACTAAACTAAATTAAATACTAAATTAAATTACACATTAAATTACAACACTAAGCTAAATCTAATACTTATATGAGAAAAGAGGAAGGATCTTAAAACATTAAGTTTCTACCTCAAGAAACTAGAGAAAGAAGAGCAAATCAATTCAGCACTATATAAAAGGAATTGTATACTACATATACTATAATTGTATACTATGACCAAGTAGGATTTATTTCAGGTATGTAAGGTTGGTTCAACAATTGAAAATCAATCAGTGTAATCAACCACATTAATAGACTAAAGAAGAAAAATCATATAATCATATCAATTGAATCAGAAAATGCCTTGTGACAATATTTAATACTCAAAACTCCAAGAAATTAGGAATAGAGAGGAACTTCATTAATTTGATAAAGAACACTTACCCAAACAATCTACAGCTAACATCATACTTAATGGTGAAAGTTGAACTCTTTTTCTTCCTAAGATTAGGAACAAGAAGAGCAAGAATCTCTGCTCTTACCTTTCTTATTCAACATACTACTAAAAATTCTAGTCACTGCAGTAAGGAAAAAGAAATAAAAACTACATATTGGAAAGATTAAAAAAACTGCTCCAAATTCAGATGTCATGATTGTCTATGTAGAAAATTCCAACAAATAAAGAATTTCCAGAACTACTATAAATGTGAGTTCAGCAAAGTTTTGAAATACAAGATCACCCTAGAAAATTCATAACATTGCTATATACCAACAATAATCATGCAGAAGCCAAAATTTAAAACACAAAACCAATTACAATCACCAAAAAGAAAATGAAACACTTTATGGGTAAGCTCAACAAAACAGGTGCAGGATGTATGATATAGTTTGGCTGTGTCTCCACCCAAATATCATCTTGAACTGTATAATCCCCATAATCCCCACGTGTCTAGGGAGGCACCTGGCGGGAGGTGATTAGATCATGGGGGCAGTTTCCCACATGCTGTTCTCATGATAGTGAGTGAGTTCTCACGAGATCTGATGGCTTAATAAGGGGATCTTTCCCCTTCACACCTCACTCTTCTCTCTCCTGACGCCACGTGAGGAAGGTCCTTGCTTTCCCTTCACCTTCCACCATGATTGTAAGTTTCCTGAGGCCTCCCCAGCCATGTGAAACCAAGTCAATTAAACCTCTTTTCTTTATAAATTACCCAGTCTCTGGTAGTATCTTTATAGCAGGGTGAGAACAGACTAATACAATGTATGTGCTAAAAATTACAAAATGCCAATAAAAGAGGACCTAAATGGTGATACTTACACCATGTTTATATATTAGAGGACTCAATATAGTAAAAGATTTCAAATCACTCCAAATCCATCTATAGATATAATGCAATTCCTATCAAAATCTAAACAAGATATTTTGAAAACATCAACAAGCTTATTGTGAAATTTATATGGAAAATCATAGGCCCTAAAAGGTTTATTATTTTTTGTAATTGAAATAGCAGGATAAAGTAGAAGGAGTCGCTCTACTAGATATTATAGCTCACAGTACTCAAGAACATGTGGAATTGGTGGAAGGATATACATAGAATTCTGAAATAAATCAACATAAATATCTTCTACTAATTTTTGACAAATGTGCCAAAGCAATTCAGTGAAGGAAGGATATAGCCTTTTCAACTAAGGGCTATTTGGACATCCACTGCTCAAAACCAAATCTCACACCTTAAAAAAATATTAACTCAAAGTGAAACATAGGCTTTTTTTTTTTTTTTTTTTTTAAGACAGGGTCTCACTCTGTTGCCCAGGCTGGAGTGCAGTGGCATGATCTCTGCTCACAGCAGCCTCAACTTCCTGAGGTCAGGTGATCTTCCTTCCTCAGCTCCTGAGCAGTTGGGACTACAGGTGCACTCCACTATGCCTGGCTAATTGTTTTTGTATTTTTAGTAGAGACGAGGTTTCACCAAGTTGCCCAGGCTGGTCTCAAACTCCAGAGCTCAACTGATTCTCCCACCTCAGCCTCCCCCATAGGTGGAACTACAGACACACAGCACCATGCCCAGCCAATGTTTTGTAAAGAAAAGGTGCCCAGGCTGGTCTCAAACTCCAGAGCTCAACTGATTCTCCCACCTCAGCCTCCCCCATAGGTGGAACTACAGACACACAGCACCATGCCCAGCCAATTTTTCGTAAAGACAAGGTGCCCAGGCTGGTCTCGAAGTCCTGGGCTCAAGCAATTCACCCACCTCAGCATCCTGACGTGTGGGGATTACAGGCATGAGCCACCATGCCTGGCCTGAAACACATACTTAAATTTAACAATATAAAATAAAAAAAATCTTTTAGAAAAAATACTCAGGATTTAGGGTTAGGCAAGACTTCATAGACTTGACATGGAAAACACAATACATAAGAGGAAAGATTGATAAATTGGACCTAATCAATCTCAGCAAAACCCTGTAAAAAGAATAAAAACAGCAAGCTACAAATAAGCAATCAAATTAGAAAATGGGCAGAAGACATGGGGAGACATCACCGAATTGGACATATGAATGGTAAATAAGCACATGAAAATATGCTGAACACCATTAGTCATTAAAGAAATGCAAAATAAAACCACAGTGATATATTATCTATCAGAATGGCTAAAATGTTATTTTAAATAGTAAAATAAATGTAGCCTTTATTTTAAATGCTACAAAGGATGTGCACAATCTGGAGCACTCATACATCACTGGTGGGATTCTAAAATGGAACAGCCACTCTGGAAATGAGTTTCTTAAAACACACACATGCAACTGCCATACGCTATTGCACTCTTGAGCATTTATTCCAGAGAAACGAATATGTATGTTAACAAAAACATCCACACGAATGCTTTAACTGTGTTTGATACAACCCAAAACTAGAATTAACCTAGATGTCCTTCAATGGGTGAAGGGTTAAACAAACCATGGTACCCACATACCGTGGAATGCTATGCTGCAATAAGGTGGACTATCAATGCCCTTAACAACTTGAATGAATCCCCACGGAATTATGTTGAGTAAAAAAGAAAGAAACAATCCCAAAAGAGTACATATTGTGTGATGTCATGTATACAACATTTTGAAAAGACCAAATTTTAGAAATAGAGTACAAGTGAGTGGTTGCCAGAAGTTAGGGACACCTGTGGCAGCAGTAGGGGAAGGGAGACAGTGGGCATGGTTATAAAAAGGCAGCTTGAGGTGTCCTTGTAGGGATGGAACTTTTCTGCAACTCGGCTGTGGTGGATAAAATTTTAATAAAATCATATGGATCTAAACATATACACATAGGAATATATGAAAAATGGGAAATGTGAATAATATTGGTTATATTAATGTCCATATCCTGGTCGTAATATTGTACCATAGTTATAAAAGATGTTACTGATGAGAACAAATGAGTAAAGGGTACATGGGACTTCTGTATTATTTCTCACAAGTGCCTGTGAACCTACAATTATCTCAGGAAAAAGTTTAATTAAGAATAAACAAATAGGTGGATATGTTTATGCCACAGATTATGGTGATACTTTCATGGGCATATATTTATCTTTAGACTCATTAAGTTGCATACATGCAACATGGACAGACTTTTCTATGTCAATCAGACCTCAATAAAGTGGTTTTAAAAATATGCAAACCAACAAGCACTACCTATACTAGACCTCTCCAAGTTCGGTACTCCCCAGTTTTCAAAGTGTATGGGGTCTTGTGTTTCTTTAATATTTATAAATGCATCTTGCCACCTACCTTGTTCTCAGATTGTTGCAGGTATTTCAGAGGATTAAATTATAATGGTCACTAGTTTTCTCAATATATGTTCCCATAGATTTCATCTCATTTGCAGCTAATTCCTTTGATTGTCCTTTTCTACCTACCTTGTATTCAACCCAGACACTGAACACCACCCCTTTTTATAAATTCCCTAAAGTGCTAGCACTCCAAAATGGTTGCATGGAACATTTTGGCCAAATAACTGGAATAACACAATGGGTTTATATCCCAGACAAAAACAACCTAAAATTACCTACTATACATCCATAATGTAAACTTTCTTGGTCACCTCTACCACAGTGAAATTGGCATGGGCTGACTCTCCTTCTCAGGTTCCTTGGCTTTCCATCAAGGAAAACATGGGTCTTGAATTTTGCCCCAAATCCCTAGCTATGTCACATGACTTCCATCTCTCCTTCCTCTCCTCCTTCCTTCTTTTCTTGCTCTCTTCTGTCCTTCCCTCTTTCTTTCCCTTCCTCCCACCCCAGGTTGATAACAATTGAACACTAAGTATAAGCAAAACTGAACCAATTATTTCTTTGTCCTTCTAGAACACACTGTTTGACTTTTTTCAGAAGTATGTCATGTAATCATTAGAGAGCAGAATGAAATTGCTGTCTAACATAAGACATTACATATATTTATATATACATATTTGTAAATACTAATAATTTTTCACAGTTGTTGTTAAATAATTCTAAAATTAGCTAATCTATTAAAGCTTTTCATTCTTGGAAAAGTTGTCTTAATTTTTTTAATGTTAATTACTCTGTCTTTGGCTTATGTGGATATTTAAACTTGCCTTGAACATATGCCCTTATTATGCATCCAGGACACTACAGCTGCATAGAATACTTTTGAATGTTGCACTTTAGAGAAAGAAATGCCAAGGGAAACAGTAAGGAAAAATAAAACTACTCAAGTCCATGTTTAAATAAAGTCATAATCTCCATTCCACTACTGAGTGATACATTCCATAGACCAAATTCTGCCCTAGGTTATATGCACACTGTTCTTCCTGACGTTAGTGCGAATTGTTCATGTATAACTGAAGGCATCAGTTAGCCCTTTGGGCACAAAAATGACTATCCACAAAAAAAGCAAAAATAATTTAAGTCTTATTGTATTTGGCTTTTAGGTGAAAATGATATAATATAAATGACAATTCCATTAGATAATACAGGTTTCAAAAGCACTACCATCAAATCCCAACCATTACAAATTTGACAGAATTACCATAGTGGCATTTTCAAGACTAGAGATTGTTAAAAAAAAAAAAATCAGTGGACATTGGAACATAGTCTTCTATTTATAGCAATTTTCAATTTTAGTAGTATATGTGATATATGTCCCATATGATATTTGTATATATTTCCTTTTACATATATTATACAATTTATAGCTATTGGCTGAGAAACCACCATTTTCTAGCAGAAATTATTAATTGCTAATTCTTCTTCAAATATCAGTTTTCATGTTTAAATGTTAATTTATTCATGGCTTGCTGTAGGTCTTGATTGGAAGTGTTTCCATAGGGAAGTTTTCAATGAACTTAAATCTTTGCTATAAAATATTAGACTGATGATAACATTCAGACTGGCAAAAGGCAAACACTACAGTGTGACTTGTGATAATCTTCTTACACACACTAGCTAAACAAAACTCTTTTTAAGCGTATACATATATTGCGCATACAGTAGTCCCCCTTTATCCATTGAGGATATGTTGCAAGACTCCCAGTGAATGCCTGAAACCGTGGATATTACTGAACCCAATATATGCTATGTTTTTTCCTATACATACATACCCAAGATAAAGTTTAATTTTTATAAATTAGGCCCAGTAAGAGATTAACAATAACTATCAAAATAGAATAATTATAACAATACATTGTTCAGAATTTCATGGACAGAAGATACATTCTTACACTGAAGTTCTTAGTAATTTCAGCATATGATCTTTTCTCTTTCATTTGTTAAGTTGAGAGTGTTTACCTTTTCACTTAAAAGAGGGACTTTATGGCTTCTTGGCATAGCCAAATTGCCAGCATTACTATTATTGCACTTTGGGGCCATTAAGAAGTGAAATACAGTTTCCTTGAACACAAGTTACAACTGTGATACAGCAACAGCTGATCTGATTACTAAGAGAGCTACTATGTGACTGAAGGGCTAGGAGCATAGACAATATGGAGAAGCTGCTGGACAAAGGGATGCTTCACCTCCCAGGCAGGAGGTATGGTGACCACCTCACATGTCATCACACTACACAGAACAGCACCCAATTTAAAACTTATGAATTGTTTACTTCTGAAATTTTCCATTTGATATTTTCAGACTGTGGTTGACTGTGGGTGACAAACAACAGAAAGCAAAGCCAAGGGTAATGGAGTACTACTGTATACTAATGGCTACACAGTTTAATAACAGCTACTAAATAGATTTGATTAGAAGCAGGTGAAACAATCGCCACAAAAAGAATAAAATACCAGGAATACAGTTAACCAGGGAGGGGAAAGATCTGTACAATGAGAAATGCAAAGCACTGCTCAAATAAATCAGAGATGACACAAACAGATATCATTGGTTTGTGTGACATTCCATGCTCATGAATAGGAAGGACCAATATCGTTAAAATGGCCATATTGCCCAAAGCAATTTACAGATTCAGTGCTATTTCTATCAAACAAACAACGACATTCTTGGAATAACTAGAAAAAAACTTTTTAAATTCATATAAAACCAAAAATGAGCCCAAATAGACAGAGAATCCTACACAAAAATAACAAAGGTGGAGGCATTGCATTACTTGACTGCAAACTATACTACAGGGCTACAGTAAGCAAAACAGCATGAATCTGGTACAAAAACAGACACATAGACCGAAGAAAAAGAATAGAGAGCCCAGAAATAAGGCCATCACACCTACCACCATCTGATCTTTGAGAAAGCTGACAAAAACAAGCAATGGGGAAAGGACTCCCTATTCAATAAATGTTGGGATAACTGGCTAGCCATATGCAGAAGATTGAAACTGGACCCCTTCCTTATACCATATATAAAAATCAACTCAAGTTGGAATAAAGACTTAAACGTAAAACCCAAAACTAAAAGCCTGAAAGACAATCTAGGCAATAGCATTCTGGACATAGGAAATAGGAACAGGCAAAGATTTCACGACAGAGATGCCAAAAGCAATGACAAATGGGATCAAATTAAATTAAAGAGCTTCTGCACAGCAAAACGAACTATCAACAGAGTGAACAGATAACCTATAGAGTGAGAGAAAAGTTTTGCAAACTATACATCTGGCAAAGGTCTGATAGCTGGCCTCTATAACAAACTTCAACAAATCTACAAGAAAAAAACAACCCTATTAAAAAGTGGGCAAAGGACATAAATAGACCCTTTTCAAAAGAAGACATACATGTGGCCAACAAGCATATGATCGCTGATCATCAGAGCAATGTCAATCAAAACCACAATGAAAGATACCATCTCACATCAGTCAGAATGTCTGTTATTAAAAAGTCAAGAAACAACAGTGCTAGTGAGGTTGCAGAGAAAAAGGAATGCTTAATAGGCTGATGTTGGGAGTGTAAATTACTTCAACCATTACAGAAAACAGTGTGACAATTCCTCAAAGACCAAAAAAAACAGAACTACCATTATACCCAGCAATTCCATTCCTGCGTATATATCCAAAGGAATCTGAGTCATTCTATCATAAAGACGCATGCACATGTATATTCGTTGCAGCACTGTTCACAATAGCAAAGATATGGAACCAACCTAAATGCTCATCAATGGTAGACTGATATTTTCTTTTGTTACACCTTTTTAAATCCATCAGGGAAGGAAGAAAGAAAGAAATAATGCCTGCGCCCCACCTAGACCAATGAAGACATAAAGGGATATGGACATCAGAATATTTTTTAAAGTTTCTCAATAATGCTAATAATTTCTATAGTTGAGAATTATTACCCTAAACTGGAATCTAATTCATATGTGCTCCACATCCAAAATCTGATTCTCTTCCAGTATTTCTATTTGAGAAAAAGAAATCACTGTACCTGCAATTACATAAGCCAGAAAGCTGGGATTCATCAACTCCCTTTCCCTCATATTACATATTCCTTCATCAACAAGCCCTTTAATTTAATTCTTAAACTCCTCTCAAAGCTGACCATTCATTTGCATATTCACTATTGTCTTCATGCTGTAAGTAAGTAACACTTACATCTGACTTGGTCCATGAAAATACCATAACAACCCTTCACACTTGTCTTCAAGCAAACCATTCTCCCTCACTGCAGCCAAAGTGATCTTTAGGAAAAAATAATCTGTGCATATCATACGTTTTCCTTCCTTATCCTCATCCCTCATCTCCTGTCCTTCACATAAAACAGTTCAATAGAGTTCCATTTAAAAAAAAAATCTTAACATATCCAGTGATTCTCTTTAACACATAGCCTCTTCCTACTGTTCTGTCCTCATTTCACACCATGTCCCACTTTGCCAGCGACACTCTAACCACTTTGGTTTTTTAGTCTATGTAACATATTTCTTTTTATACAAGGGCATTTACACTATTTGCTATGCATTTATGGAATGTTCTTATCAATTCTCTTTGCCCAGTTGGATCCTATGCATTCTTTTGAATAAATCTTACTATCAGTTGAACTGTGTCCCATCAAAAGTCATACTGAAGCCCTAACCCTATGTGCCTGTGACTCTGACCTTATTTGGGTAGTGTCTTTTTGGATGTAATTGTTAAGATGAGTCCTACCGAATTAGGAAGAATCCTAATCCAGTACAACTGATGTCCTTATAAGAAGAGAAGACACACACGATCAGAGGAGAGGACCATATGATAATGCAGACAGAGGCTGGAGTGATGTAGCTACAAGCTAAGGAGCATCAAGGATTGCTGCCAGCTCTGTTTCTCATGCAGTGGGTGGTGGCTACACTGGGCACTCCTCTTTTCTTTTCTGGGTTCCCGGCCTTGCTGTGGGCAGACAAACCCCAGGAGGTAGCACAATCACATACTCTGGTGTCTGTGCAAACACCAGATGCTGGAAGAGACAAGGAAGGATTCTAGAGGTTTCAGAAAGAGCATGGCCCTTCTAACAACTTGATTTCAGCTTTCTAGCCTCCAGAACTCTTCAACAATGAATTAACTGTTGTGTTAAGCCACCAGTTTGTGATAATTTTTTAGTACAGGCCTAGAAAACTAATACACATATTCAATAACATTTACTCAAGGAAGCTTTTCTTGACTTCAGTGGTTTGACCAAATCATTCTTCATGTGATCATGTAGCACTTACCACAATTATAATTTTGCCTTTATTTGTGTAATTATTTGATTGCTTATCCTCTGAAGAGACTGTAAGCTCCTTCATAGCAGGAAGTTATAGGCTATAAAGTGTTTTAGTAGACAATATTTTCTTTATATGTTCAAATTTATGGTGTAAGCTAAATAGGCCAAGTTTGTTTGTTTCCAATTTGTAATGGGTATCCTAACATTTTGAGGAGTTACATAGTTTTCCCAGGGTTGCACAATTTTTTACTAAAAGGTCAAGAATTAAAGCCTTGCCTTCTGCTTAAATATTGCATTTTAAAATCACATGCAAAAAACGTACAGAGAATAATTACTTTTTTACTTGGATGGTTTTACCTCTTCCATAATAAAGTAGGAAGTGCTTCCTTCTTTGTATTTTATTGTAATAAGGGTTGATTCTATAAGGCATGGGTCAGGTGATCAGGCTGGCTTAAGGGAAATATTCTTTCTTTAAGCCATTGTAGTCTATCGCAACTGCCATAAAACATGAAAATATTGCGCAGAACTTTATACAAAATTACATTCTGTTGTACATTTAAATTGCTTGTATCAATGAGGGGTATAGTTAAAAAATATATTGACTTTAATTATTTGTATAAATCATGTAAATATCTGAAGCATTGAAAATATTTATATTACAAATATGTATAAATATACAAAATTATATTTACATTATAAATATATGTTTTCAGTTCTTTTGGGATTCTGTGCCTTTTTTTTTTGGTTTGGAGAATTTTAAAAACTATTATTTAGATCTGCTCAGTGACCCATGTTCATGGCAAGTTATTACTTTTAGTTTAAGGTCAGAGAAGCTTGGGACTATAAATGTAGGCAGGTAGTTTAAATTTCCTAAGGCTAATTTTTTAAAATCTCTGTCATGGAGATAATATAAGTCAGTGGCACAGAGCTATTATTAACACTATATTAAACATGTTACAAGCATGTCACTATTTCATTGTATAACTGCAAATATGTAACATGTTTAATATAGTGCACATAAATCAATGATTAATAGCAGCTATGATAATTTGTAACTGATTGTTCTGAAAAACTTCATTATATTCTATTGATCTTAATTTATTTTGAATAACCCAAAACTATTCAACTAACTTGAGCTGTTAACCCAGCTGGCTAGATATAAAGAGAAGGCTTTGCACAAAGAAACATTTAGCACACATATGCATGCATACTTACACACACATACACACACACACAGAGTCAGAGCTAAATGCAATGATATATTAAAGAAATAATATGGGTTGAGATTCTCTTAGAATGGGAGTGGGGCTGGGATGGTATTCCTATGACAATTCTATGCCATAAAGCTTACTGAACTGAATGAGGAGGCTTCCATAAGGTGACATGGATGTTTTATGTTCCCTCAATCAATAGGAACATGGAAACACCTTTATAAAGTGTGCACATGGGCATACAGTTCAGAGATTAATTGAGAGACTTGGTTTATCTATTCTAACAAATGTTGGTTAAATTGCATTTTGTTTTCCTCCAGAACTATCAATAGTTTTTCTTTCTTAGATTGAATACATAAATCAAAAGAGCATACTTCATGAACTGTGATTATGAAACTCCTATCCTTCATATATTGATTCCTAAAACTTTATTTACCCATGCATTTTTTTCTTCATTGTATCATATTAGAACTGCTCTTTTTCACACTATTGTAGCTAGAGTCATCTATGGCTCTTGAATTGTCAATGTATCAAGGAGCCCTGAAAATAGCATAGAAAATGTGAACAAGCCCAATGCTAAATCATTTCTTGGTTCCACAGCTGTAGTATTTCATCAGCTTCAAATCGTAGTAATTGTTTTACTGCAATTCTGCATAATTACTAGAAGGATGACTATACTGATGATTCTTTGACACTATTTGGGCTATAAAATGTGTGGAACTGCTTAAGGCAAAATATATTGTCAAAGAAAACCCTAAAGTTTTACTTTTAAATGAAATGCCACTAAACACATATACTTATTTCCATATTGTTTTACCTACCAATCCATAACGAAATGCTAAAGTAAATTTTTTTACATATTTCAAAACTTTTATAAGAGTAACCAAAGGAAATCTTATAACTACAGCATGTGCTGATTTAATATGAAAACTAAGCTTTAAAAATTTTGCTAATATGATCAGTGTTCCCTATATGATAATAAAAACTATGAATTGATTTTTTCTAGTTTTAGTATAAAAAATGACACAATGAATTTTAGCTTGATATAATTTGAAATAGCCAATATATTAAACCCCAAAGTAAAATTTCAATTGGCAATCCTGTCAGATTCAAGTCCATAAATGAATATTAATTTAAACACTAATCATTTTCCAACAGATTGACACTTTAAAATGCTAGTTTTGGAATAAAAGCTGTGAGATTCATTACCATAGCAATATTGAGCATATTGTCTATTTGTTTGTTTAGGAAATTCGATTTCCAATTTTGGTATGTCTGGATTTCCTGACATCTTTTCCCCCAGATATTTAATTATTTAAAATAATTTTTTTTCTGATTTTGGTAAATTAGAATTCTGATTTTACTGATGGAAAGCTGATACAAGTGAACTGTCTGAGATAAAGCATAAGTTGAGATCTGCTAATTAATTTTATGCCACCAGGTATAAGCTAACCAGTAAAAAATCACTATAAGCAACGAACTAAAATTCTGGTTTCTGGGCCATTCCACGAATAGAGTTGTATGTTTTATTTTTTCACATGCACAGAAACACACACACTATATAAATTCATCAATTTGTGGCCATTTGGAAGATGGGTGAAAATCCACATATACATAAAGTGCAGGTTTGTAGTTTGAAACTTGACTAAACAAGATTATTAATCATTTGTTCTGTCCTATGCCCAGCATGATAAAAGTCCCTAATCCCCAAATTAAATGGAGTTTAGATGCATTATATAATCATGCAACAGTAAGTTACATTTTATACTAAAATATTTTTTCTGGAAATGTTCTTGCAGTTATACAATGGAATAGTAACAATCTACATTTCTCTATATTTTGTCCAGAAAATCTAGCAAAAAAATGTTTTTATGTAAATGCCAAGCAGCATGGGAGAAGAGAAAAAAAGCACAAGACTGATCATTGGTTAATGGGGCTGGCTCTGTCACTTACTACCTAAATAACCCTACACAACTCAACAGCTTGCCATACTTTAATGACTTGTGCTACACTCCACACTCCACTTACTTGTTTATGAAGAATTCAAAAGGCCCTCATTTTGTTCATCTAGTTCAATCTTCTTATGTAAATAGGAAAACTGAGTCAAATGACTCAGTTTGAGACGTCAAGGCGGGCAGGGTATAGGTGTGAGCCACTGTGCCCAGCTTCCATTACTTCTTATAACAACGTTTAAGCAATTAGTACATTCCTTATTAAACAACTATCATATGGATTCCTATAAATTTTATTCTTAAGACTACAGAGTAGCATAACCTAAATCAGATTTCCCAACTCCTAATCTCCTGTCCTTCCTGTCACTTTTTTTTTTTTTTTTTTTTTTTTTCAGACAGGATCTTGCTCTTTCGCCCAGGCTGGAATGCAGTGGCATGATCATGGGTCACTGAAGCCTTGACTTCCAGGCTTAGGTGATCTTTTCACTTTAGCCCCAACCTCCTGAGTAGCTGGGTCTACAGACACGCACCATCACACCTGGCTAATTTTTTTAGGGTGTTTTTTCGTAGAGATGAGGTTTTGCCATGTTGCCCAGGCTGGCCTCGAACTCCTGGTTCGAGCTATCCGTTCACTTCTACCTCCCAAAATGCTGGGATTACAGGCATGAACCACTGCGCCTGGCCTCCATTATTTCTTATAACAACTTTTGAGTAATCAGTACATTCCTTTTTCAAAATCTAGGCTGGGCACTCTGGCTCATGCCTGTAATACCATCACTTTGGGAGGCCAAGGCAGGTGGATCACCTGAGGTCAGGAATTCGAGACCAGCCTGGCCAACAATGGTGAAACTCCTTCTCTACTAAAAATACAAAAAATTAGCCAGTGTGGTTGTAGGCACCTGTAATCTCAGCTACTTGGGAGGCTGAGGCAGGATAATCTCTTGAACTCAGGAGACGGAGGTTGCAGTGAGCCAAGATCATGCCATTGCACTCCAGCCTGGGCAACAAGGGAGAAACTCTGTCTCAAAAAAAAATCTATAATATGGATTTTTATAAATTTCATAATACCTTAAACATATTCAGACTGTTGTCCAATATAAAGGAACCTTATATAGAGCTCCATTTTAGAGTAAATAATTGCTCTTTAATTTTCATTTGAATAAATCCAGATTCCCATAATGCTGCATACCCCTCAAATATTTAATAAGTGCTAGATGATTAAATGACAGATCTGAATGGTTTTCTAACATTTTGTGACTGCCTAGTTCTGTAGTTTTAATATAAAATGCAGAATAGTTTAAAACTTATGCAAAAAAATAAATAAAAGAGTGTACAAATCGAAAAGGACAAGTTTTCTCTTGATAGTCAAACAGTTATGAAATAAAGCAGTCTCATTAAATCATAAGTACTTTAACCTTTTCTTGAAAGAAGAGAAAGATTTAAAGATTCATGAAGAAATTTTGCCTAAACTAGTAAATGACTCATATTTGACATGTATTGAAATGATAATGCTGATTTCAGTAGGCACTCTAAGAGCATTTTATCCCCAAGGGAGTAATTCAGTCATGGTTACCGCTCTGCATTTAGATTTTAAACTTTCTTTGTGAAGCTTTTAATGTACTACTGCCTGCCAAAACATGGCACAGTTTCACAGATAACACAAAATAAAGGCAAGTAAAGATAATTTTTTTGTCATTGTTGATACAAAAATATGCAACAAACATATCTATTTGGCATCTTCTGCAAAGATGGCACTGTCTTTAAAAGTTTCTATTTCTACGTTTTTAATATTAAAACCCAATTCTGTAGGACTGGTCAGTGGGCAGAATGGAGACTTCAAGACAATGGAAACTTCAAGACTAGGACAAATTGGTCTCCTATCTGTTAACTACTGAACACATGGAGAATAAGCATTGAGAATCAGAAACCATCATGTCCTATGCACAAGGCTTGACGTCAGACATGACGTCCCCTTTGTGTATCATTTCAACCCTAGTTGTGTATGAAAACTCTGACCCCTGCCAATCACATTTGCTAAACTCATATCTTAGTATCTGAAAGCCAAAACAATGAACAATTATCAAGACCCTCTGAGGACGCACACTCATTATCTGCTTCAAGATTAAAAAAAAAAAAAAAAGTGAGAAATCAAAGATAATTTTTATAAAATGAACAAGGATGTAAATGTCCTCTAGTTCAAATGAGGTTCACATGAGCCACTGGATGGATGCTCATATGAGAGCTCATACTGGAAACTGTGGTACCCAGCACCCCAAGTTACATGATTTGGCTCTGTGTCCCCACCCAAACCTCATGTCCAATTGTAATCCCCAGCTTTGGTGGTGGGGCCTGATGGGAGGTTATTGGAACATGTAGACGTTTTCTCATCAGTACTTTAACACCATCCACCTAGTGCTAGTCTCCTGATAGAATTCTCATGAGATCTGGTGGTTTAAAAGTGTGAAGTACCTCCCTTTCTTTCTTTTCCTCCCTATTCTGGCCACATGAAGTGCTTGCTCAGCCTTTGTCTGCTGCCGTGATTGTAAGTTTTCTAAGGTCTCCCCAGAAGCTGAGCAGATGCCAGAATCATGCTTCCTGTATAGCCCACAGAACCATGAGCCAATTGAACCTCTTTTCTTTATAATAAATTACCCAGTCTCCGGTATTTTTTATAGTAGTGGAAGAATGGACTAATACACCTGGTTTGAAAGGCAGGTGTGGCTTTAACTGTATTGGGCCATTCCAGTGCCCTGAAAAAACAAAAGGATGAACTGTGCCTCTCTTCTGGAGACTGTAAATACCAGACATGTCACAGCTCTCTCAGCCTTTAGCAGCTTCTAAGGCTCATACAAACTGTGGTTGACAACTAAAATAATAATATAACACCTTTTGAGTGCCTCAAGTGTAAAGTTCATTAGTTCTAAGGTCACCATTTTAATGCAACAGACAAATTTTATTCACATCATCAGCTGCTGAGAAAGACAGATGTAAAAATCAAGCTGGGGTATTAATACATCCATGACTAGTAAAATTAGTACCAGACATCAAATGAGCCCTTACACATTTTTAAACAAAATAGAATATACGAACCCAAGAAAACAAAAATTTTCTGAGGATATTACAATTACAGATAGCATTGTCTTTAAGTTTCTGTGAGAGCTTTTACAGCAATTTTGGGGGAGGAAATGCTAGTATATCAAGAGATACATCATTAGGTCATTTAAATATTTTTCTTCTTTAGTTGTCATTTATACACACCTGAAATCTAAAAGATACTGCTGCAGATTTTGTGAGTAGATGCCATTTAAAAGAGAGAAAGGAAGACAAATCCTTGTGTTTAACCAAATGTTAAATATTTTTTATTTTACTCACCTGCACACTAAGATGAATCCATTTCTTCACAAGAATTCTCCCCAGTGTCATTACTTTTATTGGAGGTTGCAAACCATTTACTGTGCGATAATAAAACATGGTCTCTTTCTCAGATATTGTAAGTTTGAACACAATCTGCCCATCTACTGTCTTTTCTATAACACACCTTAGGAAGCAACCGGAAAAGAGAGAAAAGGTCAGCATCCAACCAAAAAGACATGCTAAGGTATTGTGCAGTTACAGTGGTGTTAAAATGACCTCAAACTTTGCTCAAAATGGTGTACTATGAATAAGTGCCTGAATGTCATTATATTCAATGAAAGCTTTATTCCAATGAAGAAGCCCCTTTATTTCAATAAAAAATAGAATTCTTATTTACAATATATTCCCCAGAGCCTCAGCACCCTTCATTAGAGATTCATGATGGAAACTAAAGTGGTTGAATCATTCTGCAAAACTAACATTTAGGTTATTGGCTCATTAGTTCTCCTGCTATTTCTTTTAGAGGAAGTGGTACAACACACTACAGGCCGCTTGAGTATTAAGTCATCAGTGCAAAAATTTTTTTTTAATGTAAAGCAAATTTAGTGTCCATGGAAGGCTCTAAATTGGTAGCCCTGAAGTCAGAATCACTCTATTTAATTCCCATGGTGAAATGAAGAATGGACAGCTATAGTCTCTACTCACCCCATCATCAACTGGCACAAAGCCAAAGCCAGTGTCTGTAAGATGACTGGCTACCTCTCCATGACCGTACAGTCCAACTGAGGTACTGAGATCATGTTAAATATCTGAGGTGAAAGGTCCTTCAGCCTTCTAGAACACAGTGAAATAAGATTTTGAAAAACTAGAAGAGTTTTCAGAAAACTTCCAGGTCTTGTGTCAGGGCAGTTATCAAATTATTTTAAGTTATCTCTACCCTTATTAGAGTGACACACCTTTCAGACCTTGAGGTCTCTTCTTCACCTGGTTACCTCCTACTTAGCTTTGGTATCTGAATGATTATGCTTGGTCCTGGCACCCTTCTTCCTGCTCAGGGTCGGTTGAGGGGTCTCACTTTGTGCTCACTTAACACACTGTGCTGCCTAGGTAATAACACTCATCCATCTGTACACTCCATTAGATCATTTAGATCATGAGTATTCTGAGGATACACACACAAACACCTAGGATACAGTAGTCTCTCAAAAAATGATGAGTTTGTGATCAAATTTGGTAGGAAGTATCAGAGAGGCAAATGTATAAAATTGAGCCAATCAAGAATTACTGCTAAAGATGGTTTAAAGCTTTCCTTAAAGGGCATGTTTTTCACACATAATTTCTTCTCACTTGCATCTATCACTTGCATCTATTTTTTTCCTGAGTTGGGAGGTAAGAATAAGATTGTAAAACACTAATAGTCCCTCATTTACTGTCACAATTTTACTATATTTTGTATGTATATTTGGTATAAAGTTATGAGTGCAAGTATATTTTTAATTTAGGCAAATAGATTTAGATGACATAAAGGTTTTATATAAGTAGAAATAAAAGTTTTATATAAATTCTACTGCAAATTATATTTTTAACCCTTCAGTAGTTGAATATTTCTAATTTACTGAAGTGAATTTGTTTTTATCCCTACCCATCAGGTCTTAACCTGAAAAGAGTTTGCCCCTATTCATTTTTCTTCTGTTTAAATCTACAAGTGAGAATTCGACCATTACTCAAGAATGTATTTACCAAATGCAGACTTATTTTCCCAAGCTTACTGAAAATGCATTTCTTAATATGTTATTGATTATCTTCCTTGCTATTTTGTTTGCTTGTAAACATACTAGCTTTGGTAGATAATAAATGTGAGAGGAAGGCAGGTAGCAAAATATTTAGGAACTGGATTTATTCTGCTCCTGAATAAACAATAATTGGATAATCCATGTTTTGTTTGTTTTACTTATCTAGTGCAAACACCCCGAAATTCCCCCAATTCCCAAAGGTATTTTAATTTTGAAAATGGAAACGACCTTGATACAAGGAACTCTCAAAACCATTAACCATGTTCTTCCAACCCTGTAAATACTTCTCTGTCTTATTTATACAAAATGATGTCAATAGAAGATGAATTTGGTACAGATATGTCCCTACAAGCTCAGAAGGATATTTTATCTTAGCCCTATTTGTCAAAAGACAATGTTTTAAGACTCTTCAGATGTTAATTATATAAACTGAGTAGCTTGAATTTACTAGAATTTCAAACAGTAAGAAAACAAGGTTTTCTTTGAGGAGAGATGTAGAAATGGGAATGGTTTGTGATTAATTTTGTGATTAATCCAAATTTAAAACAAAATGAAGACATGCCAACTTTCACTTGGCAAATTGAAACTAAACACCAAAAACATTTAAGTCCTATTTGCTTATGAGATTGTAATCCTTTTCTGGTTTGTTTCACAAGTTTTTAGATATCCAGCCAACGCTGTCACACACAGAAAATGTCACAAGAGAAAGGGCCAAAAGCCCTCTAGGAAGAAAAAAGATAAGCAAAAATTCCTCAAAACTGTCCTGTATATTAAAATCTCCAGGTTGGCAATAAATATTTAGAAGAAACTCATTAGATATCAGCTTGAGAAAAGATTACAGAATGAAAAACTGGTGATTAAATAACAAAAAATGGCAGTAATAAGACCCAGACTCATTGAAGGCATTTCTCTGGGATGAACAGCATGAAAGCTTTTGAGAATCTCTCACACTTACCTACATATTTCCTAACTAATTGGAAAATGAAAATACCACAAGATAAAGAACTAAAAGCTATATGTTTTTAGAGATGGAGGGTTATTTATATATTCAATTTATATTACTGAACATCTTCCATGAGTCAAACAAACAGCTCTTCTTGGGGAAACGAGGATGAAGAAAACAGTCCCAAGGACTGGGAGAACTATCTGCCTAATGAAAATGTTATACCCTAGTAAGGAAATGTTGATTATATAAACCCAGTTCAAGATTTTGAAAATATTAATTATTTGTATTAATTACAAGTTTCCATGCCTTAAAACTCACTCTGAGTCTTCTTTAGGCTTTGAAGGCTAAGACCAAAGGTCGCGCTAAGCTATAGAAAATAAATGATTCCTGCATAAACACATTTGCCTTTGATAAACTATTTTCACATTTTTTTTCATGGTCCATTTCATCCATAGAAGAGAAAAAAATTTTAATTGGGGAAACAACTGGAAGAGTTAGTCTTCAATACCATGAATTCTATATAGCCTTCACTTCCGGTTTGGAATTCAGGCTGAAATGATCTTCACTACTACTGGTTTTGGGGACCTATGAAAGCTTATACCTACACTACTACTTACATTACACCTTGTTGCTCAGGTTTCAGCCATACAGCTAAGGTAAATGATGCCATCAGCTTTGGAGAAGGAGGAGAAGAAAAGCAGCTCTTGTGATTTCCAAAAATAAAACTTGCAGAATTGCTATGGGCGTTAGGATGCAGATCATTCTTGTCTGGTGTGATGCAGCTACTGAGGCCTGCTGAGAAAAGGGCAGTGTAGGTAGGGTGTGAAGATCTGTATGGGCAATCCTGAATACAAAACCGCTGGGTACAGAACTGAATACTTTCAGCAGCAGCAGAGCTGTGACAAAAAGTGCTTCGGTCTGGGAGTCCACATACTGCTTGGGTTGGCACGATGGAAACTTTCTTGAAAGCTCCCACGTTCTCCAGCCTTGGGAAAAGACCTCGTGACTCAGTCAAGGATATTGAAGCAAAATAGGCAAAGATCAACATTTCAATGACCTGAAACAAGAAGCCAGAGCCCAATGAAAGAACTGGGCAATTCATGTTTACAAAAAAGCATTCTCCTCCTGATAAAGCATTTCTAAATAAATAATCAGGCCCACGCCACTTGCCAGCAATACTTTGAAGCAGGGTACTTTAAGTGATGTTGCGATACTCCATTTTCTGGAAACTGCAGACACGTTCTCAGAGTAAGGTAATACCAACGACGTTCTTAGCAATGGCGAAGACATGAGTAGCTGCTGGTATCTGGGAATCAAAAACGTAGGGCGTCAAGGGAAAGCTGCTGCACCTTTAAAACTGAAGCTCATCCCAGGCCTGAGGACTTTGAGCTCCTAGAAGCAACACTACTGAACTTCTCAAAAAACATTTTGAAGCACAGTGCTCAGAGTAAAATACTCATCCTTTTGGTAAATCTCTTGATTGCATTGGGCAAATCAAGCACTTTATAAGTCCACAGGACAACCAGTAATATTTATAACCAGTTATACATAAATATTTATATAATATATGTGTGTGTTTTATATATATATAATTATTAATAATATATTACACATACAATAATTTTGTGTTGTTACTTCACCCCAGGGAATTAGCAATGGCATTACCAGCTCTACTTAACAGGGAAAAGAATCTTGTAGATTTTCTTTACACATGCACTGTACATTGTAACCCAGAGCTAACTTACAGATGCCCAAAATAAAGCTGGCAAAGGACTTTGGGCCTTTCCCCTTATCCCAGCATGTGCAGCAACTTTAAGCTCAGAGTAAAGCTGATTAGAAACCCAACACCATCTGTCTGTCCTATGCTTTAATATTTAGCAAAATGTTTCTGTGTTTCCTCATATGACTATGAATTTGTAGGTTACACATGGATCCCTAATACTGTGCAAGTAATTGTATTGATAAATAAGCTGAGTTACCATTTCTTTATTGCATTTCAACCAGTCCCCTCAGTGTGACAAATGGCTCTTCAACAGGACCGCTGTCCCTCGTTGCCTGGCAACGCTGCTGTAACCCCTGGTTACTCAGCAAATAGGCTGTAGCAGCAGGAATGCTGGAAGGAAGACTTGGGTGCCCAGGTAAAGTATTCTGCAGAGCAAACACTTGGTTACCTGAAGCTCAGAGCGTGGTCTGCTTGGTGGCCCTCTTGGAACTGAGCTGCCCAAGCTTTCCGCTGGTACCTCAAGCAGTGGGAGGGACCTGGATGGGATCATGCATACATAATTTTAAAGTAGCAGTACACCTTATCCTATAATCCCCCCTCTTGCCCCTCCTCTTTCTTGCTCTCATGCACCTCAATCCATTTAATTCCTTAATCAAAATGATCTACCACTATTAAACACCACACAAGGAATAATTTCCAGTGCTCTTTCTTTTTGGGGGAGAAGAGGATACAAAATGGAATTCTAAACTTTTATATATTGATGCTCCCAAAGCTTGGCCCATTGATAGAAGTTTCGGTTGACTATTCAGTTGTTGCTGTACCTTTCACCCAGGATAACCTCTCCATAATACATGCTTCCTTACATTATGAGTAGCATCTGATGTGATCTCTAAATGTTGGGTTTGGAAAATCAGTGACTTTAATTAAACTAAAGAAGCAATGGGATTGCTGACTTTTTGGCTGCTTAATTGGATAGGAACGTGTGTGTGTGTGTATATGTGCACATTTGCCACCAATTCTATAGAGTTTCAATTATATCCAAAACTCTCTCTACTCTGCCATCTGGGACATCTCATCCTAGATGAGAAATATTCTAAATCAGCTAATACTTGTAGCTTTCCCTTTGTATTGTAAAAATGGAAAATTTGTTTGGGAAATAACTGGTCGATTGTGATTTTGTTCTCTATAAGTTATCTTTTTTATAGAAATGTTTAGAAATGAGAGAAATGTTTCATGGTGTTTCTTGTTAGTAAAGCAGCCAGAGAAAAACCAACATTGTTCTTTATTAGATTCCCTTTTATTTCTCTCCCAGAAGAGAGCTGGAAACCACAACCCATTTATATATCAATTTTATCAATTAGCATTAGTTGCTTCCAGAAGAAGCCTTTCTCACCCTTTGTCAAAATACGCTATTACATTCTTACCAGAAAAACTTTAATTTAAAACAAATTTTAGGGCAAAGCACAATGGCTCATGCTTGTGCCTCCTAGGGATTTGGGAGGCCAAGGTGGGAGGATTGCTTGAAGCCAGGAGTTCAAGACCATGCTGTGCAACATAGTGAAATCCCACGTCTCCAAAAAAAAAATAAAAATAAAAATAAAAATAAAAAAATTTAAGCCAGGCATGGTGGCACACACTCGTAGTCCCAGCTACTTAGGATGCTGAGGTGGGAGGGTTGTTGAGCCCAGGATTTCGAGGCTGCAGTAAACTATTATCACACCACCACTGCACTTTAACCTGGATGACAGAGTGAGACCATGTCTCTAAAAAAAAATTTTTTTAAACCCAAATTTTAGTATAAAGTCAGCTAATATGTAAGGACTTCTCAGAACTTGGGAAACTATCTTTGAAAATAGGTATTATAGAGCACAGTGAATTAGACAAATGGATTATTCAGACCTGCTACAAAACATGAAGTCAACCTACTTTCAAACAAGGTATTCAATGGCTGGCTTCTCTTTATATCTTGTGAATCCAAGAACTAATTCTCATTTTTTCTAAACTTTTATTTTAGGTTCAGGGGTACATTTGGAGGTTTGTTATATAGGTAAATTGTGTGTCATGGGGGTTAGATGTACAGATTATGTCATCATCCAGGTAATAAGCACAGTACCTGATAGGTAGTTTTTCAATCTTCCACCTCCTCCCACCCTTCAGCCTCAAGTAGGTCCTAGAGTCTGTAGAGTCTGTTGTTCCCTTCTACGTGTCCATGTCTAACTCTAATTTTTTACTGTAGTGCTTCAACTTATCTTTGTCATTCCTGGGATAAAAATTCTTCTACCCCATAACAACTCCTGCTTTGTATAGTAGGAAATCATGACTCAAATGGATAATCTAAGATTAGCAACTCTAGTCCACATTAAGAAACTCTGCCTATTATTTGCAAAGGCAAACAATGGATTCACATATCCCTCAACCTTTGCAATTCAGGGCTATCAATCCTGAGGGTGCATCTGATAAATGAATTAGACACTAAGAGTTCCATCACCCCTATAAGTGCCTGGGAAATAAGTACAGATTTTTTAAAAGGAAAGTAGATGTATATGGAGGGCACCTCTAGTTAAACATATGTAGCCATGGGCTATTTCCTTTCTTGACATTTCTGTGGATTCACCAGGTAGTTCTGGTCTGCATAAGCTTGTCTGGGGCTGGATGGTCTGACTCGTCCTCACTCATTTAGCAGTTGGTTTGACAGGCATTGGAGTCTACTGCAGGCTCATTCTGATAGCAGCAGAAAATTTTCCAGCAACATAACGTGGGAGGCCCTAATGTGAAAGTATTTTCAAGCCTCTGCTTACATCACATTTGCTAATGTTCCATTGGCTGGAGCAAGTCGTGTGACCTAGCACAGATTCAAGGGTTTTGAAATCAACTCCCCTTATCAAAGACTGAATGGCAAAGTCGCACTGCAAAGGGGAACACAGCTAACAGGAACGGAAAGAATTTGTGAACATTTTGCAAGCTACTACAGAGTAACTAGCAACTTCTTTTTCTAGTTGTAAAAACATCAAGTCACATTGCATCAGGATTTTCTTGTTTTGAAAAAGTCAAGAAAATGATATTTTAGTTAGACAACTATAAGCAAGTTCTGCTCATTAGTCTGGAAAAGCTTACTATAATAAGCCTATAATCAGCTTAGTTTTTCAAGTGCTTGAGGCTTAGCTCTATTAATGGAGAAGAAACAAGGGGTATCCCCTATTCCTGGGTATTTTGGCACCCATGGATTTACTATCAAAATTGACTAACTCTGGCCTAACTGATCAATATAAAAAACAGTGGGTGTATAAGTAATATTAGATATAAAAATAGAGGCATAAACTACAGATACAATGTGATTACAAATATAACAAAATATTGTAGATAATTTTATGACAATTAACTGGAATTCTTGAACAAATTAGACAAATACCTAAAACAATTTCCAACCTAAGCTGATTCTAAGAAGAAAGAGTTGGAAATAACCCAAATGTCAATCAATCAACTATAGAATGCATGAATAAATTATGGTATATTCATACAATTCAATAATATAACACGATGGAAGAAAAATGAGCTACTGTTACAAGCAACAACGTGGATAAATCTCACAGACATGGTTTGAGTGAAAGAAGCCAGACATATCAAGAACATGCTGTTTGATTCCATTTATACGAAGTTCAAACACAGACAAAGTTAATCTTTGGTGATAGAAGTCAGAATAATACTCTCTTTAGGGCAGAGGATCAAATGGGAATGGGTTCAGGGAAGCCTGCAGGAGTGCCTTGAATAGTATTCTGTATCTTAATACGGGTTGCAGTTACACAGGGGGTCACATTTGAAAAAAATTCATCAAGTTATACACAAGATTTGTGTGCTTGATCCCAATTATACTTCAAGAAAATAAATTATTTAAAAAATGAAAATATTAAACACAAATCATTTTATTCACTGAATAAGCAGTCTGTTGTTAAATTTCTTCCCTGAAAGAAAACAATGGGTCCAGATAGTGATGTAATTAGTTATACCAAACATTCTGGGAAAATGTAATTCCAATCTTTACCCTCTTATTAAAGCAATAAGAGGGACTATTTCCCAATTTATATTGTTTTCTCTTTCTCGCAACTTATTTGATGAGGCTAATATAACATTGATATTTAGGAAAGACAGGAATATATGAGAAGGAAAAATTACTGGCCAATTGCATTCATATATATAAATACAAAAAATATTCTAAATGAAACATAGACAAGCTGAATCAAGGAATGTATACAAAGATTAAGTCTCCTGACCAAGTTTGATTTGATTTGCAAAACTGATTTGAATTAGAAAATATATTACTATAATTGACCATAAAATATCTTAAAGGGAAAAAGTCATATGATTTATTTAGGACCAAAATCCTGACTAAAGGATTTATTTATTTAGGCCCAAAATATGGAATAAACTAAAAACAGAAAGAAGTTTCTGTAACTTAACATAGGTCATTTGCAAGAAAACTACTAACATCATGAAAAATAAAAACCTTCTTTATAATAATTAGCATTTTTGTTAAAATCAGGAGTAGAACAAAGCCACCACTACCACTGCTTCTATTTAACATTTTGGTTGCCAGTGAATTAAAATAAGGAAAATAAATACTAAAGGAAAAGTACTGGACATGAGATCATCAAATTTGTATATCACTTTAGATAACACAGTCTAAAGATAAATATTTGACCTAGGTGTCTGGAGGAGAAGATGCACACATCACAAATGCTGTCCATCAATTTTTTACTGTGTATACACACACACACACACACACATACACATATATATACTTTTTTTTGAAGGCACATACCATTTTACCCATTGTAAAAGTGGCTATATGACTTGCTTTAGCTAATGAAATGTGAGAAGTGACATGTGCCATTACCAGGGTGAAGCTACAAGTACCATGTGCATTTACTATGTTTTCTCTTTCACTAAATAACATAGGAATAGCGGGAAAGACAAAAGCATGGTCGGCAATTTTAAAATCAGGGAATGAATACCCCATAAAGAAGGAGAGAGAGGCAATGGGGAGAGGGAAGGGGAGAATAGAGGCAAATTACTGAGCTGTTACTGAAAACAGTACAGAAAGGAGTATGACTGCCAGCATCAGCAGATTGATTCTGAAACAGAGAAGGAAGGTGAGGTAACACCTCCCAGAATCTGAGATAGGTAGGCTAAGGGGTACCCATTCCGACTGATGTGCTTTAAATATATGTGAAGGCATATTTAACGAGGTGAGAAAAATCAGTTTATTCCTTCCTTCACCCCATACATTTTCTTTGTCTTTTAAAATTACACAAGTAATATATGACTACTGTAGAAAAAGATTTCTTTCAAGCAACATGGAGAGACAAAATTGCAGGCTTCACCCACCTCCCACTGTCATCTATCCATTATGCTTCTTCTGTTAGAATTGTGACTTTTTCTATACACATGAAATACATGTATACAACACAAAACAGATTCAATGTTCTGAAAAATTTAGCCAGTCTATTTTCAGAAATTCCTGTCTATTTTCTTTTGTGATTTTTTTGAACCAGTACAATTCGTTGCAGTGCTTAAATTTCAGACAGCAAATTAAATCAGTTTTTTCTTGATGAACAGCAATAATGCACACATTATGCTGTTTCTGAATTCTTGCTAAGGTTGCTAATACCTACAAGGTAAAATTTAAGAAATGGTATTCAAGCAAATGTGATGTGCCATTTGCAGGTAAAAATTGAAGAGCCAGTGCTGAAGATGTCCTCTCCCCTGACGTGTCAATATTGAAATGTAACATCCACCATCCAGGTCTGTGAATGACTACAATACCCAGAACACCCTGAAGACCTGTGATGAACAGGTAGCATGAAGACCACGCAGAAACAAACCCATATGGTTTTCAACCACTCAGATTTTAAGATTGTAATGATAATATAGACTATCCTTATATGAGGCACAGGGCCTGCTACATTACATCATCTTGCTCTACCTGCACTAGGAAAATTACTGACACTCCTATCCACTGGACTTGGGAGCAAGGTTTGATGCACTCAGTGGACACTAAGCATTACCTAATCTGCATCCACAAAAACATATTTCCTTCAGTTGGCTGACAGGCCTGACCTTGCAGATTGGAAGCAGCTACTTGTGAGGCCTGAAAGGGAGTGATTATATCTTTAATTTTTCAGTTATAGCTGAGGAAGCAGTAGCTCTTTGGCCCACAAGTGGCTCGAATTTCTTTAGAAATGTTGGACATGGTTGGAGAATAAACATATTTTTAAAACAAACAAAACTAACCACAATCTTCTCAGATGGATCTTACATACAGAGATAATTCATTTTACCAAGTACTAGCATATCATTCTAGCAAGCAAAACTCTTCAAGAGATAGAGAAACCTCCAAACAAAGGTCTGTGGGTAAAAGATGACAGGTATGGGCATGGCTGGAACTCAAGCAGCAGAGGTTATACAAAGTCAAGTCAAAGAAAACAATCAGAAACATTGGCAGGGGGATTATGTGTGAAACTGTCAGTCAAACATCCTATCTAGTAGAGAAGTAGGAAGTTCCCCTTTATACCATCCACATTCATTCATATAAGTCTCAGGCAGAAGCTGCATCATGATTCTAGGAAATCTCCCAGTATCCCACATAAGGGAAGCCTCCCTCCTTGGAGGTTACGGATTCACCTAGGCGCTCTGTGGAAGTTGATTTCTTGGAATTGCTTGATCCCCAAAGCCAGGCCTAGAATCCAGATAAGAGAGTATTTGCCTTCTAAAGAACTTCGTAAATTTCAGAACCTGTCACAGCCAAAAATAAAATAAGACATAAGGAGACAAGCCACATGACACAGCACTAACTGATGGGGTAGCCAGAAACTTGCCCTCTGGACCATTGAGGGCTAGGGAGGCCACAGTGAAGTAATGTTTTACAGCCTGAAGAGGCAGTCACTGAAAAGACTAGCAAAGTACCCTGTCTTGCTGTTGTTGCTCTGCCTTATCTCCCATAAGATCCAGAGAAGACAATGAGGGACATAGTATGTTTAAGGGAGATTTCAAAAAAGAAAAAAAAGATAAAGTTAAATTAATGGAGCATATACTCTCCATCACATAGAGCATTATGAGAGGTAAGACCATTTGGTGATTAAGAATGCAAACTGGGCTGGATGCAGTGGCTCACTCCTGTAATCCCAACACTTTGGGAGGTCAAGACAAGAAGATCACCTGAGGTCAGGAGATTGAGACCAGCTTGGCGAAACCCTGTCTCTACTAAAAATAACACACAAAAATTAATCAGGTATGGTAGTGCATGCCTGCAATCCCAGCTACTCAGGAGGCTGAGGCAGGAGAATCACTTGAGCCCAGGAGGTGGAGGTTGTGGTGAGCCAAGATGGCACCATTGCACTTCAGCCTGGGAGACAGAGTGAGACTCCATCTCAAACAGAAAGAAAAAAAAAAAAAAGAATGCAAACTGCAGCCTGGGTTAGAATCTTGGCTCAACCAACTATTAGCTGTGTGTTCTTGGGCAGGTTAGTTAAGCTCTTTTGGCTGTGGCTTCTTTATTTGTAAAGTGGGAATAATATTACCCACTTCCTAGGGGTGTTGAGGGGTTCAGTGTGAAGAATGTTGCTCCTGATCCATGTGTGAAAGAAATATTTAAAAAACACACAAAAAAATATGAAGAATGTAGAACAATGACCAAAGCTCTCTGTATGTATTCTTTTTCCAATTTAGAGTTACCACATTTTCTATAATTGTACATTAAAGATAATAGAGAGAATAAGGACATTTGGAGGAAAGACTACCCTACATTTCTCTATCATCATAGTTCACCAAACACTTTTATAGATTACCTTATTTGATCTTTATAACAACACTACAAATTGGACAGAGCCTGTATCACTCCCAGTGTACACAGGAAGAAAATGAGAACCATGGGTTAAGTGGCCTAGTTAAAGTCACTTCATTGGCAAGTGGAAAATCCTGGGAAGAAGTCCAGATTATCTAGATTAAGCCTGGTACACATTTAGTCCCCCTGCACTAAGGCTGAACTGATCAGAGGTTTTGTGGACGTGACAAGGTGTTGAACTGTGCCTTGAAAGTTGAGGACTTTTGTAGACGGAAGAGAAAACAATGAGAATTTCATGAGACATGAACTGAGTTTGGAATAAGATTGTACTGCATTTGTGGGACTTTTTCTATAGAAATATGTAGAGTAACAGAATTCAGATCTCAAATGTAGAACTTACCAGATTTCCAGATTTTTCTGAAAATTTCCAGAGCATTAACAAATGTATTATAAGTAATTTGGAGGAGCTTCAGTTTTTTATTCAATACCTGGGTCTTAGTAGCTCATATTCTATTGGCTTGGTCAAAATTTTTCAACCCATGTTTTTATACTTCTTAAATTATGCAAACTCTCAGGAACTCCAAGGTTGTATTTGTCTGAGGCATAAAAGCTTCACGTTGATATTTCAGGTTAGCCTGGGACAAGGGGAGAACTTGATACCTTTGATAGCATGTGGCAGGCCATCTAATTCCTGTCCATTCATTCTCGTCAACCTGGGCAAGGGCCCAGACTGAGCCTGGCAGGTGAATTCAAGAGTGGCTTTCGAGGTCTGAGCCTGGCAGTGAGATAACAGCTGCGAAGCAGTATGGGACAGGTAGCGGCAGGCAAGTTAATGGCTGGGAGCAGGACAAAGAGGTGGGTGTGGATCTGAAAATGAAAATGACACAATGTGGAGGGGGACAGCAGGCAAGCGGAGCACAGAACTGAGCTCAAGCCAAACAGGCAATCGGCAGTAATTAAGGGTCAAGTTTCTACAAAGAGCTATGCTCCTAGCAATGACATGGTCCCCCTTTCACAAAGTGTGAATGCACTGGATTGCCTGAAGCCCATGAGTGTGTGGTTTTAAAAAATGTTTTTCAGAAGGTGACAATATATTGAGGGAGGAAATGTGACAAAAACATCAGGATTCAGGGGACAGTAAGCTAAGCAGGAAGGGTGGTATGTTTGGTCTTAGAAACTCAATCCATTTGAATAACACTTAACACAGTCCCATGGAGTGAAAAAATACGTGCGACATTTAGAGTGAAATGGAAGACATAAAAGTCATGATGGTAGGAACAAAAATAGTTCTGTTTGGGAGAAAAAGCAGCATTGGGTGTTTGAAAGCTTTTTTGTTTGTTTGTTTTAGTTGAAAGGAAATCATAGGGAGTATGGTCTGTCAATAAACTCTTTGAAAAATGTTCTGTAAATTCTTTTCTATGTAATTTACTCATGTGGTTTATTAATATGATTTTTTGGTTCAGTAGACAAAGCCTTCAAAGAAGAGAAAAGCAAGAATTAGAAAAATGATCAGGATAATAAAAGTTGAGCAAAATGCATTGGCAGTACAGTTTCTAAACATTTGCAAACACCATCATTATCAGTATAATTAAAACAATGTGAGACATAAGGTATTTTACTGAAAAGAAAATTAAATATGAGAGAAGTGACATGATGCTCAACTCTGATGGGGCTAATTACTCTTACTGCTTGAACCAAAGTCCATGTGCCCTGAGGACCGGATCAGCATTTTTACCTTCTTCCATACCCACAAACATATTAAAGTACTATGTAAAATCAAAATATTCATGAAAAAAGGAATCAAAGAACATAAGTATGTAAGCAATCCTTTTGAAATAGTAACAATGCTAATAATAATATTAACTGAGTGCATAGTATGTGTCAGGCATCATGTTAGAAATACTATGTCATTTGGCTGGACGTGCTGGCTCACACCTGTAATCTCAGCACTTTGGTAGGCCACGGCGGGTGGATCACCTGAGGTCAGAAGTTCAAGACCAGCCTGGCCAACATGGCAAAACCCCATCTCTACTAAAAATACAAAAATTAGCTGGGAGTGGTGGCATGCATCTGTAATCCCAGCTACTAGGGAGGCTGAGACAGAAGAATTGCTTGAACCCGGGAGGCAGATGTTGCAGTGAGCCGAGATCGTGCCACTGCACTCCAGCCTGGGCAACAGGGTAAGACTCCATCTCAAAAAAAAAAAAAAGCCCAGAAATACTATGTCATTTAATCTATACAAAAAACCTCAAGCAATAATGCTACCACTATATGAGAATGTTGAGATTTGAATATATATATATGAATGTTGAGACTCATATATATGAGATTGCTGAGTCTTGGACAGTAAATAATTCATTAAAGTCTGACAATTAATATTTAGCAAGAAAAAAAAAGAGATTCAAATCAAACTCCATCCAAACCTTTATCACAATACCAGTTGTCCTTGAAAGCAACAATCTCAAAGAACATTCTAAGATTAGACGTTTTCTTATATTCTAAATGTATCCTCTAAAGTAATTTAGGTGGTAGTGTAACAGAGTGCCTGGAATACTGTCAATATTTACTGTCTGGTGAACGGATACTAACCCTAAGACAACTCCTGAAATTAAGCACTGACCTTTTGCTTCATAAATAAATAAATAAAGGATTTTATTTTAGGGCAAAAGGGAAAGCCCTTAGTTTAACTGAGATCCACAAAGGTGGCCCTGCTGGACTGTAGTGTACTCAGATGCCTCCAATTCTGTTGTTCTAGAACATTAGTAGAGCACTTTCAGAAGGATCATCTGAGAAAAAGCCACAAGGATGGAAAAAATGAGGAGGAAAGCATAGTTTTGAATGACTACTTGATACGATTGAAGTTATTGGTAATAAGGGAATCACTTTATGTAGGGGCAAATGAATCGACTATAATTTTAACCTAAAGTACCACTATAGGGGCTGTAAAATTCTTTCTACTTGGATAAATATTCTCTATTTGAATTGCAGCTTGCAGTGAGAATGTAATAAAGAGGAACCTAACTTGACAAGACACTATGACCACAGAAAAGCTCTTTGTTAGGCAGTTGCAGGGCTGGTCACCAGAACTGAAATAGAACAGTACAGTCGACAAATGACCCACCAAATGTAGCTGTAGTTAGAAAAACTCAAGTAGTGTGGGCAAAGGCCAAATGGGACAGATAACAGGGAAGGAAATGGGGCACAAGGGGAATCCCTGGAAGAATGATTGAGGGACTCACTGTATCCTCAGCAGCTCAGTCAAAGAAAGGGCCACTCTGCATGTTGGGATGACCCAGATCTATAATGCAGATGATAGCTGGGGTATCAACTCAGAAGCTGAGAGCCATGCTCTGGGCTCCAGATTTAGCATCAGAGGAACCCGCAAAACAAAAAACCACGACAAGACTCAATAGCTTTCAGAGTTCCTAAAAACACCAACTTAGGGTGAAGAGGGATGTAGGAGAGAAGAAAGAGAAAATAAAAGAGTCAGAGGGAAAATGAAAATAAAATTGCCTTTAAAAGTCAGCATTCTGTTAAATATTACACCATTGTTAACATGTTGGCTTAGCTTGTTCTTGTCAGGACAAAATATTGAAAAATAAAGTCTACTGAATTTGCCTCTAGGTGCAAAGAGAGAGTCTGCACCAGCAGCAACTGCTCTGTACCCAGTACTTTGTCACTTCAGCAGGCTTGGGACACTCCTGTCTTAAGCCACTTATAGCATTTTGTTTCTTCATTATTTTTTTCCTCTTCAGTTACAAATGCAGTAGTTCCCCAGCATGATTTAACAAGCCAGGAGGAGAGATGAAATAAGATAAAAATAAATGAAGAATATATTTTTACTTAATAATCCTTTTATGAAGAAATTATAAAACTAATACGTCAGTATTCATTTTTCAACACAGAAAACTTGCAAGAAAAAACACCCATAAGTCTAGCACCAAGATTACCACAACTAACACACTGTTACATTTTCTTCCAGTCTTTATGGTCCGTATATTTTTAACAAAATTTGGTTAATTGTTTTTAGCATTTTTGTATTTAACACTATCTTTGCCTATTATAACAATGATATCAGGAACATTTTTGCCTCCATTATAACTAATTGTCCTAAATGCAGTTCCTAAAAGTGACACGACTTGATCAAAGACTATGGATATTGTAAAGATACAAAACATATTGTCCTAATTGCTTTCCAGAAGTGCCATAACCAACTGACATTCTTACGCAGTATGTAAAAGTGTTCATGTCACCTCACCAAAATCAGCACCGAATATTACCAATTTTTACTCTTCACTCGCTTGATAGGGGGTGAATAAAATCTTATTCTTGTTCTAAAATTATTTGCTAGTAAAGTTGAACATGTTATGATTATTTGCCATCTCTTTTTCATCAGTTCATATTCTTTGCTTGTGTTTGTTGAGTTAGGTTTTCAAAAAAAGGTTTATATTATGTATTGAGAATGTTAATTTGGCATGCTTGCAGAAAACATTTTCTCTAGATTATTGTGTATCTTATTTTTTCAAGGAATGTGAATGTGATTTTATTTATTGGGGTACAATATACATAGCATAACATTTATCATTTTAACCATTTTTGTTACTTTGTTATTTTTTTTTTTTTTGAGACGTGGTCTTGCTCTGTCACCCAGGCTGGAATGCAGTGGTGTGACCATGGCTCACTGTAGCCTTGAACTCCCAGGCTCAAGTGATTCATCTCAGCCTCCTAAGTAGATAGGACCATAGGCACACAGCACCACAGCCAGCTAATTTTTTATTGTTTGTAGAGACAAGGTCTCACTATGTTGCCCAGGCTGGTCTTGAACACCCTGGGCAACTATGTTGCCCAGGCTGGTCAGTGATCCTCCTGCCTCAGCCTCCTGTAGTGCTGGGATTACAGGCATGAGCCACTGCACCCAGACCATTTTAACCATTTTTAAAGGCATAGTTCAGTGGCACTAAGTGCATTCATGTGGTTATATAACCATCACCATCATTCCCCTCAGAACTTTTTCATCTTTCCAAACAGAAATTCTGTGCCCATTAAACAATACACAATTCCCATTTACTCCAGTTTCAGGCAATCACCATTCCACTTTGCATGAATTTGACTGCTATGGGTACCTCACCTCATATAAGTGAAATCATACCATACTTTTATTTTTGTGGCTAGTGCATTTTACTTAGCAGAGTTCTCTAAGATCATCCACATAGTTGGATATGTCAGAATTTCTTTCCTTTTTATACACAAATACACTATATACACAAATACTACATTTTGTGTATCCTTTCATCTATTGATGGATGCTTGCGTTGCTTGCGCCTTTTAGCTGTTTTAATAATATTGCCATGAACATAGATGTCCAAATAACAAGTCCCTGCTTTTAATTCTTTTGAGTATATACCCAAAAATTAAATTGTTGGATTACATGGCAATTCTATTTAATATTTTGAGGAACTACCATACAATTTTTCATAGTGGTAGTGCCATTTGACATTCCCAAAAGTGACATACAGGGCTCCAATTTACCCACATCCTTGCCAACAACTGTTACAGTTTTGCTTGTTTGTTTTTTTAATAGTTATCTTAATGGGTGTGAAGTTGTATCTCATTGTGGTCTTGATTTGCATTTCCCTAATGATTAGTGATGTTCAGCATCTTTTTATGTATTTATTGACTATGTGTTTTAATGTAAGTAATTTCTATTTCTTTAGATGTTAATTTATCCAAATCAACCTTGTTTTGTGATTGTTTTATTATTTCATGCTTAAAACAACAAACTATCCCATGATCTGCAAGAAATTCATCTATATATTCCAATCATTTTTATGTTATAAGTTTTAACTCAAGTATTATTTTTGAAGTTAACTGATTAATAGAGCACCATTTATTAAAGATACTTCCATTTCTTCCACAAATGTAATAATGGTTTTTTTATCATATACAAAAATCCTTATACGTTTCCTAAGTTTTGTTTCTGAACTCTTATTCGTTATTGTGTTCCACTGAATCTTATAGATTGCTTAATTAAATATTGAAGAGCTGTATTACATTTTTGTAACAAGTAACATGTTACTCCTTTATTTCCCTATTCTTTGAAAAATTCATTGGTCTTCTTACACATGTATTCTTTTAGAATTATTATAAATGCTTTATTCAAAGTTGAATAAAGAAATTAAACATATTTGAGATGACACTAAACATGCAATTAATTTATAAAGAATTAACATTGTTCAAAATGTTTATCCTTTTCTTCCAGGAACACGATATTTCTTTCTGTTTATTCAAGACTTCTTGAAAATTCCCAGGAAAGTGTTTTATTGCAATTATTCATAAAAGTCTCACATATTTCTTATTATTCTTACGTAATTTACATATTAAACATATTATGTAAGGATCATTTATTTTCATTATATTGTTAAAATGATCATTGCCATATGTGAAAAAGCTACTGATATTTTTTGTACAATTATGTATCTGGCTACCTGATTGAACAATATTATCATATATTAAGCTTTCAATTAATTAATTTAGATCTTAATTACAGAATATCAGTGATGATATTGATAATATTACCCTCTATATTCTAATAATACTAATAGTAATTGCTCTTATTTTATACAGTATCACATTTACTGAAACATCCAGAACAATACTTAATAATAAGGGTAACTGCAGGCATTGTTATCTTATTCCTTCATGTAATATAAATGCTTCTCACACCGTTGGAAAACTATAAGGCCAAGACACCCAGAGTTTGACTGCAAAAATCAATTATTCTTTTAAAATGTCACCAATGTGTTTTTTTTTTTATTTCTAGGGTGCTATTCATATTGCCTTTAATATTTTTATTTATTATACTTTAAGTTCTGGGATACATGTGCAGAACACACAGGTTTGCAACATAGTTATACTCGTTTCATGGTAGTTTGCTGCACCCATCAACCTGTCATCTACATTAGGTATTTCTCCTAATGCGATCCCTCCTAGCGCCACATGCACCGACAGGCCCTAGTGTGTGATGTTCCCCTCCCTGTGTCCATGTGTTCTCATTTTTCATATTGTGAACAGATTTTTTTTATTTTGGCAGAACAATGAAACGCTTTATACATTTATGGAAGGAAAAACCCTACTTCATTGTGGTGGCTGCTTCTTTTGATGGTGAATTAGATGTGCTAGGATTTTATTTGGGAGTTGTACACTTATATTCATGGCATCAGATGGTATTTTTTGTAAGACAATTATATTAGTTTTGTTAATTAAATGAAATAATTTGAAAGATTTTCCTTCCTTCATCAACTTAGTTCTGAAAAAAGTGTATGTAACACAGAGATTAAAAGTTCTTGAAAATTGGGAAGGATTCAAAACAAAACCATTTGGCCCTGGTGCTTTTATTTGGTGAGGGGGTGTAATTACTGGATAACTAAAATGTCGCAGTATTATTGACATGTTTTCTCTGGCATGATTTTACGTTTGTATTTTTCTAGAAAATTATGTATATTATCAATGTTTTTAAATTGATTACCATAGAAATGGTCTCATAATTATACTGACCTCTATCTATTGTTACTTGGTTTTCTACTTTTCTCTATTAGATTTGACAGAAATTTATCTATTTTAAGCATTCATTCTTAAATGTATTTATCAATGTATAAACTGTTTTTATATTCTTAGTCATTTTTTTTGTTTTATCCCTATTAAATTCTTCCTTATGCTTTTCTTGGACTTACTTGGCATTGCATATTCAATTACTGTTTTTTTCTCATTAAATAATGTTAATATTACTCAGGCAATTACAATATCAGTGCCTTTTACTGAGTGCTTACACTCTGATAGGTGATCACTGTGACAGTGCTTACACTGTGATACACTTACTATGCTAAGATATTTCAGACCTTCTCATTTTTCAGAATACTTATCACATGAGAAAACTATTGTCTGAGGAATTCAATAATAGATGGCCAATAAATTACAGAGGTCATATTTGAAACCCAATCTGCATAACTGAAAAACCAAAGTTAATCATTATGGAACTGTACTGAAACAAAAGTAAAAAAATAATATAAAGCACATAAAAACAGAGATAAGAAAGTATAAGTCAAGAAAAAACTACTCCAAAGTGCAGTTCACAATGAACATGAAGCTAGCATGGATTTATGAGGTCAAAAATTTTTAAGCAAAAATAATTAGAAATACAAGTAGAAATATTTAGAAAATTATTATAGAGATTTTAACATATGTATTTCCCCAAAGTTGATACATTGAGATCGAAATTTTAAATATAAAGAAAAAATGTAATGTGTTTATTCTAATGCATTTTAAATATAAAATTTGAAATTTACATTAGAATAGACAAATTTCAAAATAATTAGAATATATTGATATGGACATACGTTAATATTTGTATCTAGTGCGACTAAAATTCCTTTCCAGCATGATAAAACATGTATAAATATTGCATATTACACTCCAAGGAAACTTCTATAAGTTACAAAAAGAAGATGCTTTGGAGATCACATTCTCCAACCATAATGACTAAAACCACAAGTTAATAACAAGGTTTAAATAAACAAAGCTGCGAGTTGATTTCTCAACAGAAGCGATGGAAACCAAAAGACAATTGAACAGCACCTTTAAAGTGTTGATGGATTGTAAATGACAGCCCAGAATTCTATACCCATTACAAATAACCTTCAAAATCAAGGATAAAATAAAGATATTCTCCAATAATTAAATTTATGAAAATTTGTTGTCTGTAGACATTCATTTAAAGTAGAACTAAAAGAAGTCCTTCAGTCAGAAGAAAAACAAGCTTGGGAGGGAGATGCCAGGCAGAATGTAAAGAAACATGAAAAGCAAATATGTTTGTAAACATAAATACCTACTGTACAAAATAATAGATGTAATGTTTTTTGGCATTTAAATTGAAACTTTTTTTTTTTTTTTTTTTGAGACAGAGTCTCGCTCTGTCATCCAGGCTGTAGTGCAATGGCTCAATCTCAGCTCACTGCAACCTACGCCTCCCGGGTTCAAGAGATTCTCCTTTCTCAGCCTCCTGAGTAGCTGGGATTACAGGCACGCACCACCACACCCGGCTAATTTTTGTATTTTTAGTAGAGACGGGGTTTGACCATGTTGGCCATGCTGGTCTTGAACTCCTGACCTCGTGATCCATCTGCCTTGGCCTCCCAAAGTGCTGGGATTACAGGTGTGAGCCACCATGCCCAGCCCCCAAAAAAATAATTTAACAACAAAAGTAAAACAAAAATTTGGAGGGATTAAATGAAATTAAAGAGTTTATAGTTAAATTTTTAAGACACGATTATCAGATTATATGCTGCTTACCTTAGAAAGGCTGAAAGTGGACATGATATACCAAGCAAATGCTAACTAAAAGAATGTGTGGTAATCATAATAAAATATTCAGGAAAATAGACTTAAAGAAGAAGTGTTTGAGATAGAAAGGTACATTGTATAATGCTGAAAGGGTCAATCCACAAAAACAGCATAAGAAATTATATATGTTGGTAGTTACAAGTTTCAAATATATACAGTGAAAAATACATAAAATTAAAGAATAAACAAACCCACAACCATATGGAAAAGATTTTACCTTATCCATCATAGTAATTAATAAACATCAATAATGATTTTTTTAATATAGGAGAGTTAACACACTTTACCCACTCAACATACAGAGAGCACAGTTTCTAATCATAATAGAATTGACTGTTTTCAAGCACACATGGCCTGTTTCCTGAAATTTATCATGTGCTTGGCCACGAAGCAATTCCCAAGAACTTTCAAAAGATTTAAGTCAATCAGAGTATATTTTCAGACCACAGTGAAATTAAGCCAGAAATCAATGACAAAGATACTCAGAAAATCTCAAGAGTTTAGAAATGTAGCAATACATTTTAAGGTAATTCATGGATCAAAGAAAAATGAGAAAATAAGTATTAGGAAATATTTTGAGCTTACCAATAATCAAAATAAGACATCAAATATTCCTTAAGAGGAAATGAGAAATCTAAATGCACTTATGATAAAAAGATTAAAAATCAGTGACTCAAGTATTAATCTCAAATACTTAGAAAAGAATAAATTAAAATTTATAAATGTAGAAGAAAGGAAATAAACCAATAAACAGAAATCAATGCAAAGAAAATTGTATAATAGAAAAATAGAGAAAACCAAAATTATTTATTTGGAAAAACTAATAAAATTAATAACTAATGAGTAAAAAACTAAAAGAAGCAAAATTTACCAATATCACAGCAATATTCTACAAAATTTACAGAAAAGATGTGACATTATTAACATCTGTATGTCAATAAAAGTGAAAATTATATGAACTGAGAAAATGCTTAGAAACATTCAAAAAGCTGAATATTTCTGTGTCTGTTAAATTAAGTAGTTCTATAATTAAAAATATTCCCACAAATAACTGCTGACCCAAATGACTTTGCCAAGAAATTTTTCCAAACCTTTAAGAAGATAGAAATTCTTCTAGAGACTATATAAAGAAGAAATTTTTCAAATAGTTTTATAAGTCTAAAATCTGAAAAGGAGATATATGAAAAAAAGAAACTTTACATGTTAATCTTTCCTCCAATGTGAAAAAATCTGGAAAAATATTAGCATACATAATAGAGTAATGTCTATAAAGTACAAAGCATCACAGTCAAGTTGATTCCTAAAATGCAAGTTTGATTTACCCTTTAGAAAGCCAGTGTAATATGCCACTTAACTAGGGAGAAAGTGCATGTGACCATCTCAGTGATTACAGAAAAATCATTGTATAAAATTTAATGTTCATTCTTGATTAAAAAGAAAACAATTTCTAGTAAGCTAGGAATTGAAAAAAAATTCCCTCATCTAATAATAATACCAACAAAATAAAAGGATTATAGTAGATATTATAGTTATTGGTCAAATATACAAACCTGTGAAAAATAAAATGAAGTGATTGAGAACAAGATATAGATGTCCATTGTCACCATTTCCATTTATCATGAAACTGAAAATCTGGACCAGTGCAATAAGGTAAATAAAAGAAATAAATTGTAGAAATACAGGGAAAGGAATAAATACACCTGTCAATATTTACAGACAACATTAATGAACATGTAGAAAATCCAAAAAAATCTACAATTAAAATTAATAAGTAAATTTACTAAAGTGGCTGGGTAAAAGATCAAAACAAAGAAAAATCTGTTACATTTTTATCTACCAACATGCAATTAAAGCAAATTTTAAAATTTTTATAAGCATAGCTTACACAAATCAAAGAGATAACTTTAATGAAAGACACAGAAACTGTTAAAATTTTATTTTGATAAGTAAAATAAGTCACGAATAAATTGAAAGCTACTTTATATTCATGAATTGAAAGACTTAGTGTTATAAAGATGTTAATTCTCCCTTAATTGAGCAACAAAATTTAATTTTAGCCCAAAGAAAATCCAAGCAAGGTTTGATGGTGGGGACTGACATATTAATTACAAGATGTATATAAAACTGAAAGGATGAAGAATAGTCAAGACAACTATAAAGAAGAAAAATATAGTTGGACAGGTAAAAAGAAACGGGAGGCTGGGCACGGTGGCACATGCCTGTAATCCCAGCACTTTGGGAGGCCAAGGTGGACAGATCACCTGAGGCCAGGAGTTCAAGACCAGTGTGGCCAACATGGTGAAAACCTGTCTCCACTAAAAACACAAAAATTAGCCAGGAGTGGTGGTGGTTGCCTGTAATCCCAGCTACTCGGTAGGCTGAGGCAGCAGAATCACTTGATCCTGGGAGGTAGAGGTTGCAGTGAGCTGAGATCTGCCACTGCACTCCAGCCTGGGTAACAAGAGTAAAAACTCCATCTTAAAAAAAAAAAAGAAGAAGAATAAAAAGAAGGAGGAGGAGGAGGGGGAGAAGAAGAAATGGGGGTAAGCAAAGAACAAAGAACACTAATGGACACCAAGATGTAATAAAGCTAGATTAAGATAGTGTGACACTGATGAAAAGAATAGAAAAATGCACCAAAGAAAGCAGAATAGGCTGTCCAGAAACATATTCAGACATATATAGACACAATGTGAAAGTGATGCACTTCAGAGTAGTGGAAAAATTTATTATTGTTTTGGTTTTGCTTTAAAAACAAGTGATTCTGTGTTGACTTGCTATAATAAGAAAGAAAAAATAATAATTGTACTATACACTAAAATTAATTCTAGATGAATTATATTTATAAATGTGAATAGTAGGATAGCAAAGCATCTAGAGGACACTGTAGGATAATATACTCATGACTTTAGGCTAGGGAGAATATTTAAAGCAGGACATGGAATGATTATCCACAAGGAAAAGATTAATCCACTTCTGTATATTAAAATTAGAAATTTCTGCTTATCCAAGACATCACTAAATGAGTAAAAAGGCAAGCCACAGAGTGGGATAAAATACCTGCAATACATACATGTGACAATTATTATCAGAGTATATAAAGAACACCTACAAGTCAATGAGAAAATAGAAACAACATAGAAAAATGGGTAAAATACTTGAAGGTTTTCACAAAAAAAAGTCAGCAATAATACAAATAGGTACTTAGCTTCTCCTGTGATCAGAGAATTTAAAAACAATTCACCTCGACCAAAATAAAGTTAAAAAGATAAGAAATGCCAAGTGTAGCAAAGATGCAGTGCAACTAGAGATCTCATGTACTGCAATTCCATTCCTAGGTTTCAACTCAACAGAAATTTGTCCCATATGTTTACCACAAGATATATACTTACATGAATTAGAATGTTTATAACAGTGCTATTTATAATAGCCAAAACCCAGAAATTATCCAAATGTTCATCGACAATGGAATGAATAATAAAGTGTTGAATATTGTCACAATAAAACTCTTTGCAGCATTGAGATTGAATAGTCTACAACTATATGCAATGACATGTTCGAATCTCACAAATATGATGCTGAGTGTCAGAAGCTGGACATGAAAGTTTACATAATGTAGATCACATTTACATAAAATTCAGAAACTGGGAAGACTAATCTGTCATAATAGAAGTCAAAATAGTGCTTTCCCTTGGAAAAGGTAATGTCTGAATGGAGGTAGTGTTAAAGCGGTAGATGGTAGTGGTGAAGTATGAAGCCAAAGGAGGGAGGATGCATTTGCAGGTCCATAAATGTTTCTTGATTTTGACTGTGATTCCAAAGTATGTTCAGCTTGTGAACACAAACATTCAAGTTCTATAATATATATTTATGATTGGTACATTTTGTATATATGTTATAATTCAATAGAACATTTAGAAAGAAGCCAATCAGACATTGTCTGCGTTTTAATGGGTGAGTTGAATCCATGAACATTTGTTTTTTTTTCTGCTTTCTTGGAATTTATTTATTCTACCTATTATTTTTCTCCTTTCTTCCCTTTATACAGTTTGAACAAGTTTTCTGATTCATTTTATTTTCCTCATTGATGAAAAGGGACATATTTTATTCACTTTCTTATAATAATCATTCCATTTTTTTGCCCACATATTATTTTCCAGAAAAATGTATAGAGTTCATCAGAATCTGTGTCTTTTACATAAAGAAATCAAGAACTTTGGCATATTTTTACTTCTACTTCTGTCCTCTCTTCTCCCTATCATGTAAATGCCATCTGGAATGTTTGTTTCAAGTCGTATTTTAAATAAATAGCCAAAATTTACCTGGCCATACCCATGAGTTTTACTAACATAACTAAATGTTTATTTATTTATTTTATTTTATTTTATTTTTGAGACAGTCTTGCTCTGTCGCCCAGGCTGGAGTGCAGTGGCCTGATCTCGACTCACTGCAAGCTCCACCTCCTGGGTTCAGACCATTCTCCGGCCTCAGCCTCCCAAGTAGTTGGGACTACAGGCGCCTGCCACCACCCCCGGCTAATTTTTTGCGTTTGTTTCACCGTTTTAGCCAGGATGGTCTGGATCTCCTGACCTCGTGATCCGCCCGCCTCGGCCTCCCAAAGTGCTGGGATTACAGGCATGAGCCACCGCGCTCGGCCCTAAATGTTTATTCTTGCATTCGATTTATACTTCCTACATTCATTTTCTTCTTTCTGAAGCAATATTTTCCTTTCCAGAGAATGTCTGTGAATGACCAGATTTATTGAGTTCTTACTTGTTGATTATGTATTTATCTCATTCTTGCACTTAAATGATTCTTTGACTGGGCGTAGATTCTAGGTTTAAAGTTCCTTGTCCCCAGATCTTAGATCTTGTTCCTCTGCCTTCTTATATCCAGTTTAAGAAAAATGATGTCAATCTGATTATCATGACTTTGTAGCTAAGCGGGTTTCACTCCACGCTCATCTGTGGGGTTTTACAGCTTTCTTTCTGAAATTTCCATATGTTGAGTATAGGTGTGGGGTCATTTATTAAATGTTTGCTGCTAGTCAGAAGTATCCCTTTCAATGTGAAAGTTCTACTTTAGAAATTATCCTGTTTCCGGTTTACATAGTTTCTCTTTTCCATAATTCTATATTTTTCATCTATATATTTTATTAGCCAAATTATAAAAACCAACATATTCATCCTACATATTTCCTACTTATTTGCATTCATCTATCGTGCCACATCTTGGGTAATCTTTGTTCATCTTCCAGGTTATAACTGGTCTCTTTGGCTATATCCCTTCAGCCAATTCAATCAGGTTTTAAGCTTTTTATTGCAACAATAAAAGTTTAATTTCTCTGGCTTTAATCTGTTTTTGTAGTTCATTTGTTATGACATTAGTTATATTTATTCTACAGTTATTTTTTATAATACAAACTGTTAGAAACTTTTAAATTTTTTGCATCTGTCCTCTCTCAAATGGCAAGTTTTCCTCAAATGTTTGATGAGTTCTGAATGTACAATTCGGTTTAGTAGAAATTGTCCATTAGCCTGCAGTTTCTATTTGGGCAGCCTACTTAAGAAGATATAGGGAATTTAAGGCTACACTGTATTCCTGCAATAAAAAAAAAAGGCCACCGAAGCGACAAAAAAAAAAAAAATCTTTGGGAGGCTGAGGTGGGCAGATCATGAGGTCAAGAGATTGAGACCATCCTGACCAACACTGTGAAACCCCATCTCTACTAAAAATACAAAAATTAGCTGGGCTTGGGAGGCTGAGGAAGGAGAATCACTTGAACTGGGGAGGTGGAGATTGCAGTGAGCCGAGATCACACAACTTCACTCCAGCCTGGGCAACAATGTAAGACTCTTGTCTCAAAAAAAAAAAAAAAAAAAAAAAAAAAACAAGATGTCTTGGTTACTGGTTTTATGGCTGCTGGTGTTCCCTGTTCTCACATCTAAGGAGGCTCTGGGTACACTGCCTTCCAGTTGGCTCCATTCAAGCTCCCTTCCCTCTATCTGTTGCTTCTCTCTAGCCTAAGGAAAAGGGGCAGGAGGATGCAACAGTCGACCAACAAGTGCAGCTGGAAGTCATCAGCCTATAAATGCCTCTCTGTCCCATCCTGCTCCCAGGTGCTACTTCCACCTTTGTTGGTGTTAAGGTGCCATTTAGCGTTGAACTACAATTTAGTTCTTCAATCTGGATCCATCTGCTTACCATCTCTAATTTTCTCCCATAGCTTCTGGCATTAAGGTTTATCCTTTTTCTCCCAGTGTAGTTGTGTTGATTTTTAATCATTTTACTAACTTTAAAAAATACTTATTTTTTAATAAGTGAGTGTCTTATTAATAAGTGAGACAGTGTCTCACTATGTTGCCCAGGTTGGACTTAAACCCTTCTCCTCAACCTCCTGAGTAGCTGGGACTACAGGCACATGCCATTGTGTTGTAACATGTTTTACATGCTATAGCACCTCCGACCTTACCTCTAAAACATGATTCAATCATTTTGAATCACACGTCTCAAAACTTTTCCTAACACATTTACAATTGTCAAAGTTATTAATACAACCAAAGGTCTTTTGCCTTCAGTTTTAAGAAGTGTTGAAATAGTTATACCTTTACTTCTCTCTACTATTACCTCTTCCTGATCTAACGTCCTATTTTTTTAAATGTTTAGAATCCTTATTTCTGCTATTTGCTATATGAATCGTCTTTCAGACTAATTTTACACAAATTTAGGACAACTTGACTTCGATCTCTATTTAATAGATTTTGATGCTCTTGTTCTGGTCTTTCACATCACAGCTATTCCTAGTTTCCCCATTCTTAATTTCTTGACATTGCTGCTTCTTTCACATAGCAGGTGAATAGAATTGTGTCTTAAAAGAAGCTTTCTAGTTTAATTATATCCCACTTGTCAACCATTGTGGAAGACAGTGTGGTGACTCCTCAAGGATCTAGAACTAGAAATACCATTTGACCCAGCAATCCCATTACTGGGTATATACCCAAAGGATTATAAATCATTCTACTATAAAGACACATGTACACGTATGTTTACTGCAGCACTATTTACAACAGTAAAGACTTGGAACCAACCCAAATGCCCATCAATGATAGACTGGATAAAGAAAATGTGGCATATATGTACCATGGGATACTATGAGGCCATAAAAAAGGATGAGTTCATGTCCTTTGCAGGGACATAGATGAAGCTGGAAGCCATCATTCCCAGCAAACTAACACAGGAACAGAAAACCAAACACCACATGTTCTCCCTCATAAGTGGGAGTTGAAAAATGAGAACACATGGACACAGGGAGGGGAACATCACACACTGGGGCCTGTCTGGAGGTAGGGGGCAAGGGGAGGAAGAGCATTAGGACAAATACCTAATGCATGTGGGGCGTAAAATCTAGATGATGGGTTGATAGGTGTAGCAAACCACCATGGCACATGTACACCTATGTAACAAACCTGCATGTTCTGCACATGTATCCCAGAACTTAAAGTAAAATAAAATAAAGTTTAAAAAAAAACCCTCACGTAGAATAAAATGTAAATAGCATCCCATGTGTTAGTACAATATTATAGTCCTGGCAGGTTTATTTTGAAAGAAAAGCAGAGGGGTAACGTTTTCTCTTCTGATATTTGTTAAGGTAAAAGAGTGATATGCAGTTAGATGACATTAGTTAGGCTAACAGAATGTTTTGAACATTTAAAAGAAAATTGTTATCATTTGTCTGTAAGCCCTTTAGGTTTGGTTTTTAAAACCATTTCTGTCTATTGTATTCTATTAGACTTTTAAAAACAAGAAACATCTACTCTAAGGTAAATAATGATGAATAATTTTTAAAGTGGGAAATAAGCATTCCTCTGAGATGAGTCAATATCATACAGTGCCCCAGCCTTATTATACAATCTCTCTAAAGGTTTATTTACCATTTGATCAAGTGTAAAAGCCCTATGTTCTATGTAGAAGCTGAGCCAAATAGGTTGCTATTTACTCAGTCTAATTCCAGGGTCTCTCTCTCATTCCCTCTTTGGAGTCTCAGCTCCTCAATTGAGCTGACAAACCTACAAAATGCTCCATCTCCTGTGTCTGGAATTTTCATCACTGCTTTTTCTGGCCTGGCTTAGATAAGAGATTTGAAAGTGCATTAACTACAGAGGGACAATTTACAAGAGACATAGATAGATACAGATAGTGGAGTGACCCTTCTGAATTATTTTTTCCACAAAATTTATTTTCCCTCACATCCTGTTTTTCCTGGATGGCTAATCTGTTTGATTATTGCCTCAAGGGTGAGATTAGATAGGGCAGAAAAGGGGTGAGTGGGCAAAAGAGTTCTGTTTATGACTGGTTTAAGGGCTGGGCACAGTGGCTCACACCTGTAATCCCAGCACTTTGGGAGGCCGAGGCAGGTGGATCACCTGAGGTCAGGAGTTCAAGACCAGCCTGGCCAACATGGTGAAATCCAGTCTCTACTAAAAATACAAAAAAGTTAGCCAGGCATGGTGGCACATGCCTGTAATCCTAGCTACTTAGGAGGCTGAGGCAGGAGAATCGCTTGAACCCAGGAGGTGGAGGTTGAGGTGAGCCAAGATTACTCCAATGCACTCAAGCCTGGGAGACAGAGCAAGACTTCATCTCAAAAAATAAAAATAAATCAAAAACCCTAAAGCACTTCAGAAAATAAAGAGCTCCCTAGACAGTCATAAAATGTTTGTAGGCAGGGGTCTTGAGAATTGTAAAGGGTAGGGCTCCCAGTCAATCCTTCCCAAATCTTCTAACCTATGGTATTTTGGATGGAGGCTGTGGGGGTGGTGGAAAGGGATGGAGAAAAAAACAAACAAACAAACAAAACAAACAAACAAAAAAACAAGAATCTTGCAGTTCAGAAGATGAGAGAGGGGAATGGGTCCTTTGTTCTCAGGTCCTAAGATCATTTTATAGACTCTGACAGTAGAATCTTATGCCCTGTTCCTTCAGAAGGCATCATGAAAAAGTGACAAGCTCCATAAGAAAGAAAGGCTACAGAGTGAGTTTAGGTTGAACAAGATCAAAACCCTTACAGATACTACTCCTGCCCTTCAATGGTCCAGAAGCAACAGGCTGATTCACACACCCCAAAGTATTGCACTGAAACAGAAGCAAAAAGGAATCTCTCCATACAGCATGCTTGAATCGAGAGCCAAAGAAAAACCTGGAGGCTGGTCATCTATTAGACTAGAGGATTCCTTAGTCACTGTTTTCTTATGCTAGGTAAGCTCCACAAAACTTAGTTGCAATTTGGAAAGAAACTTCCATGAGCTGAAATTAAACTTAGAAAAAAAAAGTGTAGTTTTGCATACCTTAATTACAGATTTTCATAGTACACAGCACTTCATCAAGTAAGTATCTACTTGATGGCCTCTCAGGCGCAAGAATATGGGGAGGTGGGAGGAGATTGGAGAATTAGTATTTCATGTGCATTTGTAAGCACCAGCATCAGTGCTAAGTGCTTTACGTGTATTAAGTTCCTTATCCTAGAAATAAAATAATTAAAACCCAGTAGGAAGTAACTACTGTAATATCTGGTTTTATAAATGAAAAAGTTGAGTCTCACAGAAATAACATGGCCAACACTCCCCAGGTGGTGATAGGATTCCAACGCAGGACCATCTCTCCTTCTGACTTGCTCAAATCTGGGCCACACCCCACACCTTGTCAAATTTTTATCCTTCATATCTAGCACCCACCAGATTACTACCTAAGTTCATGAAGAACCCGGGCATCTGATCTCAGTGTCTCTCTCTCCTATCCCATTTTACCATTATTCTGCTATAATCAGCAATTCACTGACTTAACTAAACCAAGGCCATTATAGTTACCAACATCTTTACCCCTTCTGAAATCTTAAACTAAGGATCCCACTTACTTTTCATAACCTTCACTCTTTCCACCTTTTTCTCACTCTCCTACTTTTATTAAACCTATATCAGGAGCTCCTAAAAACTATTACTCTTTGCATCATCCTTCTTTATTATCCCAGGCTAGCCTCTCCTGCCCACACCACAAACTCATTATATCAATCACTTTAACAGTGCTCTAACAATGCTGTCAGTTCTTCTCCTTCTCTTCTTCCACCCCACCCCTGCCAGTCCTAACCCAGAGGCAGCCTCCTATTTCCTGAGTATGAACTGCTAAGTGTTGCTAGAGAAAATCACCTGGCTCTGTGAATTGCTGCCACTATAAATCTATGACTTCACATCCCAATGGGACTCTCGAACACTGTCCAGCACTGTTTATATTGGTCCTTATTCAGCTTCCTCTCACATTCTCCACGCAAACAATTCGTTGCCTCTTCAAGCTCTCCAATGACCCCCAGTCCCTTCTCTCACAGAGGATTGAACCTCATACAGCACTGGAAAAGTGGGGCCACAAATAGCAAATATTGTCCCATTCCAGCAAACTACCCGTTCTTTTATCCTTACCTCCTATTCTCAGGGGGAGAACAGTCTTTTGCCTCTGGTCAGCAAATCCTCAAATAATGTCATTTCATTCAACATCATTTCAGTATAACACTGATGACGGAGGAAAAGAAAAGCAATTCTGGCCAGGGCCACTGCCTGTGTGGAATTTGCACGTTCTCCCAATGTCTGCATGAGTTTTCTCTTGGTACTCCATTTTCCTCCCACAAACCAAAGCTGTGCCTGTTAGGTTCATTGGCATGTCTACCTGGTCCCTATCTGAGTGAGTGTGGGTGTGTGTGAGTGCACCCTATGATGGAATAGTGTATTGGTCAAGGCTGATTCCCACCTTGCCCCTGAGCTTTTGGGAGAGGCTTTGGGCACCCAGCAGTCACCCATGACTCAGAACTGGAATAAGCATGTCAGAAAATGAAAATAATGAATACAAATTATTATAAAATAAAAATTTGTAAAGTAAATGATAATCATACAAATGCACAAAAACAAAAATGGTAGGAAAGCACTCAGCGAGCAGCCCTACTTGTTAATGTTTTTAAATTACGTGGTGGGAGAGGGGCTCCTTACAAACATTTATTCCTTGACTGAACTCACCACTATGACCACATTCATTCATTAACTCACCAAAACTTGAGTAAATAATTATCTTATATGTTTTTATTAATCTTTTTAAAATGGATATATAGATCATATTTACTTCAATGTTTAATATTAGAAGTGTGTGTAGTCTTCCTCTAGGTTTGGTGGTGTTTTTATGAGCAGAAATATGATGTAAGAACATAACTCTTATTTATATCAGTTAGCTGGTGGTAAAATTGGTTTTGTTATGCATCATTTTACTTAAATCACAGTTTCCAAGAACCTTTCAACAATGTTGAGTGAAGACTTACTGCACATCGAAAACTGAATTTCTTCTCCTTTTCTAGAGTTTGCTCCATGAAATAAACTATTTAAAATTATATCCTCAACATGTTCTCCTCTGGTGCTTTCTTTTTTGCCTAAAAAAGTTCTACATATTTTCATTCTAAAAACATATACAATTGACCCCTGAACAAAGTAGGGGTTGGGGTACTCACCGGTGCAGTTAAAAATCCTCATGTAAGTTTTGCCTCCTCCAAAGTTTAACTACTAGTGGTCTAATGTTGAAAAGAAGGCTTACCAATAAGAGAAGCAGTCATAAAGATGAGGAAATATATTTACTCCTCATCATAAGGTCTTCATCTTTCTTGCCTTCACATTGAGTAGACTGAGGAAGGGGCGGGATTGGTCTTGCTGTCTCAGAGGTGGCAGAAATGAAAGAAAATCCATGTATAAGAGGACTTGCTGGTTCATACCCGTATTGTTCAAGGGTCAACCGTGCTTATGTGTGTACACACACAGAGAATATATTGTCCTTGCTGTAAGCTGTGTTCCATCTCTTTTCAAGCTTTGTGAAAGCATAGTCTGTGTTTGTTTTCTCCATGCTCTTAAATCTTTCTCTCTCGTTTCTGTATCTATTCCACTCCGTTGAAAATACCCTCCGTAAAATCATCATTGAACTCCTGTTGGTCAAATCCACTAACCTATTTTCAGTTCTATGTCTCTTGCAGCTATCAGCACTGTCAAATTTAGTAATGTTACCTCTTCCCACTTTTAAAACTATTTTCCTCACCTGACATCCGGATCTCTTCTGATCACCAGGTCATTTCTCTCATCTTCTTAAATATTACCTTTTTTTTCCTTCTAGTTTCTGGCTGCAAATTAGAATTACCTGGGGTACTTTTTAAACAGCCTGAAGCTGTGGCCCCCATTTCACACCAATTAAATCTGATTATCTTGGAGGTGGAGCCCTGGCATCAGTTTTTTTTTTTTTTTTTTTTTTAAGTTCTCAAGGTGATTCTTTTAAAGTTCTCAAGGTGATTTTCATGAACAACTAAGGATTGGAGGCCCACAGGTTTTCCAGAAGCCAGTGATTCTTATATACACAAGCATGACTTAGAAGAGTCCTTAAATGCAAATTCTTAAGGACTGCCTGCCAGCAATTCAAATTCAGTAGGACTTGAATGGTGTGATGGTTAATATTGAGTGTCAGCTTGATTGGATTGAAGGATGCAAAATATTGTTCCTGGGTGTGTCTGTGAGGGTGTTGCCGAAGGAGATTAACATTTGAGTCAGTGGACTGAGAGAGGCAGACCCACGTTTAATCTGGAATGGACACCATTTAATCAGCTGCTAGCACAGCTAGGATAAAAGCAGGCAGAAGCACATGGAAGGACTAGGCTGGCTGTGTCTTTGGGCCTCCATCTTTTTCCTGTGCTGAATGCTTTCTGCCCTCAAACATTGGACTCCCAGTTCTTCAGCTTATGGACTACTGGACTTACACCAGCGGTTTGTCAGGAGCTCTCAGGCTTTTGGCTACAGACTGAAGGCCGCACTGTTGGCTTCCCTACTTTTGAGGTTTTAGGACTTGGACTGGCTTCCCTGCTCCTCAGCTTGCAGATGGCTTATTGTGGGACTTCACCTTGTGATCGTGCAAGTCAGTACTCCTTAATAAACTGCCTTTCTCATACATACATCTATCCTATTAGTTCTATCCCTCTAGAGAACCCTGACTAATACAAATAGGGTTCATGAATTTATGTTTTTAACAAGAGCTCCAGATGATGCTCATAAAGTATTCTAGGGGCCCTCCTTGAGAAACATTAGGAATTTACATCTATTCCCGTCCTTTGAAGATGCCTTCTAACCTGCCTTCTAAGCTTCTCTACCTGGATGTCACAGTCACATTAATCTTAACATCTCTGAAATAAAATGTATTCCCCACTCCTCGCCATACCTTCCCCAAATGCCATTGCTTATATTATGATTCTGCTCACTGCTAACGGCATCAATATCTATCTACTCGGTCTCAAGGCAGAAATCTTTGAGCCAATGTATTTTCTTTTTTCCAATTCTTCACAGTGTATTGACCAGCATAACTCAGATTGTACATAAGAAACAGCCCCAAATCTCTCCTTCCTCCCTACATTGTTCACACATTTGCTTAAATAATTGCTACTATCTCATACACATTTTCTCTGCCTCAAATTATCTCCACATTCCTGCCAGGATGAACTTTCCATTAATAAAATGCTTGCCAGATAATAATGACTAACATTCAGTTCAGTGTCTCGTATATGCTAGACACTGCTAAGAATTATGCCTGTTTAACTCATTTACTCCTCACATCAGCACTTTGCCATAGGTGCCATTATTATCTCCATTGTATAGATGAAAGACAGATGATAAGAAACCTGCTCAAGTTTCCATAGTTAATAAGCAGCAGAGCCAGGATTCAGGCCCAGGCACATGTGCTCTTAATCACTCCCCTATACTGATATCTGATTACATTGTTTTCCATCTTTAAGATCTTGGCTTGTTCTACATTGCCTATAGAATAAAACAGACACTTTAGCATGACATACAAAGCCGTTCAGATTATGTCTACCTCCCAAACTCTTCAACCATATCTCCTGCCCTGTCCCCTCTATGCTCTGCTCACAGACACATAATTTTCCTCCCCACCAAGACCTCTCATGGCTTCACTCTTTGCTATGTCTGCTCTGCCCACCTTGCATCTCTGTTCCTTCCTCCCACCCTAAATCTGACCAAGTGATGCCTAATCATCCTTTTAAAAATAATTTCAAATATTGCTAATTTTGTAAAAATATTGCAGATGCTTTCTGTAAATAGCTGCCAGTTTACTTCATATCAGCTCTCCTTGAACTTCTTAACAGAATCTTATTACTACATCTTATTCATTGTAGTAGCCCCATTTTCCAGGAATAGTGACTGTATTCATTTCCTAGGGGTGTTGGGACAAATTACCATTAACTTGGAGCAACAGAAGTTTATGTCTCACAGTTCTGGAAGCAAGAAGTCTGCAGTCAAGGTGTCAGTGGGGCCATACTTCCTCCAAGGATTCTGGGGGAAATCCTTCTACGCCTTTTCCAGTGTCCAGTGGTTCCTGGTGCTTTTGTCCTTTGTCCGTCTAACTTCAATCTCTGCCTTTGTCTTCACATAGCCACCTTCTGTATGTTTCACTGTGTCCTCTTCTCTTCTAATAAGGACACCAGTCTTTGGATTTAGGGCCCACCATCCATCCAGGATGATGTCATCTTGAACTTCCCAAATGAATTATATCTGCAAAGAACCTATTTTCAACTAAGGTCACATTTTGAGGTTGCAGATGGACATGAATTCTGGGGGACACACTAATCAACCCACTAAAGTGTCTGATAAGAAATAGTCAACAAATGATTATTGATTATTTGATAGGTAGAATGAATGAATAAATAACAGAATGAACAGAAGGATTTATATCCATAATGTATAAAAGTGGTTTCACTCAATAATAAGACAAAGAATCCAAGTTTTTAAATGGACAAAAGAGCTCAACGAACATTTCAACAGAGGAAATATGCAGAAGGCAAATACAAACACGAAAAGATGTTACAACATTAGCCATTAAGAAAATACAAAATAGGGGCCTGGCGCGGTGGCTCACGCCTGTAATCCCAGCACTTTGGGAGGCCGAGGCGGGCAGATCACAAAGTCAGGAGATTGAAACCATCCTGGCTAACACGGTAAAACCCTGTCTCTACTAAAAATACAAATAATTAGCCGGGGGTGGTGGCGGGCGCCTGTAGTCCCAGCTACTCAGGAGGCTGAGGCAGGAGAATGGCGTGAACCCGGGAGGCGGAGCCTGCAGTGAGCCGAGATCGCGCCACTGCACTCCAGCCTGGGCGACAGAGCGAGACTTCGTCTCAAAAAAAAAAAGAAAGAAGAAAATACAAAATAAAACCACAACAAGATAACGCTATACACATATAAGAGTGGCTAAATGTGAAAAGATAGATAATAGGAAGTGCTGATGATATGGAGTAACTAAAATGCACACAAAATAGTACAGCCATTTTGGAAAAACAATTTGGCAGCTTCTAATAAAGTTAAGCACACACCACACAACTTAATCCCGCTACTAGGTATTTACTCAAAAAACATAAAGACATGTCACACAAAGACCTATACTCAAATGTTAATAGCAGCTTTAGTCATAGTAACCTAGAACTGGAAATGTCCATCAAATGGTGAATGGATAAATATATTGTGGCACCTCCACAGAATCGAAAATGACTCAGCAACGGAAAGGTGGAAACTACTAATACATGCAACATGGACGAATCCAAAAAACAAACACTAAGTGAAAAAAATCCAGAAACAAAGAACCAAAACTGTATTATTTTATTATGGAAAAGAATATGGAAAAGGCAAAACCATAAACACGGAAATAAATTTGATTACCAGGGGCTGTGTGAGAGAGGAGGGGACTGTACAAAATATTCCTACAATGCAAAGGGGCATGAGGGAGACTTTTGGGGTTGTAGAAATATTTTCATCTACATCCTCATTGAGATATGATTACATGATTGTGTACGTTTGGCAAAATTCATTGAACTGTCCGTTCGAAATTCATTGAACTGTCCAGTAAATTTTACTATATGTTAATTATAACTCAAAAACCTGGCTCAAAACAATAAATAAATATAAGTATATAAATGAAAAGACAACTTAGTGGCTAAATGTTGGATTCAAATTCTACCTCTTGCAGTTAATAGCTACATAACCCTGAGCGAAGTTGCCAAGCCTTTGTTTCTTCATGTATAAAACTGGAATAATAGTAATAGCAATAGGTACTGCATAGAATTGCTGGGAAAACTATAGGAGATAATGCACGTAAAAGTGTTTAGTGCAGTGGCTGGCACATAGTAGGTGCTTATTAAATTAGCTATTATTACTAAGCATATGCATCATAAATGAACTATAAAGTCATGGAGGAGGAATGGGAATAAAAAAGATTTGAAAGAAAAATCAGAGTTTTGGCTCTGGACTACACTGATTATCAGGGTTCTAGCAAAGTAGGTGTTACACTTGCCTTCACTCTTTCTCATTCTGTAATAAAGCAAATCTCTTCTCAGCAACTCACTAACTGTCTGAAATTGATCTTCTACCAACTCTGTGACATAAACATTGCTTCCTCTGAGGCTGTTTCTTGACCTTGTAGCCATCTTGACTGGCCATCTCGTCTCTTCCAGCTGAAGCCCCTGCTGTTATTCAATTAAGCCTGGATACCAGACCAGAGGCTCCTGGACAGAGAGTCCCCAGCTCAGATCTCCTGTGGGCACAGCACACAGCTCACACAGGCAGAGCAGAGTGACTAACAGTTGGATTAGAGCTTTCTGGTTCACCCTGCACCGCAGGCAAAAAAACAATGTTCCTTTGGGTTTGCACTGTGTCTGGATAGAATGAGTCATTTAGTCCCATGAGGTACATAACATCGCATTTTAAATGGAACTCATTAAATACATTCATAAATGCAATTAAGATATTTCAGTAACATCACAAAGCATTTATACAACTCATAAAAAAATACCATTTTACTCATTACCAATGTTCAAACCAGCTCTGAAATAACACATTTGTGCTTGGCCTATTGATTAAAGAGATATGACAGGTCACCACCAAATTTTGGCCTGTGTCTATCTTCTGAACATTGTAGATTATGTTTTAATATGAGATTTGTGAGCCAATCTCAATAATTAGCATTCTATCTTCTGGAATCATTGACAAATTTAGGGAGCAGAACAGGATGATATGTATAGTGGTGTGCTCACATGTCTAAAATAAAACAACCAGGAAGGAATCTGAGTGATTGTAAAAACTGTTTTCTAAAAACATACAAATTATTTCTTTTAAAAGTATGTACACATATGCCAATGTTTGTATAAATTCACTGTCTCTTCTCACATATACAAGCAGGAGGATTTCCTTCTCTATGTGTCCACAGCATTTCCAAAATTCCTTTAGGATATCACCTTACAGTGAGTCCATGCAAGGCTTCTCCCATGCACTCTGTGAGACAATGAACTTTAGAGGAGAGGACTGTATAGGTTAGTTAGAGGTCAGGCTTTGAAGTCCAACAGCCCTGAGTTCTGATCTTAGTTCTACCATTTACTGGATGTGGATCCTTGAGCAAATTACTGAACTTTTCTTCCATCAGAGTTATTGGGAGAATCAACAAAAAAAATAAGTGCCCAATATAAATGGTGACTACAGATGATATCATTGAAATAGTGGGCATTTAATCTTGTAAATGACTGTTTACTCTGTTTTCCTCTTTGCCTTGGTCTCTGGGAAGCTTACAGACCAATTTTTCTGACTGTCTTGGTAACTGCAACTGCATGGGCCCAGATGATATACATTTCTGAGTGCAACTTTACCCCTGGTTTTTATTTATTATTTTACTGCCCATATATTCAGCTGTCTTGGTTATTTACTTTTACTCTTGTAAAGGGGTGTGTGTGTGTGTGTGTGTGTGTGCATATGTTTCACTTCAAATATTCTGTGGAGTAAACTGAGTACAAGTATGTAAGTTAATTAATAATTTAAAAATTCTAGCTGGTATAAATCAATAATTATACATATCTAATTATGTCACATGACTCTTCAAGAAACATCTTATTCACTGTTGTATTCATAGTTCCTATCACAGTTTCTAAAACATAGAAGGCAATCAGTGGTTGTTCAATGGAAGAATATATTTTTCACTGTATTATGTACTCTTTTGTCTTTATCAGTAAGGAACTTCAATTTTTAGAAAAAGAGGAGAAAAATGGGAGGAACTTTATCTAAAACTATGAATGTCTGTAGTGTTCACATTAAGGCTAAGTTGGGGTTAAGTCAGCCAAACTTTCTCAAGGTTCTACAATAAAGGAAACCTTTAATATAACACAACACTCTACCATACAAAGCTCTCTCCCTGTGTATTTTGGTATATTAACTCTAAGTTTATAGATAGGTAAAAAATACTTTGCCTTGAAAGATAACAGTAAAACTATCTTTTTAATTAACCTCAGAAAGTAAATAATGAATGAAAATAGATGATAGTTATACCAAAGGAAACTGGACATTTAGTTCTCATTTCATAAATGAACTCAAAATTCAACTAACACTTTTAATAGAATCTAAATCCCTGTCATTTGTCTCGGGAAGGGATAATGAATTAATAGTGTAAGCAGCAACCAGATTTATATATACATTAATGTCCTAATTTATAAAAACCAATTTGTATGGTAACGGAAATAAAAGTGCAATACATTTCTTAATTTGTTTCCATGATCTCATTTACCTTATGAGTATTTGTTATTATTTGCTAAATTAATTAATTTCCCTTTTGCCACACTATCCCTGATTTTCTAGAAGGGGCAGCAATTGCTTTCTAGGGCCTGAAAGACATAGTGAGCCAGTGCTGACTGAAACACTGACTAATGACTTAGTGCCAGTAAGTGCTTGGATTTCCCCTCAAAGATCTGTCAAATGAGCTAGAGAACTGCAAAAAAGCAGCCCCTGCTATTCTCAGCATAGACTGACAATTTGTGCTAAATGGTTTCCAATTTGGGGATCTGGACAAATGCCCACTTGAGACTGTTTGACTCACCTGGTTACTCTGAGTAGCTGTTAAATCCCAAAAGGGAAATAGTTTTCAAAAAAGAAAGGAAACTTGAAATTTTCTAATCTCTAAGGATTGATGTGGTTTGCCCCCCTGCCCAACCCCTGAATTCTACTCCTCCTTCCTCCTTTTCTTTGGAAAATAATCTGTGTCCTAACTTAAGTATGTTTACTTTTTTTTTCCCCAGGTTTGGGCCTGATTTTAACAGAATACCTGTGTCATTACTATTACTTTGAAAGTGAGGATGTGGGGCAAAGTTTTCACCTGGTATTACAGATAAAGTACAGATAAAGAAAATGAAGCAGTCTTCTGAAAATTATCACAAAGCACCATTGTATCCTAAATATTCATTAAGCCGAGTTGTATGGCACAATCCCATTAAATGAGCAACCAAAGAAAAGTGCTAGAGCATTATAATAAATGAAAATTGGAAACTGACCGAAAAAAGAGTTTACATTCAGTAACTCCAGTAGATGACATTTCTCAGAATGTCCTAATGAACAAACAAGAAATAGCCGGTCCTACTTCTTCCTGGTCCTCTTACCTGGTTGTTGTTTTGTAATCTCCCTTTCAGTGCATTTTTTAGCTCCTTTTTAGACCCTTCTGTTTGATGATCCTCAAAATTCCACCCTCACATTTTTTCTCAGATATCATCTATAGTGTAAGGGTGCCTGGGGCTCTATCTTGAATTCTCATTTTTCTTGTGACATCTAGACCTGCGTGTCTGAAAACCTATAGAACATCTCTACCTAAAACCTGCTCAGGTTCCTTACAAGCCACTTGTCTGAATCAATTGCTCAGCCAGGCATTCTCAACTGTCCACCCACTACATCTAATGAGTCAACAGTATTTATTGATTCTGCTTTATATGCAGCTCTCTCAGTACTATATTTACGTTAAACAAAATTCTCCTTAGAAATTCATCAGCAGACAATACATAGCTAATTCAAGGACCTTCCTAACCCCAGTCTCTCCATCAACCAGCCCAGAAACTCTTCCATAAATGTTATATATCTTATGTCACTATCCTGCTTAAAAGTCTTCATTGACCTCTCCCTGTCTATAACAATAAATTAGTGGCTTCATTGTCATCATTTCATCCATCTATTTATTCATTTATTTATCCATTCATTTACTCAACAAATAGTCAACCCCTCCTAAAAACCGGGTACTCTTTGTCTTGAACGTGCAATAGGGAGTAAAATACAAGTCCATGCCTTCTCTGAGCCCTGGCCCTTATCACACCTTCTAGCTTCAACCCCATCCTCTTTCCCTACTTCACGTCCACCCTATGCTCCATTCACACCACACTTCCCAGAGTTTCCTAAATATGCTCTGTGTGTTGTGCTTCCGTATTGTTCACACATTCTAGGCTCTCTATTTTAACATGACCTGCTCTTTTTTTCTCTCTCTGAATTGTGAATTCCTAATCATATATAAATACCAAAGTCAGATGTCTCTTCTTCTAAGAAAGATTTCTTGGCTCTCAGAGAGGGTAGACTACTCTGTTATAGCTACCCATAGGGTTTTATTCCTACAATAGACTTCCTTCAATTAATAAACTTTCATTCAACTTCTACGATGTAGCCAACAGCTAAGTGCTAGATGATGAATTGTAGTTTTCTACTTATTTATTCTTTTTTTAATAATTCCTGACACTTTACACAATGGCCACCAAGCATTAAACATATGTCAGGTAACATTTTTTTTCTAGGTCCACTTTGTAAATATAAAAAAGTAGTGTGGTCAAAGGAATTGCCTTCTTCTGACAGCAGAGGCAAGACAAATTAATCTAAAATAAACCCTACTCTTATCTCTTCTGGATAAGGGAGGAAGAAACTTTGCCTTTTGACCATTTCAACTATTATTATTATTACCCAGTTAGAAAGTGAATAAATGACCTAAATGGGAAACCTGACATAGGTAGACATATTGGCTTCAGAACTAGAAGGCAGGGCATTTTTCTCATATGTGCAGCCTTGATGTGTTCTAGGAAAATAGTGAGCTTTCACATAATTTACTCCAAGCAGTTAAAAGTTTTGTGAGCACTTATCTAATTACACTTTAAAATGTAAGTATACAAAATGACCCCTTTTGACCATATCAGCAGTGGCTGTCTTATTCTCAACCTGCCACTTCTTAAAAGAACATGAATTCTTACCAATGGCTACTTTTCATATAGTTTAGAATAAATGTCTTCGTGGTCTCCTAGTGTAACTCAGGAGACTAACAGGGTATAGCATCTTCTCCTACCCAGTTTCTCCTTTGCTCTCCACCCCCATTCCCCAAATCCCTTCCCAAGACACCAATATAAACCCTGACTGATAACATTCTGTGTTCTTCACCAGTACCTGGTCTATTATAATCTAAAACTGGGCTTCTCACTGCCTGTAGAAATCCCAAGAGCATCTATTGCCACATCACTCAAATACCAACAGCCAGGGATTCTGAAGCACAAGAGTAGAGGAGCAGGAAGAGGCTCTCAGGGGGCATTTGTTTCATGCAGAGCCATGGAGCCAAAGTCTTCCTGGCTGCTTTTCATATACAGGTTCATTCTTTGTTTAAAAGATATGGCATAAGGCTTAGTGTGTATACAAGAACTCCAGCTGTTGGATTGTACAGAAAGGGGGAAGGTATTCTGTTAGCATTTGAGATTTCCTTTTAAAATGTGACCAGACATTCATATACATGTGCAGACTTTCATTTTAATCAGCAACATGCAAATTGCATATTCATCTGGATAGACATAGGGCAGGCACTGTTCATAGAGATACGGCTGCACATTACAGGCACAATTCTGGTGAAAGGAAATCTTTTTTTTTAAGTCCTGGAGGTAAAAAGAAACAAGTGTTATAGAAACAAATACAATTTGTGACGAGGACTCCCAAGGAATGGATTTTGTTTCTGGTTGCCTAGTCCAAGGCCAATCAATCAAATTTCTGGTGATTATTTTAAAAATATTGGCACAAATGCCACCAAGAAGTACCATACAACTATGTGTCCTAAATATTTCTGTTTGCCCCATTGGGACAGGTTTCCTAACAAAAACTTTCAGTTGATTGCAAATGAGTCATATTTCCATGCTGGCTTATTTTTAACATTGAATTCCAATGTAGTCAGGACCATTTTTGCAGAAGAATATGCTGCATGTCACTCTAGAGTAGTTTTGTCAAACTCATCAGTAGCATGCTATACACCTGGAACGTTTAATGATGAAATAAAATGTATTTATTTAAATATATTTTGTACCTCCTTATATAATAAAAGATGGTATTTTCATTATAAGTGTCTCCTAGTCAGTGATTATCTCTTTAATACCCTGGGAAGCATCAAATGTAAACGTAGTCAGTTGTAATCTTTTTAAGTAATGTTGACATTACTTAACATTCCAACTCCATTCCTACTTCTGACTCACAAAGAATGGTGACGGAATAATTTAACTTAGTTTGATCTCAAGTACACAAGATAACTCTTCTTCTATTTTTACACCACATCACATGGCATATTTGGAAAATTATGGCTATAACATAGACAACCTTTTTTTTCCACCTTTATAGAACTCACCACCTTTTATGGCTAGTATCTAGTAATCATCTTCCAAGATAGGCTACAAACTCCGTAAAAGTGAAGACTGTAATCTACTTTTTCACTGCCATATCTCAACTACCCAGCATAATGATGGCATAAGGAATTATATGGGCACTTCAATAAAAATTTGAAAAATAAATAAGCCAAAAAGAAGCAATGCGTATGTTGTTTGGATATTTGAGCCTTAATTTACAAATTCTTATTTATTAAAATGCTAAAAATTCAGTAAATTATGGAATTCAACTTTAGGTTGCTAACAAAAATAAATGTACATAATTAAATAAAAATTTAAATGGAAGGAAATAATATAGCCCAAGTAGAGAGAGAGACAGAGATTGAATTCACTGCCATGAGCAGCCAGACAAGATAGCTGAAACAGGACTTTTATCAGACAGAAAAGCAGAACTCCAAACATTTCTTCAAACAACACAAACTGCACCACATTTCTCCATCATTTGTCTTTAAAAGGAAAGGAAGGGAAAGAAAAGAAATGCAATTAAATAGATGTGGTTAGAGGATACTGACAGGACATCCCCCCACCCCCGCACAGTCCATTTCTCTGTTTACTTCCACCCTCTCCCATTTCAGCAGCACCTAGAGCTAGGTACCTAGTTACACTGGGATCACTGGGCAAAACCATCGTCACCTTGACTGTCACATCAAAGTGCTTAGTCCTACAAGGAAAGATTCGTAAGCATGTGGAAGCATACAGAACCAATTTTATATTGTACTCTGCCCATCTCTAAACCCCAAACTAGAAAAAATAAGATCCTCCTTCAGGGAGGGGAGAGGAGCAGAGTTGAAAGGGCTGAATGAATCCCCAGTAAGTTTGATTACCTGTGAATAGGAAGGCTTTAAGGTCAATAGGAACCCAATCAAGTAAATGAGATCCTATGCTGAAAGGTAACAGCAGCAGAAGTCAAGGGTATTAAATAGGGGCAGGTTTGGGTAGAGAAAACAGGAGACACTGTCCACCCCCAACTCACCCACGTTCACCCCTGCAAATCTCCCAAATCCCAGAAAGCACAAGACGCTATCCCCAACTTTCCTATGCCCCCAAAAGAATTATGTAAATGCTGATGGTTGGCCAATGTCAAAAGAAAGGGCCTTGAGTTCAAGACAAGGAAGCTAGAAGACCAGAGATGATGCAGAACCGTGGCTACCTCAGCAGATGGCATCATGACTAGGCTTCTCCATGATGGCATGAGCCCCAGGCATTAAACACTACTTATGGGAGTAGAATAAAGAGGGAAAATTTTTTAATTAACCAAGTTAAAGTCTAAAATGACTGAGAAAACCCAGAACTGACTAAAACACCTTCTGCCATTGGGAGGAATGGGAGCTCAATATGGTGTTAGATAAAAAGTTTTACAGTATGACCAGACAGCAGTCACATCTTTTGTAACTACATTTGTCAAACTACATGCTGAGGATGACAAGCATAAGTGTAACTAAGCAATCTTTAAAGTGTCATGAATACCTGAGAAGAGATAAATACAAGTTTAATGCATTTTCTCTAAATTGAAGACAGCTAAAATAAAAGAGGTGGCAGAATATATTGTGGACACAGATGTGACCAGTAATTTCCTTGAAAATATAGTTTAAAACCATCATTAATATTTTATATCAAATGAAAATATTCTATTACTATTTAAATTTCGCTGTTCCTAATAATACGGTCACCCAGAGGGAAGATGAGATTGTTGAACCACTGTATTAGGACATGTATTTTAAATTTCTACACACTGAGTCATTCCCTTACTTTACCAAAAAATATTTGCTCAGGAGCTGGGCCAATGATTAAAGAGTACGGGATAGTTAGAGAAAATGTCAAACATACTGACTCATCAGAAGATGTATATATATGGTATGAGTGTAATTGCTATTATCATGATCATTATTATGTTGTTTAAGAGGCAGAATAGTATACTGGTTATGAACATGGACCCTGGAGTCAAATTTCAGCTCATTCATTTACTAGCTATGTGACTGAGCAGCAAGTTGCTTAACCTCTCAGTTTACCCTCTTATGCAATGGGTATATGCACTGCACCAACTACTGAGGGATGTAAGGAGGATTAGATGAGATATAATATAACAAAGCACTTGAAACAGAGTCTGGCACGTAATAGATTCTACTAAGGTGTTTACATACACATATGTTATTATGATCAGCAAGTTTGGTGCTACCCAAACTTAACATGGTATCTAAAATTTTAAAAACCGTATCTATGTATACTAACTTATTTTAATCTTCATAACAGCTCTGGGAAGTAGGTGATATTGATCACCATTGTTAAGAAAGAATACTAAAGTTTGGAGAGATTAAGTGATCTCTCTCGTAAATTAGAGAGTGGAAATTTGAACCCAGGGCGCTTGGATCCAAATCAAGTGCTCTTGCCACAATGTTTGCATTCTCAACTATACTTGACATGGATTATTCTCCTTTTAGGAAGCTATAACTAAACCACTCTATCCAGAGGCAGCTAATATATAAAGAGTCTGGGCTGGGCGCGGTGGCTCATGCCTGTAATCCCAGCACTTTGGGAGGCCGAGGCTGGCGGATCATGAGGTCAGGAGATAGAGACCATCCTGGCTAACACGGGGAAACCCCGTCTCTACTAAAAGTACACAAAAATTAGCCAAGCATGGTGGCGGGCGCCTGTAGTCCCAGCTACTCCGGAGGCTGAGGCAGGAGAATGGCATGAACCCGGGAGGCGGAGCTTGCAGTGAGCCGAGATCGCGCCACTGCACTCTAGCCTGAGCGACAGAGCGAGACTCCATTTCAAAAAAAAAAAAAAAAAGAGTCTGATTCACTGATGACATTGGCTGGGTGCACAGGAAGAAGTGTTGGGTGCCCTGGGTCACCGATGAAAGAAACTAGCCTGTAGGACTGATACATCCAAGTCAGCAGGGCCACCTAAGGAGGCTACACCTAGGGGAGAGTGTACTGTGCACACAGCAACCCCACTTCTGTGGATTGAAAGGCTGAACAAAGAGACACTTTGGTAGTCTTGGCATGAAAAGGTCTCTCCATTCATTGTAAGTGATGTTGGATAAAATTTACAATGACTTTATGTTTCTTGTAATAATTGGAAGTAACAGGACACCTGGATGTATTTACATCAATAATGGAAGACAATATTTGAAATAGAAACTTTCCAGAGAATTTATAACCTATGGTCATGGAAGGGACTTTTGGTTACTATGATGTGCATAATTTGAGACGTTGTATGTCAATTGACATTTTTCCCTGTTTTGAAAAAGTGTAGTTTGAGTGATTATGTATCAAAAGCTTGGCTGCTTAAGACGTGCTTGCCTTAACTTGTTTGGTTACCCACTTGCTCTCTGTTGGTCTTTCTTTCTGCCTGTAGCTTTTTCTCTGTCTTGTTTCAGAAGACTTAATAGGAAGGTTCACTGAGCCTTCTTATTACGAATGTTTCAGGTAACAGCTGGACCAAAACAAGAAGCTAAGCATTTAGGTACTTGTTACACTTGAAAAAACAAAACACCAAACATAATAAACTGATCAAGTAAGAGTAAATAACAGCATTTCAAATATTGTCCTAAGAAATGCCCAAGGTTATAAATCTGTCAGCTTCAAAGCAATACGGAGGCCAATATTTGTAGAGATTATGCTGGAAAGTAATGGAAGTAATCCTTACAATTAGATAATAGAGCCTTTTCATATTAACATAAATGATATTTAAAAATTGAAACATTAAGCCATAGTAAGCATAAGCTCTAATATTAATGGGGCACATAAACAGAAAAAATGGTTTTGTGCTATTTAATCTCAAAAATGGTTTAATGACCCTTATCTGATTATAAAAACAGCACAAGCAACTGTATTAGATAAATAGGACATTAAAAATACTGCTAACTGGTAAGCAGCTTGAAAATATCTAAATTAATGTGTTTTTAAATCAAATTTAATAGTCACTGAAGGAATATTAAAGAGATGTCCTGGATATGAGTATGACATTGGCAAACATGAACGTGTATAAAGAAAGTTAAAGAAATATACAGAAAAAAAAAAAACAGCTAGGAAAACAATTCACAAGGTGAAAGTTAAGAATTTGGTTAATTTAGTTAAGTCTTGGTTTCAGCAACCTTAGTTACATCAATCCCCAGACTTATAAAAGTGGTGAATAATATAGTATGCTTTTAACGTATAATTACACCATTCTCATACTATAAAACATGGCCAAATGCTTTTCACTGGAATTTGGTTAATTTTACCTTAGAAGTCAACTCTTCCACTGGACTAGAAAGAGCTTATTCAGCCTTCTGTAACACACATACCTGGAGCTACCACCCCTCTTTTCCACCATTCGCCTTAACAGTAAGAGTCATGATCACTAATAATGATCATCTTGATTCCTTCAATATTTGAGTGCTGATGGTAGGTATTTGGGGGATGATTCCTTCTACCCCTTCTAAGTGCTCATTCATCTGTCCTTCTCCCTTCTTGAAGTGGTCAAATAATGGAGAAGCATTTCACTCTCCAGTCAATTTACTAGGTGTGATCTTCCTAGGCATCAGCCCCCAAACTTGTAAAATGGACTCCCTCTCACAGCTGGTTGTATGATAAGAGACGTAATCATGTTCCTGGTGAAGCCAGCAAGCTCAATAAATACTACCTGCTGTTATACTTCTCACACCACGCCTCTAGTTCATAGGCCTTACCAACTTCCTCCAAACCAAAGGTTCAAGCCATCACCAGTGGCCATCTGAGAACCCCCTAATCTGGGTCATAGTTTGTCAAATTGCTCTCTGGCACCATAATATTGAATCTTAAATTTGCATGCTAAATCAATTGTGCTTAAAAATGCAAAAGAGAAACAGAGGTAGTCCCAAAGAACCAAGTATTGTAAAACATTTATCTCCATCCAAATTGCAAAATTAGAATCACTAGACAGTCTCATTGCCATAACACTGATACCTTACAGTAAAAAGAGAGATCTGATTGATGTTAGTTGGTTGGAGTTTGTGCCAACCCCAGCAGCCATTATATTGTTAGGTTTTACAATTTTAGCCCAGTTCTGAGGGAGGATACCACTGGGAGAAGCATGTCACAGTTGCAAAGGGATCTGGAGTTAAAATGGGTCAATAATCTCTCTTCTCATCATTCAATGACATGATGTTTAGATATATTTTCCCCTGCTGCTTACCTCACAAAACACACAGTTTTTTTCTCTCCCCATTTATCATGGTCTAACCTTTCGAACTGTAATTTGGAGAAACAGACTGAAAATAACCTCTGTTAATAAAATCTTGTTGCTTTGTTGCGTTTTCTTTTCTCCAGGGAACTGAATGTTTTCTTATGTGTTCCCAAATAAGATGGTCATCTTTACGAATTCATTTTCCAACTGGGAAATAGAAATGAAGCCTCGAAGAAAGAGCGAGGGAATTAAAATAGTCTAAAAGGTAATTCATTACTAACACCCAGTTTCGCCATCACTTTTCTGAGTGTGGGAAACTTCTCCACTTTTTCCTGAAATAACTCAAATTGAACGGTGTTGGAGTAGCCTGTGGCGTTTATGAAAGCCGGGACTGTTTTATGTGATTACTCTTCGTTAGGAGCTCCTTAGTACATAATCATCCACATGAATGTTTGTTAACAGGTACAATGCCATTGAGCATTTACCTTATTGCCCGTATAGTCTTGAAACAATTATGTGTGAAGGTATTAAAAGGGTATAAGTTGAAATGGAGAATGCTGTGGGAGGCCAGTTAACAATTCAATCATCTAACTATTCCTACAACTACACCAGGAAGTTATTTACCATAAATACCGCAGCCTATGATTTCCAACTCTGAATTCTGTCAACCCAGTTTTTATGTTTTACTTATTCTCAGGAAACACTCCATAATGTGAATTTAGCTGTTTCCTTTATTCTTGTTCAAATTCTCTTTTAAATACATCAGGTTATAAAGAAATAGCATTATTTTTCAAATCAACACTGTTCCTTATATTGGCATACATTTTTCCCTATATTGGCAAAAGAGGAGGGCATCAGACTGTTAAGCAAACAATAATTGGTTGCAGCACTCAGAAAAACAGAAATGACTGTTCTGTTAAACAGACGGGGTGATTAGAGCCTTTCTTTCTTAACTGACAATTACAGATACAGTGCATCAAGAGGGTTCGTAATAAATATCAGTGCTCGCTTGACCTACCAAATATATTTGTTTGGGAAAATATAAATGGCAAATTGTCCTTCAGATTAATAGCTACCGTATTGGTAAAGTACAAATCACTTTTAACAGCCACATTACTTTAGTAAAGAGAAGTTTGCTAACTGCTCTTTAATTAAGTACACTTAATGACCTTAAGGGGATTAGTAGTCTTGTCTGATAATCAATAAGCATGGCAAGATTACTGCCTCATAAACTGGGGTGGAAGAACCAAATTAATCTGTAAAGATTAGTCTCCTCTAGTTTTTTTTCTTATAGTTTGATTCCATCTAACACTTAGGAAACTCATAATCCCAGTCAAGAAGAACATACCCGTAATTCATTTGTTCTGAAGGCATGTATTTATTTTAGCAAACATGGTTTTAAAAGTGGTGCCAAAAAGCCAAATGGCAAATGATAGATATTTTCCTGCAAATCATTGAAAAATGCTCAAATAAAATTATCTGCTGCCGCATTGATATGTGATTGGTTAATGGAGTATAACTAGCTGTGCCACTGTGAGGCTCAGTTTCTTCATTTGTAAAATGAAAGAGGAAACTTCTCAGGTCCTTTGCAGCTTCTACATTTTATAATTTAAATAGAAAATAATTTCGATTTCTTTTATGAATTATCCATTTTTTAGCAGCAGTTCAGCCTTGCACAGTCAGACACTGATGGGCTATCTCTCATCTTCTTTTGTCCCCACACATTCAGCAAAATCAAGTGTTGTGGGCCAATAAAGATAGGTGGGATTGAACAATGAGATCACATGGACACAGGAAGGGGAATATCACACTCTGGGGACTGTTGTGGGGTTGGGGGAGCGGGGAGGGATAGCATCGGGAGATATACCTAATGCTAGATGACGAGTTAGTGGGTGCAGCGCACCAGCATGGCACATGTATACATATGTAACTAATCTGCACAATGTGCACATGAACCCTAAAACTTAAAGTATAATAATAAAAAAAAACCTAAAACAAACAAACAAACAAACAAAAAGATATTTGAAATGCATTATCAAGGGAAAACAAAACAAATAAATTCAAAATGTGTGAATCATTTGAGACAGCATGGTGCAATAGGGATAGAAGGAAAGGGAGGATGAGGTAAAATTTGGGGATAATGGCTTTGAAGCCAGAAATACTTTGTTCAATACAAAAGATATCAACACAACTTCTATTAACTAGCGGCATAACCTTAAAGAAATTGCTTTGTTCTTCTCAACTTCAGTATCCTCGTAGAATGAGGATTATCATCAGAATTATAGTACGTAAATGTGCTAAGTAATATCACAATACTTCTCATAACAGATATTTGCCTAGCAGATCGTCAATCGCCTTTTCCCTTCCCATTCTCTGATGTTTCTGGGTGATCAATAGATGTAGACATCACATACAATTTTACACTTACAGTTAATCCTTGAAAAACAAGGGGTTTAGGGGTGCCAACCCCCTACACAATCAAAAATCCATATACAATTTTGACTTTTCCAAAACTTAAACTACTAATCAGCCATACTGATTATAGAAACAGTCTATTAACACATGTTTTGTTTATTATATGCATTATATACTGTATGCTTACAATCAACTAGGCTAGAGAAAGGAAAATGTTATTAAGAAATCATAAGGAAGTGAAAATATATTTACTACTCACTACGTGGAAGTGGATCATTATAAAGGTCTTCATCCTCATTGTTTTCACATAGAGTAGGGCTGAAGAGGAGAAGGAAGAGGCGAGGTTAGTCTTGTTGTCTCAGGGGTGGCAGAGGAGGAAGAAAATCTACTTATAAGTGGACCTGTACAGTTAAAACCCGTGTTGTTCAAGGAACAACTGTATATATAAAATTATATACAGTGTATATGCAATATGCAATATAACTAAATGTGAAATGTAAATTCTACACTTGTGCCTAAGTACCCATCAAAACCTTTGGAAATAGGGCTATATTTTTATCTATGATTTTTCCACTCTAAATGTAATACCTGGCACATATACATGTCAGTTCAGCTAAATATGCACATATACTTCATATTAGTTTATTGGGTATATTCAGTCTTCATCCTTTAATATCTAGGTCTTCCCTGCTGTATTGAGGCTGCCAGGGCAATTGACCTACTTGCTAAAACTATTATGTAGTATCTGCTTTTCCTTTAAAAAAAACTCTGTGTTATTATCAATTGTATACACTTCAGCTTACATATACCATAATTAAGTCCTACTATGACCCAAAGATTGTGTGAAGTGGTTTTATTAATGAATGATGTTAATCACAAATGAAATTGTATACCTATGTAAGACGTGCATTCATCCTAGATATTGGCTTTTTCTTAAGGTATTTTAACTTATCTATTATTATAAATATATACTGATTATTACCCAAGCAATGCTGGTAAGACTTTTTGACTTGGTGGTCAAGAGTGTCAGGAAAACCATCTAGCCCGGATGGGATAACTTTTTAGTATTAGGAATATTAAGATAATGTATAAGAGCTATATTTGCAGGATAATATCAGGAACTTCAAGACTTAAAAAAATAAAAACAAAAACCACTGCATTTCAAGTAACATTGCTGATATTACAAAGACACTTTATTAAGATTTGGCTATTTAACTTCTTAAGGGTTAATGATACCAGCAACCCTTCTATATGGGAAAATGTAAAAAGTTATTGGAAACAAAATATCCGAGCAAGGGAGAGACTCCTCCTTAGATAAGTTGTAAACAATGTTGACATTTTTCATATTCTGAGAATAAGACATCTATACCATTCTGAAATTCTTACATGAGACACCAGGTTTCTAGCATTGCCACTGAACATCCGCTGTCCATATTTTTAGATCTTTTTTTTTCCATTTGTGCAAAAGTAGATAAAAAAAGGTCAGCTTGCCTCCAGCAGGATGTTATAGCCAATAAATGCTTAAATGTTATTGTATTTTTCTCCCAGCAGCTTGTATCTAGGCAAATGTTTCTGAAGCCTGCCTTGGGCTTGCACACAGGTGCCGGATTCCTGCTCACCACACGGTAATGATTTGGGACTTCTGCACACTTTCCCTGTGGGCACTTTCTGCTGCCCTTGTTCTAATCAGTGAAAAGGTACTACGGTACCCATTGCTGATGCTTGTAGACTGAAGGTGTTCCAGGGTGTTGCTCTTGGTGATCTGAACTAGTAGTTGATCTTTAAAATGCTGAAATCTGTGTGCTTAGGAGGTCACTTAGGAGGTCCTGTTCTCAAACCAGAAACTATCACTATCCTTTAGTCATCAATTTACCTGAGAACATCATTAAAAACTGCAAAATACTGTTTGACAGATCCTCATGAACATTCTGACCTCAATAGCAATAACTTGTAGTAGGTCATGACATTTTCTTAATCGATTTCTTCCTGAAGAGCCACTGCCATTAAAACAAACAAACATCAACTATTCACATGTGTGAAATGTTTCCTCAAATTCCCTAGCAGTGGGATAAAATAATAATAATTAATATAAAATTACCCTAATTTCCACTGTGCCAAGTTCTATAAATTCAAGGTGTTCTGAATGTGCTGTTGCTACTCCAAACTTTCAAAGAGTGACTAAGAGAAACAAACAATACTGGGACCAAGGTCCCATTCTGGAGAGAGCTGAAACAATATAATGAAGTATTCTAAAATTATAAGAGAGCGTGATAGGGTATTATTATTATTTTTATGCTATTTAGTCATTGCAGCCAGTGAAAGAATGAACAAGGAGGATAGAAAATCCCTGAGCTAACTCACTTGAAGAGAGACGGACCTGCTAGGCATCCTTTCTCTTTCTCACTCTTACACATTGGTCTGCCTGAAGGCTGAGAAGCCTATAATTTTACCAATATATCCAATAGCCATGATTAAATATCATGGGGAGGAAATGGAAGAGAGTGGGGAAAGCACAGGTTTTGCTGCCACCATCTCCTGCTTCATTTCTGAATGAAGGGCCTTGGGAAAATCCCTTCACCTCTGTAGGCCTCCATTCCGCTCCCATAAATATCCTTCTCAATGGAATTTTGGAAGTCTCAAGCTCATCCATATGTACACCTAGCATGATTTTACTATAGAATAGTGATTTTTAAATAGATACTATATTTTTTCAAAAATTAAAAAGTCATATAATGTAGTGATGCCCATGTCCATTAATCCAGGTTAATTTTTTAGTAGCAAGTCAGGCTCAATGAGATCCAACTAGAAAGCAGAAAAGGTTGCAAGTACAAGACTCATCCTCTAGGACCACCTGGAACAGGACCTTTAAGACATCAAGGGAGAAGAAGCAAACAATGAGGAGGAACAAACAAGGAGAATACCTAAAAACAGACCTTCCAAGGGATCAAATGTAGTTGTTGTATAATTATGCTCTAGCCTAGCCCTGGGCCTGGATGAGGATATTTAATTGGAGAGCAATTAAGTCTTATTAACATCAAATTACAAATTTTTACATTGCAATGGTCAAGTTTTCATTTCTGTTTCTGCCTTGTAAAAAATATTTTCCTTAGCATTTTCTCAAACTGGCATGGTGCTTCTTTTCTCACAAGAGTATCTGTAGCTCCAATGATGGAAGAGTTGACCTGAAACACATCAGTAGAGTGGCCCTGGTCCCTGTGCGTCTGTTGGAAGTATTGATAAGCCGCCCTGGAATCAGGTTGTAGATGCCTTCTGCCATAGATTACAAAATAGGGGCAAGGCTTGTGAAACTCTCTGCAAAGAGCATTCTTCTTACATCTTTATTGCCTACAAAATGCCAGGAGAGTTTCCAAGTAAGAGCAATCACTGTTAAAGAAAATAGGACATAAAATAAACTGTTATTACCTGCAAAACAGCTGTATTTCCTTTTCTTCCCAGAGAAGCACATAAACCCTCTGTATACTCTGACATGAAGCAATGTAATAGAACTTTTATTTCAGTAAACACGAGATATTTGTTCCATGATAAGTAACATCTGAAAGGCAAAAAAGGTTGTGCTCAAATTTTGTCAGCTGTTTCATGATTGCAAAATCAAAAAAGGGATCTTACAAATTGATTGGGCCCATTCTTGGTCTAAGATAGGAGGTTATAAAAGCTAAGAGCAAGGGCTTTGCAATAGGACAGACAGAGGTCTAATCCCAGCTCTGCCTCTTAAGTTTATATGTAACCCAAGGGAAGTTATTGCGTCTTTGCAAGCTTCAGTTTCTGCATTATCAAAGTGGTGGCAATAATAGAACCTACCTCATAGATACTGAGTATTAAATAAAATATGTTATTTAAATAAAAGTGTTAATTATAGCACCTGACCCTTCAGAAGTACATAAATGGTAGTAGCTATTATGCTAAAACTCTCTCTAGCTACTGGTCGTGTCATAATTTTATAGTATATCTAAGGAGACCTAATGAAAATCCAAGGAGATGAGAATATTCTTAATTTTTTAATTATGTAATTTATTTTTCTTTTATTGAAACCTATTGGTTTTCCTGATTGTCTTCTTTGAATACTTGGAATGGATTCTCATCAACTTTCTTATATATACATCCTTTACATATCTGGAATCATGCAATTTTACAACTGGGAGAGACCATGTATATAATGCATGCAACTTCCTTGTTTTATAGATGATGGAACTAAGTATTGAAACAGTGACATGACTTGTACAAAGTCACAGGTATAATTATAAAGAAAAAAAACTCCACATATTCTGGGATGCTACCCAATGCTCATTCCAGATAAAACTCACTGAATTTGAAGGTAAGTCATTTTCTCCAGCCATTGTCTAATGACATGAATTCTTTTAACTGTTTCCTATGTATCATTCTATCCTTTATATAAGACTTGCTTAACACATTCTGTGTTCTCAGGTCACTTTTACAATTTGAAGACTCCAAACGAGGTATATTTACCCTATTTGATGTCTAATTTTCAGACAAGGTTTATTAAGGGATTATTCCCTGATCCTGATCCTTGATTTTCTGTACTATGGTGTCACCTCAAAGGATGTTCACTGAGACCTTTCCTGAACATCCCTGGTAAAGGTTATTCTTCTCTTTTGAGCTCTCATAGCTCCAAATACATGGATGTGTTTGATTCCCTTCCTAGACTCTACATCCATGGAGGGCCAAGCTCACACAGCTACTTACTCACTCATCACCCAACAGGTCTCTGTGGAAGAGTCACCAAACATTCTCTTTTATTTCATTTCATTTTATATTATTTCTTGTCTATAGAAGACCAACTTCCAGAACTAGATCAAGAACACACTGGGCCATTTGTCTCTGACTTCTGGGAAGTAAAGAGAAATGGAGGAGAATTTGAGTTATGATTCTTCCTCCCATTTAACCTCTATCTTGCTCTAACTTGACATAGTAGACTGTCGTGTTGTTTCTCTTATTTTTCACAACTCACTTTTTGCAATGTAAGTGTCTTCACATCCCATGGACACAAATATTCGAGGTTGTTATTTGGTGTAAAGAAAATTCTACTGATGTTCTAATTTTTAGAAAGTAGGTAAAAAGAATTTCCAATATCTGTCAATATTATACTCAGAAATTAAATACTGGTTTCTAGGCAAGGTGTGGTGGGTCACAGCTGTAATCCCAGTATTTTGGGAGACCAAGGCAGTTGTATCAATTGAGCCTAGGAGTTCGAGACCAGCCTTGCCAATATGTGAAACCCCGTCTCCACTAAAAAGACAAAAATTAGCCAGGTGTGGTGGTATATGCCTGTAATCCCAGCTACTCGGGAGGCTGAAGGAAAGGAAGGAAGGAAGGAAGGAAGGAAGGAAGGAAGGAAGGGAGGGAGGGAGGGAGGGAGGGAGGGGGAGGGAGGGGGAGGGAGGGAGGGAGGAAAGGGAAGGAAAGGGAGAGAAAATACTGGTTCCCAAATAAAACTAGCAAAGAGTAACATCATAGCCAGGAATCCACTTCATTACATGCAGCTGTTGAATGAAAGCTTAATATGAAGGAAACAAATGATTTCTTTCTCATTTTTCTAGTTTCTCTTATCTTCACCTTGCTTTATTCAGACATTCATTTGTTCTCATAGGCAACTTGGGATGTTGGATAAATCACAAACTGTGGAGTCATACAGACCCAGATAACAATCTTAGAATCTTAAACCTGCTTTCTGACTGATCTGTCTCTTTTTCTGTTTTCTAACCCCTAAAATGGAGATAACACAGATCCCACAGTGGTCCTGGAAAGATTCACTGAAATTTTATTATTTCCTTTTTCCCCTTTTATTAATTTTCCTTTTTATTGGCCCCATGCTTCCTTCCTGTGATTAAACTTTTGCCCTGCCTCCTTTTGATGAAGGCCAAAAAAGTATAGATTTGATGTGAAAAGATCTATATATCAGCTATGCCTCTTTGAAATCAAAGATATTAAATTTTGAAAACTGCTTCCTACATAACTTTATTAAAGCTAGTCTGATTTAAGCAATTAAATCCCTCTCCAATTCCACTCGGTAGGTTTACAGGATGTATACAGAAGGCTTGATAGTGACAGAACTACTTTCAAGTAAAATATCTCTTCTCTACTTTTTAATCTGAATTCACTTAATGTAACTCTTAAACTGAAGGGAGGGCTGTGGGCAAAAGGATGAGAACAAATTCCCCATCCATAAAAAGCATCTGGCACAAGGAAAACAGTAGCAAGTCCAGATGGTACCAAGCTCTGACACAGGCCAGGGAATGCTCTATGGACAGAAATGCCATATAGATTTTGTATAAGAAAGCACAAAATGCAATCTTGAAAAATTAAAAATAAGAACTTTTGTGGCTGAATAGCCAGAATTTACTCAATATATTCATAATTAGGACTGCTTTATAGGACATTTAATTTATTACTTTATGTTCATGCTTTCCCTTAGAACATATATTAAAGGTGTATGATAATTTTAGCCTGGGCACTTACATTGGCAAAGCATCGCTGTTACTGGGAGTTGAAAGAACCAATCAGAAAGGCAAACACCCATGGCACCCAAGTGGATTCCATGCTATCAAATATGGTACAATTAGGAGATCAGCAATTGACCTCTAATTGTTATCGTTCAGCATGTATTTGGTGGATAGCTTTGCTTAAGATCTTCTGTACCAATTTATTCCTCTTCTCTTCTACTTTCTCTTCTGGGAAGCTAACAGCTAGTTATCCTTGGTTCATCTATTTCTTATTCAGGGATGCCTTCTTCAATCTACAAAGGCTGAATTAGTGCTCTCATTTCATACTCCTTAGTGGGCAGTACTTCCTCTGTTTAAGGACTTACTACGACTTTAATCTTTCACTCAAAGCCTGGCCTCCTTCTAACCCAGAACCATATAAATTCAGGGAATGTACCCATTTCTTCCCATTCTTCCTCAGGTACCACAGTGCCCAGTACGTGATGAAATTTCCAGCTATGTTTCATCAGTCTGTGTCACAAACAGTGTTCTAGGTACATGTCATATACAGGAATGAGAAAAATTGACAAAAACTCTGCTCATGGAGCTTATGTTCTAGGAGAAAAGTGAGCAAAAAGCAAAATAATTAAGTAAGGTATGTTATATAGAAATGTCAGTGGTGATGACTGCTCCGGAGAAAAATAAGGTAGGAAAAAGGAATAGGAAGACCGGGGACAAAGCTGTCATCCAGGAAATTTCATAGTGTGTATTAGACAAGAGGCAAAGATAAAAACTAATGAGGAAGCATTGAATTTAAGGAGTTTTACAAAAGCAAAATAATCAAAGCAAATAGTGAAGGATAGAGGAAGAATAGAAATTAACCTATCAGCAATCATATAAAAGAGGAGAAATGAACACATCCAGGTTGGTTCTTTGAGAAAAATTTTAAAATGTATAAACTTTGGGGAGACTGATTAATAAATAAAAGGAGGGTATACAAATAACAAACATTAGAAATAAAAACGGGAACATCACTGTCTAGTTTGTTTTACACTCCCAAAGACATGAGGTCCTAGTCCTGGGAATCTGAAAATGTAACTTTAATTGGGAAAAGGATCTTTGCAGATGTGATTAAATTAAGAATTTTGAGTTGGGAAGGTTATATTAGACTAGCCTAGTGCCTAAGTGCTAAGATATCATAAATATCTTTATAAGAAGGAGGCAGAGGGAGATATCACACATGCACAAAGGTGAAGCCATGTGAAGATGGAGCAGAGAGAAATTTGAAGATACTGGCCTTGAAGATTGAATTAATACGGCCACAATGCAAGGGATGCTGGCTGCCACCGTAATTAGGAAAAAACAAGTTGTGGATGATTCTCTAGAGCAGTGGCCCCCAACCTTTTTGGCACCAGGGATTGGTTTTGTGGAAGACAATTTTTCTATGGATGTGTTGGGCAGGGGGGTGGGTGATGGTTTGGGAATGAAACTGTTCCACCTTAGATTCTCATAAGGAGCATGCAATCTAGATCACTGCATGTGCAATTCACAATAGGGTTCATTCTCCTATGATGTGACAGGAGATGGAGCTCAGGCGGTAATGCTCGCTCGCCCACCGCTCACTTCCGTGCGGCCCAGTTCCTAACAGGACATTGACCGCTACTGGCCCATGGCCTAGGGGTAGGGGACCCCTGCTCTAGATCCTCTGGAGAGAACACAGTATTGTCAACAGTTTGATTTTAAACTGGTGAAGGTTATTTCAGACTTCCGGCCTCCATCACTGTAAGAAAATAAACTCCTGTTGTTTTAAGCTACCAAGTTTGTGGTGATTTGTTTCAGCAGCCACAGAAAACTAAAATAACCACTCTACTATAGATCCTGAAGTCACTAAGACATTAACTAGAGAAAACGATGAACAATTTTATGCCAATAAGTTTGAAAACATAGATAAAACAGACAAATTCTTACAAAAATATCAACTAATGAATATGATATAATAATAGATAAAATACCCTGATACCAAAGCCAGACATGAACCTTACAAGAAAATTACAAGCCAATATCCCTGATGAACATACATGTAAGAATTCTCGACAAAATACTGAAAAACAGAATTCAACAACACATTGCAAGGATCATTCACGACCATCGAGTGGGATTTATCCCAGGGATGTGAGGGTAGTTCAATGTACACAAATGTGTAAATGTGATAAACTACATTAACAGAATGAAGGACAAAAACGTATGATCCTCTCAGTAGAGGAACAAATGCATTTGATAAAATTTACCATCCTTTCGTGACTAAAAACTATAAAACAAATTACTTATGGAAGGAATATACTGCAACACAATAAAGGCCACATATGACAAACCCACAGCTAACATCATACCCCATGGTGAAAAGTGGAGTTTTTTTCTCTGAGATCAGGAACATAACAAGAATGTCCACTCTTGACACTTCTGTTCAACATGGTGTTAGAAGTTACAATTCAGCAAGTACAAGAAATAATAGGCATCCAAATTGGAAAGAAGAAGTCAAATTGTTCCTATTTGTAGATGGCATGATCTTACATATAGAAAACCCTAAAGACTCCACTAAAAACTATTAGGACTAATACATGAATTAGTAAAGTTGCAGGATATAAAATAAACATACAAAAATCAGTAGCATTTCTATATACTAACCACTAACTATCCACAAAAGATATCAAACCAGGCATGGTGGCTCATGCTTGTAATCCCAGTTCTTTGGGAAGCTGAGTTGGGCTGATCACTTGAGCCCAGGATTTTGAGACCAGCCTGGGCAACATAGCAAGACCCCATCTCTACAAAAAATATAAAAATTAGTGGGGCAAGGTGGCACGTGCCTCTAATCCAGCTACACAGGAGGCCGACGTGGGAGGATCAATTGAGCCCAGAAGGCCGAGGCTGCAGTGAGCTGTGATCATGCCACTGTACTTCAGCTTGTGTGACAGAGTGAGAACCTGTCTCAAAAAAAAAAAAAAAAAAAAAAAAACCAGGAAAACAATTCCATGGAAAAACATACTTCAAATACATTTAACCAAGGAGGTGAAAGACCTACACACTGAAAACCATAACACTTTGATGAAATAAACTGAAGAAGATGGAAAGATATATTTGTTCTTGGATTGGAAGAATTAATATGTTTTAAATGTTCATACTACCCCAAATAATCTACACAGTCAGTGTAATCCCTATCAAAATACCAATGATATTTTTCAAAAAAAAAATCCTAAAATTTGTATGGAACCACAAAAGACCCTGAATAGCCAAAGCAATCTTGAGCAAAAATAGCTAAGTCAAAGGCATCACACTACCTGACCGTAAAATATACTAAATAACTAAGGTAATCAAAAACAGCATGGTACTGGCAAAAAAAAAAAAAACAGCATGGTACTGGCACATAGACCAATGGAAAGGAATAAAGAACCCAGAAACAAATACATGTAAATAAGGTCAATTGATTTTTGACAAAGACACCAAGAATACACAATTGGCAAAGGAGAGTCTCTTCAATAAATTGTGTTGAGTTCAGTAGATATCCACATGCAGAGGAATGAAGTTAAACCCTTACCTTACACCATATACAAAGATCAACTCAAAATGGATTAAAGTCTTTAAACTAAGACCTGAAGCTGTAAAACTACAAGAAGAAAACCTAGGTGAAAAACTCCATGAGGTTCATATCGGCAGTGATTTTTTTGGATATCAACCCAAAAGCAGAGAGAACAAAAGCAAAAATAGACTAACGGGATTACATGAAACTAAAAAGCTTCTGCACAGCCAATGAAACAATCAACAGAGTGAAGAGATCTATAGGAAGAGAGAAAATATTTGCAAACTGTATATCTCATTAGCGGTTAGTATCTAAAATATATAAGGAACCCAAAAAACTCAATAGGAAGAAAACAAATAACTCAATTTAAAAATGGGCAAAGGAATGACTCTTTCTCTTGAGTACACACACACACACACACATTCCCCTTTCTTGAGCGTGTACTTTTCACTTTGTAATAAATCTCCATACTTTCACTATTTTCTGACTCATTCTTGAATTCTTTCTTCAGAAGTTATCAAAAGCCTGGATACTGGCTGGGGTCAAGGTCCCACCCACATTTGGGGACCACCCCCCACAAATCCACCAGCATTATCTTCATGGTGAACCAGCCAGGAGCATCATCACTCCCATTTTAGTACCATCAGCATTTGGTCATGCCAAGGACAAGTCAAGGGTATGGGTAACTGTAATTTAGAAAATGGGGTGCAATGGCCAGATAACAGGACCCTTAATTTTTAATACCATCTTGCAATTAGATCTTTTTAAAAACGTTGGGAGAAATGGACTGAAATATCATATGTACAGACCTTCATGACTCATCATCAGAGCTTTGACTGTCACGGAAATTGCCACCTTTGTTATGCTCATACCGCCTTTAGGGGAACTAAATGGGGAACTAGATATCCTAGATGATCCCCTTTGAAAAATGTACCTCCCGAGAGCCTTCTCACACTTTCTAATCCAGACCCAGTTCCTGCACCCCCAGCTCCTCCTTCTTACCGAACTCCACCTTTGAGTCCCCAGTCTTCTGCTAGTTCCACCGTCTTCAGCCCCCAGACTCCTGCTATTCCACCTCCTTACCAACCCATATGCCCTTCCCTACCAAAGGAACAGAGCCCTGCCAGGGTCACCAGCATTGGCATTTTCTACCTTCCTGATTATTCTAAGTTACGCCCATTTAGGGAGGTGGCCAATGGGAATGCTGGCCATCTAGGTATATGTGCCTTTTTCAATGTCTGATCTAGCACAATGCAGACAGAGGCTGGGCCGGTTTTCAGATAACCCAACTAAATTCATGGAGGAATTTTGGGCCCTCACTCTCATTTGAGTTAACTTGGGGAGATATTCATATTATCTTGTCCATGTCTTGTACCCATGAAGCAAAGCAGCGTATTTGGGTAGAGGCCCCGGCTTATGCTGGCAGCTTGTCAGCAGGGGTTTCTGAAAAAATACACTGCAGGGGCCACGTCTGTGCCTAACAATGACCCAATCTGGAGCTACCAATAGTGCTAGGCTTATCTAAGAATCAGGAACCGTATGGTGGCTTGTTTAGGGACGGGAATGGAAAAATGTACCACTAAGCCTGTAAACTGTGATAAAATAAGAGAAATAAGGAAAGGATGAAAACCCAGCTTTGTTCCAGGGATGTCTTGTAGTGACCCTAGGAAAATATACTAACATCGACCTCAGTATTGGTACTGGCCAAATTTTACTAGGGAAACACTTTAGTAGCCAGTCAGCACCCAACATTAGGAGAAAATGACAGAAATTGGCTTTGGGACCCCAAACGCCTATTCATCAAATGTTTGATGTGGCTTTTGGGATATTCAATAATAGGGACAGGGTTGAAGAGCCTGAAAGATTGACCCAGTGTATCAAACAACGGGCTAGACAGCCAGCCCAAATGATAGCAGTTGCTGTAAGCAGTGCCCTGCAACCTCAGGGCCACCCAGGAGGATGCTTCCAGCAAACCTGCAGTTGCTACTTCAAGTGCGGGAAGCCAGGACATTGAAGCAAGAACTGTCCCAGCCAGGGGAGCCCACCTGGACCCTGTCCTCACTGCAAGCCAGGAGGGCTATTGGAAAAGGGATTGCTCTCAGCTCCAAAGGGAGAGGAGGACACCTGATGCTATAATGGCCAAAACTGAGGACTGAAGGGGCCTGAGGTTCCTGTTAGCTCCCATAAAAGGCATGGTCATCACAACTGAGGAGCCTCGGGTCACTCTTGACCTGGTAGGTAAGAATATTAATTTCTTAATTGACCTAGGGGCTGGTTACTCTGTCTTAAACAGCCACTCTGGGCCTTTATCCCTCCAAAAGCTGCACCGTCACAGGTGTCAATGGCACCCCCAGGAATGCTTTACTTTACCCCTGAGCTGCAGGTTAGAAAACTATGTGGTCATTCACGAGTTTCTAGTTATGCCAGTGTCTTCCTCTTTTATTGGGATGGAACTTCCTAGCCACCCTCTGAGTCATTTTACATTTATCAGGCCTTTGGGAGCCCTCCCTTATTAGCAATGCTTCTTTTTTCTAAGTCAACCTCAGAAAAACAGGAAATCTCCCTCAAAATAACGTCTCAGGTAGACCCTCAAGTGTGAGACCAGGAAACCTCTGACAAAGCAATACACTCACAGCCAGTGATTGCCTCTTTAAAAGACAAAAATAATTTCCCACACAAGCATCAATATCCTCTCAAACCAGAAGTCAAGCATGGTCTACACTCTCTAATTGAGAAGTTTTTAAAACATAGCCTCCTGGTTCCATGTCACTCTCCTTGTAATACTCCTGTCCTCCCTATCCAAAATCCAAATGGGGAATATTGTCTAGTTCAAGACTTATGAGCCATTAATGAGGCATTAATTCCCTTACATCCTATAGTGCCAAATACTTACGCCATACTTGCCCAAATACTGGGAGACAACAGTTGGTTCATGATACTAGATCTCAAGGATGCTTTCATTTTGTATCCCTTTGCACCCTGACCCTTAATATTTGTTTGCTTTTAAGCAGACTAATCCTGGAACTATATTACCCAGCAGTATACCTGGACAGTACTGCCACTGGGCTTTAGGGATAGCCCTCACTTGTTCAGAAATGCCTTGGCACAAGAAATAAGGTAGATATAGCTAGAAAGGGGGGCCATACTGCAATACGTGAATGACATCCCTATAATGCAGTCTCATTAAAGAGGACTCAGATAAGAATGCCACTCAAGTCCTAAACTTCCTGGGAAAAAGAGGGTATCAAGTCTCTCCATCCAAGGTCTAGATGTCTAAACTGTAACTAAAATATCTGGGGTACCTTCTAAGTCCAGGTAATCATACCTTGTCCATTGAACAACAACAGAAAAGGCTACCTCCACAAATGAAGAAGAAACTCAGAACTTTTCTGGTTAGGGCAGGATTTTGCAGGATTTGGATCCTAGGATTTGGGCTCATTGCTAATCCATTGTATGAGATCCTAACATGGTCAGAGCATGAACCACTGAAATGGTCAGGGAAAGAACAGGAGACTTTAGCTTCTAGCTGAACAAAGAGAGGTTTATGCAATAATAAACCACACCAGTTGTTCTTATATTAATAATTAATGATTGGTTAAACTTCAAGTTCAAAAGATTTAACAGCAGGCTACCTGGCTACATAATTTCAATAACCCCACCACTCAAACCATCTGGGATTCCATCAAATAATGGCTACCAAATGTGACATGGTTCCTACCTTTCCTGTGACCTTTAACAGCTATATTATTACTATTAACCTTTGGTCCTTGCTTGTTTAACCTCCTTGTAAAGTTTGTGTCTTCTAGGTTGCAACAGTTTCATGTCAAAATATTGGTCATGCAAGCGTGCCAACCAATATCTGCCTCAGATTCACTCTCCTAATGACCCACCCATGGGACTTTTAAACTAGGCAACCAGAAAATTCCATGTCCTCACTAGGAGGACCAACAGCCCTAATCAACAGGAAGAAGATACAGAAGACTGACCTCCTCCCTCTTCAACCATTAAGAATAAGGAATGGAAATCTCTGAGGGAGGAAAATGAGATAGGAATAATACAGGGTGGTTGCAGGAGAATAGAAAATGCCAGGTAGCAGTTGCACATGACTAGCAAAAGGAAACTTAAAGCAGTTGCATAAGCAAGGGGCCGATAAGACCCTGAAAACCGGGGTGTGGACCAAGCTGGCTAAGACAGACTGAACCCAACATGGTGATGGATTTGACCTAGGTTTCACCTATAACCTCATTATGTGCTTATTAGCGTACTAAATTACAGACCCACCAGTGCCATATCAGTTCTGGGAGCATCCATATTTGGTGTAAAAACAGATGGCACCACAGTTCTGAGAAATCTCCACTTTCTCCAGGAATCTTCATGGATATTCCACTCCTTGGTTAAACAAACCCATAACGATAGAAACCCCAAATCCCCTTACTCCCCTTTCTGGAGTGTGTACTTTTCACTTTGTGATAATTCTCTGTATTTTCACTAAAAAAAGGCAAAGGATCTGAATAGACATTTTTCAAAAGAAGATATACAAATATGTGAAAAAATGCTCAAAATCACTAATTGTCAGAGATGCAAATTAAAACCACAATATGTCAATTCACACCAGTTAAAAATGGCTACTATTCGAAAAGACAAAAGATAACAAATGTTGGAGAGGATGTAGAGACAAAGGAACCTTTGCACAATGTTGGTGGGAATATAAATTAGTACAAACATTATGGGAGTTACTAAAAAGATTAAATATAGAACTTCCATATGATCCAGCAATGCCACTACCAGGTATATATACAAAAGAAATGATATCAGTATGTCAAAGAGATATCTGCACCTGCATGATTATTGCATCATTATTCACAATATCCAAGATATAGAATCAACCAAAGTGTTCATCAATGGACGAATGGATAAAGAAAACTTAGTATATCTACACAGTAGAATATTATTCAGCCTTAAAAAATGAAGCACATCCTGTCATTTTGGACAACATACTTGAAGCTGAAGGACATTATGTTAAGTAAAATAAGCCAGGCACAAAAAGACAAATACCACATGATCTCACCTACATGTAGCATCTTCAAAAGTTGAACTTGGAATTAGAGAGTAGAATAGTGGTTACCTGGGCTGGAAGGGAAATGTGGAAGGAGGTTGGTCACAGGCTACAAAATTTCAGTTAGGCTGAAGAAATAAGTTCAAGAGATCTATTGTGCAACATGGTGACCATAGCTAATTACAACGTGTTGTATTCTTGAAAACTGCTGGAGCCAAGATGGCCAAATAGGAACAGCTCTGGTCTACAGCTCTCAGCATGAGCGACGCAGAAGACGGGTGATTTCTGTATTTCCATCTGAGGTACCGGGTTCATCTCACTAGGGAGTGCCAGACAGTGGGTGCAGGTCAGTGGGTGCACGCACCGTGCGCGAGCCGAAGCAGGGCGAGGCATTGCCTCACTTGGGAAGCACAAGGGGTCAGGGAGTTCCCTTTCCTAATCAAAGAAAGGGGTGACGGACGGCACCTGGAAAATCGGGTCACTCCCACCCGAATACTGTGCTTTTCCCATGGACTTAAAACATGGCGCACCACGAGATTATATCCTGCACCTGGCTCGGAGGGTCCTACGCTCACGGAGTCTCGCTGATTGCTAGCACAGCAGTCTGAGATCAAACTGCAAAGCGGCAGCGAGGCTGGGGGAGGGGCGCCCGCCATTGCCCAGGCTTGATTAGGTAAACAAAGCAGCCGGGAAGCTCGAACTGGGTGGAGCCCACCACAGCTCAAGAAGGCCTGCCTGCCTCTGTAGGCTCCACCTCTGGGGGCAGGGCACAGACAAACAAAAAGACAGCAGTAACCTCTGCAGACTTAAATGTCCCTGTCTGACAGCTTTGAAGAGAGCAGTGGTTCTCCCAGCAGGCAGCTGGAGATCTGAGAACGGGCAGACTGCCTCCTCAAGTGGGTCCCTGACCCCTGACCCCTGAGCAGCCTAACTGGGAGGCACCCCCCAGCAGGGGCACACTGACACCTCACACGGCAGGGTATTCCAACAGACCTGCAGCTGAGGGTCCTCTCAGTTAGAAGGAAAACTAACAAACAGAAAGGACTTCCACACCAAAAACCCATCTGTACATCACCACCATCAAAGACCAAAAGTAGATAAAACCACAAAGATGGGGAAAAAACAGAACAGAAAAACTGGAAACTCTAAAAAGCAGAGTGCCTCTCCTCCTCCAAAGGAACGCAGTTCCTCACCAGCAATGGAACAAAGCTGGATGGAGAATGACTTTGACGAGCTGAGAGAAGAAGGCTTCAGACGATCAAATTACTCTGAGCTACAGGAGGACATTCAAACCAAAGGCAAAGAAGTTGAAAACTTTGAAAAAAATTTAGAAGAATGTATAACTAGAATAACCAATACAGAGAAGTGCTTAAAGGAGCTGATGGAGCTGAAAACCAAGGCTCGAGAACTATGTGAAGAATGCAGAAGCCTCAGGAGCCGATGCGATCAACTGGAAGAAAGGGTATCAGCAATGGAAGATGAAATGAATGAAATGAAGCGAGAAGGGAAGTTTAGAAAAAAAAGAATAAAAAGAAATGAGCAAAGCCTCCAAGAAATATGGGACTATGTGAAAAGACCAAATCTACGTCTGATTGGTGTACCTGAAAGTGATGGGGAGAACGGAACCAAGTTGGAAAACACTCTGCAGGATATTATCCAGGAGAACTTCCCCAATCTAGCAAGGCAGGACAACGTTCAGATTCAGGAAATACAGAGAACGCCACAAAGATACTCCTCGAGAAGAGCAACTCCAAGACACATAATTATCAGATTCACCAAAGCTGAAATGAAGGAAAAAATGTTAAAGGCAGCCAGAAAGAAAGGTCGGGTTACCCTCAAAGGGAAGCCCATCAGACTAACAGCGGATCTCTCGGCAGAAATCCTACAAGCCAGAAGAGAGTGGGGGCCAATATTCAACATTCTTAAAGAAAAGAATTTTCAACCCAGAATTTCATATCCAGCCAAACTAAGCTTCATAAGTGAAGGAGAAATAAAATACTTTACAGACAAGGAAATGCTGAGAGATTTTGTCACCACCAGGCCTGCCTTACAAGAGCTCCTGAAGGAAGCACTAAACGTGCAAAGGAACAACCGGTACCAGCCGCTGCAAAATCATGCCAAAATGTAAAGACCATCGAGACTAGGAAGAAACTGCATCAACTAATAAGCAAAATAACCAATGGACTAAATGCTCCAATTAAAAGACACAGACTGGCAAATTGGATAAAGAGCCAAGACCCATCAGTGTGCTGTATTCAGGAAACCCATCTCACGTGCAGAGACACACATAGGCTTAAAATGAAAGGATGGAGGAATATCTACCAAGCCAATGGAAAACAAAAAAAAGGCAGGGGTTGCAATCCTAGTCTCTGATAAAACAGACTTTAAACCAACAAAGATCAAAAGAGACAAAGAAGGCCATTACATAATGGTAAAGGGATCAATTCAACAAGAAGAGCTAACTATCCTAAATATATATGCACCCAATACAGGAGCACCAAGATTTATAAAGCAAGTCCTGAGTGACCTACAAAGAGACTTAGACTCCCACACATTAATAATGGGAGACTTTAACACCCCACTGTCAACATTAGACAGATCAACGAGACAGAAAGTCAACAAGGATAACCGGGAATTGAACTCAGCTCTGCACCAAGCGGACCTAATAGACATCTACAGAACTCTCCACCCCAAATCAACAGAATATACATTTTTTTCAGCACCACACCACACCTATTCCAAAATTGACCACATATTGGGAAGTAAAGCTCTCCTCAGCAAATGTAAAAGAACAGAAATTATAACAAACTATCTCTTAGACCACAGTACAATCAAACTAGAACTCAGGATTAAGAATCTCACTCAAAACTGCTCAACTACATGGAAACTGAACAACCTGCTCCTGAATGACTACTGGGTACATAACGAAATGAAGGCAGAAATAAAGATGTTCTTTGAAACCAATGAGAACAAAGACACAACATACCAGAATCTCTGGGACGCATTCAAAGCAGTGTGTAGAGGGAAATTTATAGCACTAAATGCCCACAAGAGAAAGCAGGAAAGATCCAAAATTGACACCCTAACATCACAATTAAAAGAACTAGAAAAGCAAGAGCAAACACGTTCAAAAGCTAGCAGAAGGCAAGAAATAACTAAAATCAGAGCAGAACTGAAGGAAATAGAGACACAAAAAACCCTTCAAAAAATTAATGAATCCAGGAGCTGGTTTTTTGAAAGGATCAACAAAATTGATAGACCACTAGCAAGACTAATAAAGAAAAAAAGAGAGAAGAATCAAATAGACACATTAAAAAATGATAAAGGGGATATCGCCATCGATCCCACAGAAATACAAACTACCATCAAAGAATACTACAAACACCTCTACGCAAATAAACTAGAAAATCTAGAAGAAATGGATAAATTCCTGGACACATACACTCTCCCAAGACTAAACCAGGAAGAAGTTGAATCTCTGAATAGACCAATAGCAGGAGCTGAAATTATGGCAATAATCAATATCTTACCAACCAAAAAGAGTCCAGGACCAGATGGCTTCACAGCCGAATTCTACCAGAGGTACAAGGAGGAACTGGTACCATTCCTTCTGAAACTATTCCAATCAATAGAAAAAGAGGGAATCCTCCCTAACTCATTTTATGAGGCCAGCATCATTCTGATACCAAAGCCAGGCAGAGACACAACAAAAAAAGAGAATTTTAGACCAATATCCTTGATGAACATTGATGCAAAAATCCTCAATAAAATACTGGCAAAACGAATCCAGCAGCACATCAAAAAGCTTATCCACCATGATCAAGTGGGCTTCATCCCTGGGATGCAAGGCTGGTTCAATATACACAAATCAATAAATGTAATCCAGCATATAAACAGAGCCAAAGACAAAAACCACATGATTATCTCAACAGATGCAGAAAAAGCCTTTGACAAAATTCAACAACGCTTCATGCTATAAACTCTCAATAAATTAGGTATTCATGGGATGTATTTCAAAATAATAAGAGCTATCTATGACAAACCCACAGCCAATATCATACTGAATGGGCAAAAACTGGAAGCATTCCCTTTGAAAACTGGCATAAGACAGGGATGCCCTCTCTCACCACTCCTATTCAACATAGTGTTGGAAGTTCTGGCCAGGGCAATTAGGCAGGAGAAGGAAATAAAGAGTATTCAATTAGGAAAAGAGGAAGTCAAATTGTCCCTGTTTGCAGACGACATGATTGTATATCTAGAAAACCCCATTGTCTCAGCCCAAAATCTCCTTAAGCTGATAAGCAACTTCAGCAAAGTCTCAGGATACAAAATCAATGTACAAAAATCACAAGCATTCTTATACACCAACAACAGACAAACAGAGAGCCAAATCATGAGTGAACTCCCATTCACAATTGCTTCAAAGAGAATAAAATACCTAGGAATCCAACTTACAAGGGATGAGAAGGACCTCCTCAAGGGGAACTACAAACCACTGCTCAAGGAAATAAAAGAGGATACAAACAAATGGAAGAACATTCCAAGCTCATGGGTAGGAAGAATCAATATCGTGAAAATGGCCATACTGCCCAAGGTAATTTACAGATTCAATGCCATCCCCATCAAGCTACCAATGACTTTCTTCACAGAATTGAAAAAAACTACTTTAAAGTTCATATGGAACCAAAAAAGAGCCTGCATCGCCAAGTCACTCCTAATCCAAAAGAACAAAGCTGGAGGCATCACACTACCTGACTTCAAACTATACTACAAGGCTACAGTAACCAAAACACCATGGTACTGGTACCAAAACAGAGATATAGATCAATGGAACAGAACAGAGCCCTCAGAAATAACGCCGCATATCTACAACTATCTGATCTTTGACAAACCTGAGAAAAACAAGCAATGGGGAAAGGAGTCCCTATTTAATAAATGGTGCTGGGAAAACTGGCTAGCCATATGTAGAAAGCTGAAACTGGATCCCTTCCTTACACCTTATACAAAAATCAATTCAAGATGGATTAAAGACTTAAACGTTAGACCTAAAACCATAAAAACCCTAGAAGAAAACCTAGGCATTACCATTCAGGACATAGGCATGGGCAAGGACTTCATGTCTAAAACACCAAAAGCAATGGCAACAGAAGACAAAATTGACAAATGGGATCTAATTAAACTAAAGAGCTTCTGCACAGCAAAAGAAACTACCATCAGAGTGAACAGGCAACCTACAAAATGGGAGAAAATTTTCACAACCTACTCATCTGACAAAGGGCTAATATCCAGAATCTACAAGGAAGTCAAACAAATTTACAAGAAAAAAACAAGCAGCCCCATCAAAAAGTGGGAGAAGGAGATGAACAGACACTTCTCAAAAGAAGACATTTATGCAGCCAAAAAACACATGAAAAAATGCTCATCATCACTGGGCATCAGAGAAATGCAAATCAAAACCACAATGAGATACCATCTCACACCAGTTAGAATGGCAATCATTAAAAAGTCAGGAAACAACAGGTGCTGGAGAGGATGTGGAGAAATAGGAACACTTTTACACTGTTGGTGGGACTGTAAACTAGTTCAACCATTGTGGAAGTCAGTGTGGCGATTCCTCAGGGATCTAGAACTGGAAATACCATTTGACCCAGCCATCCCATTACTGGGTATATACCCAAAGGACTATAAATCATGCTGCTATAAAGACACATGCACACGTATGTTTATTGCAGCATTATTCACAATAGCAAAGACTTGGAACCAACCCAAATGTCCAACAATGATAGACTGGATTAAGAAAATGTGGCACATATACACCATGGAATATTATGCAGCCATAAGAAATGATGAGTTCATGTCCTTTGTAGGGACATGGATGAAATTGGAAATCATCATTCTCAGTAAACTATCGCAAGAACAAAAAACCAAACACCACATATTCTCATCATAGCTGGGAATTGAACAATGAGATCACATGGACACAGGAAAGGGAATATCACACTCTGGGGACTGTTGTGGGGTGGGGGGAGGGGGGAGGGATAGCATCGGGAGATATACCTAATGCTAGATGACGAGTTAGTGGGTGCAGCGCACCAGCATGGCACATGTATACATATGTAACTAACCTGCACAATGTGCACATGTACCCTAAAACTTAAAGTATAATAATAAAAAAAAAAAGAAAACTGCTATGAGAATAAACTTTAAGGATTCTCACCACACACACACATAAGTATGTGAGGTAATGCATATTTTAATTGGCTTGTTTTGTTAAAAAAATCAAGAGATGCACAATTTGAATTGTGTTATAATTGTTTCAAAAATATAATATTAAATCAGTATCTTTATCTAGAGAAAATATCAGGCCCACACCACTTCCCTGACAAATTTTACCACATATTTACCAAAGAACACCATCTCCTATGAATTGATTCAAAGAAAAAAGTTAGAGATACTGCTCTCCCAAATTGTTTTGTAATAACTTTACAAATATCAAAGCCTGAAATCATCTTATAAAAAGAGAAAATTGTAGTATTTTCTTATCTATAAACAGAGATAGAAAAAATCTTTTAAAAAATAAAAAGCAAGCCAAATCCGGCAATATATAAAGAGATTAATACACCATGTTAAAATTAGATTTTTTTTTAAGAATGCAAAATCAATTCTACTTTAAAATAACAATCAAAGTAAGTTGTCACATTACCAGATAAAAGAAGAAAAATAAGAGAATAGCTCAATAGATGCAAGAAAACTATTTTTAATAAAATTCGAAGTCTGGCTGGGTGCAGTCACTCACGCCTATAATCCCAGCACATTGGAAGGCTGAGGCAGGCGGATCACCTGAGGTCAGGAGTTCAAGACCAGCCTGGCCAACATGGTGAAACCCTGTCTCTACTAAAAATACAAAAATTAGCTGCGCGTGGTAGTGGCACCTGTAATCTCTGCTTCTCAGGAGGCTGAGGCAAGAGAATCACTTGAACCTTGGGAGGAGGAGGTTGCAATGAGCCGAGATGGTGCCACTGCACTCCAGCCTGGGCTACAAGAGTGAAACTCTGTCTCAACAACAACAACAAAAAATTCAAAGTCCATGCCAATACAAAAATTCTTAGAAATCAGTGGAAAATAAGAGAAAATCCTTAGTCTATTAAATGATGTGTATAAAGAACTTTATATCAAATGTAATGGTAAAAACTAAAAGCATTTTCTTTTGGGTAAATAAGGCAAAGTTACCTCTTGTCACCACTTTTTTTTTTTTTTTTTTTTTGAGATGGAGTCTCACTCTGTCATCAGGCTGGAGTGAAATGGCGCAATCTCGGCTCACTGCAACCTCCCCCTCATGGGTTCGAACGATTCTCCTGCCTCAGCCTCCCAAGTAGCTGGGACTACAGGCACATGCCACCACACCCAGCTAATTTTGGTAGTTTTAGTAGAGACGGGGTTTCACTATGTTGGCCAGGATGGTCTCGATCTCTTGACCTCATTATCCACCTGTCTCGGCCTCCCAAAGTGCTTGGATTACAGGAGTGAGCCACCATGCCCAGCCTTGTCACCACTTCTTTTCAACATGAGCTAGTGGTCTTTACCAGTGCAATAATACAAAAATAAGAACCAAAAGTTAAAGAGTTGAGAGGGAAGAAATAAAGCAATAATTATGTGTGAATAATATGTTTGTGTGTGTAAAAAATTTCCAAAGAACCCACAGATAAATTATTAGAATTAATAGGCAAGTTTATCCAAGTTGGTGGATGCAAAAATCAACATATAAAATCAATTTTAATTCTATATATCAGCAAAAAGCAGAACATGAAAAATTTAAAATTAGCTAAAGATAGTTTCCCTTTATAATAGCAGCAAATTACTTATATTTATGGTATGTTGTAAAAACTCAAAATAATTTTAAGATGCTATTTTATAAAAGCATCAAAAATTTCAAGAAGACCTAAATAAAGTGTGGGAGATAACATGCTCATTAATAGGAAGTCTCAATGTAACACAGATGTAAATCTACACATTGATCTATAGAATCAATGCTATCTTAATTAAAATATTAACAGGTGTGTGTCTGTGTGTGTGTGTGTGTAATTGATAAGATGATTCTATATTTTCTATAGAAATGCTAAAGCCAAGATACTTAGGGGAAAGACAACAGTAAAGTGCAACTGCTCTGTCAGATATCAAGCCTTATAAGTATTTTAGGAAGTAGTTAAGAATGTGTAGCATTGATACAAAGATTGTTGAACGAATAGAACAGAAAAGGAGAGCCAGAAAAAGACCCATATATTGCAAAGGCAACACTTTCAAGCTTCAGAGAAAGGTCAGTCTTTTCAACAAAGGGTGTTTTAGACAACTGGATGTCTGTATAGAAAAACAAAGAGATATAATACTTAACCTCCATTGTATATCACACGCAAGAGTGAATTTCAGCTCATTTGAATTTTTAAAAGAGAAAAGTAAAACAATGAAACCTTTAGAAAATAATGATTTACAGTTTTTTGTTTGTTTGGTTTTTTTGGGGACGGAGTCTCCCTCTGTCGCCAGGCCGGAGTGCAGTGCCGCCATCTGGGCTCACTGCAACCTCTGCCTCCTGGGTTCAAGTGACTCCCCTGCTTCAGCCTTCCGAATAGCTGGGACTATGGGCATGTGCCACCACATCTGGCTAAATTTGTATTTTTAGTAGAGGTGGGGTTTCACCATGTTGGCCAGGAGGGTCTCAATCGTCTGACCTCGTGATCCACCCACCTTGGCCTCCCAAAGTGCTGGGATAACAGGCGGAGCCACTGCCCAGCCTTGACAGTATTTTTAACCTCAAAGAAGGGAAGTATTTCTCAAACAGAATTAAAGCACAAACTACAGAGAAAATGACTGATAACCTGGATCATGTTAAAATTAAGAACTTCATTAAAAGAGACCATTAAGAGAGTAAAAATTCAAGACAGTTACAGAAGTTATTTTCTTATAACTGGATCATACCCAGAATAAATTAAAAACATCTACAAATCAATAAGTACAGACCACCAGAAATTTGAAAGGGCAATTATTTACTTAAACAGAAACTTCATAAAAAAGATATCCAAATGGCTAATACATGTATAAAAGAGTGTTCAATATTATTAGTCCTCAGGAAAATGAAAATGAACACTTTTATGAAATACCACTACACAGTCATCAGAATAATTAAAATTTTAAAATATGCAATAAAGTTCAAACTTTTAAAAAACTCTCCCACACTCTTGTTAGAAAAGTATACTGGTACAACCACTTCAGAAAACAGTTTAGGATTATCTGCTGAAGTTGAAAGCTATATAGACCTTATGACACAGCAATACTACTCTTAGGAATGTATTAACAAATGCATGTACATTTCGGCCATGTGCTATGTGTGAACAAGTAAATTCACAGAAGCATTATTTGTAAGAGCAAAAATTCTATACAAACCAAATTCCATCATTTGGTGAAACAAACAGTAGAATACAGCAATGGAGATAAGCAAATGACTGCACAGCATGTGAATTTCTCAAAGGTAATATTGATTTAAATAAGCCAGTCTCAAAATATTATACACTGTATATTTCAAATTATAGAGGTGTCAAAAGCAGACAAACTTCTACTATGATGTTTTGGATGCGTATTTAGAAGGAAAAATGGGTCACAGTTACCTTTGTTTTGCGGAAGGGGAATAGATATGCTTTTGAAGCTTACAACGTTTCAGTTATTGACTTGGATGATGCTGTCATGAGTGTTAACTTTATGAGAATTCATTAACAAATGTCTATGTTTTATGCACTTTGCTATGTTTAAAAATGTTTTAAAGGGGATATTATGTACTCTTGAAGACAATGATATATTAAAATGTCACGATGACAATGATCACACATGTCATTGATAACACAACCCCCAAATACGCAAAGCATCAACTGACAGAAATAAACCAATAGTTGTAATTAGGGATTGAGACATTTCTCTTAGAAACTAATAGCAACTGGACAAAAAGTAAGCAGTTGGGAAATATTTAAATAACATTAACAATGTGTTAAAAGTAGGTATTTCACCTACCACTCAGAATATTCACGTTTTTTTAAGGTCAAGTGGAACTTTCTCAAAAATTGGGTAGACACTCAACCGCAAAGGAAATGTTTAAAAAATTACATGACTCAATCACATACAGGCTACATTGTCTGAAAATAAACAACATGTAATTTTACATCATTAATAACAAATATTTTAGAATACATCTCTGAGAATATACACATATACACATACCTCAAGTTGCTAAAAAGTCCTCAATTAAAGAGAACATCATAAGAAATATTGTGGAATCCTTAGAACTAAATGCCAGCAAAAGCACTGCATGTCAAATTTCGTGGACTACTGCTAAAGCAGTATCTAAAGGGAAATGTATAGCTTTGAACACATTCATTTAAAAAATGGAAATTGAATAGAAATTATCAAAGCAATTGTGATATATTGAATTATTGTTTCTATTTACTTACTTTCCTGTATATCTGCCATGTAAATGTGCAGTTCATCCCACAAAACTGCTTTGGACTTGGCTACACGACTGACTTTGGCCAATGGCAGGTGGGTAGACAAGAGACAAGCAATGGGCTTGAAATGTATTTATGCCTTGAGACTTGCTTTCTTGTACCTCTGCAATCATCCTGATAAAACTGTCTTCTGAGTAGCTGCCACCTCAGCAGTCTGGACCCCAGAGAGAGATAAGTGGAGAAGACCTCAGCCATCCAGACCTGCAGGGTGAAGCAGAGACACTCAGTCAAGCCCTGTCTAGCCATAACAACCACCTCAAAGAATTAAGTGCTTTATTTTTATAACTCACTGAGATCTTGTGGTTGTTATGCAGCGAAAACTGACTGATAGAAAAATCAGAAGTTGAGCTGCTGCCATAACATAAAATTAAAATATCTGGAAGTAGGTTTGGGACAAAGGCAGCGGGGGGACACATCTATGGAGAGCTGAAAAAGAATGTTATCGAAGGTGGGGGAGGGGGTGGGGAAGGCAATCTATGCTACATTCTAGCAACTCATTTGTAACAGTTTTGGCTGCAGTAACATGGAATAAAAAAATGAATCTAACACATTTATGGACTTAGGAAAGATGGCTTATAGTCAAAATGATAAATGCATGAGTTGATTGCTCTAACTGCCTATAATAAGATAAATGGATTTATAATATGGAGAAAGAGATATACTCAGAAGTAAACTGGTCAGTTTGCAAGCTGAATTAGAGGGAATATAGATTATTTACTTAGAAAATCCAGGAGTATAAACAAATGATTATAAGGAAATTCAACAAAGTTTCTAAGTACAAGATCAACATACAAAATGAAATAGCATTTCTCTGTTCAAAAACACAACAAAACAATACACTAACATATAAAATAACTTGTAATTTGCAAAAGCTACAAATTTATGAAGTATCTAGGAATTGGTTAAAGAAAGACTTTATGGTGATACAATTTAAAAATATCTCTATTAAAGAAATTAAATATACAAGAATAAATGGAGAGATAAACATTCATTGAATTTGAATCACAAAAATGTTAATTTTCTCCAAATTCATTTCTACATTAAAAAATCTAATAATATTTATAGAAGGATCAGTTTTAGAATTCAAAATAAGATTTTGAATTTCAAGCGGAAGAATAAAATTTCCCAAGTAACTAGGAATTTGAAACATAAGACAAAGTGTGTTGTCTTATGTTTTGTGGGCATGGGTGCAGGATACACTCTATCAGATATTTAGATGAATTATAACACTATGGTAATAAAATAATATGGTATTATGGCAGTAACATATAAATTGTCCAAAGAACAGAATAAAAAAAAACAAAATAAACTTCTTTACCTAGGGTAGTTTTGTATGATATCAAAGTGACATCACAAATCGATGTGGAAAAAAGAGATTCTGATATAAATAGAATCTTATATACATTAAAAACATTCAAATTAGATTAAATAAGACCAAAATGTGACACTTAAATTATAAAAATAATTGCATAAAAAAGAAAGAATATATTTTAAACTCTGAAGCCATAGGATGAAATTGATGAATTTGACTTTATTGAAGTTAATAATTTCTAGTCAACAAAGGCAAAGGTCAATGTTATGAGATGCATGACAGACTAGGAGAAGACATTGCAAAAACTGAAAGTGACAGGGATCAATATGTAGAATATACAAAGAACTCCTGCAAATGAACAAAAAAAAACCCCAATATAAAAAAAGCAAAGTGTATAAATACAAAATTCACAGAAAGGAGAGACAGAGTAGGTACAAAAAACAAGAAAAGAAGCTCAGAGAAATATAAATCTAACCAAAAATACAGTATTTTTAAAATAATGAGATTAGAAAAAGTTTAATAACCACATAAAATGTATATGCTGCTGAGGGGAAATGAAATAAACATACCACTAGTGGGAGTTCAAACTAATCTAATTCTGTAGGATAATTTCTGTACTGAAAATAAATATAGAAATGGTCAATGACCTAGTAACCCCACGCCTGGACATATATTTCAGAAAAACAATTACATTGGTCCATAAGGAAAAGCATCCAAAGATGTTCATTGTAACATTGCATATTGTATTAAAGCTTTGAAAGCAAACTTATTGTTCATCACAAGGGGAATAGATAAAATATGATATATGCCTTCAATGGCTTACTATGTGGCAGATTTCCTCCTAAAACACAGATAAGTCTTAAAATCTAGTGTAGGGTAAAAAATAAAAAACAGAATAAGATAGTCAACACAGCACCATTTCTGTATATTAAAAGTCTTACACAAACCAACATTATATGTTTTTCAAGGACTCACAAGGAGACATTGCAGAATGAAAGAGCCATGAGGGAATGAGAGAGCATTTCTTGATCTAAGCAAAAGAATTAATTCACTCTGTATTCTACCTATTCAAAATTTTTAAAAAAAGTACTATCATTCAGTTTCAAGAAACTGCTAAACATAGGGTTAGTGTTTTAAGATATTAGGTTCAGGAACTAGACAAGCTGCATTCAAATTTAGCTGACTCGTGCACTAATTATTTGGTCCTTGAGCAAGTTATTTAACTTCTCTGAGACTCCTTTTCTTCATCTATAAAATGAAGATATTAATGTTATTTCCCTCATAAAGAAATTGGGAATATTAAATTGTATAATGTATTTAAAGAACTCAGCATAGTGTCCAGCACACAGTTAGGCCCACGATTGGTTTCTGGCTGGACCTGCATTGTGCATCAGGTCAACCCTGATTCTATACTACTTTAATTCCCACTCAGGAGAAGCTCCCCGAAGCAGCCTCCTATGCATCTGCATCCAAACACCCGCATTTTTCCCCTGCCCTGAAGGCTTTTCTCCCAGTTTAAATTACATTATCCTGGAGTATCATCTGGCCTCTCTTGGAAAAGACATAAAGAGGAAGAAAGAAATTACATTTTCAACATATTGAACTTTTAAAATGAAACAAAGTATTTCCCTAAATTATCTAATTTAATCCTAATAGCAACCCTTCGATAGTATATTTATCCCCATTTATCTAAGCAGAATATACTTAACTAGGAATAACATCGCATAGCTAGTTAGTGGCAGAGTTGGCTTTGACCCTATACATTAAAAACTCAGTTTATGCATGTAACCAGTATGGCGTACTGTTTCTCATCACTTTCCGCAGTCTATTTAAGCACCACCAAATCTTATTAAACCCAAACAAGTAAGTCCTGTGTCAAATAATTCCTTGTGTGTAAAACCATACTCATATTAAACATCTACTTACTTAATAACCAGCACAGGAATTACTCTGAACTACTTACTTATTTCTGAGGAGAAAGTGGCTTTTTTTCTATATGTACAGTTAAAAATATAGGCTACAAATCTTCTTTTGATTTATAAGCATGAACAAATTTGGTACATTAGGGATGGCCAATTCATTTTTATTTCAAAAGGAAGACCCAGGCAAAATAAAAGTCTAATGGATATAAAGAATCTCTGAGAGATTATTACAAAAATACCTGCAAAATAGTGTTTAATATTAATTGCTAGTATTCTTCATTCGTAATGATATAAAATCCCATATTTTAAGGGAAAAAGTTAACACTTGTATGGCTATAGACTTCACTTTGGAAATTGCTCTTATGACTTTAGCTTTCTATGTGCTTTTTAAAATAGCAGACAGTTCTTCACTTCCCAATAAAACTGTGAAATTCGACCGAGAATGGCAGATTGAATTGGAGTGTGAATAGTGTGATTTAATGCTCCCGCTAGTCTGAAATGTTTTCCTGTTAGGCCCTTTTAGCGACCCCTCCCAAAAGTTTGTTTGCATTACCTAAAATCAGCGCTCCAAAGTTCACCACATTGCGAAACACACAGACTGCTATTATTTTCACAATGCTAAACACTTTTTTTTTTCTCACAGTAAAGTCCATTTCTCGTTTGATTGCATGTAACAAAATTTGTATTCTAAAGCTTCACTGTTTCAGAATCGTTCATCAAAGTTGTGATATAGGACTTCTGGCAAAATTATCCAAATAATCCCATATACCCTAAGACATTGTTTTCAATTCTTTTGTTTTTAAATTTAGTTTCTTAGGGGATGGGGTCTCACTATGCTGCCCAGGCTAGTCTTAAACTTCTGGGGTCAAGCAATCCTCCCACCTCTGCCTCCCAAAGTGCCAGGATTACAGGCATGGGCCACTGTGCCCAGCCTCTTTTCAGTTCTTTTAAAAAATAGTACTGTTAAATATATATTATGCTTAAAGAGCATTTTCATTCATGGGCTCTGCTATGTCTACTTTGTTTCTTTTTTTAATGTACACACATATACACTTTTGGTTTATGATCTTAAATCAAAAAAACACTTCTTACTTGGAGCAAAGTTTCTCAAGTTTAAAATTCTGTGACATGTTATGGCAATACATGATTATATTGGTACTTTTTTAAGATTGTACAATAGATGAAATGGTTAATTATTAATCTGGCTGGTATCTGTAATGAAAAAGGGAGTTCTTGCTTTTAGGCCACAGACTCAGTATGTAAATCTCTGGTGTTGCTGCAATCATAATATTCCTGCAGCTATGGTGTCACCTATTGTAATTTTTCTGCTAATAAACAAATTTGAACTAGCCAGGAATCCTAAATTTTGAGACTAGTTGTTTATCTGAAATATACTCCAGAGCAATAGTAATGCAGTTCTGCTTTGAATTTAATTTAAACAGAAACAGGCAAAACAAATCTCTATGGAGGATATTTGACAATAATAAAATATTTCTCCCAGCGGGTGAGCTGGTAGTGATTGTATTGTGCAATCCAAGCTCACGTTTCAGTAGGTCATTACCATCATAACAAGCCCTTGGACCAACTGGCATGGACATGCAACATTGAGCCCCTGATGGTCACATTATTTCAAACCTTTAACTTCATGAAGAACAAGACAAATACTCCTGGGAAAGCGGGATTATATTTTGAAATTCCTTTCTTTTCTATTTGTTTCACAATAAGATGCAGTACACAATCCATCTACTGCTACTTGTTTCTTTTTGTTTTTTTCCACACTACCAGGGGGCATGAGAAGCTAGATTTAGAGATTCGAAAGGCCAGATGCACTGACTTCAACACTTTCTCATCTATTAGTCTATGGTGCTATCCATTCAGGATGTAAACCATTGTGGATGAAACAAAAGCCTTAAGCATAGCTCTCTCTTCTTTCACAAGTTAATCACAAATTAAATTTTATAATAAGCAAAGTGCACCTAAAGTTTTTTGCAGAGGCCCAAGGATGAAGCATTCTATCTCGTTCCTACCTCTCACCTAAATCAACAACTTGAAAAATATAGGTAAGAGAAGTCCTTCCAAGAAATGAAAATTTTCTAACTTTGTTGCTCTTTTGTTTGTCAATAGGGAAAGACAGGTTTTTTGGATCCCACCTAAATTAATTCTAAAGCACATTAATGGGCCAAATGAGTAGGATTTAAAAAGCGGTGGGGGGTGTGGGGGAAGTTGTGAGATATTCTGCAAACAAGTTTTTGAGGAGCTATCCATCTCCACCTTTATAGGGAGATATAACAGGAAGATGTGGCTTGGCAGTCATCAAATAAAATGTATTTTTCATATGTTTTGTGGAGGTCAAAACAAAGTTCATTTCATTGGTTTGGTAAGGAAACAAAAGGTTAAGTACTTTCGTCTTGTTATTAAAAAGAAACCCTAATAAAAATTTAGAACCAATATTAAAAAGTTCATTATTTTTGGTTTATTTGAGAAAAGTATAAAAATTTTAAGCAAGTGTTTCTCCGTCTTGTCTTCAGGTTGGAATCACCTGGAGATCTTGTGTAAGCATTCCAAAACCCAGGACACATCTTGGATCAATGAAACCACAATCTCTGTGGGTGGGACATGAGGATCAGGAATTTTGACACTCCCCAGGTGATTTCAATATGCAGACAAATTTGGGGACCACTGGCGTAAAAATAAACCACTTATAAACAACTGGTGAAAATAAAAGTGATCCCTTAAAAAGATAATGCATTTGTCAGAGGTACTTGTTGTTTATGTATTGAGAAAGACAACATGCTGAAGTGTCAAAATCCTACTTCATTTTCTTTTACACCTATGGCAACCATGATAAATATGTCAGTACCAGAAAAGTTGTCCTGTAAGAATTTTAAGTTATAAAAACAGCAAGACAGTTCTAACAGGAATTCTTTAAAGTGTGTGTGCGTGTGTGTGTGTGTGTGTGTTTATGCCTAACATATTTTACAATGAGGACCTCTTGTAGAAGATTACAGACATGATTTTTCCTTTTAGGTTTGTATCTTGCATTGTTTGTTTCAGTCCCATCCAAGCACTTAAAAAATATCAAAAGTAAAACATGTCAGATTTTATGTTGAACTGTTGCCACTCAAAGGACATTAAAATATAAAAAAGACAATACTGAGCTATCTTGTTCGGTACTGCATCTTAGTCATTTAGGTAATCTCGTGGCCCTAAAACCAATTCAGTTTAGTGGCCTTTGTGTCATCAGCTTGCTTCTCTAGAGAACCAACCACCTCTGAAAGGTGAGAAATACGGTGGGCAAACACAATGACAAAACACCCTCAAGATAGGCAGAGAAGCCAAGAAAGCACATATTAGCACTTCGGTGATGGCTCCAGGAGGGTCCAGTGGAAGCTACAACTTGACCCTGAGCAGCAAGGGCTGTAACCTCTCTGAGTGTAAAAGGCAAGAGGAGGCCATTTGCTGTCAGCAGTGCTGTTTAACCCTCTTGAATTCGAAGACAGCTCCCCCTCCTAATTCACACGGATCTCTAAGCTCTGCTTGTTGACTTCTCATTCAGGAAATCTGGTCAGCAGCTCTACTGCTGCTCCACATAGCCTGCAGCTTGCCAAAGAGCTCGGAGCAAGCGCATGATTTAATTGTTGATAGAGGGAAATAATGGGTATCTCTAGCAGGCTTTAATATGATCTTAAAATAGGGGGAGAGTTTTCTGTTATGACATTGACATAGAGGCGATGATTTTGAGTAATGCAGGATGATGTGGAGATGCTTTAAGATTAAATAAGAGCTATATAAAGGCTTGTCAGAATGAATTCTAATGTGCCATGAGACACTTTGCATACTCTTAAATATGCAAAATGTCTCTTGGCACCCTAGAATTCATTCTGACAAGCCTTTATATAGCACTTATTTAAACTCCGACTTTATTTTTAGGGAACAGGTACTCAGAGATACTCTTTGAATGGAAGCAACAAAGGGCAGTGTTTATCAATTTGGTTCTTTAGCGGGGGGAAAAAAAGAAACACAATACAAAAGAGCAGTCAAAAGTGGAAGCTTGTTTAATATTGCTCTACCATCATCCTGAAAGGCATAATAATTTGAGTTACACATCTGAACTGATTGGAGTTACAGAATCATATCTCCTTTTTGCATTTAACAATATATACAATATAAAATAAATACATTTACACAAATGGACATTTGCTGGAGCACACAGTATGGTACACATCACAAAAATATACAATTGATTGCTTTACAGATGTGAAGCCCATCTACAGCTATAGACATGGTTTTATTATTATTATTATTATTTTTACTACTGGCTATAATGCAACTCCTGGATTATTATAAGCAGTTTAAATTTTTTGTCCTTTTACGATCTTTGCACATAAGACTGCCATAAAATGTTTTCCTAGGCAGGTAAACAGAGACGCTTAAATAATTAAAATACAATCACCAACACCCATTTTCTCTTCTATAAGAAAAATAGCAGTTTTAAATTTTTTATATCTTTTATGTTATCATTTAAATGCAAAATAGTGGAATAAATACAACAATCTGATCTGATTGAAACACAAGTGTAACTACAAGGAGTCACACAATCATATTGCTTTAAATAAGAACGAACCTAAAAGAAGCAAAATTAAAATTAAAATCATATGGCTAAAACATACACCTTTATAACTTTCCAAAACTTCACATTAAGTAAATGGTCTTGCTTGAAACTTGAGAAGACTTCCCTCTAGTGAGGTTTAAGATGAGCATTTACCCTAAAGCCCGTGCAGTTCTTTTTAAATCCACGTTTTAGTTTTATTTCCTATTTGTGAGATACTTACTCTTTTGTAATGCTGAGAGTTACTTAAACTGAAAACTAAAAAATTGTATCTCATTCTTTGAACATATCTCCATCTCAGGTTTTCAGTTGGTTGGCTCTTACTTCTGAAGCCCAAGTACTTTAATGTGATACAGTGAAAACAATGTATATATTGTATATATTTTATTTATATATAGTGTAGTTGAATAGTAGCAACTTAAACCCTGCACAAACTTTCTGGAAAATAATCTTTTTAAACACTTACATATATAAATAATCTTATAGAATCAGCACCTTTTTTCCCAGGAGTTGTATTTTCTGTTGTTATTTTTAAAGGGATGTGCCAATTTCTGAACTCCTATCACAGCTATAAATTTCAAGTTATTGACCATCTGAATGAATTGCTAATGATGATTTATCTAGAATCACACTACAGTCACTTCTCTACTGAGAAACCACAATCTACAATATAGTCCCATATAGCTAATGATAGATACACAGTATTCCTAGCACTGGGTTGATGTTTCATCAACCCAAGGTATTTTGTTTAAAGCACACAAAGTAGCAATAGTTTTGGAAACGAATCTGCACCAAAAAGTTTTGCAACAACACAGAGCGAGTTAATAACAACATCTGAGAGATGATTGAGTGAAAGCCATATATACAGCATTTAAAAATTAGACTTATCTATATTCTTGAAATATTCAAAGTTTTATTTCTAAGCTATACATTGGTATTCTATAATAAACCATTAGAGAAATTATTCCTTGTTTTGAAAATATTATTATGATTTTGATGTGTATCTGTTCATAATGAATACTTGTTTGGAGTTTCAATCTCTTAATTATTATTAGGAAGAACCTTATTACTGGTAAGGAATAGAATATACTACTGTAGTCTCCTGAGGAATTGTACATCCAATATTGTCTCTAATTCTACCCTGTGTCTAAAAGCACACACCACAAGAATCCAAACACCACAAGAACAAGACAACAGTCTTTGAATGCAACATAAAATTCAGAAAAGCACAGCAAACATGAAACATTGAAAAGCTGAACTACATTTCTTTTGTTTGTTAGGATTACAATTTTAATTACATCTGTGTACATAGAATAAGACTGTTCACATAATACAGGGAGCAGCTACTAACACTGGTCCATTGGTATAGCATTTGATGGAGGTTACTGTTTATTGGTTATTCAGCGACTGTAGATTTCGGGGCATCTAATTGATTTCTTCATTAGATTACACCTCTTAACAGTCTGGAACCTGACTTGACTTTCATGCTGTGACAATACTGGTTGAAAAGCACATATATTGGCTTAGCTCTTGGTAAAAACTGCAGATTAATTTAAACGAACATTCCTAAATGAATAAACTTATATGGATTAGGTTTTAGAATTTGGTCAGGCATTTTCTGTCTTTGATGATTTTTTTTTTTAATTCTGGCATTTGCCTTATTGCCTCTTAAATGAATACTGGCTCACAGCTCCTTCTGAGGCAAGGTCTGTGACTTTGCAAACAGGCAGTATCACATTCCTAACCACCATGGCAGCTAGAAATCATATGGCAATTGTACCTCCCAAGTAGAGAGGTGCACTCCTGACAATTCTACGGATCTATATCTCATGTGCAGTGCTTATATATGTGACTACTCAGAGTCACTGTAGGTGTAATCTCATCCTTTGTGTCAGTGAACATTTAGGTAAACTGGAGCTCATGTTAAGAAATTGATGTTTGGGACCAGACTGGCACACAACATAAATTGCATCCGTGATAATATGCACCTTCCCTTCAACTATTGCTTGAGTAAGTTAAATTCCCATATTAATAAATGGCTGAAAAGTGGTAAAGCTGGTACAAAAAAATCTCCATTTGTAAGAAGAAACAAAACATTTTTAAAAATCTTCCTTCAGGATTCATTTGTCCTTCATTATTGTTCGTAATTGTTCAAAGCCAGCACAAAATTGCAGTATTCTTATTTCTCTTTAGTATTGCATGAATGAATAAAGCTTAAACTATTCCCTGAAAAAGTTACATAGTAGCTAAACTAACAAATACCTGGAAGACTTGAAAAAACAATTAAGGAATCAAATGGCTGTAACTGATCTAGATGGAAAAGCAATGATAAGAAGCAGCCGATGCAACGTTGCTTAAGTTGTCTAATTAGAGGCTGCTCCCATGAAATCTAATACTGCACTCAGTCAATTTGTATATGTTGCACTGTACTTTTAGGAACGTTGGTTCTCTCTCTTTGATTCCTTAGTCATTGGGGACAGTATGGTTCACAATAAGTTCACTGGCATCCATATTATGGATCTCCATCCTTTGGCAGGGCTGGCTTCCATCTCTCTTCAGTTAGAGACCTCTTTTAAAAGTTCAGCAGCAGAAGGAAGAAAAAGAAAGATGGAAAGAAGGTCAAGAGGAAAGGAAAGGAAAGGGAAAAGGAAAGGGAAAAAGGAAAGAAAGGGAAAGGAAAGGGGGAAGGGAGGATTTTTTTTTAAACTAAAGCTATTTCAAATTTAGAAAAAAGGGGAAGGATGAGAAAAGAGAGGAATGAGAGTAGGTAAAGAAAAGAAAGAAGGCAGGCAGACGGGAAGAAAATAAAGGAGAATGGGAACTAGGAATGAAAGAAGCAAAGAAATAAGGGAGGTGAAAGAAGAAAAGGAGAAAAAATAAAGAGAAAGAGAAATGTGGGAAGAAAGAGGAAAGAAGATGATGGAGAAAGTAGAAAGAAACTCATCAGGAACCTATGGAGGAATCTGAAAGCTGCTTCATAGTCTTGCTGCTAAATTATCAGTGCAGTCTGTTGATTTTTGATGTTGTTAACTAAACTCTAAGTTTCTTCGACATCACTCTTGGGTTTATTTTCCCTTTTTCAACATGAAGGATGGGAAGGCCCAGGGAGCTTTTAGTCAGACCTTGGCCTCCAACATTTCCAAAAAAAGTTTGTGCATTGGGACTTTGCCTTCTAGTTTGATGTTGTAGAAATGCTGCACGGCCTTGGTAGAGGTCTGCCTCAGGAGTGGCAGTGTCATCAGCATCTTGCCAGCTCGACGAGGGTCTTCCATGTGCTGGCCAGCTTCATAATCCTGCAGCGCTTCATGTAAGACATCCTGAAGCTTCTGAACGGCTTCAACATCTTCTATGTGCATGGAGTCTGTGCAATGAAGCAAAAGATATGAGTAATTATAATAATAATAGCAAACCTATGTAGACTAGAGTTATAAAATTAGTTATTAATTTAATTATTTTTGAACTTCTCTGAGCTTGAACCTATGATTTGTTCAGAGTCTTGCATTTCTACAATCTCTATTTCTTTCCAAATTTCCCTACATAATTTCTAATACTAGCTTAGAAAATGGGAATTATTAGAAAAGATCTATGATTTAAAATGTGTATTTTTCTTTCTCAGGCTGAGCAAGAGAAGGCTTTCTTTTAACAGATTACAGTCTTGACTATTTTATTCATTGTCTCATCCAGGTATATATTCATTCACTCAATAAACAACCACGGAAGGCCATCTATTGAAAGTATTATCTTAGTGCTGTGTGGGGGAAGGTTGTTTAAAATTCTGATCTTGCCTGGAAAAGCCAATATTTCCCAAACAGGGGAAAAAATTGTTGACTAAGATTCTAAGAACTCCATGTGACTACATTGAATCTAGCACTATACAGAAATCACAATAAATTATTTATCCTTTCAGGATGTTTAATGTTCTAGTATCAGTTGATTAAAGCATCCTTACAGAGTCTACTTCCCTGATGAAAAACAAATGGTGTCTTCAGATCACTGAGTTCTGAAATATTTTTCGCATTTGTAAAGGTGAACTTTGCCCTTAAATGAATAATTTGAAAATCTAATTCAATCAAGCAAAGAAAGGGTTAACAAGGTTGCCAAATTATTCTTGTGAGAAATGTGAGATGTGGGGAAAAAATAAAAGTTACAGCTCCAGCTCTAAAGCAGACACTTAATTATATACAAGTTTGAATCATTTAGCACGTTTTATTGATTCTGATGACAGTTTATCTGTTAATTACACATAATGGAGTCTTTGGGGGATTCTTCATGTTTAATAATTCTAGTTCTCTGAGAATGCTGAGCTCTAAGATATATGTAGTTAGCCTAATCTTTCATACAATTCAAACATAGATCACATGAACAAAAAGAGAGGGAATGTAATTTAAAATCAAGTGGCTAAATATATAATAAAAATGAAATATGGCAAACTAATTAAAAGATAACCAGTAGCATGTCTTAAAAATTTATTTGTATTTTGTTTAGTGTTTTTTTCACTTACATTGTCATTTTGAATCATTCCACCATATCACTGGTGAACTGACCACTATTTACATTAGGTAGTTTAATGACACCTCTTTAAAAAATTTTTGAATAATCTGGAATAAAGTTGCTTATAAGTATTTACTGCTCAAGACTCAATTTCTGCCTGGCAGAGCAAAAAGAAGGAATTTTTCCAAGTGGGAAATAGCATTGATAGTGGTTCCCTGGAGCGGGACTCAAGTCACTCCCCAACATACGCCTGGCCTTTCCCTGTGGATTGTTTCTACCCAGCTTCTCTCCAGTCTGGTTCCTCTCAGCATGGCAATCTCATCCACCTCCTATGGTGCTGTCTCTTAGAAACAAACACACATAATTTCTAAAGTTGTCTAGGGGTTGGTAATCTTAGGGACAGAAAAACATTCATAGAGATGATGGCAACATGATCTGATATTCTTTCTCTCTATTTTTGCACTTAAATGCTACCTGAAGGAAAAATGGGAGGTATGGGGAAACACTATGGTGAGTCTCTAGATACACAAAAGACTGCAATATGGACCTTGTGCATAAGGGAACAGAGATGAGTTGGATTTTCCCAACTTATCCTGGGTCTAATAATTAGCTCTCTACATGAAAACAGAGTAATAGATGGAAGGAGAAAATGGGAATTACACTCTGCAGTGACAAAACAAACGAAATAACTATTTTCCAACTAGACCAAAAACACACCAGAATAAAAATAATACATTTACCATTTATTAAGCACCTATTTCAGGTGAACATGGCCTCATTTTACCTCCCCAAGCCCTAGAAGACACGTGGCACTGGTAATATGTGTCAGACACAGGTTTAAATTCAGGATTCTTCAAATCAATAATGCTGCTAGAATGTAGAACACTAAATTTGCATTCCCTTAAAAATTGGGATGAATTGTCCTCTAAACACATCCTATTCAAACTCCTATCTTCATCAGCTGTCTTCTTTACAACATTCTTAATGAAGACATTGCCAGTTGTATGAAAAGTATGTAGAGTATTCTCCTTGATAAGAGGCAAAACTAATTATTATGAATTTCCTCTTTAAATTTTCCTAAATCTGTCTCCAAATTCTATCATTTGGTCCTGTTTCTAATTACTAGAACAATACAGGATAAATTTCCTTTTTCTACATGGCATATCTTTAAGTGCTTGAAGTCAGCTGCACAGTTACCTCGGCCCTACCCATAGTCTTGCCTTTCCCACTACTCTTGCCCAGCAGGAGATATATTATAGGATGTCATGGGAAATGAGACAAGAACAAATAGCAGAGAGATATGCTCACAAACAGCAATTAAGATTTCAAACTATTCTTTCAAGGCTGTGATTTAGCATGAGAGATTTAAAAATGATTTAATCAAATTACTATGATAATTTAACTTCCCATTTATAGAAAAGATTCTAACTCATTTTAGCTTTACCCATTCTCGGATCTGCTAATACTTTAAATGCAAACTCACTAAATTTGAACTATTTAATTAGACAATGATTCAGCTGGCAGACTGCTGAAGAAAATATTAATCTCCATTAGGGATCCTAGTTCAAGTTCTGGATCTGTGGTTTTAATCTCTGTTTTGTTCTTTTGGTTAAATTTACACGTTGACACCAGGCTCAATAGAACTGGCATTAATGTATGTAATTTATTTTGTTTTCATTGTTCATGCTGGTTTCTTTTTAACTATGCTTTAAAGGAAATATTCCTAGTATTTGTGCTAATAGGAACCAGCTAAACTTAATGGATATCATAAGTTTATGAACTAACTAGACAGGACTAGGCTACATATTAAAAACAATGGGCGAGCTCTTAAAAATCTTGGATACTGGGCCCAAGTCTAGATCTATGAAGTAAGAGACCAGAACTAGGACATCAGCATTGCTGAAAATCTAGGTAGTTCTACTGCCAAGCCAGGATTAAGAACTACTACTGAATTAGACAATAAGACAAGCAAATACTATTCTAAAAGAATAAATATTTCAAAAGATAACCAGAGTGTATATGAAACACATATTATTGCCCACATATTAAGTCTAACACCTAATAATAAAATAGAACTTTATCAAAACTTCCAATATTTTACTCTGTGAAAGAGATCCTAAAAAAATGTGTCTAGTTCAGATCATTTACTTTGGGAAGATAGCTAAATATCATCATCCTTGCAGCTGCAAATTGAATAAGACAGAGCCACTGAAAAAGAAGATTTTATTTTTATATCTTCCCTTGAATAAAATACTGCCCTTCTCTATGTTAGAAAATATTAATCATTGTGGGCCAGGTGCGGTGGCTCACGCCTGTAATCCAAGCACTTTGGGAGGCCGAGGCAGGCAGATCACGAGGTCAGGAGATCGAGACCATCCTGGCTAACACCGTGAAACCCCGTCTCTACTAAAAATACAAAAAATTAGCCGGGCGTAGTGGTGGGCGCCTGCAGTCCCAGCTACTCGGGAGGCTGAGGCATGAACCCGGGAGGCGGAGATGGCAGTGAGCTGAGATCGCGCCACTGCACTCCAGCCTGGGCGACAGAGCCAGACTCCGTCTCAAAAAAAAAAGAAGAAAACATTAATCATTGTGTGCACAGACATAGCTACTCCAAAATACCTAAGTCCTGCTTGGGAACTTTCTTCTGGACTTTTAGACCATTCTTGGCAATACTTTCTCAAGAGTGCCAAATCTCATTTTGAGTATGGAATTGAATATTAGATACAGGCACAGTATATTCAGAGTCGAGCCTAGTATATAACATAAACCAACAGTCAGTGTAAACTTTTCTGTGAAACGCAGGACTTGATTTTCTTTGATGTTTGTGAACTGCCTACATAAAGATGGGTAGTAAGGAAAGGGTGAATGGGACTCTCTCCAATCATTGAATGAATGAAACAGAATGTCATGGAAAGAATAGAGAAGTGGAAAAAGGTCTATTTTCTAAAAGATACTTTGTATCTTTAAATTTCCATATGCCATATATATGCCACCTAACAGAGTGGTTCTTCGGGTAGCAATTGGCTAGGGTACTGAGGAACACTGGTTGATTGCCATGTCAAATGGACTTTAAGTTAACAGAGATGGTAGAATTTTTTTAACCTCTCCAAATGATCACATAAACAACAACAACAACAACAACAACAAACAGAGCAACTACATGACAAAACTAAAAATTCAGGGACATTTACAGAAAAACTAGGTGACAGGGTATTCCCAAAATATACATAAATTCACACACACACACACACAGACAAATACACAATGAGGTCTATGTGTGTCTGCATCCCCAGCTCCGTACTTATGTAGGCAGATGATGTTGGCCTAGGAAGAATGGCCAACCCTGGAAGGCACCTTGAGTGCCCAGGTTGTAATCTGATTCTAGGCTTCAGCCAGAAAATATTTAAAATGAACATGGAATATTTTGTCACACCGAATAGAAAGGATATTATCTAGAACTACGAGGTATTCAAAAAGATTTCAGAAGCCAACCCGAAGAGGTTCCCACTGAAAAAAATGGGACAATTTGGGCTTCAAAAAGGATTATAATTGCAACTGATTGAAATCCATTAAATATGTTTGAGTACATGTGTTTATAATTTTTTTCAATAGGACACCAATTATTTACTCTGAAAGCTGCTAAATAAAGAGAAATAATCAAGCATTTATACTACTTTTCCTAAACAAATTGTAACACTGGTAACCAAATAAGAGATAAGAGAAAGCATTACTTTATACATATCCCACCTACTGAATGAAAAAAGAGAAGAAAAACAACAAAATTACAAATCACTGTTTTTCAGCCCCCAGTGATTAATAAATTTAGGTAATGAACGTCAACAGTTGCTAACATCACAAAAAGAGACAGAAACAAACATTATGTATCTTGCAATGAACAATACATCACTTATAGGTGCCATAGGGATAGAACCTGAGTCTGATTAAGTCTCGGGATCCAGTAGCCAATTTGCACAAAATGCAAAGGGCAGAAAAAACATGATGAACTTCTCCAAGACTATGCAATCTTCAAAATCCAGACACTGGAAAACCATGTACATCAAATGCCCTGGCATCTTCAACTAATAAATTGTAGGAAAAATAAAATGAAGGAGGAACTTTGGAGTACAGACTTAAAAATTCATCCATAATTTTTTTATGGGTAAATGAGCAAGACTAAATTGTAGTAACTAAGTATACACATTTATTTAAAAAAACTATAATAAAATAAAAGGAAGTGATGACTATAAAACTCAGGATAGGATAGTGATTACTTTTGTGGGAAGGGAAGGGGCTGAGATAGGAACAAGACACTTGAAGGGCTTTCAGGGGTTACGTTACAAGTTTTATTCTTGACCTTGCTTATGTACTTATCGTGGTAGGCTGAAAAATGGCCCTGAAGATATTCAGGTCCTAATATCTAGTATCTGTGAATGTTACCTGCTATGGCAAAATGAACTTTGTAGATGTGATTAAGTTAAGGACCCTGATATGGGAGATTATCCTAGATTATTCAGGTGGGCCCTCAATGAAAGCAAGTGTCCTTGGAAGCAAAGGAAGAAGAAGGCAATGTTACCACTGAGGCAAAATGCTACTGCTGGCTTTAAAGACGGAGGAGGGTGCTCAGCACCAAGGAATTCAGGCCCAGGAGCTGGAAAAGGTCATGGAAACGGATTCTTCCCTAGAGTCTCCAGAGGGAGTGAAAACCTGTCCATACATTGTCTTACACCTAGTGAAACTGATCGACGTTTGACATCCAGAACTGTAAGAGAATAAATATGTGTCATTTAAAGCCATCAAGTTATGGTCATTTGTCAATGTAGCATAAGAAACTCATATACTCGTTAAGGTCTATATTTTTATGTGTTTTTGTGTTTTCTTTTGCATTAAAATGATATAGATAAAAAGAGAGAGAGAAAGAAATTTCTGGTGGATGGTCTCTTCTAGAAAGTAATGAATCAAGCAGAATTCTTTGGCGGCTGTAGAAACAGGTGGCAGAAATATCAAGGAAGCCTTTCACATATCAAGTAGGGAGCTGAATCAAAAAAATGTTTAGGTTTCTTCCAACCCAGAAATCTTATGATTTTAAAATCGAAAATAGTAATAATAATTCTGATTTTTCTGCTTAACCATGGTGACAATAATATAACTTTCCATGTCAGAGCTCTCCATTAAGATACTGTTAGTTTTTTTAGAAGGCCTGTTTTCCTTATTTCTTGCTGTGGCTAAAAAGCTAGTTTTCTTTGACATTTACACCAGCCACACAAATCACTCTGACTGTATTTATATAAAATGTTGAACCACAGAAAACCTCCATGGTCGTGGTTGTAGTTTCTTTCCTTCAGGCTTCTTACAAGTCCCAAATTACTATTAATATTGTTATGTTTACCTTGCATAATGGGATTTACCTGCTAGGTCTTTTCTATTTTTCTATAATTACTTAAGGCCTTCCATCTCTCTCTCCATATCTTACACTTTTCCAGGGGGTTTTTAACTCATTTTGCTACAAGTCATAAAGACAATTATAGTATACTGGGTAAGTGAATGTTGATATCAATTTGGGTGGTGAATAGTTCAACATTTCAAAACATCATAGATGATCTGCACCATGCTAATGACGTTTTGTAACAGAGCTCATTATCTTATGCTATAATCATTTCCTGGAAATAAGCAACTGCAGAGTATTTTATGTGCTTATTGCCCAGGTAATAAGCACATATTACCCAGGTATTTACTCAGGTAAATACCTTTGGAAGGCCAAAGCTATTTGCAGCAAATATTTCTGATACTATGCCAAGACACAGTGACCATTGAACATGAAAAGAAATATTTAAGAGCCAGCTTTTATGTTTTTTACCTAAAAATTGCAATACTGTAATATGTTTAAAATTTAAGGGTTGTATTAAATTTAAAAAACTCACTTCCAAAATATCTTATTCTAAATAGAATTAAAATAATCCAGTAAAGGCAGCCTTGAATAAAAACCAATGAAAAGTAAACTAAGAGATGAAAAGTTATAATTTTGATTTCTTATTTACCTGATAGTATTACTTATGGTTTGTTCTGGGTAAAAATTAGGAACAAAGCTCTACCTGCCACACAAAGCTTACATATATTCATTTCTCATAAAATGTTATAATTTCTTGGTAAACATTTCATGTTCAATTTTGTCACTTTCTTGGGTAGTTTTATACTCCTCTAACTCCAAGAAGATGGCAAGATAAAGGAAGTGGGCATGAAATTCTCAATCAAATTAAAAATACTAATTTAGGCTCCCAGATGTGAAATTGTAATGGGTAAAGTCTTCTGCATTAATCCTTTTAGAAACATGTATATAATTATTTGTGGAATAGAAATAGCTCATTGATAGCAAAGGACAGAAGGTCCCACCTTCTGCCTCATAATAGCCATGCATGATTATCAGCTTTCTTCGCATACCTGTGAAATAGTACTGGACATGCCTACTGCACAGGCATGTTGTGGGAATCAAATAAGATTCCCTAGAAGAAGCTTAAAAAAGGAAATGTCTACAGAAAGATTCTGAAAAAGGATAATCTCTTGACCAGCAGCTAAAACTATCTCCAGAATATCAAATCAACTAATTTAGTCAAAATTTTGTAAAACTGGCTAAGGCCCAGTTTTACTTTATACACACACACACACACACACACACACAACACACACTTACATATGCACATATATATACATGTATGAAACCAAACTGGCCACCTTTACTTAAAAGTAATCAATCTAAAATTTTCAGGCCATTTAAGGGATATTAGACATTATTTAATTCACCTGCCTTATTTTACAGATGAGAAAACAGTTATGTATTTAAGCGATGTATTCTCAAAGGAGGTGAAATTTGGAATTAGAGAGTAGAAAATATTCCTCTTTTTAGGTAAAATGCGTATATATAATATAATATATATATGCATGGATGTGTGTACACGTATGTATATATGTGTGTGTATGTATGTATGTGTATATATATATCCTAAATAGATGGCATTACTATTTCATCGGGGGGTTATTAGGAAAACCATATCTAAAAAGGCTCCCCTAATGGAGTGATAATGAAAACACACTAAGTCAAACCTATATGAGAGTCCAAATATCCTAATTAAATATGGTGCCCATTCCAGTATCCTACAGCAATCATAAACTTTCTATACCTTGAAATTACACAACTCTGCATACATAACCATTTGTCCTTAAGAACAACAGAATGCTGTCATGAGGTTGTTAGAGTTATTTATGATTTTAAATTGATAACCAAATTGTTATTTGTAGCTTGATATCAATAGGTGCTATTATTCTGGAAATAATGTGTAGAAGTAAAAAAGAAAACTTGACTTGAAAAATGTTTATTCTTGAATGGATTGGACTCACCTGGCTTCAGGCTGGGGTGGGGTAGGGGTGGCAAAGACTGTGATGTGAGTGGCAGATTTAGAGATTGAAGTTCTTATGACTCGAGCAACAGAGAATTGTCAGACTAAAGTGATTCATTAGCTTAAACTGCTTTTAATCTTATAGTATATAATTTCAAACAAATTCTTAATATAAGAATCAAGAGATTCAATGAAGAGAAATAAATCCTATCATATAATCTTACCTAGGTGCTTATAGAAATATTTTACTATATTTTCTAATATATAAATGAAATTAATTATAGAATCATAGAATTCCAGAATCGGAAAGAATTTGATATTAGTCAAACCTCGTTATATACATGAAAAAACTGGGGCCTCAGAATTACAATATTAAAATTGTGACCTAGAGTTTTCTTTTAAAATTCAGTTGCACAGAGATATATCAGAGATGTAATAATTACTCAAGAGGTTGTTAATACTAAAAAATAAGAGAATACATAGCTTAAATGAGACTGTAAGTTTCTTATCTTCAAAAGTAATTGGAACTATTATTTAGGGTTTTCAAAGATTTGAATGTGAAAACTGCAGAATTATAACAGTTCATGACATATTGTTGTTTTGGCCACACACACGAAGATAGAGTTTCCAGTGATGTTCTGGTGTTATAAGTATTCCTGAATTCACTTATGACAGAAACAAAGCTATAAAAATATGAAAGCCATCATTAGGAAGCCAGTTGCCTGTTTTCCAAGCATAAGCACAACATTTATAATGATTGAATAAAGACCAATGTTTAAAATAAGCTAAAATTTAAGTAAATGAGTCAATGGTTTTTAATACCTACAGCCATGTAGGAAAAGCTAAGATACCTACCTAAATTACACTGAAATAGATTTTCATTTTTGCACAAAAAGTTACTTATGTTAATCTGGAATTCCTAAACACACACACATACACACACACACACACACACACACACACACACAGAGAGAGAGAGAGAAACGACAAAAAAAATAGAAGCCCTTTAGGGTGTCTAAAGTATTAAAATATTTTTATACTGATATGTGTATGGGCAGTTTAAAAAACCTACATTGGATCTAAGCAAGTTTGAGTCTACATTCAATCTTGGATCTATAACTTTATTGCTGTGCTCCAAATAACAGTCAAAAATGGAATAAAATAACATCATATTAACAATATCAAAGAAAATGACTTTCTGAGTTGTTTACCCCAAACTAAAATGATGGGGCTTGCAGGTTAGGTGGGTGAAGAAAAGGCCATAATTACACAACACAGTAGAGGTGGCACAATTTGGAGATTAAAATAGTCCTTAGAGTTCTTAATCAGTTATTCTTTAGTAGGGACTCTGATTCAATTGATTTTTCTCCGTATTGAGGGGCTAAGTCAATGATGGAATCACCTGCAAGAATATTTTGGGACAGAGACTTTTTTTTAGAAGAAGCAATGTTACTCAACTACCATGATAAGAGAAGAAAGGAGAGCTTATTGACCATTTCTGACTTTAGACATGAAAAATAAATGAACTAATTCTTTAAAGACTTTCTAATCATCAGTCACTGCTGTGAGGTAGTCACTTCCTCTCCCAGAAGTAGAATATGTGGATTAGGACGTTTATCTATCAGAAATATTAATGCTTATACTTCTAAGCAACAGAGACAGAAATGCTGCTACTAATTAATTCAGTTACTCTAAATTATAATAGTCATAAAGTACACATCCAATATCTAAAATTATACATTTTTAGCAATTTTGTTGATAAAGTTTTAGCATTGCTCAGCATTCATGGTTAGTTAATAATTTTTAAAAGCAATTTGAAACATAAAAGATTTAACACAGGCTTTAGTATATTTTAAAAACAATTAACCAAGTAAATGTTTTAAATTAGAATCGTTTCATGATTGCCAAATAAAAATTCTTCCCAAAACCACTGTTATAAAATATTTCATCTCATTATGAGAGATGGTATAATGTGAAGTCCATACAAACTAATAAATCCTCAGAAAATTTCTACCCCATCTCTCACTTTGATCTTCTGGAGAGGGAGGGCAGGGGATTCTTCAGGGTTCATAATAACAATGTCATTTGTCATAAGAAATCATATTTTATAATTTCACAGGAGCGTAGAAGAAGAGAGGTGCATGGTGTGGTGAGGAAGAGGGTTATATTCACAATTAAAACTGTGAAATGCTAAACTGCATTATGAAGACAAATAGGAAAGTACAACTCCATTGTTGAAAACAATTTCCCTCCTATCAGTCTAAGGATTCATGCATCAATATTGTAGATGAACTGTTAATTACAAAATCAATTAAAAATTATTTCTAAAAACAGTCACGCGTCCCTGGCTCTCATGGGGGCAATTTGGGCAGAAGGTCTCATCTCACTAGGACCGCGCCAAATCACAAAGTCGTCATCCACAAGTAAGCAAAAGCAATCTGGTTTTTCATTTTTCAGCGCGGCTGAGCCCAGCCTGAGATTGATCGTCACATATGGCCCCAGAAAACAAACTGTCAATACCTTGAATGCTGCAGAATTTGAACAAATAGCCGTCCGCCCATTCAAGCCACTCATTGCATCCCATTTAACAGATTTTATTGACAGTTTCCTTCTTGTAATTAAAGGGAAAACTACTGGCCGGCAACCAAGATAAAGTTCAAAGATAGGGTCAAAACAAAAGCAGATGGAGGGGCACGGTGTGACTGTCAGTGGTACATAGCATCAGAGCACGTTATTGACACGCAGGTATCTAATGATCGGCACGTCATTAAGGAGGGATCTATCCTGAACTTTATGCAAATGCTAAAAGAGACTTAAGACCATAATAAAGCATTAAGAGAGGCACAAAGGGAAAAACAACAAAGCACCAACGATTTTTACTTATTAGAGGTTGCTATTTTAGCATGTTTCAGTTCGAATGTAAAGACCAGTTATTCCCATAATTCTTAACCCTTACTGCATAGGCAGAATTTGACTTCTAAAGAACTCCAGAATGTAAGAAAACTGTTCTTTGATAACCAAAACTCAAAGCAACACTAAATATATTTTCCCAATTGCACAATTTGCATTTTTGAGGGAAAAATGGTTTGTGTGTATCAACAATTCCCTTGTTTTAACTTACGCATAAAATACAATAGAAATAATTTTGTCCTGGGAGTGTCCATTTATGCTATTACTACAAGAGCTTTTGCTTTGCCATGATCCAAATTAGTACATGCATTAGTTGATAAAAGTTTCAAAGCATTCAATAAGCAAGTCAAATGAAATTAATTCCCTTTAAGTATATTTTTCTTATTTCTAACTTTTCACTAGAAAGCTATACTGATTATAATTTTGCTGACTCATACAAAATTTACAAACCAGGTCTAGCAAATCCCTAAAGAAGTTAAGGAGAGGGGTAAAACTGACATATTAAAAAAAATGTAACAATGACTATGTCAGTATGCCAACCTGAATTAGCAAGAGCTATAGCTTTGAGGGTGACAAATTCTTCTTTTTCCAGCTTCATGCTCTTGTATTTCTTTACCAGCTGCAGGATAGCATTATTTAGATCAAGAAGGCCTGCTAATTTGGACTGGTCTTCGTCCATTATATAATCGTCTGCATAGACAAGTTCATCCTCAAACGAAAGAGACCGGTATACGACACCAAGGATCAAAATTTCCATCCAAGCACTCTGCAGAAGGCTCATCTGGTCCGCCAGGGACAGCGTGGAGAAGCCTGCATGGAAAGATGGGCAGATCAAGTTACTTTAAAGCCATAATTTCATAATGCAACATTAGTTTCATATGGTAGCTGGCTTCTGCATCAGTGCTCAAAATTATGCTGAGCTTTGATTAGAAGCTCTTAAAATTTTCCCTGGATCACTTTGCGAACAGCAAAGTGAAAGTCACAAACCAGCTTCTTCAATTTGTGGGTATTTGCTATAAGTTTTATAGACACAGCTTAGGGGAATATAATAGAGATGTCGCTTTCTTTCATTCGAGAAGAAAATACCATGTAATCTTTAAATATACTTGATTTCTGGTTGAAGTCTTTAGGAAAATCTTACAGGAAGTCAGATTTTCAACTATCTCATCTCTAAAAACTACTATTGGTAAACAACATAAAAGTAAAAAAAAAAAAAAGAAGAAGAAGGAGAAGAAGAAGCAGCTAAAAATAAAAGGTAAACAAACAATTTAGGCCATAGAGCTCAGCACAACTTGGAAACATTTCTGTATAATATTAATAATTACAAGCACAATGGATGATGAGTTACAAATAGGTGAGCCTTCTTAATTGGCTATTTCTCCCCACTGATATTTAACATGACTTTCTTTTAAAATTAGTGATAATAGGTATAAAAGAAAGTGTAATATGTAGCAGCCTGGCCTCCCCACCAAAGAGAAAAGCCTCGTTCACTATTGTTATTAAGCTCCAATTATTTAAAAAGTTAAATATAAATAAAGGTAACAGGGTTTGGTGCAAAGGAGTCAGATTCTGAATGTAAATACTGGCTCCACTTAGCTACTGGCTCTTTCACCTTGAGCAAGAGAAATTAACTTGTCTCTTAAATTTCGTATTTGGGAAATATAAAATATCACCTACCTAAACATTAAGCTATAACCTGAAATTCAGTAAGTGTTGTTGTATGATTAATATATGTTCTTTTTATCTGAATTACCTATGTGATCAATTCTTTTCTGCAAATCTGGGATGCATTCATACACGCATATTTAAAGTCCCTCTGAGCTTGAGAAAACATATGCAAAAAAATTAAAAAGAAAATGTTGTTCAATAGAGAAAGAGGAAGCAGTACAATTAAGCCTACTTAGGAGTGAAGATATATATTTATATATCAGAGGGACTAGATCTGTATTCTAAAGTGAAGATACCTGATGATCAGAAGCTTTTCTCAAGTCCTAAAAAAGAAATGTTTCTTAAAACTTCACTTTTATTTCCAAGTGTATGCCTAAGACTTCTAAGGGTAACCATCCACCTCATGGCTTCTGAGGACAGTGGTACCATCATTTAAGGTCCTGCCACCAGTAATTCTACAGAAAGGAAGGACCATTTTTAATAATGCAACTTAAGAAATCTATTTTTACTCCCTTTCTAGACATTATTATCCAAATCATAAGTAGCCACTGATGCCCAACCTTTTTAGGCTGCTGCTTATGGTCACTGTTGCTGTCCTTTTCAATCATATCAAATTGTGGGTATCCCATATGATATTAGAAACTACAGCACAGTAAAGAAAAGGAAAGGATTTCCTGACCTATTGGTGAAAAACAGTGGTTTGCCATTTGGTACCATTAATTATAAGTGCTTAATAAAATCATCAGAAGAGATGAGTCAAGCTTTTCTTAAGGGAATCTTTAAGATATGTGTAAAATGCATTTCTTTCGTTGTTTATCATGGTGCTTACATGTTATTTGACAGGATTTCTTTTGGACTGGCTGTGTAAGTCTTGTTTCTTATTCTGCTTTTGTCATTGCATTTGGGGTTAAATTAATAAATATCCTCTTAGAGATATAATAGCTGATAACATTTTAAACAGCGGTTCAACACAGAAAACTAAATTATTTAACCTAAATAGGTTAGGCTCCAGATGCTTTTAATTTTAGCAATGTTATATTCACAACAAACAAACAGAAAACCACACTGCTCTTTTTTCTATTCCCCTCCAAGGAAAAAAGGTGCAATGCAAATCCAAATATCAATCTCAAGAAAACATACTAAGTAAGAATTTCTTGTGTAAATTAAAATACCAAAAAAAAAAAATCATCTGGAAAGTTAGGAGCAAAAATGAATGGGTCTTTTCAATTTGCCTTAGTTTTCTTGTTCCTTTTCATGCTCCCAAGTCGCAGTTTCTCTGCAGCAGCAGATGGACAGAGCGTGTAGCCCGCAGCACCTTCCTGTGACAGCCCTATTCTCCCTCCCAGACACTGCTGTTAGTAAATAGATTTACACATTCTCCAATCTCCACACATCTTTCTGCCGAATAATTAAAAGCAGGATGATTAGTTTATTGAGTGGAAGGAGGAACTTTTTTATTGAGGTCCATCCACGATTTTATCAGGGCCAGCACTTTTACGGTTGTCAGGGGGGTGCAGGCATCCAATTTTTCTTATCTGCCTGATTAATACAAACGCTGTTTCAGGACACATTAATTAACAGATACAAATCTACGTTCTCATGGAAGGATCAATACGGAGAAGAAAAGAGGCATCAATGTGAATTTAGTGCTGATGATGGAGAAGGCACGCTAGCGACATTTACGTGCACGGAAACTTTAAAGTTGCACCGGGCCCCCTTTGTCCCTGTGATTTACAAATTAACAATGTTACAGCCATAACAACATTTCGCACATTTCTTTGGGGTTTAATTGAACAAAAAACAATAAAATTTCATTTTTAAAGTTGATCCTGCAATTTGTTTCTTCTATATTGATGGTTGTGTGTGTGTATATGTGTGTGCATGTGTGTGTGTTTATCCTTCCTGCAAACCTAACTTTTTCCTTTTGCTTCTCTATGAAATAAAGAGAAGGAAAAAAGGGGAAGAAACAGCTCTCCTTTTTTTTTTTTTTTTTTTTTTTTTTTTTGGTGAGGGAGCATGAGGAGACGGATATAGCACAAAAGGTTTGACACATTTGCTTGATTGATATCCTCAAGTATATTTCAGCTGATTAAAGGAAGTATACTTTTTGCAAATCCAAAGGAAAAAGGACAATCTATGCCTTACAAAATAAAATAAAAGTCTGAACTTCTTCTATCTTTTCTTGGTCTAGAAATTGCTGGCTCTCATTTTACCCCTTTCCTACCACACCACTGCAATCTGGAAGCTAGTACAAAGAGCTCTCCTGCCCAAATGCCTGAGCAGCAGTTAAGACAGCCTTGTTATAAGATAGTCATGTTCATCTGGTCACTAAGGAGACCAAATACATAATAGAAATTTTATCTTAATTCCATAAAATTATTTTACCTTTTCTTTAGGAGTACTAGCTACGTTGCACATACATAAAAACGCATGGATAAAATAACATTTTTATCAATAGACCTGAACAATGTATAAAATTCTAAATAACCAAGGCCTAAATGAAAATGCATGTTTTAATAAGCTGAGTCTAAGGAATTTTCTTAAAACATAATTGCTCTATTGGCTTACACATGCTTGTATCCAAATGATAATTACTTGTTTATGTTTATACCAGGTATTTAATGGTAGTTTATAGCTCTTGGGCTACAAGTTAGAGGTCTTCATCATCTGTAATATTTAGCTATCTTTGGAGAGAAACCTCTTTCCCAAGTGAAATAAAATATGCTTTGCAGTTGTGTCGTTTGAACTTCATGTTTTGTACATCCTGGGACCTTAATCTTTGGTGTGTGACAGGTTATAGTTTTAAATGTTCAGCCATATTACAGCTTTTTAAAATGCACTGATACCATGGCACATTTTTTCTTCCACAGCTATAGCCCATTCCCTGCATATCGCTGACAACTCGGATCTCTCTTCATCTCTGTCCCAGAGTCAGTGCCATTTAATGTATCTCAGGCATTTTGCTTGCAGAATGACTCTCTACCTTGACCCGCAGTTAAATAGCATGTTTATCTGCAATACAGTGTGCTCCAAATAAACCAGATGACAGTTGGGAATAACATCATTTGGAAGGATTGAAAAGCTTCTCAAGAGGCAGGTACCCCTGAGGTAATAGGCTTGAAGAAAGCATGTTTTGTGCCAACCGTCTTGCCTTCTTCTACTGGAAACTTTGGAGGTTGACAGTGGTGCCATGGGCACTCATCAAGCACTGTTTTTTTTTTTGTTTTTTTTTTTTTTTAGCCTGGCAAACTGATGCACTTTGCAGTCAACTTACAAAAAAGGCTAAGCATTTGAAAGTGTGAAGGGCAAAAAATATCTGACGGCTAGTCTTCAAAAATACACTTTCATTTCAGAAAGCATAAATGTTTATTTCCTGAACAGAGTGTTGACAGAAATAGGCTGCAGTGCAGGCATTTGGGTTTAACCCCTGCTAGGCATTTTCTTCTCGGCTGCTTTCTTGAAATAGAGAGCAAGCATTTTAAATCTTCAGGGCATCTGTTAATATCAGTTAATCATGGCATTGACTTGCCTGATCACAGTTTTTGAACTGTAGTTTTTCTGTTCCACAAAAAAAAAAAAAATCAACATTTTTCAACAACTAGCATATCATGCTAGAACTGTAATTATGCCATAATGACTCACTGAGATCACAAATGAAGTTCATTTTGAGAAGCTGATTAAGCAATGCAACGTAAGCTAGATTCTTTTCTTTCCCGTACAAATAAACCTAATGTTTACAGGACCCAGAGAAGAAAAGAATAACAGTGGCACTAACATTTGGTCTTAGCTACCAATAGACACACAGATGCATAACCCTTGCTAGAGATAAACTTATTTTGTATTTTTAAGCCAGATGTTCTTTTCACATATGGGGCAGACATATCACTTTGTCCTATGATTCACAAAATACACAGCTCAGGGGCTTGTAGGAAACTTTATATATATATATACATATATATATATATGTAAGTTATATATATATATATATAGTCTCTTGCAGGAGACTATATATATATATACACACACTTTTTTTTCATGAACTGGAACTCAGTAGGAGCTAGAGTTAAGCAGCTACAGATGGTTAACTGCAGAAGTGAAAGCTGGAACATCTACATGGTGCTATCAGAAGCATTTTATTTAAAATTTTTCTTTAAAAGAGATGATAATGATTATATTATGTTTGTACTTAAGCCTTAAATACAATACCTATAATACTATTCTTTGAATCTTTACTCTTTTGGGCTGACCTTAATCCAGATTTCAATAATTTAGATTCAATCACAATTGGGTGAAATGTAAGAATAATTGACAAAAATGGAAAATAGGTCCCTTGCTAGCTAATTTAGTCATTTGTTTCAACATTTGTTGATTCCATAAGAAATCTATTTCTTTATCTCTGTTTTTATACTTTAATTAGGTTTCACATTGATTTTATGGAACTATTATTTTAAAATAGTGGTCAAACAAGACAAGTACATATTCCTAAAATCTAAAAGGCAGGACTCAGGTTTTAATACAATTTTGTATATAAGGGCAGAAGTGACCACCTTCCATAAAACTGAGCAAATGATCTAAGCAGTTGTGAGGAACTAAAAGAGAGGAGAACAGAAACGCAAAGGTAATATCTACCAGTCCAAAACAGAATTATCACTGTTAACTGAATTTACAGGTGCAATTGACCACTGACTACTCATGCTGATTACATAAACAACCAAATGAGTTTACAATTAGCCCAATCATAGGAACAGAAATTGAAAACATGCCCCCATAGACGTGGTGAAATGCTTTCTTTAGCAATTATTCCTGGTTTTCCAATCAGCTTGCTAGAAAAATTTAAAATACAATAGCAGCTAAGAAAAAATATTTCAAGTGACAATACAGGAAAGACTCAACATGATGACAAGAGGTTTTGTTTTGTTTTGTTTTTTTCCTGTGAGTGGGAGTTTTTTTTAACAACTGCCAGCCTACTTTGAAAAGTACTAGACACAGGGCCAATGAATGCCTAATAAGAATGTAAAGACCATCTACACGGAGTGTGCAGTTCCTCTTTGGAAGTCCTTACTTACCCCTACTTACCTAGTACTTCTGAATGACTGGAGAGGATCTGAAATAATTCCCTTAGCTTTTCCCAAACTCCCTCTTACTTGACCTCAAGTTTACTTCTTTTGTCCTTTCATCTAAGCCAAGAAGAAAGAAAAAATGTGGGGGGGCATGGAGGCAAGTATGGGCTGAGCTGCCTTAAGTTAAAGAGGGAAATCTAATGGCTTTCTTTTCCTACAACCTTTATTTTTTACTAGTTGAAAATAAGTTCTGCCTGGAAAGCAGACTGACTGAAATTTGTTTGGCCATCAAGAAAATAGGAAAGCAATGCCATATAATATAGGACTCTAAAAAATATATTTAAAAAAGGCATTTTTCAGTCTAACTTTGGGATTAGATGGATACTGAATAGGGAAAAACACCATTTGGAAGCCACACTTCTGATTTGAAAGAAAAAGGATCTATGCTTGAATCTGACTTGCTTTACCAATGTACTGGTAGAACTAGGTCAAGAAATATCAGAGTGCTTCAGGGAACTGACCAGTGGTCCATAGAAAACCAGTCCCACTTTGGAACCAGATATCTAAACACTATCCTCTTCAGGAAATTCCCAAGGGGTCCCCATCAAATTTGGTCTAATAATTTAAAATTCAAGCCTCCAAAATAAACACATACAGGCTCTATCTTGAACCTTGGAGAAAGCTGACAGATATCTCCACAAGCCTTTAAAGAGTCTGTGGAAAACATTTAGCAATAAATGCCCGTAAGATAAAGGTTTATAGTCAGGAAGTGATGTCTGAGGGGAGAGGATAGTGAGGGGAACTATAACTTTGAGGTCTAGAGATCTGACTACAACCAATGGTATTAACTTAGCCCCTGTGATGATCTGACTTGTGCCATCCCACCCAAAAGATGTTAGAGTCCTAACCTCCAGGACCTGGGAACATGACCTTATTTGGAAATAGGGTCTTTGTAGATGATCACATTAAGATGAGGTCATTAAAGTGGGCCCTAATGTAATATGACTGTATCTTCATAAAAAGGGGATATTTGGACACAGAGATGGACGTGTGCAGAGGAAAGATGATGTCAGGACACAGGGAGAATACTACCTACAAGCCAAGGGATGCTTGAGGCCACCAGAAGCCAGGAGAGACAGGAGAGAAGCATGGACCAGACTAGCCTGCAGAGCCCGCAGAAGGAACCCAAACCTCCTGCCACCTGCTCTTGGGCTTCCAACTTCCAGAGCTGTGAGCCAATATATTTCTGTGGTTTATGTCACCCAGTCTTTGGTACTTTGTTTTAGCAGCTTTAGCAAACTAATACAGACCCACAGGTGACCTTCTTATCTGTCAATTGCAAACTGTGGACTACACACTTCTGAGGAATCTTCCAGTTCCAACAGTTTCTAATTCAGAATAACAAACCGAGCTAATCATGAAGCACAAGGCTGTCTGGGTAACGGTGAGCACCTCAGACAAAATCCATGGACTGGGAGTAAATAGACCTAGAATTGGGTGCCATCTCTGCCACCAAAGAACTGTGAAACACTGAGGAATGACTCAACTTTGCTGGTTTCTGCTTTCTCATCTGTAAAACTAGAAGGTAGAAAAAGTATTCCTGAAGGTTTATTTCAGCCTTAAATTATTAGGCTTCCAATGGTTCTACTGTGACAAAGTTCAAATCAACTAGTATTTAGAGTATCTATTACAAGTGAAGCACTATGTTCAGTACCATTGGAATATGCAAAATGAATAAGACATAATCCTTGTCATCTAAGATTTTATAGCACAGTAAAAGTGGATAAGACCATAACAACCAAAAAAGAAAAGTATTGCAAGGATGGATCCAAGTACATGTCTATGCAGAAAAGGAGAGTTTAGTGCTTGGTTGTACACATTCTCCTAAATGTATCCATATCCATCACTTTCTCTCCTCCCCTCCATTCCAGTTTTGGTTAGGCCTTCATCATCCTTTTGGGGTAAATTTTAACAGCATCCTTACCAAAATCCTTTTATATCTTGTATTTCTTTCTTCCATCCTACCCAGGGCTAGTCAAGCAATCTTTAAAATATGAAACCTATGCCATTCCCTCATCAAAATGCTTTCTTTGTTTCCATATCTCCTACATGATAAAACTGAAACTCTCTGGTAGAACACAGAATTTCTTTCATTGTTTGTTCCTTTTCCCTTTTCCTGCCATATTTCCTAAAAAATCTTCCTCTAGTAATTCCTCCATGGATGTCCTAACATGTTAAGTGAGCTCATTTTCCTAATCCTAATGTCAAAACCTACAGCTCCACTATTTCCCTAAGCACCGCCATCCACCTGCCACCTTACTCTTGGCCCTTCACTGATCTCTCACCAAGTTTTCTCTTTTATACATGTGAAATCATTCTCAAATACACACACTTCTTTCCATTCTCATTGCCATGATCGTTGTCACTGGGTAGCATCTAAGGGCACTTGTAAAATATAAATGTGAAGATGAAGATGAAGACATAAGCAGGAGACACAGAGCTGAGTGTAAGTGACCCCTGAAGTAAGGGAGTGGATGTGAAGATCTGCTGCTTGATAGATGTATCTGTATCCTCTGGACAGTGGTTTGCTGTGTTCTAGATAAACTCTTCAGGGTGGAGATCTCTGATTTGTTTCCTGCTATGTCTCCAGCTCCTCAAACAGTGCCTGTCACATAGCTGGCGCTCAGTAAATATGTGCTAAATGAATGAATAGAGAATTCCTCAACAGCTCATTGACTGGCTTTCAAAAAGATGCGACGTTAGGAATGAAAAGACCATTGCAGGAACCAGATCCCTCACCCACAGAAAATACATCAACATATAACAAAAAGGGGTGCCTAATGCTTTTTCATTAATTCAATGAATGTTTATTAAGGCACTGATTTCGTATAATGCTCTTTTCTTATAAGTGCCTATAAAGTATATAGGATTTTTATTTGGAGCCACTTAGACTCTGATAAAGTCCTGCCTAAATTTATTAACCTCAGCCAGTTCTCTTCAATTTAGAAGTAAAGTTGATGTTTCAGTCATATGGACTAGCTGCTTCTCTTATATTTATAAGTAACCATTCACAACAGACTTCATGATAATGTCACAATTACTTTTTTGTTATTTATAAGTACTGTCATTAATTTATCTACCTATCCTAGTTGTACAATTATTTTGACAATATGTATACATTTATGTTCTGTAGCTTGCATTTTAAGCCTCTGAAATACTAACCTAGTGAAGTCATGGATGAAAACAATGCTCATTGCTTCTTTCTACTTGCAGGAATAAAATATAATATGTCTACTTTTTTAACGTAAATTTTTAGGCAATCCCAACCTAATTTTTGTCAAGTGTAAGAAGGAGCTTCTCATGAGAACATTTTCCACACTAAAAAACTTGCAAGAAGATTGAGAAATCCTGGCATTTTATCATTATGGGCTGCTTCACTCTGAATCAAAAACAGCAAGGAGGAGACAAGGCAATAAAAATGCATACATAAGGCGTCCCCTTCTCAGTCCAGTTTAGAACAATGGGTCCTCACTAGGTAAACACTCACTTGTCAGAAGTACTTGCAACACTACAGTCATTGCAGCACCAAGGGAGTAAGGGCCCTTCCTATGATAAAGCAGCAGATTAGACAGTTACAAACAGCAAGGAGGGTTCTTGTCTGTTATGTCCTTTCACTGTGTCTTTACACACAGGTGTTAATGTAATTTAAATGCCACTTAGACATGTTTCAGGTTTATCAGACTAGTTTGTGTATCCATTCTTACATAATAATTTCAAACAGGAACCAGTTCTACCTGCTGTGGGAACCTGCATAACTATAGATAGCTCTATGCAAATAATCTGGGCAAGTCAAGCAGAATCTATTTAAATCTAAAAGAAATCAGGTGGGACTTTGAGGAAATGAAGCAGGAACCAAAAACATTTTTTAATAGGTCAGAACCAGGATCACATTATTTTGATATGAACTTTGTTTTTCCATTTATGGCTGGCTGAGAGTTTGGATTCATGAGAAAATTATTCTGTTAAAGATTATAATTTTTCATTGAAAATAGAGATATGAGGAGAAACACAAGCAGATGAATTTTGTGAATATACATTTTAGGATCAAAAATATGCTTTTTAAGTCATGCAAAGTTTTAATAAACTAACCAATATGTTATTACTAGAAAATGTCATTTGTCGGGCTTCAAAAAGAGATAGGCATGCCTCTAAAACTCTTTAAAGCTGTCGAAGAGGCAATCCCAGCTGTAATTTTTGGTTAACTTTTTTCAAACAACAAATTATTGGCACTTCTGCCTTCCTTTCTACTTTTTAAGATTTGATTTTCACTATTTCTAACTCAAAAATATATTTAAAGTATAAAATGAATTTTTATGAATTTTCATTTTCCCACACGTGAAGTTTAATAATAATATTTTTAAAGGTGAAATGAACTGCTTTTCTTGGGAATATCCCACAATTAAAAGAAATTTATAATTAGTGACTTAGCTTGCCAGGTGCGGTGGCTCATGCCTGTAATCCCAGCACTTTGGGAGGCCCAGGTGAGTGGATCACTTGAGGTCAGGAGCTCGAGACCAGCCTGGCCTACATGGTGAAACCCCATCTCTACTAAATATATAAAAATTAGCTGGGCATAGTGGCATGGGTATGTATTCCCAGCTACTCAGGAGGCTGAGGCAGGAAAATCGCTTGAACACAGGAGGCAAATGTTGCAGTGAGCTAAGATTGCACAACTGCACTCCAGCCTGGGTGGCAGAGCGAGACTCCATCAAAAAAAAAAAAAAAAAAAAAAAAGGGGGTGGGGGAAAGAATAGTAACTGCCATGGTTGCTTCATTTCTGTTATTTGTAATCCAACATTAGAGTCTAATATTGTAAGAACCTTTTAAAAAGCACATTCCACACACTGAATAAATTGAAATAAGCTGTAGTGAATTAACATTAAAATATAGATAGATATATTAAGGTCTATCTATCTATCTATCTATCTATCTATCTTCACTGATGTAGTACAAGAGACAAAACTAGAAGGAAAAGAGAAGTGCTCACTGGACCCCAGTCTGATTTTGGATTAAACACTGCCTATTCAAGTAAGGTGAAAGTTCAAAGTTTTTCCTAATACTGCTTGCATTAATGAAGGTAGAGTTGCTGGCTTTAAGGCTCAGGGTATCTTGTCAAAAAGATCTTTGTGTAACTGTTTTCCCGTTTGTGAAGGCCTCACCTACACGCACATTAAGCACAGAATGACAGGCATTGTGAGAACCTGGGTCATTTCATATGGGTTAACCTAAAAATTTGAAAATTGTATTTAAGCTGCCACGTACAAAAGGGAGTTGTGATTATCTTGTGTACTTTCACTGAAATGACCAAGAATCAATTCTATCTTGGATCCCTAAAAGAAAAATTGCTTATAATTTCTGTACTGCCTTTAAAAACATAACTTCAAATCCTTTCAGAGTTACCTAATTGGTCCCTTGATATAGAAATACAAATTCCAATAAAAGCACTAATTATTATAGACTTGGTGTTTGTGGAGTTAACGCTGTTATCTCTTCTTGTCTTACTATTACTAGTTACAAGTAAAGCAGAAAAAAAAATGAAAATCCTTCAGGTGTGCTTTTCTCAATTTTCCTAAAATAGAAACTATAACTCAGTGTCTTTAACATATGCCCTAGGAGGAGGAGAGGCAGAAAAAACAAAACAAAACAGGAGGTCTTCTGCATAAATGGAAGTTAAAGGATTTACAGCATAGGCCATTAAAAACAAAGTGCCATATGTATTCATGAAAGAACGTAGAAGAAATATGTTATCCATGAGATGCTTGTCACAGATATGAAATTATAGCATGCTGACCCTGAAACTCCACACTCAAATAATATTAGAAATCCTTACTACTGATGCTTAAAGACCTAGGCATAATTTGTGTTCTGGACAGCATGGAAAAGCAGCTTCTCTGAATTTCTAGCTCTGAGAGTTCGGTTTAAAGTCAGGCTCCCACACTGTTTTTCTCTGCGGCTAATGAAGATCTGTTTGTGAATATTTACTCCCAAGTTCACGGCTCGTGTTTGCTGGCTCAAGCAGAGCTAAGTCATTATGGCTTGGCATACGTTCCACTGGGGAGGCGACCAGTTATCTTCTCATTGACAATAGAGGCAACCCCTTCGATTCCTCTCAGCCCTCCCTTCTTCCTCTCTACACTATCCCCAGTTTGGATGACTAGCCAAGTTAAAATGAAACCAAAACAAAAACATCAAACAACACAGCTCTCGGAATTCCTCAACCATATGAATGCAGAATCATTATCAGTGGTAAAAGGCTGCCGGTGGTATATATTTACTATGGATATATGATACACAAACCAAACCTGTGCCTCTTATAATAATTCTTTCTGTGAAGATCCTCCATTCAAAGTAGAATGGAGAAGGCAAATGTAGCTGCAGTTAAAAGCCATAATTCTTCTCCTCCCCAAATAAACAAGAGCACCCACAGCAGTCCCTCTAACCTTCCCGCTTTGATCTGCTGGAGAGTGCATTTACCTTTGTATCCCACCTCTCTCCTAGGCTGTGACCATTTCCTTTCATGTCACTGAAACCCTGCAAAAAAAACCCAGGAAATCCTAGAAGTTTTTATATCAGGTTGATTCAAGGAAATACGTGAAGGAAAATACAAGGGTTACCATATTTGGAAGTTGTCCTGTTTCCTAACTAGATTTGAGTAGCATGAACATTACCTCTGGAGGCAGAGACTCTTCTGTCTACAACAGTCCAAAATGAAAGGGGGAGAAGAAATGGAGGAAAAAAAAAAAAAGCTGCCTGATTCTAATACACCTAATTAGCCATCGGCAGACTCTTAATTGCATACATTAGGATGATGCCATAGTGGAGATTAATTCTAAATATACCCAAGCAGCTGGTTAAGATGCCATGGATTACAGTGTGGACTGTACTTTTCCACTTAATTAGATATCAAAATTAAGCAGCAACAAGCATTTTGACATAACGGGGATCAAGCCGCTGCTTGGTATCCCAGAGCTGCACTAAAGTGACCGCTAAACAGAGCTGCACAGATGGAGGGATATTAAATGCCGCACTGGAAAGTAATTTCAAATAATAAAATATCAATATTTACATTTTAATTACCCCTACTGAGAGCTGCTCTGTCATTTTCACTATTGCCGACGCAGCAAGGGGTAGTGGAATGACATTGCGGCTCTGGCCGCAATGACTATTTTGTTTCCATTAAAGAATGACAAGTGTTTTACAGGCAGTGACACTCGGTGTGTGAGTAAGAATGACAGCAGATCAGAAAATTCCTATTAAGGGACTAAATGCCTCAACAAGAGAATTTACTCTGAGCACCAGCTCCTCCTTGAAGCACATAATCCTTTCCAAATTTTCTGCTGAAAGTTTATTATTGGGGAGGCCCAAGGGAAGTTTTAGTCTCCCATGAAATATTTAGATCCGTAAAACATTATATGATGATTGTCAATTTAAAAACAATAATACTTGACGGGAACAAATATCCAGAAGTTATGTGTAAATCACAACGAGGTTGGGGGTTTTCTTTTTTCATATTCTCTCATTTAAATTGACAATACCATTGATGATGTTTCCTGGAAGCATATCTATTTCTTACCGAGTACATGGATGAAAGCTCGGGATACAGCTTAGAATAATTATAATAAAAATATTGGACTTGTTTTCACTATCTTTTCTTTAGCATTTTATTGCACCTGACTAGCTCAATTATAATTTCCTTGATAGAAAATAAAGTCCAGGATGGGTTATAATTTGTATGTGTAAATGCACATCCATGTGTATAAATACTAAATACTTTAGTTTCTGTTATTATTTAAATGTAGCAAATTCCTAGTGGCACTTACAGGCCCTCACCAAATTTAATTATTCTTTATGGGGTGTGAAGATGAGATGAAAAAAAAATAAAAGGTATATATTAGATGTGACATGCTGCATTCGCAGGATAATAAATGAAAACGGTAAAGTCTTCCTTTGGGGATGCCTGTCAAAACTGTAGAGATCTTGAAAGAATTTTAATGCCTCAAGATATGAGAGAGTGTATAAGAAAAACTCCTTGGTCAGTATACTATAGTAGGCAGTTAACTGACCCCCTATCTCAGAGCCTGCATTTATTTAATGTGTAGAGATGAACAACCATAAATGTGATAAATGGCTACAGCAGGAGGCAGAATAGAATTTTTCAAAGAAAAGAAAAGGGAAGTTGGGGAGTTCTAGAGATCCTTAGCTGCCTCTTTTACTCCCATTCTTTTTAAAGTATCAGTTTTGAAGTTGAAATAAAAACTCGATAATAGGCAGGGTATACTAACGCATGTTCCCTAACTAGCGGATGTTCCTCTTAACAAAAAATAAAAGTGCAATTGGAAAGTATTTCCTAAGCATCCCTAATGCTTTTAGGACAAGACAGATCCCATTTTTCAGCTACTAGCACCTTTTAATTTCTGAAAGAGCCACGGTTGAAAATCTTAATTAATTGTTCCATACTGCTTCAGGATCATTATGCAATGTAATAAAGGCCATGTAATTATGAAATTTTACAGCCATTATCAAGGCTGATGGCTCGTAATTCATCCTCAGCTGGACCCAATGGCTTTTAGGCACTAGGCTCCTCTTTGATGAACTACAGACAGATCTATCAGGCCCAAACAATATCCAGGCGAGGCAGCTATAATAGCTACCTACAGATGAAGCCATAGATAAAGATAAACTATAAATCTACACACACAAATGCAGGCACATTGCCTGGGGATGACAGAGGAGAGAGGATGAGACACTTGGGAAAGGTAGTTGCTCCCACGAAGGCCACCTCCTGTGCTTCTCGCTCATTCACTCCAGAATGGGGTGGATTTTATAAAAGACAGCAAAACCCCAGTGAACATCTCATTTATTCTCCGTATCTCGAAATCAAATGAGAGAAGGAAAGGGTGTCCATGAGCATTGTATTTAGTGCATTATTTAAAGGGCAGAGACTACTCAGATATCCTAATGTCTATTTCAGTAGTGAAAGAGAAAGCTAGATATATGAGATGTTATTCCTGGCACATAGCACTAACACAGCAATCCAAAATAAGTACTCTGAGACAAATTCGATTATAGCTCATGAGTATCTCTTTCATGGATATTAATATCTTTAAAACAATAATTCAAGAACAACAAAAATTCATGCTGAAATGTAGGCAGGGAAAATAACATTGTATTTATACATAACTAAAACGTTTGTAGTTCACATGTATTGACTCATTTTGGAATGTAGGAGTTCATGTAGCCGAATAACTGATGCAACTATTCTGCTTAACGTATTTCTGACATATCTCTTTTGGTGAATTAAGCATTTCCATAAGTTGTTTTACACATAAATGTAAAAAGGTCATCTAGGAGGTTCGTTTGACAACCGTAGGGGTACACTCCAGGGAACATCTAGCTCAACTCTGCCTTTAGGTTGTGGCAACATCATGGAGCTGATGCCCTCGGTCCTTTTGACGGCATCAGCCTCATGTTGGCTCGTTTCACGAATGCGACCAGATAGCTTGTCTGCAATGTGGCTTATCCCAAAGGAAAAGCCCATCAGTGGGTCAATCCAAGTCAGCCTGCAAACTGAAATGATGGACCATGCAGAGAAGGCAAGAAAAGCAGCAGGATGCATGGAGGCTGAGTGTGGGGTTGATGACTGACAGAGAGTTAGGGTGTATGGGTGTATGTAAGAGGCAAGGGTGTTCATAGGCAAAAGAATGTAATATTGGTTGAAGTGACATCAAGTCTCCAGAAAGCACAGCTTGAGACTGTTCACTGAAAGTATGGATTAAGAGTGAGAGAAGCTGACTTCAGTGCAATCTCAGCTACTAACTAGCTGTGTAAACTTCAGGCAGTCACTGAATTGCTCAATTTCCTCATCTGCCAAATAAGGTTGCTAGACTGGATGATGCTCTCTCTGGTCTATGGTATGCTCCAGACTAAACCTTCCACTGAACATCTTTGATGTTCCTCAATATGGGCAGGGAAAACATGAATCCAAAACAAGCCTTTCCTGCATGAATGGACAGTCTTCCTGCCCGAATCAAGGCTGAGTGTATTTTATCCTGCAAACATGATCTCACCTCCCATATTTTAGATAAATGAAGGACATCAGATATAAATACCCTTGACCTACTTCCCTTCTTGTCTGTAGCAGGACTAATTCTTAACACCTTCTCACTTGTCTGTAAGTTAAAGAGACTGCTCTTTCTTCCTAAGGAAGGCCTTTCCTATGTTCTCAATCCATCTGCTCTGGCCACCTTGAAGATTTTGATCCACCAATTTTCTACTTGGCCCCTCTCCATTTCTTATACTTATAATCTCTCCTTCTCCTCAAGTTCCATTCCTTCATCCCTCTATTCTGATAAAATCTTACTTCCATACTGGCTTTTCCCCAATAGCTAGCTCTCTGTCTCTGTCTGTCTGCCTATCTGTTTATCTGTCTTTTTCCCTCTCTGTTCACTGCATCCCTTCACCACGAAAATTCCTGACAAAATGGTGTACATGCACTTTTGCACTAAATTCATCTCCATTCCACTAAAGTCTGGATTGCATCTCAGCTCTATCATACTGTAATCACCAATGACCTAATTGCCCCATCCCATGGCCTGTTCAGATCCGATTTGATCTCTCTGGACTATTTTGTCCAGACTGACCCCTCTCTTACTTCCTGAAGCTCTTTCCTCCTTTTGCACTGATAAGACATCTTTCTCCTGGTCTTTCTTCTTTTATGCCAATCCTTTTAATGTAATACTTTAAATAATTCTGTGTTCACTTCTTCTCTTCTTCCTCTACCTGCCCATCCATACATATCTATGGATGTAACAAAACTATATCACCAGTACCCCCTTCTCCCCAAAGAGCAAGCCTTTATATTTCTGGTTTTTTACAGGTCATTCCCATCAAAATGTCTCATTGGCAACTCATATCAAAATGTCTAAAATTGAACTCATTTTCCTCCCAGACTTAGATCATTTTTAAATACTGAACAACACAGAGTTGAAATTTGGGAGTTAGCTATGTTTTGACTTCTATGTCTAATTTTTCCTATGAAATATCTCATTTCCAAAACTAATTTCTAGTCCCACTGTCTAGCTCAGTTCCTCATTATCTTCCACCTGAACTAAGTCAATAGCCTCCCAACTTATGATTTCCCTGACTCAAGTCTCTTTTCTTCTAGATCTGTATTAATCAGGGGTCACCTCTTCCTTGTTGTGATGGTTTCTCTCTGTGAGGTCCACAGAATCCTTCATTGTCAGGGCCCAATTTACTTTTCTTTCTTCATTTTTTGGTAAGAATGATGATGATGACAATTATTATTACTATTAAAATTTGTAAAATTCACTGAGTACTAAATTCCAGTCACCATGCTAGTGCTTCCATTTATCATGAGCTGGGCATTATGAATGCAACAAAAGAAAAATATGGATTCTTTGGGGCCTTATATTCAAGGGGTGGGGTGGAATAAATAAAAATATAGCAGGCAGTGGTATAATACTGCAATAGAGAAACATGAATACAAAACTATGAGGGAAAATGGGCCCTGGGATGGGGCATGGGGAAAGAGGAGCTGCTGTTGTAAGCAGTGGGAGAGGGGGTCAAGGAAAGCCTCACTGGTACCTGAGCTTTGAGCAGAGATCTGAAGGAGGTGAGAGAGCAAGTCCTTTGTCTATCAGGGTGCTATAGACTGACAGTTTATATTCCTCTAAAATTCTTAGTTGAAATCCTATCGCCAAAGGTATGACATTAGGAAGGAGGGTGTCTAGGAGGCGATTAGGTCATGAAGGTGAACAGAGCCCTCATTAATGAAATTAGTGCCCTTATGAAAGAGACCAGAGAGCTCCCTTTGCCCCTTCTCCATAACAGAGCATGGTGAGAAGAGAGCCATCTATGAAACAGAAAGGGGACCCTCACCAGACACTGAATGTGCCAGCACCTTGATCTTGGACTTCCTAGCCTCTAGAACCATAAGAAATGCATTTCTGTTAATTATAAGCCACCCATTCTATGGTATTTTTGTCGTAACAGCCCAAACGGACTAGAACACTAGAACTTTCAGGCAGAGGGAATGGAAAAGACACATATACCAAAGAAGGAGCCTTCTTGTTTTGGTTCAGAGAATTTTACAGAGGCTAGTGCAGCTGGAGAGGAGTAGCAGGAGATGGTGCTGACTGGAGAATGGGGCAGGCATGTCACAAAGGCTTTGCAACTTTGTGCAAACTTTTGCAGCCTTTACTTTAAGTGAGATGGGAAGTCACTGGGGGCTTTGAACAAAAAGGAGACAGGATCTGATTTGTATTTTGAAAGCTGACTAGGTATGGGATAGGAGTAAGGCAGTCAAAAGCATTCTCACTAAAACCTTATGGAGAACACATTATTCTCTTTGCCACTTTACATTTGAGGAAACTGAGGTGCAAACCCACTCCAAGTCACCTGACTAAAATTATTAGAGGTATGATTTGTACCGATGCCATTTGAGAACTTAGAATTTAACCACCATGCAGCACTGTTTGTCTTCCTGTGTTCCAACTATCATTTTCCCTTTCCCAAACAAGCCATGCTGTTTTGTATTTCTGTGCACTGGATATTTCTTCACCTTTGTGTGAAATGCCTTTTCCCTTCCTTTCTGCAGGCAAATACCTCTTAAACAATCCAAACATATCTGAAATATTTTTCTCTAAGTATTTCTTTAATAACCTCAAACAGAGAGGCACTTCCTTCTCTCCTGCTTTCTCCTCTACTACTTGGCCCTATTTCTATTACTGCATTGTGTCGACACTACTAAAGTCATTATCTCTTCTATGATATCAAAATGTATTCCTCTTTGTAATTCTAGTGCTTGGCAAATACTTGGTTTTTAAAAAATTAAAAATTTTGTGTGTGTGTGTGTGTGCCCAGAACTTGGAAGGTCTCAAGGACCTAAATTGTCTTAATTCATGTTTGCAGAATTGAAAAATCAACAACTGGTGGGAATGGTCACATCTTGAATGAGGACAAAAGCGTGAGTCTGTGAGAAGCGCTTAAGAGCATGGCCCCTAGAGCTCTTCCTGGCACCTATCTCCCCACCCCACTACTGTCTGTCTTTCTGCTCTAATGGAAAGGGAAATCAGAACGTGGTGAAACCTTTCCACTGCTACCGCACAGCCAGAGGTGACTCGGGCAGCTGAGTAATTCCTCCAGGGAAACGCAGGATAAGCCTGAGAAGCTTGAAGAGTTTGAGAGAGAAAACGCAGCAAATGCATCCCCTAGTTTAAAAAGAACAAGCTAAAACCTCTTAAATGAACTCTACCCATCTTCCTATCCCTCAGCTTAACACCAAGTTACTGCTACACATTCTTAGGTTTACATCTAGAGCAAGCATGCACCCAATTAACAGCAATTGTTTCAAGGTAACTCTGAAAAGTTAAATGCACCAGTATGATGAGGTTGCAAGATGTTTATTAAATAAAGTCCATAAGATAATAGAAAATAAGCTCAGGAAATGATTTTAGAAGTTATCTTATGCAGAATATTCATCGAACAGGCAAGGGAGATGATGCCACCTAGATAAACAAATTCCACCATTATATTAGGCATGTCATGTCAATTAACAATTACTCTAGCAAGCATAGGACTTAAACATTTGTTGTCATGATATACATTTAAAACAGATTTTGAGATACATGCTTATTTCTCAAATCATAATTCTAATATTTCAAACACAGTCTAGAAGATGAGGAAGACCATTCTAGTTGTATAAATAAAGTCTAACTTCAGATCTTTGGAGGGATTGCTCCTCAGTTATAAGGAAGGAAAAAGTCAACCTGGAGATTTTATATATATATATATACCAATATATACCAATCCACATCTTAGCTAATGGTTAAATATATTTGCTGACAATTTCTTTATTTAGTGAATTTGAAGAATTTTCATATATATATATATAAGCCTTTAGTAAGAATGGCATGTCCCTGACATCACTTGAAAATATACAATTTTCGTTTGGTTGCTTAGTATGGCCATTAACACATAGGTTATTATGTGAGACAACACACTTGAAAATACCAGGACAGTCAGTTCCCCTTCCCCCCTACCTTGTTTTCAGCCACCCTCCCTGACCCTCGGTTCATTCTACTCCAATCACTTGGGCCTCCTTCCTGTTCCTGGAATGTCCAAGCACACTCCTGCCTCAGGACCTTTGTATATGCTGTCCTTCCTGTCCATTTTCTGTCTCCTTCACTAGAATTTACATTCCACAAGAGTGGGGATTTTTTGGTTACATTTGTTCACTGCTGGATCGCTAGTGTTTAGCAGAGACTTACACATACTAGGTGCTCTATAAAATATTTGAAAAAATGAATGAAGAGATGAATGACAATATGCACAGCATTAGCAGTGTATTGTGAATTTAGTAGTTTTATAATGGAATGTGCTCAAAATATATTAGCTTGTTGTCTCACCTTTGACGCAAAAAAAAAGCGAATTAAGTTAATTTGAGATGTAAAAATACATACAAAATTCATTACTACCAAAATATTTCTTAATTCTACCCTCTAAAGAACAGTCAAAAAGTTACTTTAAATTTTAATTTTATTAAAAGAATCTTGAAATGAAGTGAAAAATTAAAAAAATCATAATTTAACCAAGAAATTTAAAATAGGCCCTATTTCTGCTAACCTAATCATTCTTGGAGATGCTGTCTGGCCACATTGTATGTAGAATTTATGTACTTTAATATTTCCACCTTATTGCATATCTATTATAGAGGTAGCCTTGTGAGCCTTCTCTCTTATTAATATTTCCCATAGAATTCATATACTGTTATTAATTTTCATATTTGGAAGAATCTCAGAAAAGCCAATAGACTCAGAAATTCATATATGATAAAACAGGTGTAAACTTCCGTACTCTATGCAGAAAAAGATTCTATAGATCATGTGGCACACATATTTTTCATTTATTACACATTTTAAATTAGAACTAAAATGTAAAATATCAGACTTATAATTAAAGCCTCTAACTGAAGACTAGACATGGCCATAGACAAGGGACCTTATTTAATTTGTTGAGTATTCTATCTTTCAAACCACAAAATATGTGCTAAAATATTCATTAAATGTACCAACTCACAAGAGCAACTTCTCTATATCAGTCAATATTATGTTTAAAGTAATATGTTTTCAAATTTTTCATTTCTAAATTCAATTTTAATATAAATAAATGTATTTACAAGTAACATGGCCTTTAATAACAGTAAAGATGTAGATGTAATAGTGCTACATGCTAATTTCTGTTTCAGTTTCTCTAGGATCAAGACCTAGAAAGCACTTGAGTAACCGAAATATAGGAGAAACAATAGCTAGAAATAAAGACTAATTCAAAGCCAATTATATCCCAATGTGAACCTTTCTTTATTGTGGTGCTTTTACTAAGGTATGCTCTTTAGATAGAATCATTCCTGTTGTGCTTGATTAGTATTTTTCACTACTTAAAATTTTACAGTAGAATTATTTCTTTAAAAAAATCAGAGAATTTGCTTTTTTAGTCCTTCTGAAAACAGGCAGTTTTTCAAGATGTTTCTTTATAACCCGGGAAGATGACATTTACTAATGTGTTGAAGAGACAGGGATTCTCTTTTGAGGCAGGCAACACTAATAAGAAAGATATGGTTCAATGTCCTAGGTATTCTTCCAAGTTTTATTAATTAGGTGGAAAGCTTTTCCCACTGGAATAGTGCAAGGTATTTATTAACAGTTCAACCCACAAATAGAACAAATGTACAGCAAAGGAGGTAATTATTAAATACACCAACCCCTTTATCTACTTGGCAGGAACAACCCAAAAGACGGTTTCTGATTATGATCTTTTTCATGATATTTTAATTGTGCTTCTTAACCTGCTAAATTAAAAACTACAGGGCAATCTCACTTAGATCACAGACAAAAGAGATCATATCAATTTGCAACAAAATGTATGAATGCTTCTATCTGCTTTAATTACACCAAGAACTTAACAGGCAAATTCAATAGGATCACAGAAGGATTGAGAGCTAAATGTTATCTCTTAGTCAATGGCATTATCATTTCCTGTATGTTGTTACACATTATGGAGTGTGAACCTCAGTTTAATAATAAGTTTGGGAAATAATGATATTGAAGTAAGGGAAGCTCGCTCAGCTATTTGAGTCTTTTGGTTAGTGTGTGTGTGTGTGTGTGTGTGTGTGTGTGTGTGTGTGTGTGTGTATGTGATCAGCTATTCATACCCTGGCCAAGAGCTTAAGATGAGGGACATATAAAGAGAAGCTATAATGACCAAAGTCTTTGCTTGTTAAACAAAGCCAGGATATAGGGAATAGCTTACAATTTTTTTAACTTCTATTTTTGTTCTACGTCTGTAATCATTTTTAGACCAATACTGTGACTGAATTCCTTTCAGCCAAACCTTTAGTTTTTCTCAGATAGTCCATTTACCTTTATCCTGAAAATCGTGACTCACACCAAACCTTCTTGTGCATCCCTGAGAGTGATCACACAGAAGATTCCTGGGAGCTTTGACTACTAAGGGTTTGGGATTTTCATTCTGGCCATACTTCGGGAGCCGAGCCCAAGACGTTCCCTGGTAATGAACTGGCCTAAGATGTATTCTTTGGTAATTCTTCATGAAATGGATATACTACATTCTGTGGGTATAAGGTGTGTGTCTATGACAGAGAGAGAGAGAGAGAGAGAGAGAGAGAGAGAGAGAGATAGAATGTTTTCTGATTCTAGTACTAATCCTTGTTGATCAGTTCCTATCCTTTTCATCTGGTTTATAAAGGGCATCTCTTTTAATGCTCACATCCTGTTGAATTCCATTTTTTTTTCCTCTTTTTTGAACTATTTTCTATGTTCCTCCCAGATGTGGGACTTCTTATTTAACCACTTCAGTAGGATTCAGGCTTTTTTCTCTCTTGGAAGAATAAAAAGATGCAATTCTTTTTGGTTCCTTATAAAGCAACTCTTTAAAAGTAGCTATAGCTCTTAAATACAAATATAAATGAAACATCAACATGTAATAATGAAAGAGAGAGCCACATCTCAGCAGCAGTGGATGATGCATCACACATATCCCTGGAATTTCCTATTAGGTCTCAATGTAACAGGGAGAATTAACAGATAGAAAGCTGCCATATGAAGGCTTATACTTCAATAATATTCAGAAAACTATTATTTTGTAGCATTTGTTACACATATATCTCTAATCGTCCTTCAAAACTTTTTTTAAACTTTCACATTTTTGTACTCATTTACTACATAAAATTAAAGTTCTTAATGACTCCAACTGTGTTTTAAAACATTGAATTCCACACAAAAATACATCAATAATGTAGAATTGAATTTTTCTTCTCTCTACCTATTTATTCATTTATGAATGTAGCTCTTGGTCCACACTTTGCATGGACAATAGAGTCTTGCATGTCTCATGCATGAATAATCCCATTTTGCTGGGGACTGGTTTTAATTTAGTGTTTATTTGCACTCAAATCTTTCTCAATTAAGTCTACTACTTTCTATCTCCCCCTTCCCCCCAAGCACATGGCATTTGAAAATGTACAGCAGTGTTTTTGAACTGAGGGATTTAGTGGAAGAACCAAAGAATGCTAAAAGTTCCACAAAACACATACGTTTCCACTCAAAATAGCCATAGCACCCTATTGACAAACACTGTGAATTAAGTGCACTGTAAAATAAAACTGGAAATTGATTACCTAGTTGCCACGTGCAACAATGCACATGGGACAATCTTCAAATCACTGACAAGAAATTGTGTGTTCTGATATTGCCTGCAGCACTGTACTATCCATCCATTAAATCCATGGAATGACACTATTTGTTTGGATTGTAGTATTGTTTCCAAACCTGCCTTCAAGATTATCATTTTGTATTCATCAGGTATTTTTTGAAGTTTTCTATCATCATTAAAAAAGTTTAGGGATAAAAATCTATTTTATTCTTTTGTACAAACATCCAAGAAACTTCTTCCATGCCTCTTCTAATCCCTGACAGCTCTTGATGAGTAAAGAAATAACTGCCTTGAACCTCAAGGTTTAAAGTTCATCTTGGAAACATGGGTTTATATCACACCAGGATCCCAGCAAGCTTCTAATTTTGTTTTATCATCTTAATATTCATGTTTAATTGTTGCCTCTTAGAGGCTTACCACTAAATTTTGGATTACAAATACATGGAATTTCAACATGTACTATCACATTTTTTAATGTGTTTCTGGTGCTTCACTACGAAAGCTATGATTACATTTGCTGTGTAGTCTCTCAGTCTGTTCACTGGAAAAATAGTATCCACCATCAGATGAACAGGGTTGAAACAGTATTCTACACTTTGCAGGATTTTATTTATGTTTAACACGATAATGACAAGTAGAAGTTACTAACATGTCTTTTTAAGAGATAGTTCAGTTAAAAACATGAAGAGATTATAAAATCTTATTTTTTTGCATTTATGTTCAATAATGCTGAAAATGCAAAAAAACTTAGAGATTTGTTTCAAATATTGAATAGAAACTTTTGATAACTTGAATTCATATGTGTTGTAAAATGTGAATAGCAATTACTTGAGTGATACTATTCAGGAGGCAAATGTTCATACAGAGATAACTGTGTGCACTTGGAAATAAACTTTGGGTCTTGGTTTCCTCATCCAGACAAAATAGGTGGATGATGACAACAATTTCACAGGGATGTTGTAGGTATCAAATGCAAGTGAATATTAAATTTATTTAGAATGATTTTATAATCTCAACATCATTGTGCATATGATAATCATTGTCATTATTATTTTTTCATCAAGAGTAATAATAATTCAGAACTGCAAAGTGCAGAGACATTTCACATAGGTGAATTTCATTATATAAAACTCCAAAACATGTTTTAAAGATTTTAGTCACCCTGATTAAATTCCTTAAAAATAATTACATATTTCTCATTCTTCCTAAACAAAGTCTATTACATACTATTTAATTTTCCTGCTGACTCAGAATCTGCACAATATCAGGTACCAATCAGGAGATCCAGGGTTGTAAGGAGATGCCCTCCAAGGTTACTGAGGAATACGGGGGATACCCAAACCCACATTACACAGCTTTCAGTGCTAGGCTTTTTGGTGCTTAATCTGCGTTTCATATTTTTTCATGCAGGCTCCCTTACTTTTAATTGCTGTCCGTGGAATTCCCTTTAGCATCAACCTCCTCTCAAAACTGCTGTGGAGTGGAAGAAGAGTTAATCTAGTTAGAATGGTACCTAGAACGAGTTTCAAGAGCTGGGGGACTCTATTACAAATATAATACCTTCTCAGGTCACCTAGAAAAAACACTGTTTGTTTTGTTTTGTTTTGTTTTGTTTTTGTAACATTGCTGTAAGGAATTGGAGTTATTCAAAATTTGGTAAAATATGTCCTAGATGGAGAGAAACTGAATTGAAAGACAGTGACATGAAACTGACTTTAATAAAAATTTCTGCATAAAACTATGGTTTTATGGGTGTTTTTCTCTTAAATGATTAGGAAAACAATTTAAGAATTAGAAAATGACAATAAGAATTGAATTATGTATCCTCATATATTTTCAAGTAATTGCCTGGTATTTATGCAATATAACAATATATTACATATAATGATTTTTTAAAATGTACCCATTTATTTTATTCATTTGGAGACGGGCTCGCTCTGTCACCCAGTCTGGAGTACAGTGGCACAATCATAGCTTACTCATCCTCCAGGGTTCAAGCAAAAAATCCTCCTGCTTCAGTTTCACCAGTAGGTAGGACTACAGGCATACACCAGCATGCCTAGCTAATTTTTTAATTTTTATGTTTTTTTTTTTTTTTAAAGACAGGATCTCACTATGTTGTCCAGGCTGGTCTTAAACTCCTGGCTTTAAGGGATCCTTCTGCCTCTGTCTCCCAAACTGCTAGGATTACAGGCCTTAGCCACTGTACCTGGCCTGTATTAATGATTTCATATAAACTTTAAACAATTCATTGTCAAGCTTGTAACATACCCACCCCAATGCATACGTTCTAAAAATGTCCAGATTAACATTAACATTCAGAATTAGTCTGATGTTATTTGTATAAATTCATATAAAAGACTTACCTATTAAAAATTCAAATGTCTTCAAATATACATAGCTTTGATCTAAGTATTTAGAACATTTATCACTTGTTTATAAATTTTTCAAAATTTTATTGATATTCAAATAATAAGAAATTGTTTGATGAATACACACATACTTATATGTTTGTTAAAATGCATGCTGTTTACTCGATGTGCTACAATGGCCTCTTTCTCCCCATTATATGTGAATATGTAATTAACAATGCAATAAATATCTCCCATGAAATTTCCAAGAAAACTCTTAATTCAAATGTTCCCTGGCCACTTTTTAGAGTTCACTATTTTTTCTGTTTTATTTTTAAATACCAAAGATAAAATGTACTGCTCGGTCACAGAGTGCTCATGAAAATATACCCTGTCTGCTCTGCCCAAAAAATATTTATTGATCTTATTGATGAAGATGACTTCTTGTCAAGTGAGAGACTAGAGATGATAATAAAACTATCCTACTTATGTATTAATTTATAAGATTTGCAAAATTGAATAAGAAACTAAAAAACTCACTCATAGGATGGTTTAAGACAGATTTCTCAACATCAGCACTATTGACATAATTCTTTGATGAGAGCAGGAGGTGGGGGGATTGTCCTGTGCGAGGTAGGCTATTTAGCGGCAGCTCTGGCCTCTACCCACTGGATCTCCCTCCCCTGACTGTAACAATCAAAATATTGTCAGACATTACCAAATGTTCCCTGTGAGGCAAAATTGCCCCATGTGTCAACTACTGGCTTGTGATGATGTAAAACATTTTCCTTCCTAAATGAATTATTCGTTGTTGAGAATAACGGTATCAAAAAAGCTTGTCTGGGTCTGTGCAGCATTTTTGGAAACCTAATCTACACAAACTTGAACAAAAGGGCCTCCTCTATTTCCTAAACTTGTTCCCAAGCAAAATCTCCAACTCTCATAGCAATACTAGGCCGGCTTCATGGGCGTGCAAACTGCAGGAAGCCATGCTCGGTTTAATGCTCTGTTGTCACCACCTTGAAATTCATAATAAATTTTTAACAAGAGGATCGGCATTTTCATTTTGCAGTGGACTTTGCCAGTTATGTAGCCAGTCCTGCAATAATGATCAAATCGACATTATCAGATGTATCAATGAAATCTACATTTTGTCAGCCTAAGTTTTGGAGATACTATGTGCTTTAAAAAAAAAAATCAGGTTGAAAGTTAAAAAGGACTAGTCTACATTAGTAATTTGGTTTAGCATAGTGGATAATGATCAGGGTTTGGAATCATAGACCTAAATTTAAATTTCACCTCTGCTATCTCTTTATATATATATATATATATGTTCTGGGATACATGTGCAGAACGTGCAGATTTGTTATATAGGTATACATGTGCCATGGTGGTTTGCTGCACCCGTCAAACCATCAGCTACATTAGGTATTTCTCCTAATGCTACCCCTCCCCTAGCCCCCCATCCCCTGACAGGCCCCGGTGTGTATGTTCCACTCCCTATGTCCATGTGTTCTCATTGTTCAACTCCCACTTATGAGTGGGTGAGAACATGCTCATCTCTGCTATCTTACTAGCTTTGAGATCTCAGGCAAGTTGTTTGACTTCGTTAAACTTCAATTTTCACAGTTATAGGAGAGGCCATCTTCAAATCTAGGTTTAAGATTAATTGAGATAATATATGTAAAATAATCAGTATCAGGCCTGGCACCTAGCAAGAGCTCAGTGAATGTAGCTGGATGATGTTGATGTTGTTGATGATGATGATGATGATGATGATACCAAAATCCATTCTGGATTGGGATGAGAAAGAGTAAAATTCAACCTCAAAACCTTCCTCATGCAGTTTTTGAAGGCAGATTTCCAGAGTTCAATGTTAGTCCATTTGTTTGAATTACTGCCAAATTTTTTCCATCACTGCTAACAAAAAAGTCTCAATTCTAAATTTTAAAAATGCTATCAAGTATTTAAAACTTAGCCCTACATTTACACTCCCAGGTACAATTAATTGTCCAGAGGCACACATTTAATGGGGCTGCACATACACGTCTGCTGACATCACCCTGTCAATGGTGCAAGCGTGTGTGTTAATACATTTCATACATTAAAGATGTAAATTTTATTCTTCAAGCTGAAAGCCAGGTGATTAATTCTCATAGCATAGTGATCAATTGGTGCAGATGCTCCACCTGTATTAATGTTTGTTTTTGTACACATTAGTAGCAGGAGTACACCAATAACGCAGGTGTCTGACACACAGCTATGCAACATTCCCTTTAGCCGGCAAACATTGAGATCAGTAGTTAGGTTGCACGTAGCACTGCCAATTTTTTCAATTAGACCCATTATTGATTTGATGAAAAAGCAAATTAAACATACCATGGTGGTATGTAAATTGGTTAGAGAGAGCATAAAGTTCTGGTACAAAGCTTCAAAGGCATGAGCTATATGGCTTTCATCAGCAGTAACTCATTAGGGGTTCCTGGCAATTGCTGCTATATATGGGGTTCCTTGAGCTACGTGGGTTGGCTAGCAAAACAATCACCTAGAAAGACCTGGACAGTATTTTTAAAAATTCACATCGGTTTTGCAGAAAGAAAAACAATGCCGGAAATCAAACTTTGAGTGGATATGGACAAAAGAAAAGGTACGGAAGTGGCATAAAATTGCTTTTGTAAACTTTGGCTCATTTTCATAAGGTTTGGCTCATTTTGCCTGCCCACCTGTATGGCATGCAAGGTGAATCAAACGGGTACACATGTGACATTTTATAAGTTGATTATGTTGATTCAAAAATTTGTCTTGACCTCTCTCTCAAGTGACTGCATGTTCTCATTGTCTAAATTTGAAGCCTCTTGGCTTGGTCTATAACTAGAGTCTAACACAACTTTTATAGTATAATTCCTTAAAATTTAAAAGAATGCTCTTTCTTCGATGAATGATGTCCTTCAGTTCTGCTAACAGATGAGGCAGAGGTCTTGAAAATGGACTTGTTTAACCTATACTATAGGTTTAACCAAAAGAACAAAGCTAGTAATTAAACCTTCACATACATTTGACACCTTGACACCTTCCCATACATTTATCTTTACTGGATTACTCTACATTGTGCAAATCCAGCTGCGATGTCATTTTCTTCAAGAAATCTACCCTGATTCCAAATGTTAGAGTTTCCACCATGGTACACCTATAGTACGCTGGGCTACTCCATCAGTGCACATAGAGCACTGTTATAAATGCCTCCTTGCTCGTCCGTATTCCCCAATAGACTCTAAGCTTTAGGAAAGTGTGCCCCCATCTACCCTACTTACTTTTGTATATTGCCTTGCAGAGTAATTACCGTAAAGGTACCCAACACATTTAAAATAATTAAGTAAATAATGCAGTAAAAATTTTAATTTTGTCAATTTCAAATGAGAGTGTTTATTAAGTAAGATTCCAAAGAATTTGCTTTTCTCCATGCAAATAAGGGACCTAGCAGGCCAAATGATTGGTACTGCCAAATGTTAAGCTCTAAATTTTAACTGTATAGAACATGACAAATCTGTCAAGACAAACTAGAATCTCTCAATGACTATTTCAAGTGCCACCGAAATAAGTAGCAGGTGCACCAAGGTCATATAAATATGTTCTTCACATGCTATTTAGCAACTTACACTGGAGAAGGCAAATAACTTTTACAGAGAAGAAAGAAAATGAACAAAAGTGATGTCAGTAACTAGGTAAGGCTAAGACCAAAAAGAAAATCAGAGAGTTGCAAATTTTAAATACCGTAAGATCAGTGATGGAAAAGAACTTTTTATATCAGAACTCAAAAGAAAGAGAAATAGATAAGAGAAAAATATTGGAAAGGAGGGAAAAGTATGAATATTGATTGCATTGAGATAATCAAATAGAACCAAGAGAGATTGGGGAGGGTCCTCCATTTGTGATAGGACAATTTCTGCAAATAAATAAAGAAATAAAGGGACAAGTGTCACAGGTCATCAGCAGATATTGAGTTGCCAGGAGAGCATAATTAGAGAAAAGACATTCAGATCAGATAGTCCATCCATACAATTATATTTATTATCCTTTGAATTATAACATCTTATATCTACCAAGATTTCAGTATGTGCCCCAAATTAACACACTCTTTCTCTTTCTTGGCCATACTGGGGCACTGCATACATGCACGTCTTCACAGAGAATGGCTTAGATCAAAAGAATACATTGCCCACACAGAGAAGCTCTAAAATGTGAAACTTAGAAAAATAAAGTTTTTGTTCACATTTTCCCCCTGAAGGAAAACCATTCCATCCAAATACATGAGGATGGCATAAATCACCTGAAGAGTTCTTGATTGTTTTTGTTTTTCTTTATTTTTACACTTGTAAGTTCATTTTTTTTAAGAGAGGAAATATAGAAGATTGGAGCTGGCACTGCCAGCAGTTTCTGATGGGAGAGAGCATATGTTTTCTGTCATGTTGGCATCTGACTGCAACAGCCGTGCGGAAGTCAGTTCAAGTCCTTACATCAAAGTTTGCTTGCCATTGTGGGGACGTTGTTAGAAGTTGAAAAAAAGCAATGTCCATTTGAAGCTTGTCTGTGAACTTTGCATGAACCGCTAGGAATAATGTAGTGTGATGACAAGCCAGTTATACCTTCCACTAAATTTGCTGTCTGGAATGAACTGAAATAGTGTTTGGTTTGTGTAATTACGTCCATCTATCTTTATATTCCAGCGGCATATCGCAAATTGAAAATACTAAAAATTGACTGTTGGTTCTGATATTTAATGATTGCCAAAGACAAGACGATGATTTATTGGTTACTTACCGATGTGACACATTTGCATCTTATTAGACGGAGATTACTATTCCTTAAAATGCGGACGAGGCCTGATCATGTCTGATGGATTGATTTGATTTGCAAATGTAATCAAACTAATAAGAGGGAAAAAATGAGCAATAATGCCTTGTTTTTCAACTGGCAATCACTCCGCTGCCAACAAGGCTGATATCCCTGACTAAGCAGCCTTTACACAGTCTTCCTGTCACCTCAAATAAACAAAGGGATGCTAAGAGCTTGATAAGAGGATAACAAGCCAAGTATGGACGCAACATGGAGCCCACACCTCTGAACTGTGCTGTTGCCGGAGAGAACAAAAGTCAACGGCAGGAGATGTAACACAACCTTAACAATCTTGAGAAAAACAATGGTTGTAATCAGTTCTATATTCCCATATTAAGTCATGGTCAATGAAGAATCTTTTCTTAAAGTAAAGATACTGCCATTCTCCTTAATGCAGAAAATAGGTCTCTGTTCATAAAGAGACTCCATTTCTGAAGTAGTTTAACTATTTAAAATCCAAATGGTTTCAGAACAACCATGCATATAGAGTTTAAGAACAGCATAAAAGTCCTTTCAGGCAGATTCTGGCTCTCAGTTTAGTCCACAGACTATGGCTGATAATCAGAACATGGGAATAGAGAGCCGCAGAACGGTCAATGCTGAAATACTAGGCCAGGAGGCGTGGTTGACATCTGACTTACATCACTCTCAAAACACTTCTTCAAGACTCTTGACTATGTGAGACAGAAGAATTAAAATTATGATCACGAATAGGCTGCAGAACAACAGTCTTGAAATAAAATTTCAAAAAATATTTTGATAATGCATAAACCATGCATCATAGTCATAAAATACTCACAGAGACAGTCTCCCAAGAATAGCAGTGTTAGTAAAGCTTATCATATAGTAGGCTCTTAATATATACTTTGTTTAGTGCATAAATGAATAGGCATGAGCTTGCTACAAAAATATATTGCACATGGTATTTTTGTTGAGGAACTGAATATTACAAAGTGTTTAGGAAAATGTCAAACTGAATTTATAAAGCTTATTTCCATATTCAGATGTCTCAAAAAATATCCTAGTTGATGTTTTGTGATAACCTCACTACCCATTCTCAGGCCATATAAAATGTACTCAACCATACAATATAGTACGGTTAGATTTAAATTAAATAATAAATAGTTCTATTCTAACTATAAAAAATTGCCTTGGAAATTTGAGTTAAAGTTTCATGGCAAATACACAGACGTGTTAAAACCCTCAGAGTGCAGAGGGTCAGACAACCGATCGGGTTAATTAAAACCCGTGGATTATTCACAAGCTAATTTTAACCAAATGTTATGTACTGATCTGCCAGAAACAGTGTTTGTTCAAAGATAGCATCAATGCTTACATGGTATGTTCAAAGATGCTTCTATTTTGTGCAGAGAGATATAGTAGAGAGGCTGACGGAGATTTATTATTGGGTGTGCCTTTAAAGCATCTTTAAATTCATGTTATTTTATCCTTCTGTTGTCTTTACTATTTAGCTCTGCATCAAGATCCTTGGCAGTTGTTCCATCAACCAAACTCTCGGCCACTTGGGCTGTTGGCCATGTTCCCCAATCACAAACCTCAGTCAGTCTCTCTACTATATCTCTCTGCACAAAATAGAAAGATTCTGAACCATATCTATAAATTAATAGTCCTTCAGAAACAGATTTAATCTGATATATTCACAGAGTATACCCAGGCTATAACAAATAACATAGGCCTATTGTTTATACTTTGTGATATCTAGTTTTTCAAATATCCAAAATAACTTTCCTAAAACATATTCACTGCTATTAATCTATCTTCAAGAAATATATTGTCCATATAAATCATGTATATCTATATATATAAAATGTGATATAATATAGGAAAAAGTTAAGATGATAATTTTTAAATATCTAATACTATGCATAAGCAGGAATAGTATACTCTTTTCTGAAAAACTGTTAGTGATAATGATAAATATCAATAATGCACAACTGAGCATTAATAGACCTGAGTTTTAGTCTCAACTCTGTCTCTGACTAGCTTGTGACCTCATGCAGATCATTCAACTTTCTTGATCTTAAGCATCTTTATCCATAAGTGAATGTGCAAGTAAAGGCATTTAACGTTTGTTGAACACTTGAAATTATATGTCAAAGATTAGACTGGGCACTTGGCCTGCGTTAGCTCATTGGATTATCTCAGCAATCCATACAGTAGGTATTGCTAACCCCAACTTATATATGGGCATACTGAGTTCATGGGATGTGGCAATACCAAGATTTGAATGAGGGTCTCTAACTACAAAGACAGTACGTTGCTGACTACAATATGGTGCCTCCCCTTAAAATACAAAGGTCTAGCAAATTATCTCCAAAGGCCATTCCAGCTCTATCATCCCAGAATCGACTTTTTGGGGAAAGGGATCTAGCTTTGATATTATTCCATATATTAGAAAGGGGTGTTACAAAGCTTCCTCTAGACATGCTTTTAAATAAACAATCATATTTTGAAAGTTTGGGAACATTTATTATAAAGCTCTCTCTTTTAGAATAACAGCAATTCACAGAAACAAAGCTGAAAAATCTGAAGTAATTATTCCATGTTTTTCCGCAAAAGATGAATTTAAGAAACATTGTGTTGAACCTCTGAGAGTGCATTCCTCTTTTAGGTATGCAAATCTGTGCTGAGGACACCCTGCCACTGGGTTTTGCCATGACACAGACAAATCACAAGAATAAGAGCAGCTTGACTTATTTTTTTTTTTTCCTAAAATGCTGACCATGTCAGGAAGAGTTAGTTTCTCCAGGAACTCACAGCTGCTCCTTCTCCCTCTCTCCCTCTGCAGCCCAGGCCACCATGTGCCCTGGCACAAACGTGCTGACTGGTGGAGGAGGCCCAGCACTTCAGGTAATTAATCCTTTCCTAATGTAGGTTAAGCAGGTGTGAAGCCTCCCTCATACAGAGAGGAGGTGGCTGCTCTTTGGAGACACCCCTAGTGTTATGGTATTTAATTGGGCTCAGATGATTCTCTGAAACTGGGTAGGTGTGTTGCTGACCTGGACATTCAGTTTTCAACTTGCTTAAGTGAAATCCAGTTGAAGAAATTGGTCTTTTCCCCTTCTGGACTTTCTAATATTAACAATTTGTGGTTGCCAGAATAATGCCCATTCTGGCAATGAAAATATAATTTCCTCATTGGAAGCAAAGTTATGTGATTACTGGAGACTAGCAGAGTTTCAGATTAAGTTGAATTGACTATTGCTCTCAGAATTATCATGGATGGGGTTTATTCATTATATTTCTCTCCTTTCCAAAATACAATGCACTAGTACATTTAAATTCATATGAAAATAATATTTTACTGCACCATAAGAGATCCAAGTGTACATAAAAAGCTAAAACAAAATCCCTACTTTGAGTTTACATACCTTGTATATCATTCCTGACACTCGCTATAGGAAAAAAAAATAACCTGGCAAAAATTAATATAAAAATTGTGGACTACTCCAGAAATCAAAAATTTTAAAAGTGTGTTTTTTTCTAAGAGAAAAAAAGTTTTCTTCTTAAGAGTCATAGCAAAGTATGTATAAACAATGGGGGCGTTATGACCATTTAGCATACAACACAGCCTGCTTAGACTGTTGCCAATGAGTGATTTTGGCAGGTTAAATTGGTTCTTCTACTTGAAATCTTCTAATTGAGGTTATTTATGATGGCTGAATTGGGGAGGAAGCAGCAGGATTTTAGTGAAATAATATTTCTGTAAGAGTCTAGTGCTGTGGACACACTTGGTACGGTGTTAAGATACATCATTTGAGGCTGAGCGCAGTAGCTCAGCCTGTAATCCCAGCACTTTGGAAGGCTGGGGTGGGTGGATCATCTGAAGTCAGGAGTTTGAGACCAGCCTGGCCAACATGGTGAAACTCCTCCTCTACTAAACATACAAAAATTAGCCGGACTTGGTGGCATGCACCTGTAATCCCAGCTACTCTGCAGGCTGAGGCAGGAGAATCCTTTGAACCCAGGAGGTGGAGGTTGCAATGAGCCAAGATCATGCCACTGCACTCCAGCCTGGGCGACAAGAGTGACTCTGTCTCAAAAAAAAAAAAACAAACCAAAGAAAAACTCATTTGAGCTGAGTGCAGTGGCTTATGCTTGTAATCTCAGCTACTTAGGAGGCTGAGGATGGAGGACTGCTAGAGCCCAGTAGTTCCAGGTTGCACTGAGCTATGATCATGCCACTGCATTCCAGCCTGAGTGACAGAGCAAAACCCCATCTCTTAAAAAAACTAATTTGTAAAATGCCATTAATATGGATAGTTGGGGTCACTTTTGCTGTCAGTTAGTACAACTTTCCTGTTAGATTTGTTGAAAATTAAAGAAAAGAGAATAATAAAAATGTGTAGTTAAAGGGAGAATAGTGCTTCGACTACATCTATGTGGACCCTTACTGTGATTAATAAGGAAAATTCATCATCAACAAGAAAGAGGGAAATGAACAGCAAAGGAATTTGCTGTAGCGTTTGCCTTCCTCTTCTCCTTTCACTGCCCTGATAATCCCTCAACAGAGGTGATGCAACAGTCTATTAGATCTCAATATCAAAAATATTCCCTGATATTCCTCACACCTTTAATTCCTCCCCAAGTGTCCATATTGAGTTCAGTTCAACTCCCTTTCTCTTTTCTTCATCCACACCAGCACCATTGCCTTTCACACATCAAAACCACACTTTGTTTCTTGAACCTGGTGGTTACTTATTCACTGAACCTTGGTCTAACAAGGAGGTAGGCTGACTCAGTCACATAAAAGAACACAGCCAAGGCTGACATTCTTGGGGGAAAAAAAGCATACAGATGAGCAAAGGTACATGGCTTTTCTCTACTGAGGTTTGTGATCCAAAATTATTTCAAATTCTCCTTCTAGTGGAAAAAGCCCTATCCTTTAAAACACATACACACTTTACTATAAATCACTAGCACTTTCAAGGTAACAATTCTATTTTGTGTTTAAAATGACTTGAATATTTCTTTTCCAAAATAATTAGGTTATTTTCCAGTTTTCACGAACTAATTTTGATAGGTACAAAGCTGGATTACCCAGCTATTATATGCACAAAATATAGTGTGTGTTATCATATCAGAAATTCTAAGTTCAGCTGAGTAATACAGGTGCCCTCTTTAAAAAAAAAAAAAAACCTGAATAGTTAAAACAATTTTAAGAAATCACTTCTCTGCCTGTTTAAAAAGTGCTTTTAAATGACTGTATTCTATAGAAAACTGTTTCTCGGATGCCTGATGTCTCCAGCTGCCACACAATTTATATCTCTTTCCTCTGCTCTTTGTTTTTCAGCCATTTTCCCTGAATGTCAAAGTCAATTTAGTGCATTTCACTTTGCTGAATAAATCAGAGGCGAAATCCTTGCTAAAAGTGAAAATTTGATTTGCTAAAAGGAGCTTAGGGCAACTATTAATCAATATATCCAGAGTGTCAAAGCCAAGGCCAGGATAGACACGCATTCATTTGGAGATTGGCTGAGGCAGATAAAGGGGGACGCAGGGGAAAAAGTGCGACCAGCCCACTGAAGGGAAGTGGGATTAGGGTTGGAGAGAGGGTCAAAAAGGAGCAAAGGGGAAAACAAAACATTCTATGCATCATGTTCTGCACTCCTCCCCCAACTTTTCTTTTAGAGGTGGAAAAAGCTTTTTTAATCAAGCATTTAAGCATATATGAATTATACTAATTATGCCAGCTTTTATATAACAATTTTCTCACAAAACCACGAGGCTTTCTCTCTTTAACTTATCAAGTAGCTTAAGAATAACTAAAAAGTCAGAGGTAACAGCTCCATTAACAAAAAAGAAGAGTGCCAGAAAAAAAAAATATATGACCTGGGCCAGGTCTATAGGATATTGATGTTTTGATAATCCTCAGGTAAGTTTCAGGAAATTTCAGGCTTCTAAAAGATTATAATATGTGGTGAACTGAATGACTGAGCTCATCCTGTCACTTTATCGTTCAAAAGAGCTTAGCAATTACCATGAACTTGCCTTAAAATGATAACATATTTTAGGACATAGTACATGTAGAAATCCTCAGCACTCAGGAATTGTTTTCAAAAGTATTGGGAAATCTTTCTGTGTGTAAAATAATTCAAAAGTTCCAATTTTAATCTTTTCAAAATGCAGTTCAACTCAGGTCATCTTCAGCTAAAACTTTCAATAGCACTTCACTGCCTTCAGAATAAAATTTGTTTTCCTTAGCATAAAATTCAAGGTTTTTCATGATGGGGTCCTTGCAGATCTTTCCAGCCTCAAGTCACATCTTCTTCCCATGCTCCCCCTTCTAAGTCTCCATGTGACTCTGTAGGAGAGGACTATCATAGCCCTCATAATTCAGTTATAGTTGTCAAATCACCTCCCTGAATCACCCACCACACAGTGAAGATGTTAAAAGCAGAATTTGTGCTGTATTCATGTGTGTATCATTAGCGCACAGGGTCTGACATAGAGCTCATTAAATGCTTATGCATGGAAGGAAGGAAAGGAAGGCAAGAAGGAGAGAGGAGGAAACTAAGAAGAAACTGTTAAGTGGTAGAGCTAACATTTTTTATATGGTCAAGTCTTGCACAACTACTCACTTCTGCTCCAATTTACCTATAACTTTCAATCAGATTAATTGCCCAGTGATCTGAAGAGAGTCAGAGACAGGGAGCATCCAGTCTTAGCAACCAATCATTTAAGGACTTCGCCAGCTCTTCACATGAGCAGCTAGTGATTGACTTGTTTCAGTAAAACTTGTAATCAGGAATGTTTAAAATACACTCTTGTCCAAACATCTTGATTTTTATTGATTTATAGGACATACATTTCCTTTTTAAATTCACTCTCCTTCCCTTTAATCTTTCATTTTTTAATGTATAGATAAGATTTATTGATAGGGCAAATATGTTACATTTGCCTTAACTTGTTATAAAACAGAAGTAGGTAATCTGGAACAAATGACAATGAACAACAGAAAAGCAGACAAGGAATGAAAAGAAAGATATAAGGAAGCCACTGTTAAAAAACCAAACCAAACCAAACCAAAACAAAAAAACACATTAAGTTAAATATACTATGTGTCTAAGTATCATTGTCAACGGTGTGTGTCAAGGTTCCTGAATCTCAGGTTTACTCATCTATAAAGTGGGACTAATAAGATTGAAACTTACCTACAGAATTGTTGTGGACATCACATAAAAGTTTATAAGGGTCTTTTGTAAACAATAAATAACTATGGAGATGTTAGTTAGTTTTATATTTAAAGCTTAATCCCATGAAAAAAAATAAAGCTGAATAAATTCTGGAACTAATAAAGTTGTAAACCAAATAGATTATCACAAATGTATGCACACACATGTATATGTATTTATGCAGACATAGATCCATCATTCAGGGTAGATGTCATGTCATGCACATCTTTTAAATTTCCCATAGTACAAAGTGTAGTGTTAAATATACAGGAGACACTCAAATACTTAAATTGCATTCAGTGATTACTATGAAATGATTATTTCACTTTGATCACAGGTATATAAGAGCTGGGTTATGTATGGATGGCAAATATATTTTGGGGAGTCCTGGGAACAAGCAAAAGCAATGCTGGAACGGAGACACATGAGCACAGGATATTTAGTATGATGACAGAATTGTATATTAGGTCAAAAACAATGGCATGAGTGGTGAGGACAGGCCTCTCTGAGCATTTTTCACAACTTTGGCTTGTCTCTTGAACTAGATCTCTGCCTAGGAAACCTAGCTACTTCTCTGTTGGTCTACTTTTTTGTTTCCAGCAAGGGTAGCTGCAGAAAATAGAGTCCCTAAGTAATATTTCAGATTATTTTTTTCAAAACTTATTTCTCAACTTACTGGTTCCTATTTCGATGCCATAGTTGTGACTTCAGAAACTATTAAACTGGTAAATTTTCAGTTGTTTTAGGCTTAACCAAAGAGGCTGGACTAAATCGTTTAGACGCCAATGGTCCTGCCCATGTAGAATAAAATTATGACAGTATCTACACAATGATTCTCTTGGTTAAATAAGCTTTTCTCCCCTCTCTATTAAAATTGATGTTTGTTCTGAATTTTTATAAATTGCTTTTATGAATATGAACTTTTTAGATCACTTGGTTTTAATTGTAATGACAATCTATGGCAGTACCTTGAAAATAAAAATGAACACTGAATGCTGTACATTTAGATCATGCTTTATAATTTGAAAATTATTTATACATATAAATAATTTGCATGTATTTTTTTTCCTCATTTGATTTCTATTTTAACTGATAGTGAGAGTAATTAAGTAACTTACAAAACATTACTCAATGACAGCTCAAGTTTTCTGATTTTACTTTCAGAATCATTCGACCCTTATTAATCACAACTACAGGTATACAGGTATATAACTACCAGGTACATTAAAAATAACCTTTAAATATTTCATAATTGTATTCTGTTTTTTGTTTTTTGTTTTTTGTTTTTTTGTTTTTTTTGCGATGGAGTCTTCCTCTTGTTACCCAGGCTGGAGTGCAGTGACGTGATCCGGGCTCACTGCAACCTCCGCCTCCTGGGTTCAAGTGATTCTCCTGCCTCAGCCTCCTGAGTAACTGGGATTACAGGCACACACCACCACATCCAGATAATTTTTATACTTTTAGTAGAGACGGGGTTTTGCCATGTTGGCCAGCCTGATCTTGAACTCTTGACCTCAGGTGATCCACCTGCCTCGGCCTCCCAAAGTGTTGCAATTACTGGCGTGATCCACCGCACCCATTCCATAATTGAATATTCTCATAATTTAAACAGTCTTATTAAGTGCCAAGGTTTTGGGTCTTATATTTAACTTTCTTCCACTTAACTAAAAGACTTAACTACTTCACAGTTCTAAAATCATTAGGTTACATACACAAAAGAAAAGTTAATCCTGAAAAAAGAGGCTACAAGTGTTTTAATTCATTCATAGCAAAGTAGAAATATTATAAGTCCACGTAAATTGAGTTATGGGATGCAGCAGAGGGTGGAAACTTGGAGCCAGTTAAGAGTTTTGTGCTATGCACATTTTTAGTCAACAAATCAATAAACATTTTTCAAGTGCCAATGATACAGACCCAAAACAGAATATAAGGTATGACTAACATATGGTATAACTCACCCTTAGTCAACCATGTCCTGTGTCCTGTACATCAAACCTTAATCACACACATATATACATAGAAACATAGTTTACATTATAAACGGAAACATAACATTAAATTATTTTTGCCACATTTTATTGTGCTTTTGCACGTATCCTAATCACTTAATGGTGCTACTATTTTAAGATGGGTATTTTATCCACCAGTACCCAGTAATGAGTATTTTAAAAATGAAACCTCCATAATTTTGCTTGGTGGATGATATAATCTTAAAAATTTGACTCTGTAAAATTTATTAGAACAATAAATATATCTTCAAGCAGTATCTTTAGCAATAAATATTTACACATGCTTGGCTATTCTTTTCCAAAGTTTATACCCTAAATGTAGAAACAGTTTATCCATGTTCTTTATAGATTCCTTTCATTGCTAGAAAAGTCTAAATACTTCTGAGAAAACTATAAAAAGCTAAGTCAATGAGCAATTTTTGATATGTTCTCCTAACTGAATGTTTTTATTTAAAAAATGTTTCAGGGCAAATAGTAAATATTGGTTTATGTGGCTTAGATTTCTGTTTCTTATGTGAATACATATACTTAAAGACTATTTATTACATCATCTTCCTTATGTAGTTTTCTTTTAGAGTTTAATAACTCCTGCCTCCAGTTGATAGGAAGAAAAATTATAGGAATTTTTTTCTATTTGATATCATTACAATAGAGATCAATTGAAAAATGTAACTGAGGCCCCCCAAACTTGAGCAAAGTCCTCCTTCTTCAATGGGTAATTATTTAATTTGTCACGTTAAAAATAAACAAGCAGACCTGAAGATTTGCCATATTAATAAACAAAGACAATTTTTTCTAAAATGCATTCATTCATTTAATTGTTAAAATACCATTCTGTTATTTTAAACCAAGTTGTCTGGCAAGATCCATAAATATGTTTAAGCCATTTATATAGGTCAGCTAACATGGGTTATGCTTTTTAAAGCACCATCTGACTAAGCACATTCTGCATTTTGCTAACAAAGTTACAGTACATAATAATATTTTAATCAACCAAAAAGAACAATAATAGATCTGACTGTTGGGCTGATAATCGTCTTATCACACCCTGTGAAACCTAGCTCTAATATTTGACAGAGCCTCCATTACTTGGCAACCCATTCGAAAAAAGGCCAACAATGGAGAGGGAGTGAAGTGGAGTGTGCAGTACCTCCGTATCTACATAAAAGAGATTAGAGGCGACAGCGTTCCATTTTACAGCTCAATCATATTGTGTTAGCATGCGCTTATCCGAGCGCGGACGAAATTGAAAGAGAAATAAAAAAGAGTCAGGCAGATAGGAACCAGAAAAGCGAGGCATGAGCAATTTCCAAGGATATAAAAGGATGCTAATGGCTGGGCCCTGTCATTCTTAAAAAGGGCTATTAGGGCACCATCATCTGTTCTTGTGCCCTTATGCTCCTCCAACTAAAGTCAAGCATTTTCTAAAGCCCTTGTGATCTTTTTTTCTTCTAGAGATAAAGTATGGTCATGTTTCATAACAACACACTTTCCCATTTATATGATTTATTAATGTAAGTCAACTAATTCTATTTACTGATAAAAAAAACCTATTCCATATGTATTTTCTTCAATAGCTTCTTTTGTTGTATCCTTCACTTTCTTATAAAGAAAGTGTGCAAAAGTACATTCGAAGCAGCACAGAAAAACTACTCATTTTCGATGCTAAACTTAATTTTAAAAACATATATGTACGTGTATGGGTGTAATTATACAAACCGAGAACAGCATAAAGATAACAGGGGCTTGAATTTTAGTGTATTAAAAAATGACTTCACTTTAACATAAGCTTTACAAAAACAAAGAGTTTTAAAGTTAAGACCAAGACAGGTGAAATTTCAGTTCTGATTTGGCTTTAATTCCGGCTATGACCCCAGTTATCAGGATTGGTTCATGTTATCAAGAACACAATTTCACTTTTATCGAGGCAGAAATGTGACTTTTATCTTTACTTTCTCCAGCCTTTACTTCCCTGTCTCTCAGTCCATATAGCTGTAGTGTGGTCCTCTACTGACCAACCTCCTGAACCCAGGGTAAGGCAGCACACTTTGATATCAGAACACCCTCTCCTTCTACCTCAAGCGCTGTATGGCATAGGTATTATTAAATTTTTTTTTTAAATTTCTGTTAACTCTTGTTTTGCTAATCCCTTTCTGAAAAGCCAAGATATTCCTTGCAATCATTTACAACACCCTCAGGTATCACGAAAATCAGAGCTGTGAATCACTACTCCACAGTGAACTCTTCTGACATTTGCTATAGAGAGAGAATAACGTCAGTCCCCACCAATTCTAAGCCTCAGCTTAAGACTGAACCCATAATCGTATAGTAATTGTTTCCACCACTGGAAATGGTGTTACTCATAGTTATTTAAAGTTGCTATCTTTACAAAAGTCACTAGAGCCCCTTTACTGTGACAAGTCCCTTTGTAAGCTGACATTTCTACTTGGATGCACAGTCGGACCTACATATTTATCACTCACTTTCCTTACTAGAAAGTTCAAAAGAAATTGTTGACTTTTATTGGTTTTTATTATGCTTTATCTGTATGATATCAAAATATTGGCCTTACAAATCTTTTATTTCAGGGACAACTTGAGCAGAACTCTCCGAAATAATGGGTGGTTTGGAACCATAGTGACACAGCTTTTCACGCTGTTGTTAATAACAATATTATCATCATTATCATTTTGAAATAGGTTTTTTAAATGCAATAAACTGGAGACTAAAATATCTTGATTCTACTCCAGGAAGCCACTCTGAAGGTACTGGATATGGCTGTGAATTTGTGCAAGTGTTTTTTACCTCTCTCTACCTCAAATCTCCTTATCTTTGAATTGAGAATAATAATACCTGATTCCTGGGTTAGAACAGTGGTTTTCAGTTTGGGGGAAGAGGGTCAGGCTGGGGCGATTTTATCTCCTGGAGGACATTTGAGGCTGTTTGAAGACAGTTTTGTTTCTCACAATTCAGGGGTGCTACTGGCATCTAGTGGGTAGAGGCCATGGGTGCCGCTAAACCTCCTACAATGAACAAGGGCAGCCCCTCATGACAATTATCTCGTCCCAAATATCAATAATGCCAAGGCTGAGAAATCCTGGGTGAAAATGATGATATTTAAAATGTGTGTATACATATATCATAATGATATATTAATATAAATGATATATATCAATCACCTAAAAAAGTGTCTATGGACACTTCAACAAATGTGAGTCTTGTTTCTTTCATCTCTAAACCCTTCAATAGTGCTTTCCTTACAAATAAGTTTTCATACACTGTTGAAGTAAATTCTGGCTGTTCCCACTGCATTAATCAACAATTGTCTTACATCTTGCAGTAAATCCTTTCTTTTTATTTTTCTAAAAGTCATACAGATGTGATTACAATCCAACTGCAATATCAAATATCCACACAATCAAATTCTTATTCTTCTTTTATATGTAGTAATCCTTGTGTAGGTGTCTTCTAAAGAATATACAAGCTCACCTATTTAACTAGTTTTGACTTAATTTGGGGGGCTTTATTAGCAAACAGTGTAAGACAAAGTAGCTGGTATAATACAGAGTGATGTTTAAATTAGTTTACAATTTGCTTGGCCTCATCTAGAACTACAACGAACAAAGCCATTCAGAAATGTCAGCTGTGTTCCTAACCACTGTAACAAATTGTCGCCTGAACGCTGCACACCTAATGACTTCAAATTAGCTTCACTGCGATATCGCCTGACAGTTCGTTACGACTGTTAGCAACATAGCTGGCGTATCATGACCAATAAATTGGTTTCAGTGTGGGCTGGGAAAGGGACTTCCATCAATTTGATTAAAGAAATTACTGTAGCATTCAAAGCATAAAGACAAACTAGTTTAAGGAGACAGAAATAAGTTAACTGTACCAGAAAAACATTGCTCATCATTCAAAAACTTGTTTATAAACTATCTGAAAATTCAACTCCAAACAAATAAAAAATAATTCAAGTAGAATACTAAAATTCTCAAAACTTACAAGCATGTACATATTTGTTCATATTACAGGATGGGTCAAGAAAAAAAGAAGAGAAATATTTTTAAATGCTAACTTTAAATTACCATATAGGAAAAGTTACCATGTCCATTTAATATTTATTTTCACAATTTATCTGTAAAGATAAATATCTGATTGTAAGCCAAAGCAAAGCTTGTGAATATGACCAGCAATAGGATATAACTAGCCACTATGAACAAAACTAGTGATTCTTAGTTGGGAAAATAGTACATTAGGCTACCGCTGACAAAAACATTTTTTAAAGTGAAAAGAAAAAGTAGAAGTATTTGCTAGGAAAAAGGTAAGAATTTTGACAAAGGATAAAGAAATGTTTTAAATTTATATTCTCGTTAGCTTACACTGGCAGTAGTACCTGTACATATGAAAAACTAACAAGAACTCAAGGTGGTACCAATATAAATAATATAAAGTCTAAGGATTCTATTAGGATATGCAAAACTCTAAATTATGATTAAAAATAAATGTAAAGGGTTTTTTTAAGTCTAAATGAGAAAAATTTGAATTCACCCAAATCTATATACATAACCTAGGGAATTAATTGCAACCTTTTCTTTTCTTTTTCTTTTCAGAAAATGTACCTGGAATATGCTTCGCCCATCCAATGATAACCACCAACTCTCGGTCGGCCAAGTCACACAGTGTAGTGAGGGCTTTGATGTCACTGTCGGGGACAGTAGGGTCAGGCATGGCATAGATCTTCTCCGGTTCAGCCACCAACAAATGTGAGACAATCTTGTTATCTGCAGGATCAGACCAGAGCACTACAAGATCACTAGTAGTATCATCCCTCTTTTATAAACCCTAGAGCATTTTGTGTTTTGAAAAACAATCCAAATATCCTACAATAAACGCTAAATATTCCAATTATGGCTCAATAGGTATATATTAAACGGTGTGCAGGAAAACTCATAGCAAGACATATGCCACTGCAGTCGTGATAGAATGTAGTCTTTTTTTTTCTTCTTTGCTCTACCTGCTTTTGCTGGAATGAAGCGTCTGTCCTGTAGTGAAAATTTTTATAGCAAACAGATAAGAGAAGTTAGATGCTTTCTGGGTTTGTGCTTTGATTCTTAAGTGGGATTTGGTGAAGTAGATTAAATGGTATAAAATAGCTTAAAATAAAACCCCCAGTAAACTATTGAAATATAGATCATAACACAGGAGGCAAAGAACTACTAATGCCTATAGTCATAATGGGCATGAAAGTCATTAATTGTCTTAATTCCTTTAAAGAAGAGCAAAGGTCAGAGCCCTTCTGCCTTGGTGAATTACTGACTATATAACTCTATCTCCGTGGGATGCATTAAATAGGAATTTATTTTTTTCTCCCCCTCCCCACACACCCAGCCAGTCTTCCAAATACAGCTAATATGTTTCCATAAAAATACTCCTCCTTAAATGTTACAGTCATTTTCTCTTCTGTGTGTCAAATTCTTTAATCCTCTATTTTCATCAGTTGTCCTTAGTTCATTCTCTGGTTCAGATTTATCTGTCTGAAATTTGTGATATATGTTTTAAAAATCCTTCAAAAAATAAACACTAGAGACAAATGGAAAGCATCACATCAAATGTGTTTTATTGCTCAGGGGCATGTGAGGGTTTATGGAAGGGGCTGTAAAGTCTTGGTAACAGAATGATTTTTCTTGTTGGCCCTATTTTCAATTTCTATATGTAGCTTAAGATTTTATGCTTTCTTCTAAGTGAGGAGATACAAACGGGTGAGAATAAACCCACATATTTAAATGTTCTATGTACTATTACTGTAGAAAACCAGGACTTTAAATGAGGTTCTTGTGAACACAGCCAAAGTTCCCAATGTGTTTATCAGACTCTTTGCCTCTCGCTCTAAGTTTTTAACTTTTTTAACCCAATATAAAAACACTTCACATAACTTAGAGTTAAATATAGCATTCATTTTATCTCCTTTTATGAAAGAATGTGGCTTGTCCAAGCTATAATTAGCACTTTTTCTAACATAACATTTAAACATTTATGAATATGGCTCCCATATTAATTATAATTATTTCAAATACACAACAGATAATATTCTATCATCATCAAATTGAGTAGGCAGATTTGGGAGGAAATATTCCCAAATACTACGTTGACTAGAAAAGAATTAAAAATTAAATAGAGATTAATTTTTTAATATTTAATTTGGATTTTTCTTGTATGCTACAGAAACAACACCCCATACTTTTAGTTATGCTTGGAAAAGTTTCAACTTTCATTGCTCTGACAATGCAACAAAACCTGTCAGCAACCATTAGATTCTCAGGATTAGAAGAAAATCCAATAGTAAAGAGCATAAAAATATATCCGAAAGTAATCATGATTCTAGTTGTTTTTTTTTTAGTACAGGGAACATAGCACTGGCTTTATCCAAGTCAATGGATACTTGACACGAGAGGTCAGAGAAATTTGGTTGAAGCTTAGAAATTCCCATCATTCAGAAAATGGAATAGCCGGCAGCACTGTTTCTAGGTAAATCTTATTTAATGTTTCCCTAATTAGAATCAATAGAACCCAATTTTCATTCTTGGTTCTTTGTAGTACACAATCAGTCAGGGTCCAGAAACCTCCCCAGCCACTTTCTCAGCAAAGCTCAGGCACAGTCTCTTGACACTTATCTGACAGGATCTGAAAATTAAGTTTTATAAATGTTTGTTACAAAAACACACTAATTGGATGGACTAAAGAAAATTAACACAGAGGCCTTTAGATAATGAGTAATGATTTATTAGGAGTCCTCTTTATCTGAGACAAATGGAGCTCACTGAAATTGCTGTAATCTTCTTAAAGGTACTTGACAAGCCACTTCCCAATTTCTCAGGTTTACGAAGAAAACCATAGATGCTCCTCTATCATTTCAACTTACACATGGGCTGGTGCTCATTTTTCTTTCAGTAGAGGAAATTATCAATGGTTTCAGTCAATGTTTGCATAAAATAAATGAGAAATGGGCAGTCTGTATATTAGTGAATTCAGAAAAACTAAACCTCTAATGAAATTAAGCATTAGTGTTTATTGCATATTATTGTATTATCAGAGAGGTTTTTTATTATAATGTGCAAAATCTGTTTAATGCAGTCCTCGATTGTATTTGCAGAATGCCAAACAGCTTATGCAGGCTGAGGAGAAGATGCCAGATTGGACAATTGAAGGTATAATCAACATAATGTTTTTTGGAAAGGCAAAAGGAAACTATGCCATATGTTCACTTAAGCTTTAATTTTATGTAAAACTGGTTGTTTTTCCTTTGACATAGCTAAAATGTCCTTTCATTTACAGTTCAGGGTCTGTTTTATTTATTTAACAGATTTCCATATGCTCACATATGTATGATGCACAGCAGTGACCCCTCCTGGAGAATCTGAATTAGAAGTGGACATCTTCTCTTCCCCTGAAGGCAGATCAAAAATTACCCATGTCTTTCCTAGAACTGCTACAGATGCATTTTCCTCTGATGAGTGCTGGTTGTGTCTTCTTAGAAAAAGACAGCTAAATTGGAAAACCGTTTTCACCAAAGCGCTCCTCCATGCCCAGTAGGATCCCTATTCATAAACATCCTAAAACGCTAGTTCTGTTGCACTACAACTATTAACTGATTTTCAGAAAATAGGATACAGTGATTGCCTCAATCTATATTCCAACTCTTTTTCGTTAATGACAAAAAGAATGGGGCTTGCATTTTAGCAATGTACCAGTCATCCTTTCAAATTGCAACTTGGCTCCATAAAACCATGAGCTCTTTAAAAACAATTCATACCGTCCATAAGGGCATCTCAGATGGAACCAGCCACCTATGCTTGTTATTAGTAGTGCCCATTCTTGTTTTAATCTATTGCTAGCTAGTGTGTTAAACTTCTATAGCTCCAAATTAATGAGGCCCCTAATGTATTTTCATTGGGAGGTTGAGCAGTCAAATTCATTTAGTTAGTGAAAACTACAAAAATCACTTTCTTGTGAAATCTGAAACTAAGAGCTCCAATGAACTAATGATCACAGTATGATCCATTTTATGTACCTCTGCAAATAAAGATAACCAGTAAATGTAAAATTCACACTATATAAGCTATGTATTAATATGCTTATGCTTCCACAAAATGACTAGGTTAAAAAAAGGCTGGAGAGAGAAAACCACAGATATCTCTAAAAGAAAAAATGAGATAATAAGCTGAGTTGCTGTCGCTCCTCACAGACAATCTTTGGGAATAGAGCCACTGTTCTCCAACAAAGAGAAGTCTCCTTGGAGTCAGTAGGGATGGGCATGCCAAAGCTGATGTACATAGAGCCAACTGGGAGGATTTCGTGTTCTGGGAAGCCAGACACATCTGCTGTACTTACATGGCTTTTTGGCTGGCTGAACCAGCTGAGGGTTCAGGTATGGGCTGTTCTCCGCATCTATCCTGCGCTTGTACTTCTGCCGACCTCCACGTACTCTGTCAAGACGCACCCCTGTGAGCAAAGACAGGCACCGGCTTACTATTAAGGTAGCTATGTTTGAGACCAATCAAATACCTAGATGGTATCCCCCAAGAGCACATAGGTGACAAACAGTAGAATGCAGAATGGACCAGGGGTACTCAAATAATGTAAATAAGTGGTGGCTAAATCAAACTTGCCAGAGGTTGAAAACCAAATCTGTCAGCAGATGACAGATCCGAAAGACATTTCATGCAAAGCCATCAGGGTCACTATTTGCACATCAAAGAAAAGGCAGATTTCCATGTAGATTAATACAAAGAAGCCGCTATTTGGTGCTAGTATAGTTTCTTAAATTAAAGACCCTGGCATTTAGCATCCTTTTCATCAGTCAGCCCTGAAAGCTCAATGTGTAGGACTGAGTAGACCAAGAGCTATCCAACTTCCCTCCAGTCTGCCAGAGGCCTCAGGATGGACCTGTGGAATTGAGCTGAATAAAGAGCACCTATGTGCTGGGGAGGAGGGAGGCCAGAATTACACTACACAGATTCAGTCCTGAGAGACGCAAGAATTGTTCTCTATCAAAATGTCAATGTCTCAAGGGGAATGTTATTTACATTTTGGCACAAATTTGTATTTCCTCTCATATGTGAGAAAACTGAGAGCAGGTTTGGGCTGAACACAGGATAGAAAGGGGAGCTTCCTAGCCGGGCGCAGTGGCTCACGCCTGTATAATACCAGCACTTTGGGAGGCCAAGGCGGGCAGATCACCTGAGGTTGGGAGTTTGAGACCAGACCAACCAACATGAAGAAACCCTGTCTCTACTAAAAATACAAAATTAGCCAGGCGTGGTGGTGCATGCCTGTAATCCCAGCTACTCGGGAGTCTGAGGCAGGAGAATCGCTTGAACCCGGGAGGCGGAGGTTGCAGTGAACTGAGACTATGCCATTGCACTCCAGCCTGGGCAACAAGAGTGAAACTCTGTGAAAGAAAGAAAGAGAGAAAGACAGAGAGAAAGGAAGGAAGGAAGGAAGGAAGGAAGGAAGAAGGAAGGAAGGAAGGAAGGAAAGAAGGAAAGAAGAGTGGAAGAGGAGGGAAGGGAAGGGAAGGGAAGGGAAGGGAAGGGAAAGGAAAGGAAAGGAAAGGAAAGGAAAGGAAAGGAAAGGAAAGGAAAGGAAAGGAAAGGAAAGGAGGGAGGAAGGAAAGAAGGAAGGAAGGAAAGAAGGAAGGAAAAGAAGAGCTTCCCAAAGAATTCCAAATGCTTGGATGTCGAAGGAAGTGAATGTTAAAGAGGGCTAAAGGGTGAAGCTGGAAAGTGGGCAAAAGTAGACTGACAGGAATAGAACTTTTTCCCAAATAGTGATGGGTTGGGTCAAGATTCAAAGGGGATTTTCTGGCAGCGGATTTAAAAGATTAAGGAAAAAGCCAAGGGAATGAATGGGATTACAAATATAGGAAAATTTCATTAATATCAGGAAGTGATAGGGAAGAGCTTGTCAATCTAGTTTCCAGACTATAATTGTAAAGTTTAGCACAGGACCATATAAGTCCCTACCAAATATAAGGACGACTGCTTGGGAGCAGAAGTGAGGAGACACTCTTTTGCAATATTACATTGTACTTTAATTGATATAACAATGTAAAAGTATTCATTAAGAAGTTCAACCATGTAATTCGTTGTACATATTTTGGCATGTCTCAAACTGTTTAGGAAATAGATTTGGTTTAACAGCATCATCAGTATTACTATTTCATTTAAGCCCCCTCAGAGCCATTAATATGCGACGGGCTCTGTAAAACTCTAAGAGGAAGCTACATAGCACATGCAGTGTTTTGCAAACCAATTGAACCAGAGCTCCAGTTTTTTTGGAATACCGATTAATGTCACGCAGAATATGTGAGCTGTGGGTTATCTGAGTTACATGAAACGATTTGGGAAAAGCAGATCTATTTCTATGTGAATATTTACAGTGAATATATTACTCAAATGTTAAAGATTATTAGGAAAACAATTTTTCATATTATCTTAACAATACTACTTTAAGCGTTGATTATCTTTTAGGAGAACACACAAATACTTGGTTCTAGATAAAGCCTGAATTGTCATATTGAAGTATCAGAATATAGTGTAAATAACATCAGGAGACAACTTTGAGAAAAGTTAAATAGGTTAAACAAACAAATATCAAAACCCAAAAAAGTTAGGTAAGGTTATTAAGCATTCACTGAAAATTGCCATGCATGTTGTTCACAAAGAAGTTATATTTCTTTATTGCTGCTTTTAAAGCACTCCATGCCTACAGCAGATGTATTCCTTTGTTTATCTAATTTCTAATGTTCTGTTTTTATTGCATCTATATTTAATAAAGTTTAATGCCTTCTACTTCTCTCCACTTTCATCATGATTTATTTTTTTTCATCTCTTTCTCTTCAAAATTTTCTTCAGAATAGTTTTCCAGTTGAAGGTGACCACATTTTTTCTGGTCATCTAAGATACATTCAAACCTCTTTCATTATAAGAATTTTGAAAATTAAAAATCTTAGTAGAAAATCAAAAGCATATGACACTAATTATATCCTCACGTTTGTCATCCAATTCCAACCCAATGAGAACATTTAATCTGATATTATTAGAAGTGTGAAGAGAAGGCAGGCAGAGAGAGAGAAACAATGACAGGCAAAAGCTAAAGAGAGAGGGAACATTTTTTGGACATCACTAAAATTGTTAGAGCCAAGAAAGCTGACAGAATAAATCTTGACTGAGTTTGTAGACTCCCTAAACTTGCTTTTCATGCTTGTCAAGGAATGTATTCACTGTTAGCAATATGTCCTCATATATTGAACAAAACACTACATATTCTCCAACCCAGAAGTCAGAGCTAGTGAGTTTGTGACAATGGAGTTTTGTCCATCATGAAGATCTGCGGAAAAAGACCATAGCTGAGTGACTTGATTTAAGATCTTGGTGGAAAACAATTCAGACATACAGTTACATCACTTTAAAGCCATCAAGTAGTTTAGCCAACTGGGCTAAGTCTACAGAGGAAGTGCAACAATGAAAGCTAGCTATTACACATCATGAAGAAAAAATATGCATGATCAATTGACAGGGTTTTTATTATGTATTATGGATTATTAGGCTGAGGTGGGTGGATCACCCGAGGTCAGGAGTTCGAGACCAGCCTGGCCAACATGGCGAGAACCCATCTCTACTAAAAATATAAAATTTAGTTGGGTGTAGTTGTGGGCACCTGTAATCCCAGGTACTCAGGAGGCTGAGGTAGGAGAATCGCTTAAACCTGAGAGGCAGAGGTTGCAGTGAACCAAGATCGCACCATTGCACTCTAGCCTGGGCAACAAGAGTGAAACGCCATCTCAAAAAACAAACAAACAAACAAACATAAAACAAACAAACAAAAAGTATTATCAAATACATTCCATTACTATGCATTTCTCTTTCACCTTCAAAAGGTGACTATAGAAAAATTCATATTACCTATTCCATGCGTCACAAATCTAAGGGGGTGCTGTCTTATGTCCCCCACATCCCTTCCTGTGTGTGTGTAGATCAATAACTATCTATGCATTCACTCGTACATTTACCTCATCCTTCCCATCTATCCATTCATTTATCCTAGCTATACACCTATCCAGTGAAAAACCTTTCACATAAGTCCTGATTTTACACTTTATTTCCTAAAATAAAGACTAATTAGATAATGCATTCTTTTATTTGTAATTTTATTTATATGATAGTAGAAAAATGATTAGTTATTGATACTCATAAAAACAGATTACATAATTATTAGTAAAAATTGACAGGGACTCCACATGCAATATTATACTCATCAAGTTTAGATAGCGATTAATGGTAAAAATTTCTAGAGCCAATATATTTTAAAGGATCATAAGAACTGATACTCGTGATTTTTCATCCCCTGTCAAAAGCAGGCTAATATTTCCAACTCCAACTTTTTCAATTCAAGTAGAAAATATTTATACTGCTTTTAACTCGTTTTCAAAATCTGGAAAAATCTGTCTTCTATGCATTGTCTAGTAGGATGATGATCTTATTATTGGTATTATTTGGTTTACCTGATTTCATGCTTGGTGAAATGTTTGAACCAAAATCCTAGTAAAAGACAGACGCAACTACTTCCACATCATACTGAAAGTAATCATCAATTTATTTAGTTACACTGGGGGAAAACACCACCCAGTAAAACCAGATTTTTCCCCCCAGGACAATCAAATAAAAACCTACAAACAAGGGACATAGCTCCAAAAGTTAAAACAGTCCAAAATATGTATTCAAACATGTGGACAAAGCCTCTTTATTTGTGCAACTTTGAAAATAGGTTTATTCATGTAAATCATAATAATACATGTACTTAAATTCAATAATGTTATTTTAAATGGTCAGATAAAACAATACTGTATAGATATCATGAAGATATCTGTATATTTTCAACATAATTCTATTTTTAATGTTTTTTCCAGAAAAAAAAAATTTTAAAAATTAAAGACACCAATACAATTAAAGCACCATGTCATAAATGAGGCAGGATCTCAGAAAATCAAATATCAAATTATGAAAAGCACCTCTCATAACTTCTAGAAAAGTCATTGGAAAACAAACTCTGCATAATTGGGATACTACATTTCTTCTTACTAAAAAGCAAATTTTATAGTGATAAAAGGTACATTGCAAAGGACAGAAGTATTTAACCAAAAAGTAACGCTATGAAGATTAAAATATTCTAAGTCAAAAACATTGAATGAAAATTCTATCTCTATCACCATTCCCTGGACATAGACTTAAGCTATGATTTCTCATTAGTAGTAATAAATGCAAATAACATGTTGAGTTAAAAATAAATACAAATCGAACAAAAAATGAAGAGAGGTCAGATAAAGAGAAATATAATACAAATTACCAAATAAGATTATTTTTATGTAATTGTTTCTAACTACCACTAATTTATAGTAATTTTATTATATGCTCTGGCCTAAAATTTTTAGCCTTGCATACATCAAAATGAAGGATAACTAATAATCAATCATTAAATCCCTATGAGCTTGGGCCATTGTCTGCAATCATGATTTTGTGAAGATTAAAGTTTCCCTTATTAAGGTTTTCAACTGTAATAACATAATACTTTATCTTAAATCCTTTATCTTAAATATTATGCAAAGAATATGTCAAAGCAAATAAAGCATAGTTTGCTAGTCAGAATGGTTCAATTCTTTGTCTGGCTCTTTCCATAACTATTTCTATAAACTTTGATGAGTCTCTTAACTTATTTGCTTTTCCAAATATAAGATGGATGTAAAGAGTATATCCTCCATGATGTTTTGCTGTAATGATCCAATAACATTACATTATGGTTATTATACGAATGTACTTAAAAATATTTTATAAATCTTAAAATGTCAAGATCATTTATTGAACATCTATCTGCATAGAGTGTTACAATCTATCCCATATCAATTCTGTAGGTAAACAGATTTGAGATATGATCGAACGGTAAAATAACTTAAAGGATGACAGCCAAATAATAATACTATTTGATGTTTGAGTGATTTATAGAAATATCTAGTATCATGTTTTATTTCCTGCCCCCTCCCATCACTAATAATATTATTTAGATTGTGATTATTTTAGAAGAGATACAGAAACAAATCAAAATTCTATTTTTTAAAAAAGATGATTTTCCTGAGTTTAGCTGTAAGTACACAACACAAAGTTAAATAGAGAATTCATAATTATCTAATTAAACTAATACCTTTAAAATATTCAAACCAACCATTTTAGCAGAAACAAACAATAATAATATTTATGATCAGAACCTGGGAAATCCAGATTTGTCATAAGCAAACAACAACATAATCCAAATATTTCTACTAAAGGTGGCAAAGCCTGTCTCTGTATACCTTTTCAATCTTAAACACAAACAATTTCTGTTTGGACTCCACTTGAAAACCACTTTTGAAGAAGTTTAAAAATAAGATTTCTCCCAGGAAATAAAAGACCCACAGTGTTCAATGTTTGACAGGATTGGAAGTTAATTAAGGCAATTAGATTTTCCATTCATGTGTAGACTGCCATTATCTTTCTTCTAAATAAAAGATTTTAATAGCTGGCATTACCTACCTACCAGAATGTTTCACATTGCTTCTTCTTTCATATACTGCATTTGCCTACATTGCCACAAGGGAATTACAAATCTTATACATTGTCAGGATTTACAAAATTGAGAAAGCAAGAGTAGGGCAAGGAGTAAAAAAAATGCTGTGAGGCAAATAAACACCAATAGAAGTAAAATAGTTCAGCCCAAGGTCTTCTTAGGTCAGCTAATTTTGAGACTACATTTTGTGCCCAAATGCAAATTTTTATAATATTCTGTAGTCCAAAGTCAAAAGTATTTTTCACATCTTTAATAGCACAAAGTCAGAGGCATTTCATAGGATAATAAAAAATCTTCCCTTCAGAGAATTACACAAGGATACTCTAGCCTACTTTCCCAATTTAAAGATAACACATTTAATATGTTATTCCCAAATAAAAGCTTGCTGAAAAGCATTAATTTATCTAGACCCATGGAATAGTTAAGAAAGACGCAAATATTCACATTAAAGTAATAATAATTTTGAAAAGATCGTTAATGAACACTACAATAAGCAAACTGCTGTGTTAAATAAATGTTATCAAACATAGATTGCAATTGAGTATAGGGAGCAGAATGGAAAGGCAAGACTTCTGAAACAATAAGGTAAAGAGGACAGTAACTTTTTCCTGCACTATATGTTTTCCTGATACAGTAGTTCACTTTGCTGCCTAAAGCCACCTCCCTCCTTCCCTTGGGAAAGAGAAATATCCAACAGCACCCTTGAATTCTCCTGAGATTTCTATGAGGGAACCATCATAAACAGAGAAAACACCCCTTAGAAGAGCGGCAGGAAAAGAAGCAAAGGCAGATTAGCAGTATCAGACACAGCAGTGGCAATTTTAGTGCCAGCCTCTGATGGGGTTCTCCTTCGGGACAATATCCTGAGAGAGTGTACCAGTTTAACCTAGAGTAGCTGTGCATACTTACAGGCTTCTCAGTAAGAGGAGTAGTGAACATTATTTGTATATTCACACGTATACTCCAAGGAGGATCTAAGCATATTAAATTCTTGAGGATCATATAAGATAATTAAAGAAACCAAACAGTAGATATTTTCTCTAACTATATTGCCTGTTCTCAAAATAGATTATGATATTGTTAAATATGGTTCATTATTTAGCCTCTTTCTTCCTATTTCAACAGTCTTTAACTCATCATACCTACCTCCTCTCCCTACCAAGCAACGTCTTTGTTGTTAAATGAATTAATCAATTTGTGCATGAAGTATCTTGGGATAAAACAAAATAGTGGCCGGTGACTAGCAGTCATTGGTTATTGAGAACTTATCATGTGCTAGGCAACGGCTTAATGACTTAATGCATATTAACACATTTAATCCTTATAGCAATCCTATGAGGCAGGTGCTATTATCATCCCATTTTACAGATGAGAAAACCGGAACTAGTAAGAGGCAGAAACAGGAGTGGAAGTGGGGAGAATGGCTGCAGAACTCACGTTCTTAAGCACTATGTTTAAACTGCTTCTCTGCCATCAAAGTCTATTTTTGGAAGAGAGCATTTGGTATATATTCCAAAAGCAGAAACACAGGCAGATGAAAACCAATTATGGAGGTAAACAATACCTGCATCATGATATGGGGCACATATAAAAGGTAGGAAGAATGATGAACTAGCAGGAGGAAAAAATAATGAACACTGTTACTCAAAAGGGCTAGGCGATTTTGCCTCTATCACTTTATAAGGTGATTTCACCTTTAAAAGTTCACAGCTATGAGATTGTGAACAAACCAAAAGTGATAAAAAGATTCCATTCCTCTTTTTTTCCACTGAGGCAGAGACTGAGGGATATTAATTTCCCTGCTCCTGGTCTTCACTGCAGATTAGACAAGGTGTGTATTTCAAGGGCCAGGGAGGCAGAGCCACCTTCCAGTTGAATTTTACAGTTCAGGAGGGAGTCCCACAGAGTCTATTTTCCACTAAACTCCCCCAGCCAATGATTACATTTACTTGTGCTGGAATATCATGACAACAATTCAGAAACATTGGAAACTGCTTGGCTGCATGTGGAAACATTATAAGGTCTGATGATATAAAAGAGAAAAATCACACAGGGAGAGAAAATGCATATCCATTAGGAGGGCTTTTTTTTTTTTTTAAACAGAGTCCTCAGTCACTAAAAGAGATAAAAGCCATGACTCACATTAAAGCTTCCTTGCTCTACAGATGAATTAACAATTAGCAAGGGGAAGTCTTTCGTTTTGGTCTCCTGATAGCTATCTGGACTATTAAACATGTGAGGCTTGCATAGGAAATTACAAAGGCTTCCCTCCGTTTCGGATTCAAGTTGCATCCAAAATACAGTTGTGGATTTCTGTGCATAGGACATAACCCCAAAGAAGTCTCTTCTTCTATTTTTTTCCCCTCCACAATGTGATTGACTGCTCTTAGCTGGTTCTGGGGATCATGTGCTAAATTTATAATCTGCACTGGAGCTGAGATTGCAATGACAGAAATCGGAATAGCCATAAACAAAATATTTAACAGGAGAGATGTTGCTCTACCAGGGGTAAGGTTGCTTCATCTGAAGCATGGAGCCCTAATCTATGACACATACAAGTACAAATTATGTCATCTGCAACAGGTGACAAGTTTTAATTGAATGTCTTCTGTCTGCAATTCTGACAAAGGTGAATGGAAATAAATGAGTCTGGCAAGACAGCCCTGAGCCTTACAATACCCAATATCTCATTATTTTTAAACAGCTATCTATAAACTGATGCTGACAAGCCTCGAACCTTTTATTTCTGCTCAAGAGGAGGTGGCTGTGAAGGGGGAAAAAAAGAAAGAAAGAAAAGGGGCATCCAGAACATTACATTAAACATGCAATACCTACCATTATCACTTCCCCAATGTAATTAAAGGAAATCTCCTATTCAAAAGGCACTATTTCTTACTTTGCTTGATGTCAGAGGGAGAGAGAGAGAGAGAGAGAACGAGAATGAGAAGATGCTTGGCCTGCATTTGCTGAACATAGGGATTGTCTTTAAAGAAAAAAGGAAAATCTTCCCTTCCTTCTTTTTGCCTGCTAAAAATTTCCTAAACTATTGAAAAAAGATACTACTATGGTTCATACATATCTAAACTATATTTTATCTTGTTACTATTTAAGATGGGTGAATATTCTCTTTATCCTTTTCAAAATTGCTTTCTCATATGAATAAAGTTATGAATTCATGGGTAAAGACATGAAATGGGGTTGTACATCAACATCAGAAGTGATTCTACTAATTCACAATTAAATGTGACACTGGCAGCAATAAGTTTAACCCAATAATAATAGTTATAACAGTGCACAGCACCCCATGGGGATGCTCTGTATAAACAGAAGCACAAATATTATTTATGCAAAATTCAATGCCCTGTAAAATGAATTAAATATGAAATCAACCAAGCAGGTTTACAAGTTGCTGGGTTGAGAGCCCACAGTCACTTTGGTTCATTTGATGGAAATGAATATAGTGGAATATAGTAGAGTCTAATGATCAAAAAAGCAGACATGGATTTAAAATATAGATTTTTTTAAAAAAAAAGGAAATAGATGGCAGAGAAAGGTGCCATATGAGCCTGGAGGGCATTTGGTTTCAGCATATGTGAATCTAGATCATACGGGCAACCTTGGAAGAGCCTATGAAGCTCAAAGAGGAACTTATGGAAATTCTAATAGGGGAAAACTTTATCTCTGAGCCAATGTGTTAGCAATTCACTGAAGACAATAAAATGTATTACCAGACTGGAGCAGAAATCCTGAGTGTGTCAATTATTAGATACCAAAGAGAGGCATGATGTTTGATAATATTTCTCTGGTGATCATTATAACTTGGCAAAGTTGAAATTCAAAATAAAGTAAATCTAGTATAACGAATATGGTATATGTTCCCAGGTCATGTGTAAAGAGAATTATACCTCTTTAGGAAAAAATGTTTCCTCTTAGGAAAAGAATAGTTCAATAGAGATTAAATGTAAATACAATACAAGCGAGAGATGTCTTGTTACACTGCGACACTTCTTATTTCTTGTAACATTGGTAGCAATAAGTCTACACAGTCATAGTAATAATAACAGTGCATAGCACCCCCATAGGAATGCTCTGTGTAAAAGAAGCCCCAAATATTATTTATTCAAACTTCAAACCCCATAAAAAATAACTAAATATAAAACTAAGCAAGCTGGTCTTCAGGTTGCTTGGTTGCAAGCCACAGTCTCTCTGTTTATCCAATAGAGAGAAATAAAGTGGAGTCTAATGACTCAATTGTAAGTCTTAGTAGAATAAACAAGAAGTAATGAAGGAACACGAAAAAGCAATTAGAAGGATACTCTAAAATGGGTTGATTCAGAGTCTGATATGAAATCAAGAGAATACAGTGGTTTCCATCCCCTTCTCAACCAACTCTATATACCATTACTGAACCCCATTCATCTACCAATGGTGTTCTTAAATATTCATGAGGAAAGTTAGCAAAGAAAAAACAGCAGAGATTACGAGAGAAAAATATAAGTTCTGTAGAAATTCAGAAATTGAAAAGAAAAGCACAAAAGATTCAGAGCACATTCTCAGCTGCCTTGAGACCTGAGCTATCCACAGTTGCCTGTAGCCCCCTGAGGGCACATTTTCAAGCCAATTAATACACAGTTTTTCTCTCCTAGAGTTAACAATTCAACTCTTGAGGAATGTAAGGTCTCATGGGAGAAACTGAGGTAAGAGAATTATGAATACTGGTGAAAATAAGAAATCTATGTGTATATATAAATGATGTATATTCATTAAAATGAACACAAATATGAAAATACTATAGATTACAGACACACTAAATAAGCAATGTTTCCTGTTCAATTTATTTCCATCTAGCATCTTTTGATCTCTTGTATGTTTTCAGAATCTCAATTCTATCTGGTTTCAGTAAGATGACTATAAATTCTGTTTGCTTTGATGCACACAATATGCATACAAAAGGCATTATATTTGGACATCTGGATTACAAGCTAAATATTCAATGTTATTTTTATTTTGCTACTCTGAGCAACTAGGTCTTAATATGGATCCACTCCAGATTCACATTAAATTGATATATCATGTTAAAGGTTTGGAGGAGAGTTATACGTATGTGTATTCATAGTTACATGTCCATCTAAACATACCAAAATTTTTTGTCAAAGAAATTAACAGTTGGGAAAGTATATACTCTGAGGGCCAGTGAGGAAACTGTACATGTGAAGTATTGTACATGTGAAGTAGGGTGAAGTCCATAGCCTGTATTTTTGTTCTCAGACTGAGTGAAACGTGTGAAAATATAGAAAACACCAATGATATATCCAGACACCAAACATACTGAGTCTTGGCTGAAAAAAGTTTGTATTTGTAACAAGTCATGAATTTCCTGACAGACTTCCCTGTGTATTGTTATTATATGAGGGGTTGTAGGATGGGCAATTGCCAGTCTAGTCAACATGATCCTCAATGCAAGGATGCATCTCTAAATTCTAGTGTGTGCCAAGAAAAAAACAAACACATTTTCCCATTCACAAGGCAGCTGAAGGCTAGATGTTGAGAATGGAGACTTCAAATGTCACTCCCTCATGTAGAAGGAGGCAGAATTCCCCATGAAAATTTCCTTGCATTTTCCAAACTTAAATTTCTTAGTCTTTTCTGTCAATTGTCTCCCTCTATGTTTTTGGAATATAGACCGGCCTAACTGCAAACGTCAAGGTATTTCATTTGTTACATATATTCAGCTTAATTCCATAAAAATTTGAGAGTGGAGTGCATAGTGAAAATGACATACTAATTGAAAAAGCTTTGAAGGATCAAAACATAATCAAATGATTTTGGTGTATGTTGTAAAGTGTCTATACATCATCATTAGCCATGCAGTATGTATCACATGCCTGCTACACAGTAGGTACTCAAAAATACTGAGTAAGTGAATAAATAAATGTACAACATGCTTTACAGCCATGCACTATGATGATTTTTGTTTTTCTTTTGGTAATTCTAAAACTGGAATGTACACAGACAAATATGAACCTCTTGTCAATTTTTTTCAGTAATTCTTGTTTGGCGTGTTTTCTTAATGCACCAGTGTACAGTAAATTAAGAAAAGTATAGAAAACTTGAAGATAACAACATATCATGAAGCATTGAAGAAAAAAAAGGAGTTGGCTGAAAGGTAGACTCAGTTTTATTTTTTAACTATTCATCATAGATAACATAAAACAGCATTTGATATGCTGTGAAAACCTCAGTTAGATATTAAGAAGAACTGACTAATGAGAGAATTATATTTAGATACTGAATATTGAACAAGAAAGATCATAGATTGCTATACTTGGGAAATTTGACAAATGAGGGAAACCATTCCCTTCCTGAGACATTTTTATTGCTCTCCTGCCTGGAAGCAGATGAATGAGTTTGATCACATGTTAAGCTCTCTTCCAGTTCTAAAAGTCTATGAATGAAATGGTGTACTTAAAAAGATGGAATTGACCCACAGATTCAGAGTCCAACAACTGCCCTGGCAGTTGGAAACATCAACATACTTCATATCTTAAATCAGGGAAGACTGGAGCCAAATGGATAGCATTAATGAAACAGAAGAGCAGAAGCCTTTCTGGCACAGGTTTTAGCGTTCCCCTCACGCTGACCTTGGCCAAATGCATTTCCTTTTGTTCTTGATGATAATAAAGCAAATAAAGTGCCCATGTTTGAAAAATGCTTCTAGCTTATTATTGCATTAGGAAAAGATCAATGTCTGTTGCACATCACTATGGAAACTGAAGTATGGGAAATCATATACAGCTTCAGATTTGTAGAAATTTACAACATATAGACAAAAAGTGAGCTGAGGAGGATATGACTAAATAACATATTTTGAAAGCAACCAAAGAATAGATAATGACTGTTCTGTTATTTAGCTGAATTCCATCTAATGTCTTAAAAATCAAAAGGCATTTGGCTAAAGATGACCAGATTTCATTAAGTATGCCACAATGGTGAAAATTAATGTTTCATCTCAACATCTACAGTCACCCTTTTGGCAGAAATCACATTATGTATAGATATATATGTATACCTCTGTATATATGTATATACATGCATACTTGTACATATATCCACACACAGGGGTACATACATAGAGATAAACATAAAAACACAGACACAATCCTAAACCAGTAAGACATTATCAAATTTCTTTATTTTTCTGATAATGATTTGGCCCAGCCACACGATTCTGTGAGAATTATTCATTTGCACAAGTTTCCCTCCCAAAAGAACCCATGTTCTATGAGTTTACATTAGCATTTACATCAAGTCACAAATTCAGACAACTACAGGGACTACCTACACAAAGTGAGTGAATGAAAGGGACTATGTGTTTAAATAAAGAGAGAGAGAGAGAGAGAAAACAAAAACAATGGGCATGAACTGTGGTGAACCCAAGAGCATTTACCCCCAAAGGACACAGCCACTGCTCAGTGCCAGTTAGATATTTATTGCCTTGTGGGAGTGGGGTGGGCAATCTTGAATGTGAGTTCAGTGTTATCAGAGTTTCCACTCCGAAAAGAAGGCAGCAATCCAGATCTTTCTATAAAATCATCCGATGTTTAAGTGTTTCCCAAAAATGTTTGCTAATTGTGTGGCCCTCAGGCCACCCGTTTCTAGTCTTTGGTGTCTATACCAAAGTTACACAGGGGCTAAATGTTAGAAATTTCTTGATAGAAGTCAAGTTTGACAATTGGCTGGTTACATTATAAGTTGGTCACTATTTAGAACTTACTCTTTTATTTATTTAGGCCCTCCATTATATCTGCATAGATTAAATTACCTAACTATTTAAGTTGTTCTATAGGCTACATCTTGAAATCCTGATTTTAAAATGTGATTTTGTAGGGCTTTAAGTATAATAATAATGTATAAAATACATGTGTTTTCATTAGAAAACATTTCAAACAAGAGTAAAAATTTAATCACCCACACATCCAGACCTAGCACCTGTTAATTAAGAAAGCTGACCTGTTTTGGTCCAAAAACCCCTCCTAAAGAATTTCTTGCTAAGCTCTGGTCTCCACTGGTAGTTATAGCAGGTGGCAACAAAGGGTCTTTAAATTCATCCATTGTGTTTACTAAATGTTTTCATGCTCTGAAGGAATGTCTTTTTGCCAAGTGAAATCTGTTGGAAACTGCAAGTCAATTCTTTTCTTTTTTTTTGAGACAGAGTCTTGCTCTGTCACCCAGGCTGGAATGCAGTGGCGTGATCTCAGCTCACTGCAGCCTCTGCTCCCAGGTTCCAGCGATTCTCTTGCCTCAGCTTCCCAGGTAGCTGTTATTACAGGAATGTGCCACTATGCCTGGCTAATTTTTGTATTTTTAGTAGAGATGGGGTTTCACCATGTTGGCCAGGCTGGTCTAAGTGGTCAATTCTTAAAGCACAAGTGGTGAGCTCCATTTTCATTCAGATTACACCAAGTTCATCATCACTGATAACTAGCTGACAAAGAATTTTTCTTCTGTTGGCCTGGACACTTTTTCTCTAATTTCTTGCATTGTATGAAAGAGAAGGTCTTTGAAGTGGCAAAAGATGAAAAGGATCCTAAATGCTTTTTGGAACAGTCTAGGAGGAATTCGGTTTTAATAGTGCTTTCTTAGGGTTTGTCAATCCTAGAGTACAAAGGAGCGGAAGAAACTGCTAGAATAGAAAACCTAAAGTGGTGGGAGAATGGGAGAATGGCCAGGAAAGACTTCATGAGAAAGGGGGAAGGGAAGGAAATTAAAAAGAGTCTTGAGTGTTTGAAGAAAAAAAAAACTGTAAATTTGAAAGAAGGCAGTAAAAATCATTTTTCTATCAACTTTCAAGACTATGCAGGCATATTATGAAGAACTGCCCATATGCCAAATAGCACATTACATAGGGTGAAAAAATGAATCTTTAAACAGGACATGACACATACTGGATGGCCAGCAATATATCCTAGACCACCAGAATATTAGTATCATTGCAGCTAGAGACAGTAAACATATGAACTTGTTAGCAACAGATGAAAGTCATATGTGTACACCTACTGAAGTCAATGGTTATTCCATAATTCCTGTCAATGCCAAATCACTTCAGCAAGGCCTCTGACAGAAGTACTGGCTTCTCTCAATGTATGTATTTCAAAAACTCACTCTACAAAGCCTCTCATCTCTGCTGCCATTGAGGAAACTAGATTGGAATCCCCTTGGAAGTTGTCATTGCAGTGCCCTCATCAGTCAAGAAGGTTGCTGCTGGGCAGCATGAGGCATCCCCTCCCTCTACAGGGGCTTCATGGCTGGCCTCTTAGCATTCAGAGTCCCTCTGGCTGAATAAATGAAAGACTGTGAAATTGAACTCAAGTTACCATACAGTAGGTAAAGAAAGCACAGAAACTGGGCCACCAAAGCAGCCCAGGAACATGCTTTAATGTCATAATAAAGACATACCCGAGACTGGGCAATTTACAAAGGAATGAGGTTTAATTGGACTTACAGTTCCACGTGGCTGGAAAAGCCTGACAATCATGGTGGAAGGCAAGGAGGAGCAAGTCACATCTTACATGGATGGCAGCAGGCAAAGAGAGAGAGAGCTTGTGCAGGGGAACTCCTCTTTTTAAAAACCATCAGATCTCATGAAACTTATTCACTATCATGAGAACATCATGGGAAAGACTTGAATCCATGATTAAATTGGTTCCCACTGGTTGCCTCCACAACACATGGGAATTCAAGATGAGATCTGGATGGGGACACAGCCAAACCATATCACCATGTCATAAAGGAGAGAGCATAGCCAAGAGTTAATATATGCTTTGACATGAAAATACATAGAAAAGCCATTCTTCCTCTCATTCTCCTTTCCTTCCCCACTTTGGCCAAACACTTTAATTATGTATATACATATAGGGCTTATAAGATCTTTCTAAACTAAATTATCTTTTTTCTAAACCAAGGTGCTCTCTGTTTTTTTAATTCTATTTTTTTAAAAAACTTACAATTTTTTTTTTTTTTGAGACGGAGTCTTGTTCTGTTGCCCAGGCTGGAGTGCAGTGGCGTGATCTCGGCTCACTGCAGGCTCTGCCCGCCGGGTTCATGCCATTCTCCTGCCTCAGCCTCCCGAGTAGCTGGGACTACAGGCGCCCGCCACCTCACCTGGCTAATTTTTTGTATTTTTAGCAGAGACGGGGTTTCACCGTGTTGGCCAGGATGGTCTCGATCTCCTGACCTCGTGATCCACCCACCTCGGCCTCCCAAAGTGCTGGGATTACAGGCGTGAGTAACTGTGCCCGGCCCAAAACTTACAAGTTATAAATGGGAAAAAACATAATACATCTGTAAACTCTTCTGAGCATTCCTTGCATAGCCACTACTCAAATTATTCCAGATTTTAAAAAATTTCCCAGCAATAATAAGAAATTTAAGATCCTTTATAACTTTTCATATTACTTCTACATGTACTTTACTTGCTACTTATAAAATCAAGGCGAATAAGAAAGGTACTAGTAACCTGGTGTTACAGATGGGGAAAATAGAGCTCAGCTCTATAATTCCCTATATTTTCCTCCCTAATTTGATTTACTTTTTTATTGCTGAGGATATGATTGGAGAATATCAATGTGTAACAGAGTAGTTTTAAGACCAGCTGTCTGCTAAATGATGGTAAGTATTAAACCTTTCAGATGCCATAGGGCCAAAGTTATTCAATAAAAATTCATTGCTAACAAGAATGAAATAAAAATAGCTGGAATTATTTTAATTATTGGCTCTAATAAAGTGAGAGTTCATTCATCTATCAATACGTGTTCAGCCTGAAATTGATAAAAGTTTAAAAAGCTAATTAAGATGGTAGGGGTCTAGTAGAAAGGTTAAAAAAAAATCACCTACAGAAAATATTGCTTGACATTTTTCACGATTCCTTGATGAGTATTACGGATTTTGTTTTTCAAGGATAGGATACATTTAGGGAAATATGGAAAAATAAAGAATATGGCAGAGCTCTATAGACTTATATTAACTCACATTTAGTAAACTGCCAACATCCTCTTAATTTTCATGTAAAATCTTTGATGTGGAATTGCACCAATGTGTTCTCTAAATTTAAGCTGCAGTCTCTAAGTTTGACTCATACCTTGCCTATTTAGAAGAGAACAAGGAGAACAGATTTGAATTTAGAATACATAATTGTAAAATTTCTCTTGAAATCAAAAAGTAAAAACTAAAAGAGTAAATAAATCCCAAAATATTCACTGAAAAAAAAAAATGGGGGAAGAAATCTGATCTAACATCTTTGAGAAAAATGACTCTTCAAAGGAAGTCTACTTATTTTAAACAATGTCAAAACAGATGTTTGTGGACAGTTGTGAATAAGTTTAAAAAATCATTATGACATATTCTATTGAATAAGGCAACATAAACAGAAAAATAGGCCCAATCAAATCATATAAATTTTATTGATCCTAATAACTGATTCCAATAAAAAGTACATTAAAATATAGCTAAATTTTATATTTAAAAAGTTACTTTTCCCAGCATTTTGGGAGGCCGAGGTGGGCGGATCACGAGGTCAGGAGATGGAGACCATCCTGGCTAACATGGTGAAACCCCATCTCTACTAAAAATACAAAAAATTAGCCAGGCGTGGTTGTGGGTGCCTGTAGTCTCAGCTACTCGGGAGGCTGAGACAGGAGAATGGCGTGAACCCGGGAGGCGGAGCTTGCAGTGAGCCGAGACTGTGCCACTGCACTCCAGTGTGGAAGACAGAGGGATACTCCGTCTCAAAATAAATAAATTAATTAATAAAGTTATTTTTTAAAAGTCTTAGTAAAAACAATATCCCACTTTTCATATAATAAAATGGAAATTTAAACAGATAATTCACAACCAGAGTAATGATTCTGTAAGTTAAACATTCAAATCTTCATGAACTTTTCCACCCTCCAGTATTGTATAAGCCCAATTTCTGAAGTTACCTGGGTCTCAGTTTCTTTACCAAAACAAATTTTAGCATAATTTTTTAAGACGCTGGAATAAAACTTACTTCTACAATATTTCAAAATAAAGGCTTCTAAAGAAATCATCGTCATAGATGAAAGAAGCACATTTTGTAAAAATAATAGTTAATGTTTTCTGTTAAATCAAGCTTAAGGTAAATTAAAAGCAAAGTTAAAAGTTTCATTAATTTTGGCCATTAGAGGAATGGGCTAATTATTTCCGAAATATAATATGTAGTAATTAAACAACTACTAAGTGAAATCATAAAGCACTCTGTGTCAACTTCTTCTCATACAAAGAAACTAGTAACCTAAGTAACTTTTGGGCTTTTTTTTTTTTTTTTTTTGAGATGGAGTCTCACTCTGTCACCCAGGTGCAGTGGCACCATCTCGGCTTACTGCAACCTCTGCCTCCCAGGTTCAAGCAATTCACCTGCCTCAGCTCCAGAGTGGCTGGGACTACAGGCGCCCACCACCATGCCTGGCTAATTTTTTTTGTATTTTGTAGAGACGGGGTTTCACCATGTTGGTCAGGCTGGTCTCAAACTCGTGACCTCAAATGATCTGCCCACCTCGGCCTCCCAAAGTGCTGGGATTACAGGAGTGAGCCACCACATCTGGCCAAATTTTAAGCTTTCAACACTTTCTTTTATCAGCACCAACATAATATTTAAGGTGACATTTTATCCTCCTTGAAACTTCAACATCTGCTGTTCAACAAATACCTGTATTATGAGTAAGTGTTTAATAAATAATATCACATTACTGATACTTCAATACAAATTAGACATTATAAATCCTATATATATCTGTGATAAAATGACAATGGAAGTAAAATAGCTGTATATTTCATGTAAAAATTTAGACATACATTCCATAGTATGTCTATGAAATAGACAAGAAAATCATTTTTGCACAATTATAACTTGTTTCACAATCCGTAATGTTGCTTCAAACTTATAATTTGGACCAAAATGGAATTACATCTGAAAAATCTCTAGTGCATTTAGTAATGGTTAGACAATCTATACCTTGATTACAGTATGTGCCCACTCTGAACTTTAAAAAGAAGGAATAGCAATTTTATAGTAATCTGATAAAGAAGCATTTGGACCTTTGGGGAAAGAGTTAATGAATTACAGATCTGAAACCGGGTTTCATGGATTCACTGTGAACTTTCATTCTAATAGTTAAAGTAGATGTCTATCAAATTGCTTATGAGGACAAATTTATGGAAAATAACCAAGAGTAAAGCTTTGTTCTTATTAAGAAACATGAATATGTATGTAATTTTAGCCAGACTAAATTAACCCAAAAATGAATAAATAAAAAAAGGACAATAATTGTTGTCACAAGAGAAGACTTGTCTCCCTTCCCCCTCTTAGAAAAGCATTTATGCTCAGAATTTTTTTAAAATTCACATTTTTAAATAAAACCATTTGGAAAGAAACAAAAGGAAAAGAATCTGCAAGGAAACCATTAAGGAGTAAGAAGCATGTATAGTTCACCTCCTTAGTAATAAACCTTCTTAAAACAGGGAGAGCCTGCAGTTTAAATACAGTGCTTGATATAAACATAAGACATGAAACTTAGTGTTCATGCAAGCAGTGCATTATTGCTGAAGTGTGTCAATTTTCTAAGCATGACTATTTAGAAAGGTTACATTGAGTCATCAATCCTAATTCTACATTAAACATCTTGTGAAACTCCATGTGCTCTGAACAGAGTAAGATCCTATTTTAGCAGCAACAGTATAAATAGGAAGTAAATATAAAATGTATCACAGATAGTCCTGTGAATTTTTCTGTGTCTTTTTGTGGGTATGGTACATTAACATGTATTCCCCCTGGTGGATGCTCAACTAATTATGTGAACCAATATCAATAAATAAGTGAAGTATACCTGTGACTTCACCTTTATTTTCAATCTAACGATTTAACTTGATGGATGTCCATTGATAATTAGGGATTTCCCATATGAAATTGGTACTATTTGAGTTTAGCAAACTTACAAATTATATTGCTATTATGTCTCTTGTTCCCTTGGGCTACTGATTCTTCTGTAACCTTTTGATTTGCAAAGATCTGAGGGTTAGGAGCTACTACAACAAACAACAACAACAAAGCCAAGGCAATCTGGACTGTTTTTATTAATAAATTTAACTCTGGCATTATCAAACATAAAATAGAAATAAATAACTATAATTTTATGGCCTTTATGTTCTAGATATTTCAAATATACTAGTCATCAGCATTTCAAAGACTTTGGAATAAAATCAGTTATTACACCCAAGCGATTCGTTAATGTTTACAAAGCACTTTCATAGATCATCTTATTTAATTCTTACAATTCTGTGCTGTAAGTATAGGATTACTATCTCTGCTTTATAGGCTCAGAGAAGTTAAGCAATTCACGATTAATACTCTGCACCTGTTTTTCTAATTCCAAGTCCTCTTTAAAGAGCATCAGTACTATCATTTGATATCTCCATTTTCCAAAACTCTAAACAAATTTTTTAATAAGAAGAAATAGAAAAAGAAGGGAAACAAGGAAAGCAGATAATTGATTCATTGATTCTCCCCACCCCCAAAACAAGCGCTTTGGGAATCTATCGGGTACTTCTCTGAGGACTTTCAGTCAATAGGAACAAAGTGAAAGGCAAGAATCCATAAGCCACCAAGTGTGTATCATTAATATTCATGACTGAAGGTGTAAGGAAAAAGAAGATGAAGTCAAAGCAAATGCCAAAACTCAGATTTTAAAGGAAAGAAAAACAGTGCACCTGACCAAAATGGAAAAACTGGAAGATGGAATCAGTTTCTAAAGAAAGATAAGAAGTATGGTTTTATACTTGAGATGATTTTGAGAAATTCAAGATGTATTGCACGGACCTCAAAACTGAAATTCAGGTAAGAATGCAGGACTACTGCTGTAAACTTGAGCCACCAACATAGATATATGAAAATATAAGTGCAGATTTGCTTTGCAGGACGTAGAACAAGCTTATCCGACCCACAAGTGGGCCACATGTGGGCTACATGTGGCTGAGGACAGCTTTGAATGTGGCCCAACACAAATTCATAAAATTTCTTAAAACATTATGAGAATATTTTTGTGTTTATTACTTTTTTAGCTCATTAGCTATCATTAGTGTTAGTGTATTTCATATGTGGTCCAAGACAATTCTTCTTCTGATGTGACCCAGGAAAGCCAAAAGATTGGATACCCCTGATGTAGAATGAAAAGACAAGGATTAATCTTGGAAACCAGTCATAAATATAGAAGAGAAGCAATAAGTGTAACCAGAGAAGGAAACTAAGAAAGGATGGAGAAAATTGGTGACTACTGTACCATCCAAACTAAGGGAAGAGAAACCATTAAGAAGTGATATTCAAATCCCAGCACTCTGGGAGGCCGAGGCAGGTGGGTCACTTGAGGTCAGGAGTTCAAGAACAGCCTGGCCAACATGGTGAAACCCCATCTTCACTAAAAGCACAAAAATTAGTTGGGCATGGTCGTGTGCACCTGTACTCCCAGATACTAGAGAGGCTGAGGCAGAAGAATTGCTTGAACCTGGGAGGCGGAGGTTGCAGTGAGCCGAGATCGTGCCACTGCACTCCACCCTGGGCAACAGGGTGAAACTCTGTCTCAAAAAAAAAAAAAAAAAAAAAAAGAGGTGAGGTTCATAGAAATTTAGCCCACAAAATAGAGAGAGTAAAATTGAAAAAATATATATAACAGCAATTTAATGAAAACATGGTGATATTACTGCAAGATAATAAAACTTAAAAGTGAGTATCTTAAAAATAGTATAAATGCATATTCTCCAAGATGTTTCTTTTTCAATCAATCCTGATGAAAATATATTCAATATCACAGATCCTTATCTATGCCAAAACCCTCTAACAGTAATGGTTGTTGATTATTAATAATATGACTAATATATAATAATGCATCATATTATAATTAAACTAGAAAAATGTTAGTAGTCTAGTATCTTCTAGAAAAACCACAAAGCTACATACTTCAAACAGTTCTAAGATTCGTGGTATGGAACTGGATTAGTTTTGGTATTTTTGTTGTTAAATTCCAGAAAAAAAACTCATGAGATACCACTCTAGAGTGCTTTACACTGAACATTATGAACATAAACCATACAATCAACACTGATTTATGTAATGATGTCACATATGTTAAGAACAGACAAAATAATTTGGATGAATACATTTTTAAAAAGTCCAAACTGGCTTCTTCCCTCCTCTCTGTCTGGAATTTAAGAAATAAGAAGTCTACTGAAATCTTACACCCTGAAAAATTGTTTCACTTACGAAGGACATTAATATGCTTTCTGTGCTAAAGATCTGGTTAGAATTTTGGAGAAAATGAAGGCAGAAGGCAATAGAATTGCCAAAAAGACTGAGTATTATTCAGTAATTTCAAGTCTTTAGACAGTATTGTGAGAGTATGGGAGAAATGTAATCAACTACAAACCCGGTTTTGTTTTTTTTTAATACAAGAAAGTATAAGCCACAAGACAGTATCTCAATTAGACTCCAATTCAATAACTAAAGAAGGGGATGATAACGTAAGTTCCTTTTTCTATCTCCTAAAGCTTACACTTTGTTGGTACATGACTTTCTAAGCTTAAGCTTTACTGACACATGACCACAACCCTGCGATAAGGTGATGTTCCATTTATACAAACAAACAACAACTGTGGTATCATAGGAAGATACTTGGTCTTTGTCCCTGGTTTCTGGTACAGTGCTCCTAATGCCCTTGAAATTTCCTGAGTGAAAAGGGTGAGGAGAACCTCTTTTTTTCTAAAGAATTGACTCTTGGCAGGCCCCCAGATAGCTTCAGAATTAGGGCTGGTCACCAGAAATACCAAGTCTTGATTAAAAACTTAGAACTTTCAGCCACACTCCCATCAACTTCCAAAGAGAAGAGAAGGACTGAAGACTGAGTTCATCAATGATGACCATGATTTAATCATTCATGCCTACATAATGGAAACATTGTAACACCACCTAACAGATGGAGCTCGAAGAGCTTCTAGGCTGGTGAACACATCAACATGCTGGAAGGTGGTGTGCCAGAGAGAGCATGGAAGCTCTGTGCCCCTCCCAGTCAGGCTTATGGGACTGAGCTCTTTACATGTGTGACCTGTTGCTAGTAGCATTGTAGATAGCATCAGAATTGAACTGAAGTACTGGATACCCAGTTGGTGCCTAGAGAATCAGAGAACTGATTGTTGGTGTTTGAAAACATTCAAAAACAATAACAGTAGTATCTACATCTTGGTTTCTTAATTTCATTTTATACCACAAATAAATAAAGCTCCTGGGAGACATGGCTGACACTGAGGTTGTGGCATGGAACATACAAAACCAGCCTGGAGCATCTTTTTGTGCCAGAAAAGTAAGAAAATGAACCAAGAGTTATGGGGATGTGTCAATAAGTCACAAGAAGGCAGCTTGAAGGGGCTCTCTCTGGAAAAATCTGGGACAATTTGAGGATCAAAATAAATAATGATAGCAATGGATTATAACTCATTGAATAAAATGGGAATCCATCGGTCTACCTTGACATAAATAAATAAATGAATAAGCTGATGGGGAATGGAATAATTATAGTCTCAATTTATCGCACCACAAAATTCTTATTACTCTCCAAGGGGGAAAGAGCAACTTTATAGTGGAAAAGCCTGGTAGATACCCCCAGTCAAGTGACCAAGATAATGTCATCAGTAATGAGACAAAGGGCAATTTGTGCCATCTGATATAATGCGATGAGATCACTGCATCACTTCTGTGATATTCCTGCCAAAGACACATAACCTGAATCTAATCACGAAGAAACACCATAATAGCCCAAATTGAGGAACACTCTACAAAATAACTGGTCTGCAATCTTCAAAATTGCTAGTCATGAAAGTCAGGGAAAGAATGTCAATTTAATTAGAAACTCATATTTTGTGTCAATGAAATTAAACTGGTCTTAGAATTTCCAGTAATCCTTTGAATATCTTTATTTTTACTTCCTTCCATGTGGCTCACACTCTCTTTTCTTTTATTCTCTCCTTTTTTCCTTATTTTTCCTTTTCTCCAGACTCCAAAAAGTTACTGTTGCCTGGAAGTAATATTACCTCCAGTGGATCTTGATTTTCTTTTTCCACACCTCTTATATTTTCCATTCATTTTAATGGCACTGACATTGCTACAATTTCAAGATGGTGCTGTCATCTATCTTTTTTTTTTTCTTCTGGAGATAGAGTCTTGCTGTCACCAAGGCTGGTGTGCAGTGGTACGATCTTGGCTCACTGCAACCTCCACCTCCCAGGTTCAAGCGATTCTCCTGCCTCAGCCTCCCAAGTAGCTGGGATTACAGGCATGCACCACCACGCCCAGCTAATTTTGTATTTTTAGTAGAGATGGTGTTTCTCCATCTTGGCCTGGCTGTTCTCAAACTCCTGACCTCAGGTGATCTGTCCACCTCGGCCTCCCAAAGTGCTGGAATTACAGGCGTGAGCCACCACACCTGGGCTGGTGTTACCATCTTGTTATAATCTGGCAGAGGTGATAATTTGAAGGAAATTTGTGTACTGTTTTTCAGGTTATGAAGCACTTCATCTAGCTTACCTCATCTGATTCGCATATTTATTGTATGAGATAGGTATTACTATGTTTCTCATTTTAAAAATGAGGAAGGTGAGGCAGATTCAATCCATTACAAGGTTTGTGAATTACAGTGAGTACTTCTAACATCAGTACTACACAGCTGTCTTCCCTACATACAGGGGACTGTTTGCATTTCAGCATTATCAAAAAGAAGAAGAAATCTATTAGAGAAAGAACAGCCACCGAAATAAGTTGGTATTGTTCAGGTTGCTCAATGTGAATGAATAACAGTCACTATGCCATCTCAATTAATGAATGGATGACTGCAGTAATCTATCTTCTTTTCCATTGTTGCTTAGCTTTTTAACTAAAATGGACAGTCTTCTATTGTTAATTGTTTTCTTTTTAAAGAAGAGGGAAAAAAATAAAATGAATAAAATCAATTATACTTGTTGGTGAATTCCATATATTTGAGGCACAACTTTACTGTTTTAATTAAATGGAAATATAGGCTCATTGTTTTAAAGACAATAAAAAGACAATTCAAACCCTGACATTGGGCCTTCCCCATATCCCAACCCCATCTGTTTTAAGTGGAACATCTAGGACAACTAGGCTAACCACGGTTTAGAAGATTAGATTCTGATAACAGCCAATTGTAAATAACTACCTGCATTCTAATTATTCCTCTAAAAATCCAACTAATAACAAGTCCACTGCTCTCTACACTTCTGTAAAGTTTGAATCATTGTCTAGTTTGAAGTAATCTGGTAAGGCTGGCAAATGTTAAGTCAAAATAAACTGCATATAAGTTAGAACGGATTCCCAGTGAATAATTCTAGGATTTATTCCATTCATACTGACTTTTTGTGTGTGTGTTGGGGGGAACAGTTTCTCCCTCTGTCACCCAGGATGGAGTGCAGTGATACGATCATGGCTTGTTGCAGCCTCTGCCTCCTGGTCTCACCCACCTCAGCCTCTCAAAAAGCTGGTACCACAAGTGCACAGCAACATGCCCAGCTAAATTTTTTTTATTGTTGTAGAGACAGGGGTCTCATTGTGTTGCCCAGGCTGGTGTCAAACTCCTGGGCTCAGGCAATCCTCCTGCCTCAGCCTCTCAAAGTGCTGGGATTATAGGCATGAGTGAATTTTAATAGTATGAATTCTGAAACTCAAGAGAAACCTGTTATAAGGAAACTTATTGGCATAAAGAAGCAATTGTGACTTCATATTTATGAGAGTTGAGGTCAAATTCCTGGTTCATCTCTTCTCAGATGTGTGCCCTTTATCTCTTTGGGCCTTAGCTTGCTCATATGTAAAATGGGGGTAAAAATACTATGTATCTCTCAGACCCATGATGTCTAAATGAGATGAGGTGTCACTGGTACAAAACATGTTCGTTATTGTTAGCATTTACATTTGTATTACAAATATAAATACTCTCATCTCTGGAAATGAATGTAATCTAGAGACAATAATATTATTTAAATTTCTTTGAATACTATTCCAAATTAGAATATTTTAAGGAGAGCAAAATGCCTGAGAATATCTATTTGCTCAGTATTGCCATCAGCCCTATTGCATGGCCAGGGATCTACTCTAGAGGGAAGACTTTAGGCAAACTGTCTTCTATCAACCCTGCCTTTTAAAGTGGTCCTCTACCTCCATCTCATCAGCTCACTGGAGCACTCAGCATCTAGAACCAGCTAGTGAAATCTGAGCACTCAATTAACAATAAAGTGAAGTGAAAAAAATGGTTTGAGTTTGAATCACAGCTCTATCGTTTTCTTGCTATGTGACCTTTGCATACATAGTTCATTAACACCATTATCACCTTCCTCCTCTCCTGGAGACTTAGGATTTAGAAAGACAGCATCACTAAAAGACACATTACTTGGCACACAGCAGTCACTCAGTAAATATTAATTATCTATGGCCTTCATTTCACTCCCTTCTAGGAGGATGCACATAAGAAGAAAACAATTGCAATGCAAAGAAATTCGTCTTTAGTGGTAGAACTTTGGGACTCAGTAGTACCTTGGTAGGGAAGATATTTTGAGGCCTGGAGTATTTCTAGCATCTGTCATATCACAAGAGGCAACCACTTCAACCATCCTGCAGAAAGTAGACTATGGCTAGAGGTGATGTTTCTATAAACTCCCCAAGGAAAAATTCTGCAAGTACTTGTGTGAGAGCAGGAAATCTATCTCCCTTGCTCTATGAAAGAGGACAGGGACTTTCTTTTCTAGACAAATGTTTGAAAATGAAAAAACCAGTATGATTAAAACTAAACATTACATAGCACATTTTTAAAATGTTTAATGATAGAAAACATAGCTCATTTTTTCAAAGTTGATATTATTACCTGGGAAGGCTTACTTATGTTTAAAATTATCTAGTGCTCATGGCACTCAGTGCTCATCATGTTAAGAACTCAGGTTAGCTCAAAAATGACAGGGCATGATACATATAGAAGTAGGAAACTCCAACATGGCACAGCTGCTATATTCTTGCATAATCAATTATGATTGAATTTATTTATTTTTCCACTTGATAAAATATATTCTGGAAATGCATTGAGAAACATGCACAAAAAGAACCTGGTTAAATTATTTTAAACAATTAAATATCAAATAATTCAAAAAATAAACTGCTAGTATCAAATGTCAAATGCATAAAATGTCAATTTCTCGGAAAGGGTGCAGCACATTTCATTTCTATTATGCTTTTAGCACCTTTTCTCTATTTCTAGAGACAAATAAATTTTGAGGAAGCCTAATTAGCTGTCTATTCAAGCACAACTCAGTGAAAAAGCTAAGGGTATTCTTGGCTGTTTCCTCTCAACTTCTGATTCTTTAGAATGCTGAATTTATGCTTAAACTCCCTCAAAGACCCTGGGATCAACTGCCAATTTTATTTTCTACAATGCTGGATTATGAAAACACAGCATCAATAGCATTTTTTTTCCACATAATTTTGGTAGAAAAACTATAGGACTTTAAGAATAAAACTCAGCAACAAGTTGGGTGTTTTTAGCAGTGTAGAAGAAAAGACAAGGGTTTATTGCCATGTTTCATATGCATGATTTTGATGCATGCTGCCCCAAAGCCAATTCAAACAGCAGTCAGGGACTGCAGCAAATTCATTTACTCTGGAGAAGAACATGGGTTTCTTACGTTGCTTCCAACTTGAACAAGCCCCATCCCTGGGGTCAACTGGCTCACTGAGAAAGTCGAATGAGGAACAACATAAAACACGATCACTGCTCTAGTTTTCCCTAAATGCTCTAGGTAGCCGTCACTTTACCCTGTGTACACCGCATTCCCTTACTGCCCAAAGTAATAAAGACTTCTGTCACTGCGAGAGCTTTTCATCTTCAGGGCTTCTTTCTCCTCTCCTGATAAGACTGCCAACTCCACTCTCTGTAAATGAGCTCATGTGAACACTTCATTTTCAGTGCGTGAAAACAAAAAGGGCCACTGCCCAGCTTCAGAGATGGAGGGGGCAGTGCTCTCTCTTCAAAGTCAGAGGAGGATGTTTGAAAGGGATTGAAACTGACCTAGGGAGCCTCCCGTGGAATAAGGAAGTTAAAGCGGAGCCATTATACTCCTCCGCTAGCTTCACTTTTATTTTACAATGCCTGAAGGCTTGGGAGTGCAGGGAGGGAGAGTGGGAGGAGAACAGACCAGCTATCTCTAAACCAATTTCTGTTTGTGAACATTAAACATTTGCATTCACTTTGGCCAACACCACTAGCCAATATCAATGCTCCAAGTATATGTGAGCTGAACGTTTCACATGTGGGACAGATGGCTAAACCATTACAATGCAGTCAATTTCGAAATAAGTGAATCCCAGCTTAGGCTTCCTCGTCCAAACAGTAACTAAATTTAATTTTTTTGCAATCAGTGGCATATGTTTGCATCTGTCTACAATATGACTTGGGCCAAATCTGATCTGGCCATGGCATCCTGAGTACTAAGGCTATACAATTCCTAGTGTTAAATGTATTGTAAATACCAGAGGGGGCAGGTTAATTAATTAAAAATATATATTGGGTTTTTTTGGCCCTTTGGAGATCTACCATGTTTGTGATACAGGTAAGAGCTGCTGACCAACTACAGGAGTTTCTGTTATCCTTTTTAAATGTTTAAAATTTCCCTATCCAATAATAATAATAACAATAATAGTAATAAACAGAACCCACATTTACCCACATTTAATTGTCTATTACAGCTAAGAGAAATTGGCTTTACCTGTTGGCCTCATTATAGTCACCCAATTCCATTTATTCAAATGTGTACAATGTGCTTATTACGCACCAGGCACTGTGCTAGGCATGAGACAATACCAGAGCATTCTTTCCAGGGCTCACTGTCACAGTCAGGCCGGTACACAGGAAAATAATTACAGCCGTATAATGCTTGCATTTTAATAAAAGCATGGGCTAGACCCTAGAAGGAGTATAAGAAAGAAAACTGAACTCTTTCTGGAGAGGTCAAAGAAGGAACTTGGGCATCACTGTGTTGAGTTGCGAAGGTGTCTGTGCATGAAGAAGATGGAAGGATATTTCAGTCACAGAGAACAGCTGTGGCAGAAAAGCAGGAAAAAGCAGGATTTGGAACTGTGTTTTCTAACATGTGTTATGTAACTTAATTAAAATAAAATAAAATTTCAAATGCTGCTACTCAGGTACCCTAGCTGTATTTCAAATGCTTCCCAGTCACATGTTGTCAGTGACTATCATATTAGACAGTGGAATCATGGAACACTCCCATAACTGCAGAAAGTTCTATTTGACAGTGCTGATTTGGAAATGTGGATTACTGATAACTGAGATACTACAAAATGTGAAATGTATGAAGGGACTTGGTCCTGTAGATCCTGAGAAATCACTCAATGAAATGGAGATTTCAGCTTATAATACTTCTAGAGCCACTGATGGATTTAAGGAGTGACGTAGTGTGGATAAATGAAGGGGACAGAAAATGAGTGACTTGATCATACTCGTATTTTAGAAAGACCTTCATTCAACCTACAGTGTGAAGGGTGACACATATGTACATCCACATTCACATACAATATTCCACAGTATACCTATCAACCCATATAGGCTTTTCCCTTCTTTATTGTTTCAGTGAATAATAATAACAATAATTTACATTTATTAAATGTATATTGTGGAACATTCACTGCCCTGAATACTTCATACATATTAACTTACCAAGATCAAGGAATGGAAGGGCATCTTTGAGATACATGTTGACTTCTAAAGACCAATAGTTCAATTTAATCCTCCATTTATATTGTTTTATAGGAAATATAGAACTGTGAATAGAAAAACTGTAGAGAAACACATAGACAGGTTGAATCTATGGTGCAATTCATCCTGCCAGCTAAATTTAAGCTCTAAGCAGGTTTAGCTTGGAACCTCTGGTGGCTGAGTGGACTGTGGCTGCTACATGTATCTGCAAATAGATGTGGCATTTGTGGGAGTGCCAATAAAAATCTCTTGAACTGCATTAATGGGAACTTCTCTATATAGAATATTCAACAAAAATCGCTGAAAGAAATTGTTCATATGGAACAACCCACCTTGTGAGACTGTAAGAAATGAAAAAATGGAGGCAACAATTAGAAGCAACAATGAGCAGGGAATTCTCCAGTGACCTGCATCTTACTTAAATGGTGAATTGAGGTGGCTGGATGTCTGGCCAAATCTCAGCTTTCTTTGTTTTCTTGGGAAGGGTATTTTGCTCACCATCCTAATCACTTAAAGTCATGCTGTGCTCTCACAGCAAGTCAGTGAAATATGCTTTCTTCTTTAATGGCTAAAACTTGATCCAGGTTTGGCTGGAAAAAAAAAAGAGGCTTGATATGGTCTGGGATCTGGGTTTGCTTCTAAGCTATTTGTATACCTCATCAGTTTCCCATAATTCACTGAGTCAGTCAGTCAAAAAGAATTAATTTAATGCCTACTGTGTGCAGAGAAGAGCATATGGTATACAAAGACACAATTCTGACACTCAAAGCTTTTGAAATCTAGGTAAGGAAGAAAACATACCTATAGAAAGAAATATTAAATAATCAATATTTAAAATAATATGTTATAAATTGAATGCTTGAGTGCAAGAGGGATCTGGGAACTTAGGTGAAGTTATGGGTATGGTACATGTAGTTAAAAAAGAAGATTATCTGAAGGAGATTGGTTGCAAATCAGATTGCAAAGTGTCAGAAAATGAAAAATATTAGAGGTTTAGATATTCATAGGGGGTTCCAATAAATTTTTTCTGATTTATTTTATAATCAACCCACAATTAAAGATCTTGAAAATTTAACCAGAGACACAAGAGATGAAATATACCAAAGCTAGTACTGGTTCACAAGTCATTTCAAAAGAAAAAGTAAAACCACATCAGAAAGTATATGTCCTAACATCTCACAACAAGAAGAACTTTACACAGTGTACTTTCCTTACAATTTCTTGAAGCTTTGCTATTTACAATTTCTAATATAATTAATGGGGTGTTTATTATGCTTAATGCTAAAAATCCTCTGATCTAATTTTGAAAATGAATTATTCCACTTAACAAGGAAAAAAAATCCTTTCGATTTTTACCCAAGTGCTACAGTTCTCCAAGTATTCCATATTTTCAGCTATTATCCCTTTCTTACAAAGAGCCCACTTAATAATGTTCACTCTAACAACCTCATTTATTTTCCAGAAAATTAACTCAGTTTCAACCCTGATTAATGATTTCATCTAAATGAATCAAATTAAAAATTGAAAATTATATTTCAAAAGCCAAAGAAAAAAAAATTGACCATTTCCAGTTAACAAATGATCCTTTCAAATATTAAAAGATGACCATGAAGAGTGCGTGATAGTAATGAAATCTGGCTCGGGCCTGCTGCTTATCTGGAGTTCATGGAGGAGGAGAATTAACAGGAAAAAAAAAAAAAGAAAGAGAAGAAAAAGGTACCCTATGCATTTTTAACACGGAAATCCCTTGGGACACCAAAGTGACTTCCACTTAGGCTTCGCCTATAATCAGTGTACCAAAATAATATGAGCATTTCCCTGTTAATTAAAACTGGGCTGGAGATGCCCCTCAGCAGAAGGGGGATTAAGAAGTCACACACACTAATAGCCCCTGTTAACAAAACCTAAACCGTGCAAGAATGCTTCATGCTATGATGTCTTCTCTAGGAGCCGGAAGCAGTCCATGAGGAAAACAAGCAACTAATTAGGGAGAAACTTCTGGTCTGATACGTTATTTTTCTTTTAAATCCATTTTGGCCGGGGGTTGGGGAAGGGAAGGGTGACTAGGCAGAGCAGAGAGGATTTTTAGGACACTGAAACCATTCTATGTAATACTATAATGGTAGATACGTGTCATTATACATTTGTCAAAACCCACAGAATGTATAACACCAAGAGTGAACCCCCACATAAACTATGGACTTCTTTGGGTAATAATGACGTATCCATGCGGATTCATCGATTGTTAACAAATGTACCAGTCTACTGGGAAATGTTGATAATGAGGGAGGGTATGGATGAAGGGGGGCGGGTCAGGGGATATTAACTCTGTACTTTTTGCTCAATTTTGCTGTCAGCCTAAAAGTGCTGGGTTTTTGTTTTGTTTTGTTTTTTAACTTTTAAGTTCAGGGGTACATGTGCAGCTTGTTCCATGGGTAAAATTGTGTCATGTGGGTTTGCTGTGCAGGTTATTTCATCACCCAGGTATTAAGCCTAGTACCCATTAGTTATTTTAAAAATAAAGTCTTAAAAAAAAATCCCAAATAAATAAATCCACTCTTGAGGTATACAGATGACTGCATTTATCTGAAGTCCTGTGAAAAAACTTTACAATTAGGGACCATGTCGTTTTCACCCAGATTTCCGGATGTAATTCCGTGTTTTGAAATGTACGCACAAGAGTAAACAATGCAGAATGATCAGCCTCACAGCGGGTCACAGGACACAACCGCCGCGCTCTGGTTGGACGCAGGCTGCATCCTGTTTCCCGGACACATTTATTCAGCCCAATCTTTCCTGTCTGAACACAGACTGTTGATGATAAAATAGCATCTCAAATTATGAGGGAGAAAGAGCTGCTTCGGCGTTCCTCCCCGGTTCTCTGCCTGGATTGGGCTCCCGTGGGTTGCTGAGGCCCTCGCGGAGGCCTAGGAAGCCCGGCAGCGCGGGCGGCAGCAGCGGGTTGGGGAGCAAGGCCGGCTTGGAACGCGGGCTCCTGCCCACTGCCACCCGCAGGCTGCCCCGGGCTCCCGGGCGGGCGCTCGGCCAGGGGCTCTGCTCGCTCCATGGACAGCTGGGTGGAAAGGACGCCCCGTGAAGGACACCCGGCCGTCGGACCGCGCCCACCCCTGGGCCTCCCAGGGGCTCCCTCCGCAGACTCCCAGGGACTTCCTGGGAGCCACCGCGGAGGGCGCTGCGCGCGTCCGGAGCCGACGCCGGGCTTCAAACAGAAACCAAAGCCCGCTCCAACGCCGCGAAGGAGGGGGGCTCCAAGCATCCTAGAAAAGAAAGCTGGAGGGAGCGCATCAGAGACACAAGTGCGGATAAGACTTAACACATTTCCTGAAGAGGATTCCTTGTCGCGAGTTGTCTTGGTTATGACAGAGGAAGAAGACTTCAAAGTGAATAAGCAAGGGGGTGCCCTTAATCAGGGCAGAAATGTGGTGGCTTTGGGATTTACCTATTTCGTACAAGTTGCGTTCTTTTCAGTGGCGTATTTCCCAGGTCCCTTGCAAGAGCTGTTGGACCCACTCCCCTCTTGCCCACAAGTTGGAATATTATTTCATTAATCACAACAGGAGGCAGATGTTACTTAAGATTTAGAAAGAGAAATAAAGGCATAGATGAAGGGGCTTGCATCAAGTTCAAAAAAGAGTATTATGTTTATAGCTCCTTAATTATTATTGGTTATCTGCCAGGCTTTCTATAATATACTTTGTAACATTCTGGAATTTTTAAAAAGTACCCTACTTATCTTTAAACACTGAAATCCATTCAAAGCCCTACAACCGATAGGGCCTTTGGGAGCGTTATTAAAATCCTCTTAATTAACAACAACAAAGTGAAGGCTTAAAATGGTTGAATGACTTGCCCAAGATCACACAGCTAGGAAATAAGCATTGGATAAAAATGTATGGAATGTCTGAGTAAATCCTAGCCTTTCTGTGTTCTACTTAAATTCCTCAATTTTAAATATAGTTGTTATATCACACACAGTTAGGGGTATTATCCCCATTAGCAAAGAAAGTGCCGTAGTAAAGGCAGCTTTCAAAATTTTCAGGGATTTTGTAGAATCACTGAGGAGTAACTATGTTGTACATGGTTCCTCTTCCATTACATTTACTAGAAGAGGCTAAAGGGTCACACACCCTCACTTGTCATGAGCCTGAAAGACTTTGTGACTGTTCTAGGTACATACATGTAACAAGCTTTTGATACAAAACATAATGCGAAAAATAAAATGTTGTTTGTGAAGGCAAAGATTCATCAATACCAAGTATAATCTGTTTCTTTACATTTTTCAAACAATAAGACTGAGATAAGAAAATCAGAACTAGGGCCAACTGTAACAGGTGCTAATAGAATTTTTCCATGAACTATTGTGTCAGTTTAATCCCCAGCCTGACCTGGAACACTTTGGCCATTTTAACACCAAGCTCCCCGGATTATCTATTCTGAGTTAAATGTTCCCAAGTGGATTGGTGATTGTGCAGCGGAGAGAAGATCTGCAAGGATTATTCTAAAATTTCACAAGAATTTCCCTGACATACACTATATATTACTATGAACTATGTTTTCAAAATAATGATACAATGAATTGCCTAGCCAAGCAACATCTTCACAGTTTAACCGAACACTGAAATGATTTTCCACAAGCTCAATGTTCAGAAAATAAATGCAAATTGGCTATAAATTAATTTAGTCTTTAAATTAATACTTGATCAATAATCTGACATTGTTTTCATTGTCTACATGAAGAAAACTAAGACAAAACAGTTTTTCAGCTGTATTATAACTTAGTGTTAAACTACATCTATATAGCCCCATCTATATAGATGGAGAGACTCTTTTAATTCAATTGCTATAGATAGCAAAATCTAATAATAGAGATCTTAAAGCATTATCTTTTTACTTGAATTACTGAATTTAGTTGCTATCTACACTGATCAGAATACCACATTAATTTTCTTGATTTTATATTTGATATTACAAAAAATCCCATTTTAATGATTAAAGATGCTGAAATGACATTTTTGAATGAAATTAATCTATGTAGCTTAAAAATATTTCATTTTCATTAGCATTCCCTCTTATTTTTTTAACAATAAACTCCTTATTTTAAAATATAACTCAAAGCCCATGTTCTACACAAAATTTTTCAAAATTATCTCAGGCATCCATTCTCCAAAAGACTGATACAATCTGTGAACTGACCCTAACTTTCATTGAAGTAGCATGCAAATATTTGTTATAACTTTACCTATCTGCCTTATCTGGTTTGACTTAGCTAGATGTGGAAAGATTTGTACTTAATCCTCACCAGAAAAAAAGACACTATTGAATGCTAAAGACCCTGTGAATATTCTACAAAAGAGCTTTCATTGCAGATCAGTTTAAGTCGGAGACATAAGCAAAAGATAAAAAACCAAAGACAGTTATTCACTGACCTCAGTAATTTTCAAGCCATTCTATAAAACTTGGAGATTCCCATTAAAGAAGACAGAAAAATCAGCCGGGCACCGTGGCTCACGCCTATAATCCCAGGACTTTGGGAGGCCGAGGCAGGTGGATCACTTGAGGCCAGGAGTTCAAGACCAGCCTGGCCAACATGGGGAAACCACGTCTCTACTAAAAATACAAAATTAGCCAGGCATGTTGGTGCATACTTGTAATCCCAGCTACTCGGCGGGATGAGATGAGACATGAGAATCACTTGAACCCAGGAGGCGGAGGTTGCAGAGAACCTAGATGGTGCCATTACACTCCAGCCTGGGCGACAGAGACTCTGAATCAAAAAAAACAAAAAAACAAAAAAAAAAAAAAAAAGGAAAGAAAAATTGTTTAACTTATGCCATCACACCCTAGTCACACATTCTAGCATCCTGTGAGGAAATGAGGGCGTGACATTAAAAGAAAGAGTGTACATAAAATTAGGAAACTGCGGTTCCACCTGTGTTAGAGTCCAGACAGTGAATCGGAAACCACAGTAGGCACTTCAACAGGGAGAATTCAATATGAAAACTTTGGTCCAAAGGGTGTTGGAGAATTACAGGAGCAAAAACTGAACAGGGATTGTAACTACAGGAAGCAACTACTGCCTCTGGAAATTGTGGGAATAAAAGGAAGTGTTCGGCACATCAGAATCTAGAAGCTCAGTGAAGAGGGCCTGTTGGACTGAGACTGGTATCAGAGGAGTCAAAGCCAGTGGCCAGTGCTCGGCTTTCCCAAGTGCACAATGGGGCTTCATCTGAGAGTGTCACAGAAAGCTAGAAACTGTGCCAACTGTCAATGTCAGGGCAATGGGTCTTTAATAGAGTGGCACTGTCAGGAACAAGTTAATAGGAAACAGACACAAGGATACAATTCTTTCTCTCTCCTAGTGTCCTGAATCCCAGCCCCCCATATCACAAAGAAGAGCAGGTTTAGAGCTGAGAGACAATAGCTTAATAAGGGGCATATAGGCTTAAGAGAGCTTTCATAAATGGATCATCAACCTCATCTCTAAAAAACAGTGACCTTTCCATAAAAGTGCATCCTATGACATTAGAATGGGATTGGGTCACTTTCTTGATCCAATAATCTGTTGCTAATACCTAGCATTCACGCCCTAACCACCCTGCATACATTCTTTTCCTTGGCCTGTACCATCTAAAATATTTGCCTGTTGTTCCTTGATCTAAACATGCATTCTTGACCTTTTTAACTTAAAACCACAAAGTATATCATCATTTTTCACCAAATACACTGTAACATTTTTGTGTAGGATGAATTATCTTTGAAATATATTGAAACTCTAGCCCTCTGCCTAGCTTTAGGGCTTCTTTGGCTCATTACCAGATGGACAGGTGGATGGAAGGAGGGAGGGGGAGATGCTTATATGAGTGGGAGGTATGAATATGTGTGTACAATGAGGCTGTGACTGTAAAGAAACACACAGTGCAGAACTAGGCCAGTAAACGTAACCAAGAAACAGAGCTTAAGTTAGAACTTACTAAAGGAGTTTTCCATTTTCTTCTTTTTTTTGCATTAATATTGTTGGTCAGATTTGCAGTGTTATATGAAAATAGTACTATGGCGTGTGAACCAATTTACTAAACAAATAGCAGCTGTAGTAAAACATCTGTTTGGGAAAGAGGAAATATAAACTCATAAAATCAAATGAAGGCAATGTGATCTGTACTTTCACAATATGAGAAAACTAGACATATGGAGCAGTTTGCAAAAGATTATCAATCATTCTATTAAAAAAAAACAAAGTGTGAAACAGGTAACATTATGATCTTCACACAACACATTAGCCAGTATCTGAGTAAGATTTTAGAAAAGGGTATGAGAATGTCTCTCAGGAATGAGAATAGCATCAACATCTCCCTTACAAAAGGAAATTTTTAAGGTGTGAAAGAGGATTATATCTAAAAATAACTATATGTGTCTATGTATACTGTCACCAATAGTAAGATGATTGTTGTACTATAATTATACAAGATTAAGGTAATAATAACAAAAGGAAAGAAAAATTTTGTGTGGAACTCGGGAAAGACATTTGCTATATTATGTATAGATCTGCCATCTAGTTCATTAGTGCCAAAATGATTTGCTTTCTGAGGATCAATCATTAGAGGAACTCTAATAAAAATTTCAATGAAACTATGAAAGAGAAAAGTAAACGAAAGACTGGGTTTCATCCTTATGCACCCAATCTGCAAGAAAAGCAAAAATCAATAAAGAGAGCTTAAATTAAAAAAAAAAAAAAGACCCTTCTGAAGAAGCTGTTGGCTATCTTTTTTAACAACAAGAAAGCTGATTTTGTTTGTTTGCAATACTTTGCTGCCCCTGCTCGCCTTCTCTTTGCTTCACAGAGTTTAAGCTAAAACCAAAGAAAGATGTAATACATTCAAAAACAAAATCACATCACTGGCATAAAGCAAATCAGAGAGCAGTAATAAATGTCAGAGCTGTAACAGCAAAGGCAGCAGCTAGGTTCCTTCACTGCCCACCCCCAACCCCAACCACCACACACTTAAAAGTGAAATACCTAGCTGTTATCTTGGTGCCTGCAGAGCCTCCCCATTGTAGATTCAATAATACAAGAGGCTTCTTATCAGCAGCTGGGGTGACTGATTGGAGCTGTGATATGTTTAGACAATGCACTGTATTTAACTGAATTTACAGATGCCCCAACTCAGACGTGGTAGTAAACGCCAGAGACTAATAGGAAATTAAACATGTACAATGGACTAACTCCATTTGCTCTCACACAGTGTAATGTGTTTAGTTAACTTACTCATAGTCACACTTTATCTTTTTCTCTATGGATTCTCTGGGATATGTTTCAAATTGGCCAGAGATTAAATCTTCTTTTCAATTTTTTGTTACCATTTTATTGCCGCTTTCCCTTATTATTGGCCACTCTTTCTCTTGCAGAGATAAGCTAAACAAGATGACCCTCAGCACTCCCCCCACAACCCAATTATCAGATAGTCAGCAAGGAACGCAAGGGTACAGAAGATTCCATAATATTAATATTAATATAACATGAGAGGAACAAAAATCAGTCACTTATTTGAAAGCAATGGTGTATTTAGCTCATTTGAAATTTAAATGTGAATTTTAATGTACCTGGTATGTAACACATACATACAGAAAGAGACAGTGTGGGAGCAGCATACATAGGTCAGGTTGAGAATTATTTTAACTCTTCATTGTTCATATATTTGCTAGCAAAAATGGCTTCAAGTAGACATGTGTCTACATAACTGCACAGCACCACTGTTGAGGGGTGGAAAGGAAAAGATTTTCATCTGGTTAACAGAGAAAGGTAATTTATCATTAGATAAACCCACAGATTGATCTGTAGATATTCTAGGGAATCCTTGAAAGAGGCTGTTCACAGGGAACCCTCTTGTTATATAATAGCAATTGAACCCATAATGGTTTTGTTGTCCTTAGGAAACTGTAAAGAATTTCTACATTCATAAAATCATGTTACCTAGAAAGTATAAAAGAAATCTTGTCTATTCCAATGACATTCAGACTCCTGAGAGGGTTAAAGACAGTTCCAGCTGAATGCTGACCACAATCCCTACACCCCCATGACCCTGGCCTGGAGAAAAGTGGATGGAGTTAGATGTGGAAAAAACTGGCCACCAAAACTGACAATAGTACAGGTTTGACCATCATGACCTCTCTGTCACTTGTTTACATTTATTATGTAGACAAGCAAGAACACTGCGGCATCAGCCTAACTTACAAAATAAAAGTAAATGAGATCAGGGTGAGCACAATGGTCAGGAAGGCTGGACAGAGTGGGCGCTTGCACGGCAATTTACATGCTTTATATTTGAAAGAAAGAAACTGAATGAAGAGATGTTACAGCATCAACTCCGTGTGTGCATATTCATGCCTGTTTCTGAAACACCACTCCCTAGACCTTACTATAAAATGACTCTAATCTGATAGACCAGAGCACCCACGCCAGTAACCACAACCTGAATATTACATTTCCTTCTCCTTTATTCCCTATTTTCTCAGTGGCTATTTTTTACTGAGACCACAACTATTTTATTTTCAGAATTTTGCATCTAAGGAGAGGTACAAACAAAATAGAAAGGAAACATGTGACTATGATGATCAAATGATAAGTGCCTGAATATCATAATCCTTGCAATCAATTCTTTGCGTGGCTTTTTTAAAAAGCAAGGATGATAACAAATGAAAACACTGAAAGCACATGTAATCACACAAAACCACTAATAAGTTTATATAATTAAACGTCCCAAAGCATTATTTCTCCTAGATCACAATTTTACTCTGTTGAAAGAAGAGGGTGGCATGATATCAAGGAGTACTAATGTCATTTGAAAATCAAGTTATAATCAAATAACCATTATTCAGTAAAATGGACTTCATAGTAATCATTTCTTTCTATAACTGAGCAGTCCAATAAATGTTACTTCTCTTAATCAGTTCTGATTGGTATTTGCTATATGAGACACAGACAAATCTTTGACCAATCTTTAATTAGTATCACTGATGAAATATTTATTCTTTTAATTTGAATTTAGAAACCCAATAAAGCCATGTTTGCATCTTTTATCAACTTAAATATTATCCTCCTTTATTGCTTTTGTCATGACTGTAGATTCTGAAGATGTTCTCCTGAAACAATGCGTATTTCATGTATGCATAGTTGCCCTGGTCTCATTGCTTTTGGGGCAAATATTTAATATAGGCATTCAGGTCATACATTCATTTCAATCTTCTTTCTTAGGGGATCATAAAGTAAATTTCCTCTAAGTGATGAAAGAAAAGGAGGGAGATACTTCTAGACATCTAAGACCTTCTTAGGGAATCACTGATTCACCAAATCATAACCTAATCCTTCCTGGAGCTCCTGGAGTTCAATTCACAGAAATGATAGGACTGGACAACATTACTGGGCCCTTGTGCATGGAATGTGTGGATATTCTAGAGCCCAGACACTGAACTCAGAAGCCAGTGTTCCATTTTTGGCTCTTTACTGATGAGTAGCCGCCTTTAATTTAATCCACCTTTTCAACCGGAGGCACTGTTAAACAGTTCCTTAGGTCTGATGGTTCTTGGGGATCTAAGCTCATTTAAAATAGGCAGAAATCACTAACCATATTATTAAAATCTAATGAAGCAATCAGATTGCATCTTGTTATAAAAACCACTTTACCAATTCCCTCTAGTTCACAAAACACCTCTGAAATTAATATATCTAGAGTAATATAGCTAAAAAAGAGGAGGAATTGTGTCTTCTGAAAGATGTACAAATAAATGACATACATGTCTTCTTTGTAGCACAGTGGTCTCCAGTACCTATGAGCATCTTTCTTGGCTACAGGCTTTGAATTTTCTTTCACCTTCTCTTTTGTACTCTACAATCTCCAATGAAAACTAACACTTGGTAATGAATCTGTCAAAAATTAGTACGTTGTAATGTGTAGAACCTTAGATGTTCATACCAGCTGTGCTTGTTAATCTATTACACACACTTACGACATCATATACCTCTGCTACATAGGATTTCCCACTTACATTTATTCTACATTTATTCATGAAATTATTTGATTCCTGTCAGATTCACACATTAGATTATAACCTTTTCTAGAATGTGGCTTTTGTTTATGATTATAACTTGAAGCCTAGCACAATACCTGGCATATTAACATTCATCAAATGAAAAGAACACAGACCATCCCTCAAAGAAGTCAACACTTATTCTGTACTTGTCTCAGGAGAGCCTTTGAGTGGGTCACACCTTTATCTACCCTGGAGAACACATTTCATTGTTGCCACGGCTTCTGCAGCAGAGCCCTGAACCCCAGGTGAGTATAGTCCCTGGTACTCCTGTATTTCCACTTCTTTCTAGAAATAACAGAAGTAATAACTGAAGTTTCATAATTCAATAATATCCATTTTATGAAAAAATGAAAAGTAGGATCCCTAACTACTTAAGTCAGATTCAATAAAATGGAATCCTCTGTGATTCACTAAATAATCTTAGCTAAAAACAACTTTAGAAATAACTAGTCTATTTTTTTCTTAAGATAATCTGCCATGAAAAAGACAGGAGACATAAGCATAAAAATAGCAAAATTATTGACGCATTAGTTAACATAGATGTTGTATATTCTGGCACTTCCTGTCAAAATCTTCATTAGGGGTTAATTCTGTCAAACAAAATCTTGGCCTACATTTCTATTTGGTGGTAGCTGTCAGCTTGTATTTTGCACGTTTCAATATTATTTAAAAGTACTTTTCCATATTTAATATATGATGGCTTACTGTACCTTTCCACTGGCATTTATCACCTCTCAAGAGTGATCAGTCTCCACAAAAGTGAAGTTCACTGTCACAGAAGGGCCTAGCCCTCATTTATTTCCCTATATGGTATTTGGTACAGAGGCAGAGTGTACCATAGCAGGTGTGCCTTCAATTTAGTGGTCATACATTTAGCAATAGAAATATGAGTTATTAAAATAGGCTTGTCATCTTTAAAAAACATTAGGTGACCTTAAAGTGTGGATAATTGTACAAAATTCAGTGCTTTTTTTTTTTTTTTGCTCCAGTTCCAAAATGTTTCTAAAGATGCTGCCATTGCCCAAACCAGAATTCCCATTGTTGGCAGGATAACGCTGAGCTGAGAAAAATATAGGCTTACAATATGCCCATCAACCAGCTTAATCCCTGCCTAATTTCCCCATATCCTTAATAGGCTAAGTCCATGCAGCTTGCAGGGCTTGAAGGCATTTGAAGAATATTTAAAGGAACATTTTTTTTTCCATTTGACTTAGCTTTAGCGTGATAAGACCATCTTAAACAGTCTCTGATCGTTAGTGTTTGAGGGGAAGGTGCACTGCAGTGTAGGAGAAACAAGTTGCCTAAAGCACTTAATTTGATATTCCTCTCCCCTAGCTCTGCCACCTACTAGCTATGTGACTTAGGGAAGGATAACCAAATACTTCCTCATCTGTAAGGATATGAGGATAGCTAAGTGCTACCAAGAAAAAAATTGTGTGTGTGTGTGTGTATAAATAAATATATATGTATATGTACATGTGTGTATTTTATTTATTGATAATGTTGAGCACTAATCCTGTGAAAAACATTGTCTTAAGTGCTTTACATGTATTAACTCATTTATTCCTTAGAACAAACCTGTGAGAAAAAAGGAAAGGAAACAGTGGTTAAGTAAGTGCCCAGGTTTACTTACCTTAAAATGGTAGAGGCAGAACTGGAATCTAGCTATTGTACTGCCTCTGAGAGGAGTAACTAACATTGCAAGAAGCATCTCAGTTGGGAGGCCGAGGTGGGAGGATCACTTGAGGTCAGGAGTTCGAGACTAGCCTGACCAACATGATGAAACTCCGTCTCTGCTAAAAATACAAAAATTAGCTGGGCGTAGTGGCAGGTGCCTGTAATCCCAGCTACTCGGGAGGCTGAGGCAGGAGAGTCTCTTGAACCCGGGAGGTGGAGGTTGCAGTGAGCCGAGATCATGCCAATGCACTCTAGCCTGGGCAATAAGAGCCAAAAGTGAAACTCCGTCCTCAAAAAAAAAAAAAAAAAAAAAAAAAATCATCTCAGACACAGTTTGGCACACGGCAGGTATTTGATATAAGTGGTAAGTTCTCTCCATTTGTCTGTTTCTTGTGTTTTCTTTTCATATAAATCAATAATCAGATTCTCCTAGAGTAGCCTGAAGACCTAATTCCATTGGTATACCAGATCTTAGCAGGGAGTCATTAGATACAAAATCTTATAAAGGTGTGTATAAATGTGAAGTCTACTTAATGTAACACACATATAAACACACTCATGCACTCATGTGTGCACTCAGACACACATAGGAAATTCAAATAAGCCTTCAAAGAAAGTCTCCTGGAATATCTGCTGCCAATGAGTTTATCATCAGTATTGACGGAACATGAACTCAGGTCACAAAACTATGGGTTTTGGTCACAAAACTGGGTTTAGAGGCAGTGAGAGGAGGAGGTGAGACAAGAATAAAACTTATTGCCTGCCCTCAAGGGCCCAGAATCTACCGGGGGACTCTAATAACTCACTGTCATATATTTTGTACTGTGCTAGAGGTATGTAAAAAAAAAAAAATTCCTATGGGAATATAGGACAAGAAACAATTCTTCCTGAGGATTCACAAAATAGAAGTGCTTTCTTTTGGATATGTTGAATTTCTCCAGGCAAAGATGAGGGTGAGAAGAGCATTCCAGGTTGAGAGAATGAAGAAGCAGAAATATGGAGGCATGAAAAGCATGCTATGAGCAGGCAAGTGGCTGAAACATCTGGTGCCTAAAGAAGGCTAGGGAGAGAACATTTTAAGTTCCAATTGTGAATGGCTGCTTATATAACTACTAGAGAGTTTGGACTTTTTCCTATGCAGTAAAAAAGACAGGTCAGGCACAAGTCACCAAAGATATATAGACTAGTGGAGATTATTTCAGTAACCCAGGTGAGAAAGGGAAATTATCTATACTAAAGTAGCGGGAAAGGGGATGAACAGAAAGAGATGGATTCAAAAGATACTCTGTAGGTAGAACCTACTAGGCTTAGTAACTGAAGAGATGTAGGGAGAAGGAAAAGGATGAATTCCAGGATGTGTCTAATGGTAGCAATCTGTATATTTAATAATCCTAACATTTACTGTTGCCCAACCAGGAAGGAAGACAAGGGAGGAAGGAGGGAAGGAAGGAAGGGGCGGGAATAGAACTGTTTCAATCCTCAGGTGTCATGAAATTTAAGTAGATTAGCTGATATCTTGGGTTACAGAGAAGTCATCCAAAGAAACTTGTTGGCACTCTTTTATCACTTCCCAAAATGTATGCATAACATTCTTTACAGTTCCTTCCTCTCCACCCCCCTCCTTTCTTGTTTCCCTCCCCACTTCTCTGGTCTGTGCTAGCCCAAACACATCAGCAGAGCTTAGCCCCACAAGGCAGGAAGAATCCATATAATCTGCTTTCCCATTTCACTCATAGTAACATCAGTGTCGCAACCACAGTTTACTTTACACTCCTCAAAATCCCACAATAAAAACTCAGGTTCTTCCAAAACTGCTTTGTGGGACTTATTTAACCTAAAAGCTCAGTGATGTTTACCTGTGAGCCTGCAGCAGCGCAGTGGAATAACTTAATAAATGGAAGTGGCAGAGACACCTTTATGTTTCCTATGCAAATACTGCTTACAAAAGCCATTAATGGGAATTATGGAAGGGGAAAGCCAACTAAATACATGGGCCAGAATAAGCAGGATGATTCAACTGGTCTTCAGGGGCCTTCTCCTCTGCTGGTAATTTTATTAGAACCATTACCAGTGAAGAAATTTTCAGCTTTTCGAATTGAACTGTAAATTGTTTCTGCTTTCCATAGTATCTTAAAGGGATTTCAGGGGGAATTTTTGTTTGGTTTGTGGAGTGATCAGACTAGGGGAAGTTTTTTGGAAATTTCTGGGTTACTGTTGGGAATTTTTCCAGAAATGGATTCTTCTTCTTTGGAAGTCTTTTGGTCATTAGTTTAAATACTATATTGGAAAATTTCTACATAAAGATTTGTAATGTGCCCCCAATTTTCTGTTTATAGGATTTATAAGAATATTATTGTAATGGTAACATCTTGTAATGGTGACAATATTTCTATTAATTTTATGAAACCCTATACCACTGCTTTAATCTCTGCAGTAAGAAGTCATTATTTTTTAAAGCGCCAAACACAGAATGTGTTTATTACAATTCTTCATGACCCAAATTATTTTTGGCAGAGGTGCTATAAGTTTTTCCCTCTTTATTTATAAAAATACATTATCTGTAATTCTGGGAAATTGACCACAAAATGACGTGGAAAGCACCTTAAAATCTTTACGTATGAGACCACGTAAAGCCTCATAATAACTACTGTGATATAACATTGTTGTGTTCAACCATTACATCATTTGTTTTACTCAAAAGTGTGTGCCTCTCTACGTATACCAATTTTAACAACGTTGTATTTTACTGTTCACATCCTGCTTAGAAAACTTCAGGTTACATTAATAATGCTGACCATTCACAGTGGCAACATAAAAATTCCTTTATCATTCTTCTTTTTCTTCTCTTGAAGCCAACGTTCGAAAACTAACAATGGAAAATATATTTGAAAGATGATGGATATGAATAGGAGAACTAGTTTTAGTTTTCTGGAATAATATCTTATGCACAAAGCTTTTATCTTATTGTTAACCTTTAACACAAATAGATTTCCTTCTGCCATTTTCCCCGCTTTGTCCTAAGTTTCATGGGAGAGTCTTTGCTTGATTTGCAACTTTGGTGTCTTCGTAGGGCCACATTGTCCAAGCTGCACTAAATTGTAAGTCCCTTCTCCCTGACTTCCACACCCTGCTTTACAAAAACACACCATTTTGCAGATCAAAGAGAGACGATTTATGCTTTCATCTAGCTGACGGACGATTAAATTAAAACAGATCAGCAGTGCAGTGCATGGGCAGGTGGCTCCCACCACCACTCTCGGCCTCAGAGCGATTAAATTGTGGCGGAGATGGAGGGCCTTCCGCTCCCATTCCCGCACTTACAGATCAAACGGTGACAAATGAGATGTTACTGCTCTTGTAAAGCAAGGCTACAATCTGTCAAAATCCAACATAATTTGTGACCCTCTGTGACATCCTCTTTCTCTTTTTTTTTTGACATTTGAATACAGTGATTGTACTAGAGTCAAGTCCATTTAAGTGAATATAGTCAATTCTATCTAAAGGAATACAGCCTGTTAGCTCCAACATGGTAGCTGAATATATATCTGGTGAGTACTCCAGCGACCCTTTGTGTTAAGTGCATACCATTAACAATGAATTCTGATTTTTTCCAAGTTATATAATTTGATATCTTGACAGCCCAGACACTTAAAGCACTACTATTTGTTTTAAATGGCTTTATTTTATTGTTTAAATGTCAGTATCAAAATAAAGTAATGCATACAGTCTTGTCAGTTCTAGTGCAGGGGGAAGTGTTCCTGTTGAGAAGAGTCTTGAAAGAGTTGGTTCTAAAAATGGACTCAAAAGTCAATTGCAATGTCTCTTGGCTAAATCCTTAAATGACTCATGAAACATATTTATACCGCATTTTCTGTTTAGCTGGTGCATTTAATAAGGAACCAAAGCATAAACAGCGAAGGGAGCACAGCATCTTAACTTACTGAAGTTGACATTATTGCCAGGCTTTAAAAAATACTGACTATGGGAAATAATGGAGAAATGCACAATAGAACCCAAGGCCCAGATAAATGAGCAGACCTCTATGTGTGTTGTAATTATATAATCTGCTAGGTTATTCTAGGCGGCTTGGTCATAAGGAGTAAAATGAAAAATTCAAGAGACTGATTGAAGATAGTTTCTAGTATTTTTAACTACTAGAATGGCAGGGAGAGTTGATTCTCTTATGCCTCCACTCTATTCAGACCTGTCTGGGGGTGATGAGCCTGTCACATTTCAGAACAGGCATTGACTTCCTACTTCAAAGTGACTGAGGAGCTTTTTCAAAAGACTTTTGTTGACCACAAACCTTTAGGCAGGTTAACACCAACCTTCAGGGAAATCACTCTGAAATAACTTTGCTTACAAAGAACAAAAATATATCTAGACTCTTTGAGCACTTCTTTCCTAAAGAAATCGGGTTATACTTTCAAGTTCTTTGGCATATTTTTCTACTACGGAGCTCATTCTGTAGGTTAGTCTACTCACCCTGGTCTATTTCCTTAACGTAGGGCTTGTTTACACATGTTTTAAGGTAGCTTTCCTGCATGACGTACAATCTCTGTTAATAACTTTGCATCAGAAGCCCAGCTAGCTACAGGGAAGACCCCAGTTCTTGGCATTTCAGAGTGGTCAGCTGGTACTGAAAAGTCAACTCTGTGTTTGGTATATGGCATTGTGAGAAACATTAATCTCCCCCTACCATCATAGACCTTTTTATCCTCTCCAGGCTTTAATGCTGTCCTCACTCTAGTGTTACCCATATGTGGAAAGAAGAAATACTGTCCATAAGACCAGCAGACCTTGCCTATTTCTCTCTCTTTTTTTTTTTTTTTTCCTGAGATGGAGTCTCACTCTGTCGCCCAGGCTCAAGAGATTCTCCTGACTCAGCCTCCTGAGTAGGAGGGATTACAGGCACCCACACCACACCCAGCTAATTTTGTATTTTTAGTAGAGACAGGGTTTCTCCATATGGGTCAGGCTGGTCTCAGACTCCCGACCTCAGGAGATCTGCCCGCCTCGGCCTCCCAAAGTGCTGGGATTACAGGCGTGAGCACCAGGCCCAGCCAACCTTGCCTATTTCTAGGCAAGGTCTCCACCTCAGCCTGATCACATTGTGGGTGTCAGTCATTTGCTTTCTATAGCCAGGATAAAGCATCTCACCCCATATAAGAAGGCTCCAGGTCCTAAGCCCAATGTGTTGGGATTATACTAGGGTCGCTGTGGTGGATGATCACAGAAGAGGGTCCACTGGATCCTGGCTGTCACTACTGTGTGCCCACAGAGACTTGGAAAGTAACTACCTCAAAGCTACCCAAACCCGTGGGTGCAGGTGGCTTTTGTTAACAGTGAAAGCCTACCAGGAGATTGGTAGTAAATTCAAGATACATGCTCTACTCTGAACCATTTGGGGGAATGGGCGCAGTGACATAGAAAAACGCAGCTTTAGCTAATGTCCTCTTCACAATTATCTTTCTCAAATCAAAAAGTGCCAGACTAAAAAACAAGCGTGTCTGATTAAAAAAATTTTAGAAAGGTTGATTTGTTTCCCTCTTTCTCTCATCGATTTCTCTACATTTTGTTTATAAATGCAAATGTGTTAGGATTGTGTGTTGATCTGTACCTACTGTGATGACAGAGGGCAGTCATTCAGGCTTGCCAACTGGCTGCATTTGTGAACAGATTACATCCTTTACTTTTTGTGAGTTCTGTCTGGCTCCTGTTTCTGTAAAGGCCTTTGCTGATTTTATAGGCCGCCACAAACCACTGAGCTGATCTCACTTTCCTCCCTCTTCTCTCTATTATCTCTAAAAGCACTTCCTGCTTTTGATGTAGATTCTCCATTAGACACAGGAGATACAGGGCAGGTTTTCACCTTTGCCTGTAAGCACAACGGGAGGAAAGAGTAGGGTGGCAGAAATATTATTAACTTTAAAATCTTCCTTCTACCTCCAAGATGAGAATAAATGTCCCCCAAAGATTCCCTGAGATATGCATAGACAGCTAATCCCCCATAGGAATCTCCTGTCACCTCAGGGTTTTTTCTTCTTTTAATGGAATAGAAGACTCAGTGTATGTAGAGATCTTTTCAAATGAAACTACTGTACTGCATCTGTCAGATGACATTTTCATAATATAAAACTCATCCAATCTGTTTCTTTTCAACATTTTCAATGTTTGTTATATGATGTCAATTATAGCTTAACTTCCTTTACCCTAACGATTTCCCAGAGTTTTATTAGATTGGCCAGCTAAAACTCACATATTCCCATTTAACTTCTCAAGCAACAGAACAGAAGGCATGAGTGGCTGATGTTAACCAAACCAAACGCCACTTGAGAATGCCATTAAAAGAATCGTGGCTGAAGGTTATAAATAGGTGACACTATTTATAAAGCATAAACAAAATGTTTCTTGATGTGTAACATAAAGCCCAAGCAGTCCTATTGTTAAAAACCTGCTCCTGTGCCTAATGTCTACATAAATAGCAGCAGCAACGCAGTATCATGAGCTGCTTTGTTTGGCCTCAAGCAAATCATAGGCATATTAGATGTAACATTTCCTACTAATTGCTGCTTGGCCTTTAGAAAAAAAAAAAAAAGTTGAGGATGGGGACTTACGATGTGAGGAAATGTAGTATCATACAGCAGAGTTCAAAGGAATCTAAATTATTTGAACATTCTGCAATGATCATATATTGTGGTACTTAAGTCCAACAATAGCATGTTGATAACAGAAATGCTAATCTCTTGGCCTTAACCCCACCCAGCACTTGTTGCTCCTGAAAGATTAATGTTATCTCTCTATTTAAGTAACCCACATATATGTCCAAAATTAGACTGTAAAGCAAGAGCCTGCTTGACTAGAATAAAATGTTTTTTAACATCAATTTATAAATACTCTGAAAATGCAAGTCACTTTCCCTCAGCTGAATGGCTAATGCTTTACAAGATTTTGTGATACCCAAACCATTGGATGTCAGAAAGATTTAAGTTCAAATCAACATGCATTTATTCTATGGTACAGCAATATGGAAGGTTGATGGCATGAATATTTTACGGTAATGCTTCAATATTAAAATCCCCATATTGAGATTCTAGAGTAACATACAAATTATATTTAACCATCAAAAAATTCATTGAAGTACTTATTAGAGTATCAGTAATAATAGTCATTAAAATTTTATGATCACTTAAAAGAACACTGAATAAAGACAGTTTAGCAAATGCCCTATTTACATATTTTAACAAGACTCACATAGTAATATCAAAATCACACATTGAATTTGAGAGTAAAATTACACTTGCCCTCAAAAGAACAGATATATTATGGATATACCCTGATAGATTTGCGTGTTTTCCCAATAGTGGGGCGAGTTGCACTGATTCATTCACACTGCCTTTTTGGACCAGCTGCAACATTATAAACATTATACAAGATCTGACTAAGAATCAGGGGTTCAATCTATGAATAAAGAACAGAATTAACTAGGTAGGTTATACAGGAATTGAATCTGCCACCTTAGCCTCATTTGGTACCATGTCCTATTTTGTTCAGCTACAATCTTACATATTCATCTACCTAATTTACATATATATAAATAAGTAATATGTATATAACGATTCAGACATCCGTATGTATACATTATGTGGCTTACTTTCATTTTCAATATTTGACAGTATTTATGCAAGTGGTAGCCCTTAACAATTTTGATATTTAGCATCTTAGTTGATTTTCACTGCATCTTAGAATGCTAAAGAAAATAATTTTCGAAATTTTCCTAATCCAGGGGAGAGCATAAACCTCAAAAAAAATGGTGTGATTTGTTTTCTTTGCCTTCTATGTTTAAGGTTAGGAGTGATCACTGTAAATTCAATGAACTTGAGTGAACAGTAGGTCACTGAAATTCTCAAAGAGAGATATATGTAGGCACTCAGAGAAGATGGGTGGCCTGGGGTCAACGACCAAGCCTACTGAGAACAGCCCATGCCATTGACACAGGTCACTGTGGTTTCCTTGGCACGTGTGATTTACTGGCAAATACATCCACTAGAACCCTGTAGGCTTTGTCAGAATTTGAGTCTCATGAGTGGCAAATTAATTTGGCGAGGCATTCAGCTCCACCAGATCCCATGATGAATACAAAAGTCACACCAACATATGCATTCTTAGCTCTTTTCCTTGTTTAATGCATTTACAACTACATCTAATGTTATGAAATCAGAGAAGGGAAAGACTTCCTAATATTGCACAGTTCTGGTGGTTGGAATGTGTATGTGTGTCCATGCTTAAGCACATGTGTGCATGCTCACATGTGTGGAAGAGGGAACATTAATGATTCCTATAATCAGAAATTTATTTAAAAATATTAAATACAAAACAAAATGTCAAATGATGTTTCCAGAAGTCTATCTAAATAGGCAAAGAAAAGACATCATTGGAAATATTGGGGGCCACCTTCATTCTATTGTGGATCACCAATTCATCAAACAGCCCATTATCTTCATGGTTCCTGCTTCCTCTCTTCAAAGAAATGGGAAGTAAGATCTCTTACCTTCATTGGCTTTCAAATATGTAGGCTTGAGCAACAATTCATATGGCAGCCGTAAGAGCTTTCCAGGAAGGGCAGTATTTTTTTCTCTTCGAAACGGTATCTAATACTAAGCTACAAATATTGTTATGTTCTGAAATATATGCAACAGTGACAGGAGACAAAAGACCACAAGTAATATATGGGTCCTTTTCCTGAAGCCTGCTTACCTTCCCAACCATAATTTTTGAGGTTAACATTAAAATCCAATTGTATTTTTCACAACATAGAATGGTTTGTTTAGTTGAAGACTTAACAGATGCCTAAGGAATTGACTTGATAACTGAATAATCCACGGAGTACACCCAATGCATGTGGCCAGGAGAGTCAAGCTGAACTACAAATATCTAGTCAGTAAAATGCCTTAAAATGTTTTCAAACTAATATGCCTATTCAATGTGAATTAGAAAAGCTCTAAGTAGGCAACACCGAGTCAAGAAGATTGAAAGCACACACTTTCTCTGTCTATGATCTTTCTCGAAATTTCAACAAGTCAAACATAATCCTGTTATTAGGTACTAAAAATCTACATAAATACATGTAGAGAAAAATTTTTCCTATAACTTAGGAGCCTTCCACACTCTAATAGCAAAGAATATAGTGTAGTTTTTTTAAGTCCAGGCTCAGAAGCCAATTTCTGGGTTTCAATCCCTACTGTGTAACTTACCAGCTATGTGATTCTGATCAAATTATCTAATATCTCAGTTCCCCAATTTTCTCATCCACAAAATGGGTTAAAAATCGTATCTAATTCATAGCATTGTTTTGAGGATGAAATGATTTAATACGTGTAAAGCATTTAGAACATGTGGTCAGCCCTAATTGTAAACCATCAGTATTATCTAATATATTTTAGACCCGTCCACCACCACAGGACCAACTTGCTAGTTTAACTGTTACACTGCCCTCAGAGAATCCTATTTATCTACTTAATTTTTCATCCACTCATTTATTCCATTGTTCATTTTCTCAAAAACAGTTTGGAGAAGGATATACCACTTAAGGACTGGCAAACCTATAAAAAGAATTAATGAGGCCTAATTGTGACAATAAGCATGCACTTTGGTGAGCTGGAGTCATTGACTAATATAAGCCAATCCTCCCTTCACCTCTAATTCATTCACATTGCATTGTGGTAACAAAATGAATAAGGGGTTTAGTCATTTATATGTGACCCAGGACGATGCTTAAGACATATTTTATTTGACCTAGAGAAAAAATATGTAAGTATTTAGAAGAAGGTGCATTGCTGATAGGTGGCAATATACCCTTATCCACTGTCCTTTGAACTGTGTCTATAGTTACCATTTGGAACATCTCTGCTACTTAAATATTCTCTGTTTTAAGAAAATAGTTCAAGGCAAAGCAGTATTTTGAATGATATAGAAAAAGGAATTAATCTCTAGATATGTTTGGCTTACCAATCTGAAATCTGCTATCCCTTGAGATAATATCAATATTGACATCATGTTTGGACACCAGACGTCAAGATGCAGGGTGTTTTCCAATGAAGATTCCCATCCCATTTTGCTTTTACAACATCCAATGAATATGGATAAGATCCTAGAAGCAGCCCCAGATATGTATCCACAGTAGAAGCTTAATGTAAGTGGCAAATAAGTGATATTTATGTATAAAATTTTGCTTACTTATTCTAGGCTAACACATTCAAAGTACTAACCTTGACCTACCCTATCGAAATGGGCAAAAATTCAGTTTATTATCCAATTTAAACATTTTTTTCTTCATGTTTTATTGGAAAATTATGCCTGTCTAGTTCATGGCACTACTAAAAGAACCATCCCAGTGATCTGTGCTTAAAAGAATTTTGACAAAGATGTGCAATATCAAGAGCCACACAGAGTAATTATTTTTGTCAGTTCCATACATTGAATCAAAAGATGACTGTTGGTTGCAGCCCATTTGTTGCTAGGTAAGGAAAAAGGAGATGGAGAAAGATCTTAGCCCACATGTGTTGGGTATGTGATGGTAAAGCCACGCCCCTTAGAAGAAAGGATTCCTTCTGATACTCCTCATCTCTAGTCAACATCTCAAGTTGTCCATAGTCCCATTTCTACATTGTCATCTTGAGGAAACTGAATGCCCCATGACTGATCAGGCCATCTGGGGCAGGCCATCAACCACTGAAGACAAAATTTTACTCTCCAAAGTCATCTTGGCTTTGCTGTTCAGAACTGCAGACTGATGGCATATGGGGATTAGTCTATTGCAACAGATGGCTCCACTGATTTTCCTCATGAAGTGATTATTGCTCCTTCCAACAATATTCCCAAATCCAGTCAGGCACTGGGTCAGGTTAATTCTGCCTTAGGAATGTTTCTCAAGTCCATCTTTCCCTTTCTAGGCCCACTGCCACCAATCTGATGAGGGCCCTCATTGTTTGACACTTTGTGTATCTGCAGTGATGTGCTTACTAGACTGCGCCTATCCTCTCCTTTCTGCCATCACAGACGTGCACTTGTGACTTCCCTGCACAAAGGCCTGAGCTGGATGACTACTGTCTACAAACTACAGAGTGAATAGTTGGCATGGAATTCAAGCAACACCTTCCATCAGCTGGATCGTATCTACTTCTCTATCCTTAGCTCCAAATTCTGCCTTTTACAAAAACTTGACTCTAGCCAAAATGATACTTACTATATCAGGAAAACACCATGAAAGTTATCCTTCTGAGGCTTCATTTGACCACAATGACCTCAATGGAGAAAGTCCTTTGTCTTGACCTCTGCAGTTCTAAGAACTAACATTTATTTAAGAACAGTAGAAATTTCACTTCCAAAGGACTGCTTAAAACACTCTGGTCATCTTAAATCAGTTCAGGAACCGAACCCTGATGGCTGGTGCCTGCCATTTTAAATGGAAACTCATCTCTGCTTTCTTGAATTATTAGTTTTCTTTTAGGCATTCTCTGATCCTTCTCAACTGAACCTTCAGCCCTTTAGGAATACAGACTCCATACTTGAAATTCCCTCACATGTTAGAATGGCCTACACGTTGTAAAAATTTTGTTTACTATGATATTAAGAGAAAGGTATGTTTCTTCTTTTTATTAAGTAGCTCCAATGGAAAACAAATGAAAATTACACACACGCACACACACACACACACGCTTCCCATAAGATAGTGCATCTAATTATTTCATTGGTAGGGCATGCCTTTTATCAGTGTTCTGCTTCTTGTAAACTCAGTTTATAAGCTCAGAATTTTCCTGAAGAAGAAATTTAGATGCGTATCAACCACTCTGGTTACACATTTCTTTATCAAAATACTCTACATTAATTTGAGCATATGAAGCCTGAAAATAAATTACTAGTATATTTTGAAAGGAATCTCTCTATTTTTAGATGGGATTAGCATTTATTAGAGATATGGAAATAAAGGAAAAAGGGAGATACAACCATGTGAAGTAAGCTAAACAGTTCTTATAGAAGATATCATCATGTTTAAAATATTCATCCTTTTTTCCTCTGGAAGTACAAAATATTTACTTCTGTAGTTACAGTTCAATGCAACTTATGACTAAAACTGTCATCAGCTGAAATCATTAAACTTTTTTTTTTTTTTTTTTTTTTTGAGATGGAGTCTCGCTCTGTCACCCAGGCTGGAGTGCAGTGCCGCGATCTCGGCTCACTGCAAGCTCTGCCTCCTGGGTTCACGCCATTCTCCTGCCTCAGCCTCCCGAGTTGCTGGGACTACAGGGGCCCACCACCACGCCCGGCTAATTTTTGTATTTTTAGTAGAGACGGGGTTTCACCATGTTAGCCAGGATGGTCTCGATCTCCTGACCTAAACTCTAACTTTTAAGAACAAATATGATACATAGAACAGGGAAGATACTGCTTGCAGCATTATATAGATTAGCATCACCCATATAGGTTATACCATTTTTATCGCACTAAATTCCTGCATCCTGTAAATAACACACCCACATGTGGAGACCAGAACATACCAACATAAAATATTCCCTGCCCCTGTTCTTCTGGCAAAGAGAAAAGGTACCAGTGACAAAACTATACTATTGAGGGACCAAGGAAATTGAAGAGTTACTTTATCAACTTCTGAGGGTGTAAGGAAACATAAAACAAAGCTAGCCAAATGCTTACAAATACTGATAAGAATAACTAGACCATGTAGCACTGAAAACTTACCCAATGTCACGTTAAATACCGACCTTTCTAGGAGACATAACCTCTAAATGGTGTTAAAGTTAATAATAACTAAATATGAAAAATATACTGAGGATTTGCTAGAGTTGTATACAGGCTGGAATGGGCATGAAAGGAAAATGCCCATGTGTGTGCATACATAGCAAAATGCCCAGAAACACAAACAAATATAGAACAAAGACAGGTCTACACCGAGAGCAGATATTGATTGCACTCAAGGGCATATATTCAGGTGGTCCAAATGTACTACACCAGTGGGATCATTATTTATGACTCAAACTCTACTAGCCAAGTCCATACCTAAGACCAATAATGTTTGGAAAAGATCTGGAACACTCTCTTTTCCTCTAAGATACACTAAGCCAATATGGTTCCCACTAACACCTAGAAAAATACCCAGGGAGGCACAAAAAACCCATGAGCAATCAACAAAGGCCGGCCTTGGTCTCTTTCTCCCTAAGCCATAGGCAGGAGAGTGTTAGAGCTCTAAAAGGCCAAAGAGGAATAAATTCCTAGAACATGAATAGAAACATGTCTTTGCTCATTTCCAGCAATACTGTGAGTTTCTGTTACTGTGTTCAATTATCATTGCAAAGATGAAAAAGCATTCAGATACTTAACGGTGTCTAATAATAGTAGACAGTTTAGGACAGAAATAATTCCAGCCCTCTAAGAAACCTGTCAAAATATCCCAGAGGTAAGAAACAATGACCCTACAGTAGACTGTGGCCATGACCCTCAGGTCCAAGTGCTAACTCTAAAAAAGTGTCATGAGATATTTGATGACAGCTGATCAAGACATCATTTTTACGCCCTACCTGGAACAGATAATATCTTTTGAAATGAATATTCAGCATACCTGCCTTCAATACCACATGGAAAATCACACAGAGACAAAGGGAAAAAAACTGCCATTCTTTCTCAGTTTAGGCTATTCGTGAGCTAATACATAACCGAACCTTCATCTTTATGCCTCTGTTCTCAGGTTAATATCTCCATCCCTGAAAGTCTCACCCAAATTCAAGCTTCAAATTTTTAACTGCTTCTAAGTCATTTTGATTTGGACACCCCATTATTACCTAAAACCCAGCATACCTTAACTAAACTCATGATGAATATAAGTTCAGTACTTATCAGAGGGCTTATAAGAAACAGAGAAAGTACTCTAAATATTAATTAAGTAAATTACTATTTCTTCTCATCCGAGTTTCTACTCTCAATTTCCTCAATTCTGTTACTTGGCTTCTGGTACCCTACTTTGTTTCTCTGAAATAATTGAGTTGTCTTACGTTGTTCCCCTCATTGAACCTTCATTCAAAATGCTCACCAAATATCTCAATTCTTTCATAACAGACTCTGTCAGATTTAACTCTGAATGCTACCACCCTCAGACAGTGATCATCTTATACGTGGGCCAATGAAACTGTCTCCTCTTTTAGCCCAATTATGAACTGTCTCTTTCCCCTTTCATCTAATTCTACTATTTCTACAGGATTAGTATTCATGAAATAATAACAATAATAATAGCTTTGTTCCTTTCTCAGAAACACGTACTGGCTCAAAACTGTTGTTATATTAACTCTTAACTACCACATCTATTCTAATGTTTCTCTAAACTGGGTCCACCCTGCTTATCAATCCTTATCACCTACCAAATGTCCCAATAGTACCATTTGATCATTTTTGTCCTCACTTTACTTATGAAAACTCTTTACTGATGCTCATTTGGCAAAAAAAAAAAAAAAAATCTATATTAACACTTGTTCTCCATATGAAGTTGATCCTTATAATAACGTCTTGCTTTTCCTATTTTCACCTGGAAACATCATGCTTCCCTACACAAACACTAAATTCCAGGTGTCTAGAGATGATAACATAGGAAGCAATATATTGTAGTAATTAAGATTCAAACTCTGGAGTAGACTGCTCAACTCCAAATTCCATCTCCAGCACTTAAAAGTTATATGAGCTCAGGCAAGCCTTTTAACTTCTGTGTCTTCGTGTCCATCATTATCTGTAAGATGGGGATAATAATATCTATTTCATACAGTTGTTATAAGAATCAAATGAGCTTCTACATACATATACAGTGCTTAGAGGTGGACATGGCATTTTACTCACTCAATTATTTTCAGTAATTATGTATTTCTTTTAGCCACTATCCACTGTTTCTTTCTGTGTCTTTCTGTGTTCCTATATCTCTCCCTGTCTTACTGTCTCTATCTTTGTCTCCGTATGCCTTTCTCTCTCTGACTCCTCTCTCACTCCCTCTGTCTGTTTTTCTTCCCCTTCACAATCCAGTTGGAGGAAAGAGTTGTTCATTCTCATTACTTCTACTTCATGACATCCCATGCATTCCTCAAAGCACCTGATTTCTGCCCACACCATTCTAATGAAACCATTCTTGCCAAAATCAGCTTTGACCTCTTTGTTGGCAATCCCAGTGATATTTTCAGTTTTCCTTATTGACAATTCTGCAGTGCTTCACATTTCTTTTTACTACTTCTTCCTTAAATCTCCATTCTTGAGTTTCTGCAATACCACGTTCTCTTGGGTTTTCTTCCTACAACTCCAATCTTCATCTCCTTTAAATTCCTCTTCTCCTACCCTCGGCTTATTATCAGCAAACCCAGGATTCTGTCCTGAACTCACTTCCCATCTTGTGTTTTAAAGCATTTTTCCCATGACTTCTATCTTTCATTCCCATCCAAACACTGACAGCTTCCACAGTTTCATCTGCAGTCCAGATCTCTTCTAGCACACCATCCTGCCTACTGGATACTGTGGCTCCACTATCGCACTTCCAACTCAGTACTTCAAAAGCTATATGCATACCTTCTCCCCTTTCACTCCCCAAATCCCATTCATCTTGGGTGCCCTGGGGCAGTGAAATGCAGCACCATTGACAGTCAGAGATGCCTGTCCCTGTCCTAGTCCAGCAACCCTCCCGCCACATTTGGTGCATTCCTCTGTCTTACTACCTCCCCACTCTGTTCACTTCTTTCAAGGCAGGACTAATATTTTATTTCAGTCTGTCGTTGTTTCTACCCTAGATTATTGCAGGAGGTTCCTCGCTGGTATCTTTGTAACTGGCCTTGCCCGCTGCCTTATCCCTTGGCCACACTGCAGTCTGACTCATTGTTCTAAAAATGAGAGAGTCAGGGCATAGATAGCCAAATAGATTAGAATCAAAAGTAACAGCACTGTAAGTTATTCCATGGAGCTAAGGTTTATTTTTCTCTATCTTTGTGCCCAGGGCTCTGCCAGAACCTAAAAGACCTAAAGTATAAGATAAGCAGTATTTCTGGAATTTGTGACCACTAAAGTCTATTAAACGGCAAGGAAATCCTCCAAAGCAGATTTTCTAACCCATTTTCAAGGGACTTGTTTCCAGAACTGGAAGAAATGTTACATATGGTTATGATGGCATGATTTGATACGGAGAGCCTTGTTCTTTGTAGAAATCAATAATAAACATCTCGAATCCAGATAGGAATAACTAGTTTGTAGCTACAAATTTTAAGATTGTATCTGTAAACTTGGAAACCTCTTAATTCATAGGTGCCATTTTTTAAAATGTATAAATTTCCTGGTCACTCAATCCTTTCTCTTTTACCAGGTCCCTCTGCCTCTACCTCCCATGCACCCCATTCCTGAATTCCCCTCCTTTTCTTTTTGGTCACATTGTATCTGGTTTTTACTCTCTGAGATGCCAGCTCGGCTTCCTCAACACATCTCAGTCCTGTTTAGTTCTATTTCCACTCTGCTCCATCTAGTGGAATGCTGATTTTTACAGTATGGTGCCAGCTTTGCTTACTCTACTTTGCTGCGCAGGGTCAAGATATAAACATTGAAACAAAACCAAACTTTAACCTTTGATAGATAAGTTAAGTATCATTTCCCAAATACCTGGACAGAAACCAGAATTCCACGAGCATGCTTATGTGAAGAAAGTGGAAACATGTTCAATCCAATGGCAGCATTAGGCTCAAAAACGGCTACTCCATCAAGAAATAAAAGGCAAATGATTATTTTCTCTGTTATTTAAGCTTTGTTAGCATAGTCTTCTTAATGTAAATTATTTGATAATTGTGAAATATGCTCCAGGGACCATTAAGAAGTTTATTTTTTTTTTCTTGTACTGAATGACAAAAGTTAAACTATTAGGAGAATGAAAGTATTCCTATGCTTGTTTTTGTATTTACAGTATGCAAGGTATACTTGGAACCATGTGAAAATTAATTTCATCACAAAGGCATGGGTATGATTCTCTGGAAAACATATATTCCTCTATCTAGACAGTTATTTTACAATATTCATGCGTATGAACTACACAATCAACTTAGAGCTTGATGGTGTACTTTCTTCAGATGTATCCTGATGAATCTAAGTATGATATCTTCATGATTAGAATAATGGATTTTTAGGTCTAGAAAGTATCTTAGAGTCTAGAGCCACAAATATTAATTCATGTCCTTTCTATACTTCCAGTGTACACTCAATGAATACAAATAACTCTGTTGAACCTGATAGGATCCAATCTTTATTTATTTATTTGTTCATCCATTCATTCACTTTAGAGACAGGGTCCCACTCTATTACCCAGGCTGGAGTGCAATGGCACAATTACAGCTCACTGCAGACTTGCACTCCTGGGCTCAAGCAAACCTCCTTTCTCAGCCTCCTGACTAGCTGGGTTTAGAGGTGCGATCTACTGTGCTTGGCCAAGGATCAAATCCTAAAGACTCAAGCTAACAGCCAATTTGGAGTAGATTCCCTTATGATTTTACTTCTGGAGTTGAGAAATATGTGAATAAACATGGGGCCAATTATTATCATCAAATGAATAAAAAGTCTTATTTTTAAATTTGATTGGGGACAGAAAGATCATAGAAATCAACTAGGAAGGAAAGAAATAAAATTCATTCTGAAAATGACAACAAGTCTAGGCATACCCTACCCTGATGCCAACACCATTGGCTCATTCATTCATTCCCTGAAGTTGTAGCCATAGTGTTCCTACTAAAACATAAATCTAATATGATCCCAAACAAGAAAAAGCAAAACCTTCAAAACTTCTCATTAACCTCAGGCAAAGTCCAAAACCCTTAAATTGATTTCAAGATCCTTCATTATCAAGTCCCTGACTCCATCTTCATCACTAGTAACCTGCTTCTTCACATCATCCATGACCCTTTGGCCATTTGTAACAACTCTCATTTCCTCGAAGGAGCAAAACTCTCTCTCAGCCTCTGAGCTTGTGCAATGACTGACCTCTCCACTTGGAATATCTGCTCTCTTTCCCTCCACCCTTCACGAGTTAATGTCTGCTCATTCTTCAGGTCTCACTTTGCACATCACAAGACTAGGACAGATGCCCTTCCTTTGTGCTCCCATGCCACTTTGTCCTATACCCCACAGCCAGTTATATGGCAAACTCTTCAAACTCCTGTTCACCTAGAACTCTCCATCACCTAGATTACCACTTGGAACAAGAGATGGTCAATATATCTTTGCTAAATAAGTCAATGTATAAAGGAAGGAATGAAACCAAGACATGAGAGAAACATCAGCACATAAACCAATAAGCTGACAGTGGAAAATTTCAGGGTTGTTTTATTAAAGACAAAAGTGGGAAGGAAAGATTTTTTTTTCTTAAGCATAAAGTATAAAAGCCACATAATTTTGCCCATTGGGTTTATATGGATATAAGACACCACCCTGAGAAGCAAATTTAAGACATAGTTAGCAAGTCAAGTCAGAATGGAATACCTATGAAAAATAAGTAAAATTTCCCTATTGGACTTATTAACTCCAATATCTAAGTCACTCCCTGGGGAGAATTTGGCTCTTATATAGGAATGCTAACTTTTTTTCACCAGAGCAGACTCTAATCAAGTGTGTAGATGCTGCAATACACCAAATGGCAGAGGAGAATTAATGTTCCTCTTGTGGGTTCCTGAAGTGTCTTACCACCAGGAAGTAACTTGCGCACTGAATAGAACAGGGATCATTAGAAACAGTTATGCAAAACTTAAGAACAGAAATACCCTTGCTTTATGTGAAGGTTAGAATTTGATGATTTTGTTTTGGTGTCCTTGGGGTGGAGACTTAGGCAAAATACCAAATCATACCCACAGTCACAGAGCTCAAATTAAGAGGGGGGAAATGCCAGTTTACAATTCCTCTCATCTATTGTTGGCTTCAAACACTGTTAGAATAATGTTCCCAAGTTAATTCTTTGCTTGTAAAAATTTTAAAAGAAAAAGGGCCACATATACACAGTAATTTTTGAGGCCAACTCCCTCTCCACAAATTACCCACGAAAATGAAAACTTTTGACACCACCATTTTAAGTAAAACCCTGGTGAAGTCACTGAAAACATTGGGGAAGTAACTTGACTTTTAGGCACATGTTGCTTTCCTTATCACGAAGTCAGGATTAGATGACAAATAAATACTAGGGGAAGTGCTATGAAAAACTATTTGCTTCATGACAGCAACATTTATGAATTTTCGTTTGTTACTTTCATTCTCATTTTGTTTCATTCATTCTCTGGTCAGAGAGACTTCAGTGCTCTAAATCACAATCATAGACTATCAGCCTGAATTATTTTTCCCTTCAACACAGAATGATGACTGAATTACAGTTAGACTTTGGAAGTCATGTCTACCTGCTCATCAAACTCCATTTTGACAATTTTTAAAATTGTTAGTAAGACTAACACATGTGCATGCACATGTGCGTGTGAACACACACACACACACACACACACACACACAATTAAATCTTATAGGAAAAGGCGTCTACCTCTGCCAAATTTCAGCTGGGAACAAATTTTTATGGTTAGCTAATAAACCTGCTGAAAACAGGGGTTGATAATGGAAACCCTCCCGAGCCCTTAACTATAGTGTGCACAGCTATAATAAAAAGAATTAATGCAGTCAATTTGTACTACTGTTCTCTGAACAAAAAACCCTATTTCAACCACAGTCTTTTCAACAGCTGATTGGCAGCCCTGTCCATTTCCCCTCTGCAGTGTTGTCAGGAGTCTTCAACATGATAATGAGCCTGTCACCATATTCAAATAGCCCTGTGACAGCATGTTTTGTGAGTGTGACGTCCACTGCAAAGGGTCTGTCAAAAAGCACCTTTCAGAAAATGAAAAGAGAATGCTGTCCTGATGATAAACCTAATTTCTCCATAGATAAAAGAGTGAGATTTTTCATCAGATTTTGTCAGTGTTGTGTTGCATTTATCTCTTCAAATGTTCCTGTTTTCTTTTTTTAAATATACATAAATTTAGATTTGTCAGTGACGGGGAAAAATGATGATGAAACACATTTTCTGTTCTAGGAAGCTGAGTCCATCAGGTTAAACAGAGGGAAAAGAAAAAAAAAAAAAATCCTGATACTTTTCTATCACATTAAAAACGGGCAGAAAAGTAGAAGGCTAACTTGTTAACTCCTCACCTGATAAACTTTCAAGGATGGAACTCAGATTCTGTATGCATCACTCATAAGGCCAATTGCATCCCCAAAAATAGTCACAGGAAGTTGCTACGTTCAAACTGTGTATGTATACAGTCACTTTCTCAGTGCACATGAAAATCTGTAACCATGTTAGTAGCAAGGAGAAAGCTCATCCTTCAAGATTCATGGGCTACTTATTATCTTGGTAAATAGTGTTTGTTTTAGGAATACTTGGAAAATGCATTTACATCATATTTCAATGGATTAAAGATTTTTGTGTGTGACTAAGATGTTTAGAAGTACTATTGTCAAGGGAAAAATAATTATTCTTGTGTTATGAAGACTTATAAACAGCCCAGGCTCTCTAAACATCATTTAATTTTCTTCCTTTGGTCCCTCTCCAATGTAGACCAAATCTCAGTGTGTTCAGTGTTAATGCAAAAAACCTAATTTAGGTCTTTCCTCAAAAGGGATATATGTACGTATATAAGTATATATACGATATATAAAATACATACCACACATACCTATATTATATATGTATATGAAATATACATTCATACATAGGTACAAATACAGGTACACACACATACACACATAGTAGAAATAATACAACTGTCTATTCTTTGTGAATACTAGTGTCTCAGAATTTGATGAAATTCACATGCATGGGCCCAAGGAAAACTGAGAAGCTCTCTGGCTTTGACAGTGGAAGAGGTGGGACAAGGATTGGGATGAGGAAGCAGGGGGACAGGAAGCCAGCAAGAACTGTCACTCTCTCCCTCCTGAGGTGCCCTCCGTACCATAAGCAAATAAACACATACAGGAGGTCCCGAAGGCTTCTAAGAAAGAAAACATGGTAGACATGTAAATCTAATGCCTACTTTATCTAAAACTCTATGACAATAAAAGAATCTTATATTTTAGAAAACACATACTCTATCCAGTGTACTACTATGTCATTTAATTCACCAATATGCCTATATTAAACTATATATCAAAACACTTTTTTAAAGATATTACCAAACATACATAACCTTGTGTCTCCCTACCCTGACTTTAGCTAATGGCTCACTGACTTAAGTCTCATTTTCAAAGCAATATTTTCTTTCACTCATCTGTTCTATGCAACTTATGTATCTATAGGTGATGATAGCATTTGTGAAAACTTTTTGCTATTCATAAGCAAGAAAACAACCGTAATTTTCATTCTTCCAATTTCAAGTAAAATAAACACAATCCTAGTTATATCTCATTTGAGTTGAAGTCTGACTAAGCCAAAAGGACTTATTAATTAAAGAAAATGATAATTTCATGTTTTTGTATGTATCATAGATACAAAGCTGACATGACTAGAATGTTTTCTTAACTAAAAATTAATATATTTTGGTGGTTGAGGAGGGGGATCTCAATTTTTGCAATAGAGATTATCCTGGGTATACCAGGAAGGATTAAAATTTAAAACACAAAATAGAGATTTTTGTAAAGGTATGATTTACCTGTACTAGTCAACAGTTAGTGAAGCTAAAATTATTGAAGAGTTTTTAGGTTTTTTTATTTTTTTTTAATTCCAGAGTAAGAAAAGGCATCAAAGAAAAAAAAGTGGGGAGGTTCCCCAATATGTATAAAGTCAATGCCCGAAAGAAAGTAACTCATTGAGAATCAGCAATAAATTTGACTGATTTTAAGTTTGTCAGCTGGAGGGAATTATTATAAAGTCAATAAATAGAGCTATAGACAGCTGGCTTTGTATAATATCCTTTTCCTTTGCCTAAATGTTTAAACTATTGGTTCATTTGGGATTTTCTTTTTTAAGAGGAAGAGAGAGAGAGAGGGAGATCTCAAATTGAGCTATCCTCAACATACAAAGCAAATTCCAGAATCTTGAAGACTTTCATTGTCTCTGAAAGTCATTGTCACCACCCTAATCCCCTCATTAAAGCTAAAGAAATGCTGGGATGGCATTAAAATGAATGCAAACCATTTGCAGCAATCTCCTGCTCACACCACCTCCAAATGAAGGCAGGCACATTGCATAATCCAGGCAGCAAGAGCTCCTGACAGGTGGATGATTTATGCTCATAGTCAGAAGAATCGGAGGGCCTGCGGAGGAGACAGCATGAGCAAGGTGGTGGCGAGACAGATGCTCTCAGTGGGCTTGCAGGGGCTGGCAGGCTCCAACTAGTTCAGGTGCAACCTGGACACTTTCAGTGCTGAACTCCTATTGCCTAGATTCCAATACTCTGATGTGTCATTTGCAATATTATATGCAATGTACACAATGAATAAACTGTCAAATCCGAGCAAGCATTGTACATATGCTGCATATACCTCTTACATACATAGATATTATGTACACAATGCCCCAGCACATAAGTGAAAGGAAACCTCTTTTTGTCAAATGATGATTATGATACAGATGTAAATATTCTATACCTTCAGGATCCTCAGTTCTGAAAATATTTAGCCCAGGTATGGTGAGTGGAGAGTGACAAGATTTCCTAACAATTGGATCAATATTAAAGATTGCACAGTGGGATTAGGAGAAACACACCTCACCAGAAAACTGACATTCCTGTCAATTATTTTAATTATTTTTCAGATACATGACATGCTTTCATGACATTTTATTCTGAGAAAGCATTTGAATATTTCAGAAGAAAATTATTAAGAGATGGATAAAAGGAAGAATCCCTACAGAGTTGAACTGCTTTGAGATCAATCTTCAAAATAGTTTTCCAGAATTTCTCTCAATAGCTCTAAACAATAACAATTTGGTAAAGATTATGGTATTGGTTAAAAGGGTAGATAAACCTAATTACAGTTATTGATGACAAATTACTGCAACTCCAATCTCTAACAGAAGGTATTAGCCAGCATTTTACTGGTCAGCAGTAAACCACCAATGGACAAAGAAATTCACCTCATAGATCTACATAGAACTATACTGATCATTCCTTTTCCACGCTCAGCCCAGTATCTCTGAAGCATAATGCTTCAGGTATCAGTGACAGGGATAAGCTTCCAAATGTACAAGCTTCGGGTTATCTTGGATGAATGTGATTTTACTTTCAACTCTTAGATACTGTAGGGTCAAAGGTAGAATTGCCAATGAGAATTAAAGATCCCTTTAATTAGATAACAGTATTCAAAGACTTGTAAATTCCCAAGAAGCCACTTTGCAAAGCAAGAGTTACAGTGTTCTCCTGGGGGAAAAGATGGGCAGTGGGCTTTTATTTTTTTTTTTCTCAGCTATTCACCACTATGAGAGAATTTTTGAAAAGAACAAAATGGAATACATTGTAAGTAATTCAGAATGCCTCCAGACTTTACAATTCTCCCTAGAGAAAAAACTCAAACAATTTGAAGTCTTCACAAACTGCATCCAAATCCTTTTTCTAACTTCATTAAGCTCCAGTACTTAAAAATCGTTCATAGCAAGTACTTTAATTAGAGACGAGCCAGTGCAGAATAGCTGGACAGGCAGTGCGTCCACCCAGCGAGCAGACTGCCCAGGGGGGACAGTCTCCACCTCACTGATGCAACTGGTGAAGGGACAGACAGGGGCGTGGATACATTTCTTCCTTCCCCAAAACAAAATGGGAGGATGCGTGTGGGTTGGTGGGTTACAGAGAAAGATTCAAACATCATTCTGGCCTGATCAGTATTCTGGCAGTTTACCATTATACATACAGAAAAAGAACAGAAAGTGTGTTAAAGAATCCAAGTTTTAAGGGGAACAGAAAACAAAGTCATCTGCACTATGGAAGCCTATTTTTTTCTTTCTTTGTTTCCCCTCCTTTTTCTCTCTCCTCCCTCCTTTTTTCTTTGCTCTCTCTCTCTCTACTCTCTCTCTCTCCACCAAGCCTCCTTCCAAACCCCATATTTTGAGACTGAAACCATGAAACCATTGCCATGAGAACTGTAGTACAGGCACAAAACCAGCATCAAAGGATATAAGTGCCACACAGAATCCTGATATGCTGCCATTAATTTGATGTTCAGGGGTCAATACAAGGGTGGAAAGGTAGCAGGGGAAGGAGAAAGAGCAGAGAAGAGAGGGAAACAATTGCTATGCATGAACAATTTGTACTTGCTACTTCTCTGGCTAGAGTAATGCCTTTGAGGCAGAACTTGAGCAGGCAAGTAAAGAGCTCACAGGTTCTAAGCTACCCGCAGCTTTGAACCCAAGTTGTTTAGAGACTTAAAAACAACAACTATAGCAAATGGTTTTTAAGGGACAATATGGTTGTTAAATATTCTAGGTGGTGATAGAAGTGCTTTCTTCACCTATAATATACCTTTTTTGTCCTGAAATGCTAGAACTGAATGAACAGATTAGCATGTGCAAAAGTAACTGTAGATGCCTTCATAAATTACTCCTGAGAAAAAGTTAGCAATGTCCGGATGAGAAGTGATTCCATGGATTCAAGGTCATTTGTTTCTGGTCCATGACAGACTTTCTTGCTGTCTCCTCACAATCCACTGAGGGGTCTCTGTAATTCTGGCAGGTTTTGCTGACCCTGCCTGTCACCTTCAGCTCTCCTGCACACAGGAAAGGGTCTTGGGCCAGAGTCACACAGAGCATTATCGGGGACCTCTGACCCCAGCGAGACATGGACAGCGAGCAATGTGAAGACAACCTAAGCCTGCTGTGAACATAGCACTTGGTCATTTTGGAGGGAAAAAAATTCCAGCAAGATGACATTTGAGACCAAGCAGAACCAATTCATCTTTGGTGTAGCTATGCAAGGTCCTAAACATTCAAGCAACAAACTAATAGTGATGACAATAATAATGAATATTTACTGAGGACTTAATATTTGTCAGACACTGTGCTAAGCATTTTAAATACATTACCTTAATCCTCAGAGCAAACTCTGTAGGATAGGCCATTACTATTATCACTATTTTACAGACTAAGAAACTGAGGCTAGAGACATAAAGAATCTTGCCAGTAATTGGCGACTTAATAGCAACTCAGGGCTGTCTATTAGCAAATTCTATGATCTTACTAGTATGCTATGTGGAATAATGTGTTTACAATACAATTCCAAATGCATCCTCTTCATTTTTCAACTGTATTTAACCTGTAACTTTGTAAGATATTATACTACTTACTGAAATTTTGCAATGGGAGAAGAAATTAATGACCATAATTTTTTCCTCCATTTTTCTCAGGCTTGAGTTTCTTTAAAATACCCAGCCCTGAAGAAAAATAAAAGCCAAAATAAAGAAAAAGAATAAGGTATGCCTTAGCACTTCGTGTTAGATACTTTTTTTCAGTGATCTCTCTCATTGTGATCGAAAAGAGACAGTAGTAAAGGCCCTGCAACTAACCTCTGCTTCTCTGGCCCATTAGCTATTTTCTAATGTGCAAATCACTCTGGTCTCCCAGGACTGTTTAAGAGTTCAGCTGACTACAGCACTGTCTCCTTTTGGGTTTCCAGTTAAAATCAATGCATTAACTGAGGCTGCAAGTTAGATTCTAGAACTGCAAGTTAAGTAAGACAGGTGAGGAAGGGAAGAATTCCTAGCTTTACAAGCTTGGGAACTTTCAAAGAGGCCAGTTCCTGAGTGGCATTAAAATAGAAATAGCATTACTTGTAAAAGCTGGGGGATTTTGTTCTTTCCTACCTTAACAAAACTTTTGATAGATTTTCTCTGCTGGAGCACATAACCAAATAGTTAAAGATTTGTGAGATAAGCAGGAGATTCTCTAACATTTCTTAGGCACCCAGGGTTTGAATTGAATTTCTGTTCCTTTTACTTTGTCACCATTAGTGAAGCTTTATTTTTCTACACTATCCCCTCCAGATCCTAATTAATGACTGCTGGGGAGACCTGCAGACATATACAGAATCGTTGAGAAGTACATTTGTTCATGGACCACAAATTTGGACCAGTTATCTACAGAGCATGAAAGTGATGCTACAAACGGAAAATGAAATAATCAGACAGCAACCTGGACAGCCTCTCGGGGACAGACGCTGGGCAATGGCAGAACCTCTTCTGCTAAACAATAGGCTATGATAGTCTACACGGAAGGGGTGCCACTCAGAAATATACGTAGCTCAAATATTATTCAAACCATCTCTAGGATAAAGCAGAAATACTCTATACAGACATTTCAGCAATCACATTCTAGTCCTGCAAAGAGCAATATTTACAGAAATCAGAAAATGTTCTTGTTATTGCACAGCCCTCCTGTTTTAGAATGCCTACAGCAAGAAATGATGCTGGACTTTGTAAGAGCTCCAGCACGAAGACCATTCCCTAAAATAAAGGTCTCCTTGCTCACAAAGGAAGTAATAGCAGAGAACAGCAGCTTCCATGTGACTTAAAGGATATTTCACCTTTTGACACTCTGGTAAGATTAATTAAGAGAAGAACCAAAAGACATCATTATAAATATCAGTACAGCATATGAGCTTCAGAGTCAGAGAATTTCAGATTGAATCCTGGCTTTACCATTTAATAGATGTCTGATCTTGGGCAAGTTATTTATCAAGTTATTTAGAATAAGTCTTAGTTGTTATCTCATTTATATTCACTAACTTATCACATGTCTATGGAGAAGACAGATCAAAACCAACATTATTCCTCATGTTTTTTTTTTCTCCTTTTTTTGGATACCAATTGCTATATTGTCAGTGTAGTCAATATACTTTTAATAAAACAGGACTTCTGAAATACAATTCTGTCATGGTCATATGAATATAAAAGAACATTTATTTGTAATGCATATATGAAAGCTTTCTAAAAATCATTATTTATGAAAAATTATTCCTGCACCCAAATTACAAAAATGCAACTGAAAAGTATACTGAAGTATGATTTAAAAAGAAAAAAAAAGTCATATTTTATTGAGCACCTACTATGTGATCATTATTGTACTAGGTGCCATGAAAGACTAAAATACAAACAGTTCCTGTTCTCAAGTTGTTTATGCTTTGCTCCATGAGACATCCCAAGTGAAGAATGGAATACTAAAAATTAATAATACCTATTATTTTCCTAATGCTGTCATTTACCAGATGCTGTACCAAGAATATTACATATATTATCTCATTTAACCCTCAAAGCTATCCTCTGATGTATGTATAATTACAATCTCCATTTCATAGGTAAGGCTTAAAAAGGTAAAGTAACTTGTCTGAGATGGCACAGCTAGTAAGTAGTAAACCTGACAGTGAACTCTGAGTCTATCTCTGCACTATCCAATATGGTAGCCATCAGCCATGTGGGGGCTACTTAATTTAATTTAATAAAAATTAAACAAAATTAGAGACTGACTTCCTTAGTTGCATTAGACACATTTCAAGGGCTCAATCAATAGTCACAGACTCCATTTGACCCAGAGTCTATGCTCTTAATCTTTATGCTCTATTTCCCTCTGTGGAAAACATGAAATTAAATGCTAAACAGTATGAAACTGAATATAAACGCTGGTGAAATTCTGAAAAGGGTAACATCTCTGTAATTTTAAGTCTTTAGGCTTATGAAGGATCATAAACTCCACAAGGATAGAAACTCTTTTGTCCATGTTCACAAAGTGAATGGTATGGAGCCAGCTCTCAAAACACACTTGTTGAATGGATGAGTCAAGGATGAGTGAATAAAAGTTTGGAGATAGACTTACAATGTGTATTATTTGGACTGATAGCTAGAAAACAGCTCCTGGGCAGAATAACCTCACCCCAACTCTAGATGTTGTAAAGAACAGGATGTACTTCTGCCATAGCAGATAGAAATATTTACACAGATCAAACCATAAGGCATGAATCCACGTTCCTTCCAAATACTTCCAAATTACGTATGAATTGATAATAACCTAAGACTGGCTAAGGTCAGAGTAATTGCCATTTAATTGGCTTCAAATATACTAATGATTATGATAATGTTGATACTGAAGAACCTAATAGGCCTGGAGACAAATGTCTAAGAGAGCAGAGAGGTGAATTAATGGGAGGCAGGAGTAGGGAGGGGACCATTATAGAAGTCACAAGTTTGGAAATCACCAAATGGTAATTCAGTAGGGTTGTGAAGAAATTTGGCTTTTAGAGGAAACTATGAGAACAACAACAACAATCCCCCACCCGCTCCCAAAAAAGAACAAACTTAATGGGGTGGAGAGGGTGAAGGGAGAGAAAGTTGTATTTGCTCCAAAACTTCTGTGTGCAGAAGCCTGGTTGGGGGATATTAATTGGACAATCCAGGGAGAAGCCACTAAATAAGGGCTCAGGTGGCCTCAAGGAAAACACTTACAGCTGAGAACTGAGAGGGAGGCCAGGGAAAACGGACTTGACCTCCTATGGGGGCAACATGCTGGCTTGAACTGAGACACAAAACCAGAAATTGGTACAGAAACCAGGTCTAAGTAGAAACACATATTAAGTTAAACCAAGTAATGTAAATTACCTCATTTTTACACATTCTACTCCTTAAATTTCCCATATCCCCAAGACACATACAAACGCTAGTAAAATGGTGCAGACATAATAAAATTATGATTGTGCAGCCTATGTAGAAAAGATTTAATAGATGAAAATGTAATTCTTGAGAAAAATAGGAAAGGGATTTTGATCCTAGATACACATAATCTTTTGAGAAACAGGTTAACCAAAGGGCAATTGCTAAGATACCCTCCCTTTGGGTTTTGCCATAGGTCCCATTTCATCTCAGATAGTCATCTATAAAAGAAGAGTATCTTACAGTTGGGGCTTTTAAAATAGCAGAAGTCCTGACATTCCTGTCAAAGGGCTCTGTAATGTTTCCTGCTTCCAAAACCATTTCCATATCACTCTCTTCTAATGGCATGATTCATATTCATGTCAACTTGAAAAAGCACTGAAGCCAAAGTAAGGTAAAAACAAATTTATGTTGTGGATAATCAGCTGAAATCCATCACACCTGAGGGTCAGTTACTACTGTGCTGGGGCTGTGCAGTCTACTTGGGTAAGGCTGAGTGGCAGTGGCAGGTCCTGATATTTGTTCTAGTAGCCACAAAGCCGCACTGGCTCTCAAAAAGCACAATCTGCCATTCACTTAAGTCTGGTTTGCCAGCAAGCCCAAGGATGGACTCCCCACTAGTACCATCAGGCTCAGGGAATTTGGCTAGCACCGGGCACCTCAGACTTCTGCCAGCTAATTGGCTTTGGGGAAGCCGCTGACCTACTCTCCACTGAGTGGCTTTTGTGAACCTGGAACCTAGCCTGCTTCTCATCATTGATCAACCTTGGCCAAGCCAGCTGGCTTGTTCCTTTGCAGACAGCTTGCCTTAGGGAAGCTGGTTGGTGGCTCCTCAACCTACTAAGTGAGGGAGAGAGAGAGAGAGAGAGAGAGAGAGAGAAAGCGAGAGAGGACGAACTACAGAACAGTCTCTCAAAAAATGACCAGTGCTCAGTGTCAGTTACGGGGACTTAGAGATGAACAAAATCGTGCCTCATACCTGATATATTAGTAGGTGGAGTAGAAGTCTGCATAGCCTTAACCAGAAAGGTAACTGAGCATTTAGGAATGGGGCCCAAATGAAATACAACCATGAAGCACTTCATTAAATGAGTCTTATTCAAGTGTACACCTGAATTCCTTTAGTTACATTCAGGCACAATGTCATCATCATCAATGTCACATTGATATACGTATGCGTTGGTGACAAGGAACAAAAATCTGTTGTTTGAAGGCTGGTGGGGAAAAAATCCACATTAAACAGAGTCCTATATGGTTCTGGCCACCCCTCACCACTTACCAGGCTGGCCTTCTAGTGCCTGAGCAAATGTTCAAGCAGGTTTCCCCTGCTTGGGGCTAAATCCATCAGGGATTTTTTTAATCCAAAAAGAATAAAAATATGTAACATATTAGATAAATGCTGGCTTCCTAATTCAAGTTCACAAATGGAAATGACAAATGGGGACAATCAAATAAATGATTAACTTTTAATAGTATCCCTACTAAATCAGGGGGAAGAAAGCTAAAGGAACTGTTTCTTAGGATTTCAGCCTTTCTCTCTGTCCTCTCTAAGACAAATGCAGGGAGCACAGATTTATTCAGCTGAAATAATCTGTAGTGCTGCAACTGTTTAGTTCACATCAAAGATTCTATCTACTTCATTTCTAATGTAATTGTGATTTTAAAATATATACATAAATATAAAATTGTTTTGGAGAACCAGGTATGCAAGGAGTATGTGATAGTCTTCTATGAGCCACACGGATTACATGCAGAATCATGGACAAATCTTTAAAACATTAGAACTTCAATTTTCCCCTTTTATATAATAGATGAGATTATAATACTCCAGTGGTACACTATGGCCATATCCTCAAAACAACTGAGGCAGATGGTGCACAAAGTCAGTGGATCAGATTCATTCCTCTCTACAAAAGCACAACTTATAAGAAATGTGGTTCTGATAGTTCATTTTCTAAAAACTCAGCCAGAGACTAAAGCTATGCCACAAGGCAAAATTTTTCTTTATGTTCCAATTTGGATTTAAATAAGATGTCATACACTGACAAAAACACAGACCCCTAAATAGAGTTCCCAGGAATTGAACAGCTTCAGTACTACTGATGTTTATTCACATAGTTTGTAACTGTTAAGTTATTCCAAAGTTTATGTTGGGATGTCAGGACTTTGAGTGGGAAGTCACTGTAAAAGATAGTCTGGTCTAATCCTCACATGATACTTGAACTTGTTCCCTACAACATCTCTCACAGTGCTGGGAAACTTATTGCCTTCCAACATAGTTCATTCTATTTCTGGACATTAAGTGAAGAATTCAAAGCACTGAAGAGAGCCATAGTTCAAAAAATGGGGGATGGGTTACTTAAGTCATCTTTTAAGAGCTCAGTATCTCATAATACCCATAGCCTCTGAAGAATCCCAAGCCAAATACATACATGAATATTTCTGATGTTCCCAAAGAATAACTACATTAAATAAATGTACAGCAGAGGCAGTAGAATCAAAATACCCACTACAGAACCTAGACTCCTTCATACACTATGAGAACACTGGAAGGTAACAGAATCTCTCTAAGCTTCCCTTTGCTCTGTGAAATGGGGAAATAGCTACCACTGAGGTCATTATAAAGATTAACCAACCCCAACAAAAGCACACAGCACATAGCCTAAGGTATATTCAGCTCTCAAAAATCTGTGTTATTAGTCTTACCTTCAAAATCTTTACTATTCATTTTGAGACTGACTATTCAAGTTTCATATCAACAAAACGTGAAAAAAAATCACCATCTAGTAATGCAGTATCCGCACATAAAATAACTTTTTGTGGTACCTTAAGTACATTCCCAAATGGCTTAATGTCAAGACGAAGCTCACAGAGAAGGTGCTCTTCGCTATTGCTTATATTATAACTTGGGAGTTTTGTTTAATACTCTGCATTAATGAGGGAGCTTCTTAGGATAATATTACAACAGAGAGTGCAAGAAATACCTGTGAGGTCAACGCAGTTCTATTAACTGTCATCTAACACAGAAATATTTTCCTTGAATACCATTAAAGCTTTCTCCGTTTCTTTGTTCTGCTTTTTGAAGGCAGTAGGAGCCCAAATTTCCCTACCAATAATTTCTGTTTTTGACTTGGCAGCATAATGATACTAGACTTGAGGAAAAAAAATCACCTTGGCAATGTCTTCTTCAGAGGTTTTTACAGAAGATATTTTGTTAGGATAAATTATACTAAGTAGGCTCTTTAACTAAGCAAAAACAAATCCACTTGTAACTAAATGACCTGCGTAGCTTTATATTTTTTAAAGAGAACCTACCTGGAAAACACTACGCTCTTTAAATGAACATTTTGTTAAAATGGAAAATATGAAACAGAAGGGTAATTAGACAAGTAAGTTGCTCTTTGCTACTCCTGCTGATAGGGTAAACTCAGAAGACTCTCAGAGTTCCCACTGCCATATATAAATCAAGACTCAAGCTGTGGTTCCAGCAAAACAGCTCTGGGATAATTTTTCTTTATATCCTGGAGGCTCAGCCCAGCTGATTGGAGAGATGTAATGGCAGTTAAAAGAGTAAATGTATAATCTGTGCTCTCTCATATATGTGTGTATATGTAGACATGCACAAATTGTCTTCTCTAAAAAGGTGGAAACAGAAAATATACTCCATGGACTGTGTTGAGATCACTCAGAATAAACAGAACATCTGGACAACTAATTCCCTAATGTAAAAGAAGAGGATCTCCATACTCCTACCATTTCTTCCACCCAAGGATTTCCTAAACATTAGGTCAGCACTGTTAATCTATGAGTCAGAGAAAAAGATGAAGACCTTTAATTTCATAGAGACTGGCAATTCTGGATGGATTTAAAATAATTTGTCAAGCTAAAGGATTTAAGCTGGGCAAAAATGGCGTGACCCTTTTGAGATACAGTGTCCTCAACCTTACCATTTGACCTTCATGACTCCTGATGTACACTGCCTTCTCTAACTCACAATCAGTCCAATACTCTAGGCTGCTCAGTTATCCCATAAAGACTTTTCCTGGACCAATCACCATCATTATCTCTGACTTCAGCAGTCCCATCAAACTTTAGGTAAGAAGCCTGGTTCCCTCAGAACAGAATCCTAAGGAAAAGTCACCTCCTAAATTATGTCATTTATTTATATACCTTAAGCTCAAAACCCCTTGTTAGACTCATAAACTCTGCTGCTTATTGGGATTTCCAGGACTTTTTCCCATTTTGTCCACCCACCAAATAAGTAGTTCAGGTCACTCTTGGCCTACCAACAGATGCAGGCAATCAACCCAAGCATGGAGCAGGAAAGACCTCTTATTTGGCCAAGGCTGCCACACAGCTTGGCATAGATACAGGAAGGTCCTAGGCATATGACATACTTGGCTTTTAATCCCATTTCCACTTTATCTGCAGTGGGGCCGTGGGCAAGTCACTAAAACTCTCTGACCTTGGGTTCCTTATCTGACTAATGAGAATCTGATACCCAGGGTCCCAATTTTCTATACTGGGTGGGGTCTTAACATGATAATTAAATCTTAATACCATGTATTGTCTCACCACAAATGGTGACTTATTGCAAATGCCAATTCTCAACCTCTGCTTTTACTTCATCTGGAACATGGGCACTCACAATTCTACTATATTGTTTGCACTGCCTACCTGGAATCTTCATACTGTGTGTATTTTCTAGACTTCTACAAAGTGGAGAAAATATTCACACACAACACTGAGCATCTCTGTAATTAAAAGATACTTTATGTTTCTTTCTTTCTTTTTTTTTTTTTTTTTCTGAGACAGAATCTCACTCTGTCACCCAGGCTGGAGTGCAGTGGCACGATCTCCACTCATTGCAACTTCCTCTTCCCAAGCTCAAGCCATCCTCCCACCTCAGCCTCTGGAGTAGCTGAGACTACAGGTGTGTGCCACCACACCTTGTTAATTTTTTACTTTTTATTTTTTGGTAGAAATGAGGGTTTCATCACGTTGCCCAGGCTGGTCTCAAACTCCTGTACTCAAGCAACCCTCCCACCTTGGCCTCCCAAAGTGCTGGGATTACTGGCATGAGCCACTGCGCCTGGCTGAAAGATACTTTAAAGAGATCAAATCAAGTATGAAAATCAAAAATGGGTATCAATAAAACACATAACTATCTGATTTGTTTTGCTTGTTTTAATAACTTATTGTTTCCTCCATAGGAAATATTTAGAAGCCATTTAAAATTATATAAGCCTGCTCTTCTCCTTTCCTACTGCTGTCAATATTTTTATTTAAAAAGTAACAAACTTCAAATAAAATCTGACTGGTAGCAATCACAGCAATCTGTGTTGAGATTTCAGATGCCCACAGAAATAAAACCATACTGACTGCACTTCAATATATTGACAAGAGCTGGAAGGAAATGTGAGGAAATAAAAAGCAAAAGTTTTTCACACACAGGCAAAAATACACAATCAATACTTCAGTTCCTACTTATTTAAATACCTATTAATTGCTCTACTGTGCCTTCAACTCTCACGTCTGTTAACTTTGAAAAAAATAACATATTTCTTGCTCCCCTAGGAAGATGAAAAGCATTAGAAGAATTTTCAGTTAAGACAAAATTCACAAATAGAACATCTCATTATCCATAGCTATCAAACCAGAGCTCCTATGGTAGTTCCAGCTTCATTGATATAGTCATCATCATCATCATCATCATCATCATTGTAATTATAAGTCTCTTGGTGTCATATATTGGAATAATGTTTCTATAGGCATTATATCATTTTTAATAAAATATATATAATTTCAGATTTGAAGGGTTAAGAAAGAATATAGTCTAACTGGTCCCCTGAAGATACAGGAATGGAGACTCTTAGAGATGAATGGACTTGCTCCAAATCACATCACAGTATTAGGTAGACGAGAAATCAAAATTAAAAACTAAAGCGTAGGCCCAGGCACAGTGGTTCATGCCTGTAATCCTAGTCCTTTGGGAGGCCGAAACTGGAGGATCACTTGGGGCCAGGTGTTTGAGAACAGCCTGAGTAACATAGTGAGATGCCATTTCTAAGGAAAAAATTAAAATAAAAGTAGCATGGTGGCATGGGCCTGTAGTCCCAGCTACTCAGGAAGCTGAGACAAGAGAATCACTTGAGCTCCAGAGGTCAAGGCTGCAGTGAGCCAAGATCATGCCACTGCACTCTAGCCTAGGGGACAGAGCCAGACCCCTTCTCAAAAAAAAAAAAAAAAAAAAAAATGCCCACAAAAATTTACTTATGAAGTTAACAGGATTCTTACAATTCTCCTTGCTCATTTTAAAATGTGTGCCACTTGTCCATTTTCTTTGGTGGGACATTAGCTTTCTCCTCCCTCTCTGCTTTCTCTTCTTCCTCCTCTTCCTTTTCCTTTCAAGACAAAGGAGTAAGTTCTCCTTTCTGAAGCTAAACCAGTAATTTTAAAGCTTCCTTCACCTCGAATATTGTTAGTGAAAACCTCTGCTTGGGTTAAAGCCCCTTTTTTTCCTTTTTATACTGTTGTCTCTCTTCATTTGACCTAAGGTCAGATATTAAAGACTAAATTTCCTCATGAAATTTCTGAGCAAATTTTCACTTATTGATGTGCTTCTATAAAAAGTTTAGAAAGCACCCCTAAGGCCATTGACATTGCCAAAGGATAACAAATTACATGACCTTGGGTTGGTCTAGCAAGTCAAGCTCATAGTGTCTCCTGCTAAGCATGTACTAGACCCTGTATCTACATTAAATCTCTTGGTCTTCACAAAAACCTCACAAACTAAGTTCCACCTTCAGTCTCATAGTTATAAATAAATAGGCTAAAGCGAGTTAGTCTTAGAGAAGTTCTTTAACTTGCTCCAAGTCTCAGAGGTGGTAGAACCAGGGCTTGAATCTACAAGCCACCTGGCCCTGAAGCTTGACCCTTACTGTCTCTGGCCACAGTAGCTAATGTTGACCTCTTCCTTACACTAGGCCACATGGTATGCTAAGCTCTCAACCTGCAGTATCTCATTGGCTATTTATAACATGTTGTTTGCAAATACTATTATTGGTGCCATCATTTTACAGATGACAAAATAGGAGATTAGAAAAGTTAAGTAGCATTTTTTTAAGGCAAAGGAAAAAGCACACTTTTTTGGCATGAAATAACAAAACTGGTCCTCTAAGTTGCCTTGTTTCACCTACACTTTGGCATGCAGGCTGGCCTGGCTAAAGAATATAATGTGCGTGAATGTGAGTCTTTTGCTCACCTGCAAATGTAAAAGAAAAATATTTGAGTTGCCAAGGTGAAAGCCATCATGCCAATAAACATCAAGACACCCTTTAATCCTTTGATCAGTGAATTCTATACCTAAATGAAATGATTATTGCTTTCATAAAATGTCTCTGTTTGCTACTGACAGTGAGCAAACTGAGCTAGTATGTCCTGCAACAGCCTTTAAATAACCAAGGAGAGAGATCAAAATAAAAATAAATCTTGACCAGATTTATAGGTGCACCTTGATTAGTTCTTGTTATTTTCCTTCAAATAAGCAATACCTGAAAAAAATGAAAAGGGAATGTTGAGACCAGATATCATATAATAGATGGGCTTTCTCTGACATACAGTATGGTATAATGACAAAAAAATAATGCTGGCCCATCATTTGTGACACTTACCAGCTAAGTAGAGCAGAGAGAAAGACAAAGAGGATTTTTTCAGGATGCTGAATGGTGCCACCACTTGGATTTCAACAAATTATCATTTGTTTTACTGTACTTCTCAAAGTTTTGTTGTAGTGTAGCATTTTGTTGCTTTCTCTAAGACAACACATTTTCCTTTTCTTCAACTGATACAATTTTTTTTTGAAAAATTCTAACATTAAAATCAAATGTAGTGTATTCAAGTATAATTCCATTGCTTGCTAATGAGAAAGCATATCTTATAAGAATTTTAATTATGTACAATGTGATGAAACTGGAATTGTTTACCTACTAAACCATCACTTTCTCCTTCACACTCCCACCAACGCTCAGATATCTTCTCAAAGTGAGATGCCATAATTAATAGAAATGCCAGTCAATAAAGCTAACGATTATTATTTTTAAAACAGTGTAATTCTCATTTTTCTATCAACTACCCTTTTAATGAAAACCTCATTTCCTTCAGGCAACACTTTATCTACAATGGATTTGGCCAGTTGAATAAAAATACCTGTTAAAGGAGAGAAAGTTCCCATCGAAGCTGTTGAAATCTGATTTCATTTCAGATTCTAGAACTAATGTTGTTTTTTGTTTAAATAGATTTTGTCTGTCAATTTCCAGACCTGCTGTGCCATCAGCCTGTATGGACTGCTGTGGTCAACACGGGGGTTGTAGCAGCAAATTTTATTACAGACTGGAAATTGAATTGAACAGGTTTACATTTGAATAGATTTACTACATCATGTTCTCTGACATACTTCATGGGACTGAAATCCCTCTCCATCCATAAAGATACATTTCAGACAGTATCATTCTCTCCAGGCTTAGAAAGCAAGTCTTGAGCCAAGGAGATGGCCAAACATAATTGTGCATTTAGATGCAGGGTACAATGCAATATTTCACTGCATTTTTAAAGTATAATAGAAAAAGAATATTCCACATTTACTCATAACCATCCCATCCTTTCGATTTGGTGGTTGTGGGAGGTGGGGGGAGGTGGTTAAAAAACTGATATTTTGCCATCGAAGTGGGCATTAAGAAGTAAAGGAAAATAAATTATTATTTGAGTATATCAGCAACAGCAGCAATTCCCTAGAAAACAGATACTTGCTTGATAACAGCAACTGAAGAGGTGTGAATTATAGATAAGCACTGTCCCATTCACTTTCACCAACAATGTTTAATTAAACACAGTTCACACCTCTTCATTCACTCTTACCGCCCTTCAGGATTGTTCCTGCTAGAAATCACAATGGAAAAAATATTTAAGGAAAAATATCTTCTTTAAACCTGGAAAAGCAAATGGTATGTAAATCATAGCAGTAAATCAAGTTAATAAAAAATTATATATTCCTAAAATTGGAGAAGTGTCTCCATTAATTCAGTTTTTCAAAATAAAACCTAAATATAGATCAATACCACATCAATACAAGTGTTCATTGTTGTATTAATTTTAGAACTTTTTAAAAAATGGATTTGCTTTTGAAAAATAATGATTCCTCAACTTTCAAGGACTTGAAATCACTCTTAATTCCCTTTGAATGAGCATAAGTTTAGTTTGAGTCTCTACAACAAAACTAAGTGGCAACATAAATATAATTAAGGCCAGAAATTGACTGTCAATCACTGATCATTAACTTTCAGAAATATGTTTTGTTTGTTACTCTGCTATAGGGGTTAAGGCAATGGCTAAGATAAAGAGCTCCACTTCACAAACGTAAGCTACCACCATCATCCTAACTGAAAGAAAAACTCTGTCATGTGGGTTGGGTTGTTGTTGTCTTAATTATATGTTTTCCTTTATCAAAATTGTCCTTCTGGCAATTTCACATAAGTTTTCTTTAGCAAGAACCACCTTATCTGTCTTGTTCACTGTTGTATCACTGGAGCCTGGAATAGTGCCTGGAACATGGGAAGACCTTAGTACATATTCAGCAAAAGGATTACAAACGTAAAACATGTTAACTCTGAAAAATCCTAAAAGGGCCAAAGGCTATACCATAAAAAGTACCCCCATCCTCATTTTCATTCACCAATGTGACACTGTCACCAATCTTTAGGTATCCTTCCTTCCTTCCACTTCTCCATGTATACACATGTATATCCATCACTGTGTATGATGTCTGCCATCCATTCTCCTTTCCATCTCTCTCTATATACATATATATATACATATACACACACACACACTCTCATACATACACACACATACATATATAATGAATCATACTATTAATAAACTTGTTCTTATATATATATTTACTTAGTAATGTATCTTGGTCATCTTTTTATAAAACTTTATTATAACATTATACACTTCTTTGTGTATAGCTCTTTCTCAAGGGAAGAGCAAAGTTGAAGACTAGAAGAATTTGAGAGTGTCTTCTTTGTTCCTATTTGATAAGTGAAAGTCAGAGAAATACAATGTGAATTCCATATATCCAAACATAATCTGATCCACTCATCTTCCTATAATATTGTTCACAGTAAAAATCTTGAAAGAAGAACAAACCAGGAAAAATTATGACACCACGTGATGGCACACACTCATTGACACTCTGGTTCACTCTTGGTGAATTAATATGTGAGCCTATTTGGATTTAAAAGTTAAAAAATAGGGGATCTCCAGTAAGAACAAAATATAATAATAGGACAAGCCCCAGAAACAAAGCATAGTTCTATGATGCAACAGAAGTTACACATTTAAATATTTAATGAATCTAATTTTCTGTCAAACATTAATTACCATCTTTTCATTGTGTTACTTTATAAAACTGTGTTTATTTCAAACTCTGGTGAATTTTCTGAAGAAAGGGAAACAGAAAATTCTAAATGCAGCATGTAAAATTCACATTTACAAACACACACACAAGTATAGCAATGCATTAAAGAACAAAAACTGAATCACAGGCCTCACGAAGTAAAGAAAACTTTTTATCCATCTCCAAGCTAACATGTGAATTTCACTAGAAATGATGAAATATACAAATATTTCAGGACCTTTGACATGTGTGGAATAGTTGAGTGGCATCTAGAATCAATAGGTTCAGTTCCTGGCTCCACCAATTATAAACTGTGTGAGCTTAAGCAATTTGTTTAGCACAGAACACATGTCACTGTTGCTATTTTATGTTTGTTGTTGTTATCCCCAACTGAAAGCAAATAGAAAGCAATTTTAATATCATATTTTAAGTTCTTTGTAATAGAAAATAAAGTCTAAAAGATAAGGTTGGGAAAGAACAAAGAGTGCTTTAAACCCAAGATTAATTAAAAAAAAAAAATCTCTCTGCAAACCTAGTAATGAGAAGAAAACCAAAAATTCAATGACAGTAGCCTCTTGGTTTGTCTTCATCCTTTGCTTTCTGCAAATTGTAAAGAAGATAAAAGCACTACGGTCAAGCATACCTGGTGTGTTTCGCTGTACATCAGATCCTCCTACCTTGTCCCTTCCTGTCAATGTGAAGTGGTTAGCCATAAGTTATCAGAAAGTCCAGGTATAAAGGAGTATTCTGCCATCAGAGTCAGGGTACTTACTGTTACCTCATCTTTTTCTGGTTTCTCTAAAACTGGTGGAATTTTTTGCCTCCCATCCCCACAGCAAAATCAAAACCTCAGGGGCACTAGCAAAGAGCCTTACCTTCTTTCAGCATGCCCACTTTTAAACACTTCATGAAGCGGCAAGCCTGGCAGGATTTACGTCTGCGCTTTGTGATTTCACATTCATTCGTGGCAGGGCAGCTGTATTCTATATTGCCTAAAACACAAGTTTGAAGAAAAGTTGTCATATTTACAAGATCCAGGAAACATTAGCTTCCCAAAGGCAATGTCAACTCTATTATTCTTACTCTCCCACCCCAAAAAATGTCACATGAGACTCAAGAGAAATGTCATAAATATCATCAAGCTGGATGCTCTGCTATAATCACAAAAGATACATGGGGCAAGGAGAACAAACATGGTGAAATGCTTCAAAAGATGAAGTTTAAAATTAGCCTTCAAAACATTATGCTGAGTCCACCCATGCAAAGTAAGAGTCTTCCAGAGTCTTATGATCCAAAAGAAATTTCAAAATAGATTATGTTCATGAAAACACAAATATCAAAACCAGATTCTTGGATTGTCAATCCTGGATTTATTCTGATTCCTAATACTTTGGTGCATCAGGCTTATTGTCTTTCTGACACTGAACAGTATAAACTTCACTGTGGAAAATGATATGTAAACAAATATGGCATGTTATAGTAAGCTCCTAGAGGGTAGGGACAGAAATTACATAGTTGTTGCTTTAGCACTTACCAGAGCCTTACAACACAATTCTGTGCTTGGTAAATGCTTACTGATCATGGTGATGATAATGAAGATGATGGTCATCATCATTATCATCCTCATCATGATGTGTGTTACATAATTTGCATAATTAATTCCAAACACTGAAGTTCCCTGATGTTAGAACAAAGAATAAACTGCTATGAAATTATATATTTTTAAGATTAGACTTTGTATCATTTATGGTAGTACCTACATATTTAAAATGGCAACTAAGAAACCAGAAGAAGATCCAAACTAAATTTTTTTTTCAATTAGTACCAATGGCAGTGTGTGGGATGTGCTCTGGGGCTGCCTACAGCTTTGTAAAGAAGCTGCCTTTAAAATAAAGCTTTTCTCCCCAATCAGCTCTGTCACATAGTGCTTGAAGGTCTTTCGTTACTTCCTAACCCTTTCCCCTTGTGATTAAGTGCATTAGTATCTTAATGAAAATGCATTCTGTTTATTGCCCTCTTGGGAAGGGGGAGGTCATCACACCAAATGCATAAATTCTCATCAGAGACGGTCCGAGCATAATTGCAATTTTGCTGCTCCATGTTTGCAAAACTCAGGGTCCGTCCAAGTCCCCTGAAACATGCGCAGATTCTAGTAATTAGCATAGAGTCTGCCTGGGACCACAGCATTGATGAAATATTTCAGAGTTAATCACACTTTGTAAACACTGATTTATATTGACTACCTTTCTTCAGACTGACGTCTCCTCATTAAATATCACATTAGTGGATTGCAGGGTAGCACAAAGACTCAACTACTCAGCAACTGCTAATTCAACAAGAAGTAATACCTAACCACTTCTAACTACTGAAAACTGGTTAAGTATGCATGACTTGAAAAAAACACATTATAGTTTGAGATAGCCTATCAGAATTGCCTAAATTAGCATTCTAATTCAGGGCATTTATAATAATAAAAGCAACAACTTTTTAACAGGAGGTTAAATAATAAGAGTAATATTCATTGCATCAACAGAAGTATATACCATCACCTTCCTTGGAGATATTACTGATGCTATACTCTTAGAAAACCAAGGATAAGTCAAAGAAACCAGGGTGGCCGGGTCACAGCTAAGAATAAAAGGATTTATAATCTGAACTTTAGATGAACCACTCTTCACTGCAGAGTTTCTTCAACCATCTCTGAATATTTATTTTGCATCAAAAGAGTGTTGCTAGTAATTTTCTAAGGGTTAATTAGTATTCTACTACTAGATCCTTCCACCCTGTTCGGCTCCCCCTATACTTACTTAAAAAGAAACAGGCCTTTGCTGTCTTAGGAAGGACTGAACAGTGACTGCTTAAAAGGATCAGAAAGAAAGAAAAAAAAAAGTTTACCAAACAGCATTCTTTTCCTTTTTTCTGCCTGAAAAGTCAGTATGAAGTAACACTTTCATCACTTCCCTTATCAAGGCATGAGTGCTAGTCCTACGCACCTTTAACCCAGTGCTAAAAACTTCTACCAGGATGATCCACTGCCACAAACATAATCATCATTCTTTTAAAACCTGTTCCACTTCCTCTTTGAAAACTGTATCCCCATCCTTCACATCAACAAACTTCTGACAAGAATGCACATCAGGCATGTGTGAGCTCACACCTGGACTATGGCAGTTATCCCCTCCCTGGGCTTTTTGCCTCCGTCCTGACCCACTCTAATCCATGTGGCATACCGCTGTCATCTTCCTTTCCCTAGGACTGCTTTGATCACGTCATTATGCTGATTTTAAAAAATCAATAGAATTATTTGCCTTCCTGAATGAAATATAAACTATAAGGCTTACAAACAGGGTCTTCTCCCAGCCTTTCATTTACTTTTCCAGCAATATTGCTATTATTACCTGACATGAACTTTTTGAGGCAGCCAATTTGATTTATTCAGTTTTTGCTAAGTGTCCTTCAGACTTTCCTCTGAGAATTATCTATCTTTGCCACTTTTTCTTCTTAAAATTATTTCCAAGCCTCCTTGTTCAACTCCAACTCCATCCCAATCTTTCATGAAAACTTCTCTGACTATCCCAGCAGAAAACGATTTCTTGGTTTTCATATTTTTTCAGGTACTCTCATCATATCCAGACAGATAATATTTTGTTATACCTTTCATACACATATTACCCATTGGATGGTAAGACACTAGAGGACAATGGACATTTCTAATGCAGTATAAAAACCATCCAAGCCAGGTGCAGTGGTTCACGCCTGTAATTCCAACACTTTGGGAGGCCGAGGCAGGTGAATCACTTGAGGTCAGGAGTTCAAGACCAGCTTGGCTAACATGGCAAAACCCCATCTCTACCAAAAAAAAAAAAAGTAGAAAAATAAGCCAGGCATAGTGGTGTGAACCTTTAGTCCCAGCCTCTTGGAAGGTCGAGGTGGGAGAATTGCTTGAACCCAGAAGGCGGAGGTTTCAGTGAGCCAAGATCATGCCACTGCACTCCAGCCTGGGCAACAGAGCAAGACTTCATCCCCACCCTCCAAAAAAAAAAAATCCACCAAAAAGTAATATATAAGTAAAAGAATATACTTATAATAACTTAGAATTTTCTTATCTCAGGGTCATTATTATGAATATCAATTATGGTGTTATAATGCAGTGTCACAGGATCAAGTGAGCTGCATGTCCCATTAGGAAGCAATGTTAAGAACAGTAGGAAAATCATTCCACAAATAACTTTAAAAATAGAAGAAAAAGCCAGGTGCGATGGCTCACACCTGTAATCCAGCACTTTGGGAGGCCAAGGAGGGTGGATCACTCACTTGAGGTCAGAAGCTCAAGACGAGCCTGATCAACATGGTGAAACCCCATCTCTACTAAAAATACAAAATTAGCCAGGTGTGGTGGTGCATGCCTGTAATCCCAGCTGCGTGGGAGGCTGAGGCAGGAGAATTGCTTGAACCCAGGAGAAGGAGGCTGCAGTGAGCTGAGATCGTGCCATTGCACTCCAGCCTGGGCAATAAGAGCGAAACTCTGTTTCAAAAAAAAAAAAAAAAAATCTAGTTAATTTTTTGAAATCGTCAACAGTAGCTTTGACAAAAATGGAAAAAAAGTGTGGCAAAAGGGGAAAGATTATGAAAAAAATACAAAAGCTTCTGAGGAGTAAAGTGTGAATAAAAGAGGAAATCATAAAGGAAATTATATGTACAGGAAATAAAAATCCATACTGATATGAATAGGATAAGAATAAAAGGAAAACAAAATAATACAGATAGATGGTGCTAAATGAGTTACATAATTTTTATCTTACTTTATAATTGGAGCTACATTGGAGAAAATATTTAGGATTGATTCAATAATAGTAGCTAAATCTATGAATGACTCATCTAGGAATAATTACGTAAAGATTTTAAATCTCTTCAAAAGGCAGAAGGGAATCTGTCAAATAATGATATGAGAGTTTTAGATCACATTTAAAGGACTCTGGTCTCCTTTCTATCCATTACATTCTGTAATTCTTCAATGATAAGGAGAAATGTAAAAGCAGGGGAGGTTTTCCTAGTGTGTTAGAATGAAGTCTTAAAGTAGAACCTCTGTGTTATTCCTTGTTGAATCCTCAGTGCTAATCAATGAGCCAGGAGTTTTGTATTACGGCTGGTTTGGATTAGAGAGAGGTAGTTCCTGATATTAAAGAGTCCACTGAGAGGAGACAAGACGTGTAAATAAACAATACATTTTAGTGGGTGGTGTCATGGTTCAGGATGCAGTACTGGCGTACTGGCAAGTACATACATTCCCACAAACACAGGAATTATGCTTAGGAAGATCAGCAAATTCTCCAAATAGGGGCAAATGCTTGAACTATGACATGAAAAGTAAAGAAATGACTACACTGGGGTAAAGGACTCTTCCCAGAGCGACAGCAAATACAACATATGTATAAAAATTTCACCATGAATGGATGGAAATCAGTGGTCCTAGCATCTTCACAAATGATATAGTTTCAGCTGAAGTGTATAGAAATTGTTTCTGATAAACGGGGTCTCTTTCACAAATATTTTCTTTCAATAAAGTTGCCTTGACACATACGGATAATAACCTTGATTTCACTAAGTGACTCTGGTTTATATCTTGAAAAACAAGTCAACATCATTCTAAATAACTTATTTGCTTTATTTGCTGGAGGAAAACCTCTCTAATTTCCAGGCCCTCCCATTGAGTTACTTAGTTCATTGTTGTTGGCTATGATCACCCACCCAACAAAGTCTTTGATCCATGTTAGAGTCTACAGAGATTGTGCCCTTGAAAAACCTTCCCTGGTGCTTTTTCTATTCAATAAAGAAAGCATTTTATCCTAAAAATGTGCTGCCCCAAGCACCTGGGTAACAATGTTACGTCTATTTTGGTAATGGTTCAAAGACATGACTCCCAGTAGACCATATGATCTCTATGGGGCACTTGTTTTCCTTCCATTCTCTAAAAGTGGAAACTAGACGAAAATATTTCCAATAGCAACTATGGGCACCTGGAATGTGAACACTGGATATTCACTCAGGAGGATGCAGAAGTTATTGTTCACAGCATAGGATTTTCATTTCAGACACGGAGTTTTCTTGGATTATAGCTTGCTATTTTCTGGGACACATTTGTTAGATGGCACCAGGGACTGAATTGGGCAGCTACTGATGACACAACTGGAATTTTCCCAGTTTTGTCAATAGCTAGGGAAGTGTGCTCTGCTGCAGAGGGAACCAAATCAACATGGAAGCTCTCGGTTTTTAAACCAGGCTGACAAGAAAGATAGAGCAATTTATAATATCTCCTGGCGGCTTTTCAAAAAGTCCCGGGCTCTGATTACTTATTTCAGAGTCTTTTGTGCAATTAGTTTGCAGGCAATATAATTTTCTCACTTACTGCTTAATAGAATCTTGCAGCTAGCTGGCGGATAGAATAACAGGGTGTATGTAAAACTCCAGCCTGGAGCGCCAGTGGATAATTTGTATATTCCTTTCAGTCACTTAATGGACTTTTACAGTTTGGCAGTGAAAGGGCTGAATGATGTAAATTAGCATGGCATCTCAAAATAAAAATATATGTCAAATCTTTATTCCTGAATAACATCACTCCCACATGGTAATGATGCATTTGGATTTATGTAGTTCCTAAGACTTGTCCTCTTTTTCATACATACAGACATCATAATTGTAAAGCCAATTTGAAAGCATCTGTATATTTCTCCCAATTGTTTTAATTTTATTAACAGAACTAAATAGCTTGCAATGACCCACAGGGCACTCCAAGTGGGGTTTATCCAGTTGCTTTTCAACATTAAGTGATTTAAAAATAATGGGATTTGCCTCAGTACACAATTACAGAGCATTGGAATCATGCAGGCAATAATCTGTAGTATTTTTGTTTTAAAGGCCCTAAAACATAAACAAGAAAGAAAGAAAGAAAACTCTGTCTTTATTGTATAGTGGCAAAGGTTTTTCCATTTTTACAGTGATCTAACTTTCCTTTTTTTCTTTGTTTTTCTTTCTTATTTTCAATGCTTCGTTTCTAGCTATTCTGTGCTCATTTCCACCTGAAAGAGAAAATAATACTATCTATAGCTGAGATTCATATTATGGAATAGTAATTTATTCTATATCTGTAACTTTTAAAAAGTCATAATTACATCAATGCACATGTAAGTTAAGGGAGTTATTTGTTTTTCAAAGAAGGCGTCCACAGTTCGACTTTAAATAAGTTGTGTAGGAACACTACATCTGTTCTCAAGGGATTCCACCAAATACTTTTTGGTGCTTCCTTTAGAACTGCCACCAGAGCCACTTTACAAGGTATAAACAGGGTTTGGGAGGCCCTATATTATACCTCATTTTCACCCAAACGTATTGCCCTTTGCATTTTGACATGAAGCCCGATGATTTTTGTCCATTACTAAATTTTAAGTCTACCCTTAAAGGTCAATGATTTGCCATCACTGAAGCTATTGTGAGACTCTGTCTCAGGCTCTAAAAGAGGATTTCCAAAAATACTATAAGGAATGGGTACTATCACTCTACTAATGGGACCCCAGACCACCTGCCAGGTGAGGTTGTGGCATACTGAAGTGGGAGGAGAGGAGCATCACATCAGGATAATAGTTAGAGTTGGCTCTTATCAAAGCAATTTCATACACAGGAGTGTGCACAAGTCTCATGCTCTTTGCCTCTGCACTGTCTCTCTACCCCATAAAAAATGAGGTGGGGGAGAGGAGGGTATAGACAAGACCTTTTGCAGGTTGGTTCTTTAGCATTCTATAGGATTAAATTCTGACAATCATAAATGTAGTATATAAGAGGCATACAGCATAGCGGTGCAAATTGCTGCATTTTCAAGGTGAAACTCAAGCCTCACTTCCAAATAGGAATGGATGATGCTTTGCCCTTAAGGAAAAAAGACCGGAAGGATATTCACAAGCAGGCAGGCTTTTAAACCCTCAGCAATGTCTAGTGACTGGAGATCACACACTCTGGTTTCATCCTACAGTGTCCTGTGTTTGGGAGAGTCACCAAGGCTGCAGTCTGTGCCAGTACTGGCCACCTCCCTGTGCAAAATTTCTAACAATAAGATTCTATTCCTCCACTGTATTGAATGAAAAATGCTTAGCTTTTAAAAATGCTATAAAATGAGGACAAATTACTTAGCCTTGATTTTTTTCCAGTTTTAAAAAAACTACATCTTCCCTCAGGTTCCCCTAACTTTTCCCCTAACTTTGTAAACATGGGCATTCCTTTATCACTTTAATTCTACAACCATCAACTAAACACTAGGCATTGTGCATGTTCATTTTAGGACAAAATTTTTGTATGTCCATTCTATGTCAATCTTTAGCATATTACTTTGCATACAGTTGAGAAAAATGTCTGAGGAGGAATGTGTGATAGGAGGGGAGGAGAAAAGAAAGAGGCCAGGCACTGTGCCTCATGCTGTAATCCCAGCACTTTGGAAGGCCGAGGCAGGTGGATCACCTGAGGTCAGGAGTTCGAAACCAGCCTGGCCAACATGGCGAAACCCCATCTCTACTAAAAATACAAAAAAAAAAAAAAAAAATAGCCAGGCATGGTTGTGTGCGCCTGTAATCCCAGCTACTCAGGAGGCTGAGGCAGGAGAATCACTTGAACCCAGAAGGCGGAGGTTGGAGTGAGCTGAAATCGTGCCACTGCAGCCCAGCCTGGGTGTGAAAGCAAGACTCTGTCTCCAAAAAAGAAAGTAAAAGAAGAGAAGAGAAGAGAAGAGAAGAGAAGAGAAGAGAAGAGAAGAGAAGAGAAGAGAAGAGAAGAGAAATAAAGAAAAGAAAAGAAAAGTAGAGAAAATGCAAACCTAGGTTCAAGTTCCAGCTCTACCATGTTATTGGCTGTGTGAACTTGAACTAGTTGCCTTTGTTACCCTCAGTCTGCTAAAGTACAAAAGAGGAATAATCATATCTGCTTTATAACTTTGTAAGAATTATGTGAAATGAAGATATTAAGATCATATACATACAGTTTTGGTCCCTTTTCTGAGGAAAAAGGAGAGAACTGTCTTAACATCCCATTTATTGTTATTTACCTTGAATCCTAAGGCTTTACTCTCCAGTTTGCAAATATTATAAAATAAAACCACCTTCCTCAGATTTATACAAGGATGTGAAAATGAATATGCCATTCACTCAGAAACACTGAAAGATTTTGTCCTTGCAACACTTCTAGGCAGAATATTTAGCTATGTTTTACAGATATTGAGAAGGAAAGGAAGATAGTTGTTCTTAAAAGTACCGAAATGTCTGAGAAGTGAGTTTGTGAGGCATCAACCACATCTCATGAACACTTCCTGTCTCTACCTTGGAGCACACACAGTGCCTATCGCTGGGTATGATCTGATTAGAACAGAGGACAAAACATTTGCAAAGCTCTTCAAAAATCTTATCCCAGCCTTATCTCTTGCCACAGTCCCAGGTCGACTTCTACCCCATCTCAAGCTCACCCCCTTGTCTGAAACCCACATGGCATTACCTGAAGTTCCTAGAAAGCAGCATCCTTTCCTATTGCTCCTCTCTATGTGCTGCTTCTATCATTTCTTCAGTGAGATGATCCCAGGGCTCCCAAGACTGAGTTAGGGGTCTTTGTGGATGTAACTAGTTCATCCCGTACTTACCTTTCAGGTGAGTCCCTCTCTTAGCACTTAACACACTTTATTATATGTATCTGTGGAATTGCCCCCTTCCTGTCCCAACTGTATATTCTTTGAGGGCAGCGTCTTACTCCTTTCAGAATCCCCTGTGTCCAAGAGAGTGTCAGGTCAAGTCAATGACCCATAGGAAACATTCATTTGTCAACTTAATTTTTAGTGAGTCTGTTATTCATTCCCCCATTTTAGTGTTTAGCTTCAAATTATTCATTAAAAATTTAGAATAAAAGTGTTAGCAATTCACTAGTACTATATTATTTGGCATAAAATAACACAGACTTATAGGATATTTGATTTCAAAGAGATTCTAAATTCCAGTTGCTTCAGCCCCCTTGTTTTATATAGAAGACCATAAAAGGGGTAAATATGTAAGGACTTATCTATTATCACTAGAACCTATGATTGCTCCACCCTCTTTATAAGAATATGGGCTAGTTAACTGCAGAAATGAGACTAAAACTGAGATATCCCAACATCCAGTTCAATGGCCTTTAAATGCATCCACAAATACTTAGATATCAATACCTAAGAACAGGAGAATAACAAACACTAAGACTCACAGGTACTCTTTGATGTGCTTTACATTATGAACTACCATTCTGTGATTAGAGATTTAAGGCAGAGAGAGAATAAGGTAACATACCCAGAATCATATAGCTAACAAGCACTAGAGCCAGGATTTGAACCCAGGCAATCTGGATCCAAAGTCTGTGCTCTTAAATATGAGGCATGCTGCCTAACTCTAATCTTTTAAAAGTAATTAATTGAATGTTGTTTAGAATATAAATAAAAATGAACATTCCATCTTCTGAAAGAGCACTTTGTGTAGCTGTTGCTGTTGCTATTGTTGCCAGTCAGAAAGGAAATTTTGATGCCTGACATAGGAGCCTGAGAGTGATAGGTTCAGGGTGGATCTTGGCATTGTCTTTTGCTGTTGTCAGACTTATGGTGTAAGGGCAGCTGTGGGATAGGATAGGGTTGCTTTTAGAGAACGGAATCTCTCAACACCTCAAAAAGAAATCCCTTAACTTGTCTCTGTACCAGTATGGTTGGTGGCTGGTTTAATTCCACAGAAACCAAACAGAGCATGTCACCAAAGCAACAGGTGTCAGGTTGTACACAATGCATTTTAACAATCCCAAAATAATGTTCTTGTTCCTGATGGGAAAAAAAAAGTAATCCATAATCATGAGGGTGTGTTCTGAAATACATTTAAAAAGGACTGGTAAGTGTATAATAAAAATACATTGGTGAAAATGATGGAGAATATAAATGTCTCTCATCCAAGGACTAAAGAAATTCAATGTTTTTAGTTCTGATATAATGATGTCTTCTTGTAAAAGGCAACTGTTTTTTACAGTGTAAAATGCATATCCTACATGATGTGTACAGTCTCTTCTTCTTAGTTTTTAAGCTCTTATAGTACACAGATCATGTCACAGAAGTCTTTATAAAAGAGCTTAAAGGTGACCACTGCCACAAGAAATATATAATGTCTGAGCTGACTATAACCTCCAAATTTGCTGTGCTCTCTATCCAACATCAATTTTTACATGTTATTCTTCTACCTGTGAATTTTAAACAACCTTGATGCAAGTCTGCTTATCTGTCTTTCAAAACATGCAACAACAACAAAAGCCTTGTTAATAAAATATTCTTGGAAAAGAAAGCAATGCTAATTACATCTAATGCATTCACTATCTTTGGATAGAAACAGTTTCAATGTGTACATTTTATGGTGACTTTTGCAGACCGGTACAAGTCCATATGACCAGTTAGGGGCATTTGGATGATACCCTATATGATAAAAGCAGTTGATTCTTAAATAGAAATTTTACTTCTTGAGATTTCCCTTCTACCTTAAACAAGTATAACCCTTTCTAATACTATCCCTAAGTACTTCTGTTCTTGGATGCTATCAATGTGCCCAAAGTTTGTCAGAGAGGAAAAAATGGAATTAGAGTTTGCTTTTAAGATCAAGTTCATATATTCAACAAATATCTGCATCCTCTAAAATTAATACTGATTTGGGGAACTCCTTGACATAAGTAATGGTAATTGATCTGTGTGTAAGCTGTAGGAGGCAGTATAACATATAGATTACGAGCTAACATACTGGAGTCAAATTGGGCTGCCTTGTTCTACCATTTTCCGTGTGACTTTGGAGCAGCTCTTAAATTTGGAGTTACCTTCTTTATGAATGACATGTGGATGGGTAATAATAATTGATACATTATGGGGTTGCTATTAACATTAAGTAAGATCATGTATTTAAGATGCTTAGCAGAGTTCCTGACAGGGAGTGAGTATTGATTATAATATTAGCAATAATTACAACATCATTACTGTACTCAGGGAAGGAATGCAGGAGAAAGAGCTAAGAGGGACTCAAGAAGTGCCCAGGTAATGGTTCTCAGCACAGAAGTAAGGAAGTGCTAGCCAGAGAATTTCTTCTGGCCTTGTGCTTGTCAGCCAAAAGACAAAGAACTGATGTCTGAGTCAAAAGGCACTTCGTGAGAAGCAAAAGCAAACAAACCAACCAAAGAGTATGCCATGGACTCAGTCATAAAAGAAGGTAAAACATTCAAAAAACAGTAATTACCCCAAGGGTCAGGGAACTCAGATAGCACTGCTGGCTGGATTGAGAGAAAGGCGAGGAAAGCCCAGAAAACAATGGAAGCTCCTGGCATGTAGTCTGTACCTGAAGTTTAAAATAAAATCTGTATACCTGAACTGTCTTCTATGTTAGGGATTTCAGATAAGTGCCTCGCATCCCCCAGGAAGAGTAAGAAAGAAAAGTATAGAGGAAAACTTAGCAGGGAGAGTGGGGGGGTTCCTGTTTGATGATTGTCCAAGGGACATAGGATGAAAATGCCTCCTCCACTGTGGGATATTTGTTTAACTCTAAGTCTTCCACAGAAGAGCAGGGGTTTGGTTGGCAAGCTTTTTTGAAAGGGCCAGATTGTACATATTTTTGTCTTTGCAGGTCATTCAGTCTCTGCTGTGACTCCTTAACTCAGCTGCTGTAGCACAAAAGCAGCCACAGACCATACTAGAATAGGTGTGGCCATGTTCCAATAAAACTTTCTTTAGCAAAATGGATTTGGCCCGCAGGCCTTGGTTTAGCCATCTCTTGTCTAAACCATATGGACAAAAGGCTGCAACGACAAAAATACTTTACAGTCTATTATCCATTATTTCCTTTCTTGCTCACGACTCTGTAAGGTAGTTTCCCCCAAGTTAGGTACAGAAACTTTTTAAAGAAATCTTTGTAAATTGATAATAACTGAGAAGAACAGATGGAAGAATGAGTTGGAAAACTTTTACTTTAAGTATCACAAAATTTGAAATTGTTTTCCATATAAAACATAGGCGAAAGCTCTGGGGCACAGTGAGGTTTTTCCAAAAGCAGGAGGTACTTTGGAAGTAGTGAAGATGCTCTGGAGGCAAAAGCAGGGGAAAAAAAGTACACTTGAGGACAACACATTGGGCTACATTCCTTCCTTTGAAGATTTTTGTGCTTATCTCTGATCGTCCTCAAATGGAAACTGTAAATAGTATGCACTGAAAAGAAAATGGATATCAGAATGTAGATTTGGGATATGTATTCAGATTCATTCTAAAGGTAAATTCATATTTTCAGCTCTACATTCTAAATTAACAAAGATGTCCTTGAACTAAATAATCTCTCAGTAGTATTCTTTCTAGTATTATCAGAGATGCCCTTTTTTTAAGTCTGCTCAAACCAAGATAAAATGAGATTTAATTCCAAATAATACAGCAACTTTTTGTTAAAAATAGATTAAAAAAATTTTTCTCTTTCTATCATTCATCATAAGAAAAACAAAAAAAAGAGACCAAGAGCAACAACAACAACAACAACAAAAAGGGACTGATTCTGAGCTGCCTTCTGGAGTGGTCACAAAGTTTATGCAAATGGACAATTATTCTCACATCAAAACAGGAGAGAAATAAGCCTCTTTCTTCCTAAAATAAATAATTAAATAATACAGAAGTGTCATCAGTGGCGACAGATTTTTAGGATCAGTTTAAGACTAACAAACAAAAATTGGGTGGAGAAAGGAATGTCAGATGATAAAAATCCAGAGAACTGACACAGGAAATGGAAATGGTGGTGGCACTGAAGAGTTGCGCTCTCAAGCTTCACATTTAAGGGATTTCTAAAAATGAATTGCAAAGCGTTTAGGTATTTTTAAGACTTAGTTCTTACTGTCTCCTTTCTAAAAACCTTGAATATTATCTAATCATAACATTTGGCATATTCTTAATTCCTCATTTTTATTTTAATAACTTAAATGATTTTGCCCATGGATTAAAATTCTCTCAAGAAAAATACAATCTAAAATCATTCAATCTTTTAAAAGCTTTTAAAATATACAAGGCAGTGTAATGAAGGGGTTAAGAGGACAGGCTCTGGGTTCAAGATTTCGGGGACCCAGTTGTTCTTTGGGCAATTACTTCTCTGTGCCTCAAGTTCCACATCTATAATAGAAGATAATATAATCATGATAGAAGTGCCTACTTCATTGGGATGATTAAAGAAATGAGATAATTAATGTAAAGCACATAGAACAATGTGTGACACTTTGCAAAATCAAATATATTCATTATTATTATAAATTAAACTAATATATTTATTATTACTATTAATATTATTGGTTAACAAATTCTTCACCTAAAGGCATTGCATTAAGCTCAGGAATCTTAAGACAGCTATGTACATTATCCATATATATAAAATTACTTATGGATAAGCCTAAGGTGATAAAAGATTAGAACTTTGGTGTATATATAAATTTGGCATATCTATAAAATCTCTCAAAAATATTTAAACATTCACCTCCTACCCATTAGGATGGTTGCTACTGAAGAAAAAAAAAAAAAAACAGAAAATAACCAAGCACTGAAAAGAATACGAAGAAATTAGAACACTTGTGCTCTGTTGATGGTAATATAAAATTGTACTGCCGCTCTAGAAAACAGTACGGGAGTTCTTCTAAGAATTAAAAATAGAATTACCATGTGATCCAGTAATTTCACTTCTTGGTGTATGCATACATCCAAAAGAATTAAAAATAGGATCTCAAACAAGTATTTGTACACCCAGGTTCACTGCAGTATTATTTACAATAGCCAAGAGATGGAAGCAACATAAATGTCAGCCAAGAGAGGAATGCACAAAGAAAATGTGGTCTATCCATACAGTGGAATGTAGTAGTCCTCTCTTATTTGCGATTTCACTTTCAGCGGTTTCAATTACCCAAGGTACAGTACAGTAAAATATTTTGAGAGACAGAGAGACCACATTCACATAACTTTTAGTACTGTATATTGTTATAATTGTCCTATTTTAGTATTAGTTATTTTTGTTAATCTCTTACTGGGCCTAATCTATAAATTAAACTTTATCAAGATATGTATGTATAGAAAAAAAAAATCCTCATCTCTATACGGTTCAGTCCCATCTGTGGTTTCAGGTATCCTCTGGGGGCCTTGGTACACATCCCCTGCAGATAATGGGGGACTCCTGTATTATTCCATTTTTAAAAAGAAATCCTGTCATGCACAATGACATGAATGAACTTTGATGATATTATGCTAAGTGAAATAAGCCAGTGACAAAAAGACAAAGACTGCATGATTCCACTTATAGGAGATATCTAGAGCAGCCAAACTCATAGAAACAGAAAGAAGAATGGTGGCTAGCAGGGACTGGGGGTAGGGAGAAATGAGGAGTTGTTTCATGAGTGCAGAGTTTACATCTGGCATGATGAAATACTAAAGACTCGTGAGCTATTGCACAACCATGAGCATATAGTTAACACTAATGTACTACACATTAAAAAAATGGTTAAGATGGTAAATTTTATGTTTCTTACCACATTTTTTAAGTTTAAATGTCAGTTCTTTTAAATACAAACAGATTAGCTTTTAAGTATAAAAGCTAAAATACTACACCAGCATCCTGTACCTAATTTTGAGCTTATGTGAAACTTTTTAAATTGTATAAATCAGCTCCAATGACTAGGCCGTCACATCACTGAAGTCTCATTATCAGCAACTTTAAAAGAAAGTGAATTCATGTGGTTTATAACTTGAGTGAGTTAATGTGTTTTATAACTTCTAAGAAATTGTCTAAGTTCATCTAGTAGTATATCAGGAAAACACATCACTGCCCTGGGCTTTACCAAAAAAAGAAAATAAAATCCTGACCCATGACTTTTACTCATGTCAAAATTCTGAACCCCACCCAGCCATACCTCATGAGTTACCTAACAGCTTCTATAGTTTGACTTTTAACAAGAACTGATGCTCCCTTTCTTACAGATTTAGCAAATCACATTGAGTCATATTCCCCCACAACTAGTTACCAAGCAAAAGTGACCCACATCAATAGGAACTTCTGACAACACAACTCTCATCATTCATTTTTTGTTTTCTTTCCTACATTTAGAGTGAACATTCTAATATACCCTATCTGGCTTTAGCCATAACCAATTTTGAGTTCACTGGAGGAATGGCTTTTATTGTATAACTATTTGAACATATGTACAAAAACATGCATTTTGAAAAATATAAAGCACAAAGTATCATTCCTATTGTTTTGCTCTCAAGCATTTAACATGCCGTTCAGTAGACTGAGGCTATTCTAGCAGGGTCTGAAGCAGCCTTATTTGTCATGACTTGGTTCTGGGTTAAGGGAGCACAAGGAGGAATGAAGGAAAGCTATTAGAGTGCTAAGAAAGGCACTCATGTCTTTGTTTGGGAGTTTATCTTGTAATCAAAGAACTGCCTCCAGTACCTTCATCAAAACAAATAGTCATCAGATAATAGAGATTATGGATGGCATGTCCTCTGGGGAAAGTCCAGTGATCTGTAGGCAAAGAGTCAGCCACACCCGCTTCCTGAAAGTCCACTCACAAATTTAAAATTCCACCTTGCAAAAGGCAGAAAAGTCAATGGCATTTTTATAAGAATTAATTGGAAGTGATCTGTGAAGTCCCTTAGACTGGAACATAAAAACAATACAAACTTCCTTCTCAACAGTTACTCGCTAGGAGAGCTCAGAGACTTAACAGGTTGTAGTTTGGGGCAGGTTAAGAGAACTCTCCTCCCCCCAAAAAAAATCAGTGGAAGAAATGGTAATGCAAGGGCTTCTTTTCCATAAGAGAATGATTGAATCGGGAACAGGTACGTTTGAGTAACCCAGACGGGTCAGGATAGGGGATGCTCCCACACTGGAACCAGATAGGCACCAGGTCTTATGCCAGCTGCACCCACAGTCAGCACCTGAAGGGCAGCTTTCCATCCACGCTACTCCGTCCGAGGACACTAGCTCAGGAGATCTATAGGGAATTGATTTTATTTTCTGAGTGCAGAGGGTTTTATTAAAGGAAAAATAAATAAGAGTACATGCTTTGATTAAGTATGCGTGTGTAAAGAGAATTTATTCCAGAATTACATCCGTATTTTTTTTGGATTCTAACATAGGCCATATCACACAGTAGAATCCATGAAATATGGGCTTATGTAACAGGTACTTTATAAGTTCTGTTAAAATATAAAGATAGAACTAAGTTTAGGCCGGGTGCAGTGGCTCATGCCTGTAATCCCAGCACATCGGGAGACCAAGGCGGGTGGATCACCTGAGGTCAGCAGTGTGAGACCAGCTTGGCAAACATGGTGAAACCCTGTCTCTACTAAAAGTACAAAAATTAGCCAGGCATGGTGGTGCATGCCTGTAATCCCAGCTACTCAGGAGGCTGAGGCACAAGAATCGCTTGAATCCGGGAGGCGGAGTTTGCAGTAAGCCAAGATCACCCCATTGCCCTACAGCCTGGGTGACAGAGCGAGACTCCATCTCAAAAAAAAAAAAAAAAAAAAAAAAGATAGAACGAAGTTGAAAAATTATGAAAAAGCTTATCCCTTTATTAAATGTAACTATCATGAATTAGTGATATTGCTACTACAAAGTGTATTACTTAAAATAAATAAGGCTGGGCGCGGTGGCTCACGCTAATCCTAGCATTTTGTAAGGCCAAGGCAGGTGGATCAACTGAGGTCAGGAGTTTGAGACCAGCCTGACTAACATGGTGAAACCCCGTCTCTACTGAAAAATACAAAAATTAGCCAGGTGTAGTGGCTGGCACCTGTAATCCCAGCCACTCAGAAGGCTGAGGCAGAAGAATCGCTTGAACTCAGGAGGCGGAGGTTGCAGTGAGCCAAGATCACACCATTGCACTCCAGCCTGGGTGACAGAACGAGACTCCATCTCAAAAAATAAATAAATAAATAAATAAATATTTAATATCAGCAGAGGAATATGAAACCCATTCTATCACTTCTTCCAGATCACTGTGAAGTAACAGAGACAGTAGGAAAGAAGGTTACCCTTTTGCAAATACATTGCTAGGAAAATTAATTTTGTTTGCCTAATCTGACATGAGCTATAGTTGGGCATTAAGTTTTGTTGCAAATTTGTGTCCATCCTGAATACCATTGGCATATACCCCTTACATGGGATAGGCTCTTACGTAGTGTCACCCAACAGGAAAATATACCCTACAAATCAAAGCTAAAATGATATGCCTATTTTAAATGACTTTCAAAATAGAGTAACATAATGCTATGTGTTTAATAAACATGTAAATCACACCAGAGATTCTTTTTTCTGCAAACTGGAGTTTCTAATATTTGAAGGACAAAAATCTAGTGAGGATCATTACATTTTATTCTATTTTTCTTTCCTTGATCAAAGATCAACCATGAAATACAATCTCTGAAAATAATCACTCTGATTTTGCACAACCCAAAGATCTTTTTTCATCAGCCACTCTGTTACTTTGTCTTAATTTACATTGATTCTGTTTTCTAATTAGCTAGCCAACACACACACACACTCACACACACACATATATTCACGCATATATATTATAGTGCTCACAGATGTGTAGTTCAAACAGGCTTGAAATATCCAAACAGAGAAAAGAGACTAGAAAATTCTGAAGAAGTAAAAATATTCTGAAAAGGGAAATAATAGACTAAAAAAAGTCATTATGATAGAGATTGGGTTTCAATTTTATAAATGATATGTACACAAAACTGCCTAGGAAATCCTTTGGTATAAAAATCTTTTTCATCAATGTTGCCTGCAAGGAAGAAAAATAGGGTGTCTTGATTTAGAAGTTACCCAAACTACGACCAACAGGTCAAATCCAGGTCTGGGCTTGTTTTTGAATGCCCTCAAGCTCAGAGTGTTTTTTTATATTTTTAAACAGCTTAAAAAAAAAACAAAACAAAGAGTATGGAACAGAGAAGGCATGTGGCACACAGATCCTGATATATGTGATAACCTAAGATATTTAAACTATTTAATTTATTATCTGTCTCTTGAAAATGCCTGCTGACCAGTAGCTCTTTGACAACCTCAAAAGTATAATTTAGGTGACTTCCCAAGTCAGAACAAACCGTGGAAAAGGAATCACTACTCATTTGTCTCAAGAAGTGGTTCCAGTAAGTCAAAACCAGGAGAAGAAAAACTAAATTATGCTGTTTTAGGACACCCATTCATATAGTACTTCTTCACCAAAAAAGAAAGATTGCAATATTTTACTATTAAAATAAACACTGAACCTAACAATTAAAATAGCAAGAGTAGAATGATATTTGTTATTTATAATTTGGCAACTTTAATGCATTTCAAAAACTCAGACACAACTGGCATCAAATGCAAGAAGTGGAAAAGTCAAACTTACAACAAAAGCAAGTTAAGAGTTAAAGTAGGCTGGGCGCGGTGGCTCATGCCTGTGATCCCAGCACTTGGGGAGGCCAAGGTGGGCAGATCACTTGAGGTCGGAAGTTTGAGACCAGCCTGGCCAACATAGTGAAACTCTGTCTCTACTAAAAATACAAAAATTAGCCAGGCTTGCTGGTGTGTGCCTGTAATCCTAGCTACTTGGGAAGCTGAGGCAGGAGAATCACTTGAACCCAGGAGGTGGACATTGCATTGAGCCAAGATGGCACCACTGCACTTTAGCCTGGGTAACAGAAAGAGACTCTGTCTCAAAAAAAAGAAAAAAAAAAGTTAAAGCAATGAATTATATACAACATTTCTTTGGAAAATATTACTTCTATATTTAATTTAACACTGCATTCAAACTGATAATCACTGCGATTCATCAAGTCAATTTAGACATTTCCATATTATTTTGGATTTCAATTTTATAACATATTAGAGTTTTAAAGCTACCAATTACTATAAACTGAGGTAGTTATTTTCTCTAGACACTATTTGGGTTAAATACATTTTATTAGTTTCCTTTGGAAAGTTCATATCATGTACACTCAATTTGTAAGTTCTTATTTTCTCTATGGCTGAAAACATTCTAAGACTGAAACAGCACATGATGGCAAAAGAAATGCAACACCAGGAAAGATCCTCTAGGACTACACTGCCTGCTTCAGGAAGGAGTCATACAATTCAGTGTAGTAAAGCAGTTGATTGCATCAGATCCAAGGGCTATGCCCGCATGCCTTTAGCATATGGCTTGCAGGAAAATGACTAATCTTAATGCCCCATGTTTAAGGTGAGATTTAGGCTCACATTAATGCCACTTTAGCCTCAGACAAGAAAAGCCCTTGCCTGAAGGCTGTGGGCTTTAGAAGGTATACGTAGCACAAAGATCCCACTCAAAGTGTGAAGGGAAAAAAGCCCAGCTGGAGCCGTCCCCTGCGTACACCTTGATCCTGAGTACCTGAGACCCTCAAACTCCCTGGCTAGATCACCACAAGCCCATGGAAGTGCCAGGGCCTGAGCGGGACTCTCTCTTGGGTCTGTTCTCTGGAAGCTAGACTGGACTAAACTGCCCTTCTGGTGTGCACATTAGACCTGGGCGTGGTCAAGGAACAGCTGTTTGGAAGGGGTCACTGGGCCTTAGACATGTGGGCAAGGGTGTCCACACTATGTACAAGATTGGGAGATAGAGGAGAGAGAAAGAAAGGGGATGGGCTGCAGGCTATGAACCAGCTCTCCTTGCACTGCCTCTCACTGACAGAAAATTGTTCCTTGGAGTCAAAGACTGACCAATAAAAAGTCAGTCTCCCAGGCTATTATGAAGGTATAGTTGGTCAAATAAGAGACTAGAACAAATTTCACTTAGTGATTTGGTATCTTGATTTATAACATTAACATATTTACATATACTATGCAGTATTTGGGTGCTTGCTGTACTCTTGTCCTAGGTCCTGCAATGTTCAGAGTGGACTTAGTTCCATAATGGTCACTCCCACACCTCACACAGGGAAGATATGCTACTACTTCAGTGCCTAAATTTCACAAGTGAAGCTAAACTGAGAATTTTATGTTTTATGCAAGTTCCAAAATTCAGGCTTGTTTTTTGATGTATGCAGTTTCCCATTCTTATTCACAGGGAAATAAAGTTAATTGAGCACGATAAGCTAAATATAACTAAACAAATTTCCAGACAGTTCACCTAAATGCCTCCAATCATATAAAGGCACCATCAGTGAGAAATGGCTACAGGGAGAGAGGGTTTACGATCATAGCTAAAGGGTGGAGACAGCTGTGAGCTCTGGAAGGTGACATACCTGTCCTTCTAGTTTAGCATCAAGGATAACTCTGTGCTAGATTACACGAACCATCCAGCCTCTGGGTATCCCAGTCATATTCCCAATATCAACCAAAGTTAATAATTTAGTGTACATTTACTATGGGTCAAGTACTTCGATATTCATTCTCTCATGTAACCCTCATCACTTGGGAAACAGAGGAAAAGAGGGGTTAAGGTCTCACAGCTGGTAAGTGGCTGAGACTTGGGCCTGGCTTTATATAAATCCAAAACCGATGCTATAATGAACATCTTTTTAAAATCTCATATTTTTAAATATACAATTTCCCACCTTTTAAATGTGGGGGAAAGAAGAATACTTTATTTCTAGCACTATAATGAGGAGTTAGAATGGCTATATTATCTACACAAAGAAAACTATTTATAAAATTATTTTCTTTATTATATGGACATAAAAACTTCAGGAGGCTAGTGTTTTGTCTATTAAATAATGAAATATGTAATACTTGGGTATTACTTATACTTGGGTATAAGGATGTTTTCCTTCTCTTGCCTCCTTAACAAGAGTCTAGGGGAAACTCTTAATGAGAAGTTCCCAAAAAAAAAGAAAAGAAAAGAAGGAAGGAAGGAAAGAAAGAAGGAAGGAAGGAAGGAGGGAAAGAAGGCAGACTCCAATCATTTATGAATTAAGGCCAAAATTGGAATTGGAAAAAAAATCAGAAGAATAACAATATCACATCCCCAAAATTACTATGCCTAGAAAATGACGTGAAATCACTGCTGCCACTGTAACCCTATTGGATGACAGGGTAGAGCTGTCAAAGTTTTGTAAAAAGTATTTTGGTCAGCCAAAAACAAAAACAAAACAGCAAAACTTTGGCTTCTACCCAACTAAATGCTGACATAATTCAATAGTTTTTCAATGATAACTTGAAAATAGTCAACAAGTAAAATATTCCTTTCTATTTACCTTTCATTGAAATCCATGATTAATTGTCTTTCACAACAGAAATAGCACATTCAGCTCTGAAAAGAACAATTTGTATTACTTTTCTCAAGATATGGTCTGGATATATGTTCTTTTGGTGCCAAGTTTAAGAAGTATTTTTCCCAACTTTTTAAACGTATATATTTATTACACACTCGATAACCAATCCTAAAAATAAATTGTTAAAATAAGAAGTAAGATGGCTCATGCCTGTAATCCCAGCACTTTGGGAGGCTGAGGCAGGAGGATCATTTGAGGCTAGGAGTTTGAGACCAGCCTGGGCAACATAGGGAGATCCCGTCTCTACAAAAGAGTGAAAAATTAGGTAGGCATGGTAGTGCATGCCTGTTTTCCAGCTACTTGGGAGGCTGAGGGGAAGGGATCACTTGAGCCCAGGAGGTGGAGGCTGCAGTGAGCCAAGATCACATCACTGTACAACAGCCTGGGCAACACAGTGAGACCCTGTCTCAAAAATAATAAGAAGATATATTAAAAAGGAAAGATCTTAACAGATGATGGTGTACATGAAAATGCCTATGGATGCACACGTCCCTTAAGTCAATGAGAGTAGAACCAGGCCCTGGTGAGGCAGGAGTCACATTTATGTAACGGCCTGTCCATTGGGGCTCTAGTCTAGCAAGGCTTGTTGTCAAGGGGAGTTACATAATCTCTTCCTTTTCCTTGGAGAGCTTTAATGGAGGGGAGGGAGAGACTACGATCTGTTAAGGGTGGTTTGGCTGCAATGCTGTCTGAAGGCATGAGAATGAACTCTAAGGCAGCTTCAGCATTGGAATAAGAGTCTGGGCCACACTCAACATCTTTGGAGTTCAACTGCTATCACTACCGTATTTGGCCACAGAAAGGAGGGGCCGTTCCAATCTTCCTTACAATTACTGCTCTAATTATTACATTATACTTTCACAATTTAATCCCTTTATTTGCCTCACTGCCTTTTTGGGGCTAAGTGAGCACCACAGTGTGATGTCTGATGATGTAGCTAGCAGGGTAGCCTCACCAAGTGCTGCGCAGCTGCCAGCTACAAGCACAGCCAGGTGGGCAAGTCCAGAGTGCTAATCTGGACAGTGACATCTCTGTCTCCTGCTCAAAATCCTTGAAACTTGCTCTCTCCAATACGGAGTAAAACTGAGCACATACATCAATGCCAAGAATCACCCTGTGCTTTGCTCTGTTAAGCTTTTGGTAGCATTTCAGCATCCTAAAGAATAATCATGCATAGAATTCCAATTGCTCTATTCTAATTATTGCTCAGTAAATAACTATTGCAGAGCTATTAATGTCTAACCTATAAAATGTTTTGAGACATGTATTAGGAAATTTTTTCACACTGTTATTCTATCTTTACAAAACATACCGAAGACTCGAGGGTTTAATCCCCTCAACCCTAAAAATTGTTACTTCCTCAAGGCAGGAGACATTTGTTAGAGGAATTCATCTCAATCCACAACCTTTGGGAACAAAGCTTTAATAAAATGTGGATAAGAGGACACTCCAACCAGCCTGCTGTCTGAATCACAGGTTCTCAGTAAATATTCGTTGAATAAATGGGAGTGGTTTTCACACTGAGAACCTCTTGCTTATATCAGCGCACTCAGTGCTCATGAATTTATCCCAAAATATTTGCTTATCTTTGTGTAGTTAAAATTCAGAGCTGTGTAAACTGAGTTAACAAAATCAAATTAATAACAGTTTGAATTGTATATACTTTGTAACCATAAGGATTATAACACTGTGGAACAATGGCTGGTAAACACCCAAAGATTTGAGGTGTGCTTTCATTCTCAAGTTTTGTAGTGTTACCAAATAGACTGAAGAGATTTCTCAAATGCTCAGAAGTGATGAAAAGCCTTGTGCACAGACCATTGTTTTTAGCTTTCTCGCTTTCCATGTGATTTTATATTTCATTTTAAACTTAAGTATTCTGAGGTTAATGCCTTCAATTTATAGATGAGGATAAAGAAAATAAAAATCCAGTAAATGAAAGATTTTTGTAAGAAAATATCAATAAATATAGCAACGATGAGCCAGAAATTATAAAGATACAGCTATGAAGATGTTTAGGACATTCATATGTACTGCATACTAACTTGGTTTTGTGCTCTTCATTTAAAACTATGAAAGGCTATGAAAAGATTAGGATTAAGTATCTCATCTACTATGTAAGAGTATGATGTCTTGAGAAATTGTGCTTTGGGTAAACTTTTTTTTTTTTTTTTTTTGAGACTGTGTCTAGCTCTGTCACCCCAGGCTGGAGTGCAATCATGGCTCACTGCAACCTCCAATTCCTGGGCTCAAGCAATCCTTCTGCCTCAACCTTTCCAGTAGCCACGACTACAGGTGCATGCCACCATGCTCAACTAATTTGTAAATTTTTTATAGAGACAGGGTTCTCACTTTGTTGCCCAGATTAATCTCTTGAACTTTTGGCCTTAAGGGATCCTCCAGCCTCAGCCTCCCAAAGTGGTGGGATTACAGGCATGAGCCACTGCACCTGACTAAGTAAACATTTTGATTGTGTTCTCATCAGCCACAGATCAAGGAAGTTATGTAACAGACAACAAAAAAGCAAGGGAGAGCCAGTACAAGTAAGGATTGTCACTAAAATATTCAGTGCAACTGATGAAGAAGAGTTGAATTTCCAGATGCTCTTAAAAGGGAAGGTGGGCCGGGCACGGTGGCTCATGCCTGTAATCCCAGCACTTTGGGAGGCTGAGGCGGGTGGATCACGTGAGGTCGGGAGTTCGAGACCAGCCTGGCCAATGTGGTGAAACCTTGTCTCTACTAAAAATACAAAATTAGAGAAGCGTGTTGGTGCATGCCTGTAATCCCAGCTACTTGGGAAGCTGAGGCAAGAGAATCACTTGAACCCAGGAGATGTAGGTTGCAGTGAGCCGAGATCATGCCATTGCCCTCTAGCCTGGGCCACAAGAGTAAAAATCTGCCTCAAAAAGAAAAAAAAAAGGGGGAGAAGGTGGGAGACTGCTCTATGTACACATAAAGGGTTTCAGAATCATGTTTTGTGAAAATATTTAAAAGGATTAGCACTTAACAAACATTACTTCTTTTGTACTTTGAAAACTAGTACGTCACAAAATTATGAAGGCTCCACATAAATTAGTTTCAGTTCTGTCCAGCAAGGGGCCATTAGATGATGATGGTCTATGGTCAGTGGTGAATCAGCAGTAGCATGGTCTAGAGCAGGGGGTCTAAATTTGAATTAGCATCAGGATTACCCAGAGGGTTGGTAAAATGCAGATTGCTAGGCCCACCCTCAGAGATTCTGTTTGAGTTAATACAGGATGGGGCCTGGGAACTTGCATTTCTTACATTTTCCCAGATGATGCTGGTACTGCTGGTACAGCCACTGCACTTTGAGAACTGTTGGCAAATAATACAACACAGTACAGTGCAGTGTTTCTTAACTTTGCCTTTACATTAAGCATCACCTAGGAAGCTTTCAAAAACCCCCCTTTCCCTGGCTGTACCCAAGACCAATTAATTCAGAATTTGGGGACATGAGCCCTGACATCAGCATGTTTTTTTAAGTCTTCCACTGATTCCAATGAGCTGGCAAGCTTGAGAACCACTGATATGTGGGAAGATAGACTTTGTGTCCATAACTGGTTGTTAGGAAGACACATTTTGTAAACCACTGAGCAGAACCATTGGTGTGCTGTGGATCCTCAAAATATATTTTTTTCTTCCCCTATTTTCTTCAAAAGTGAATTACAAGAGACCTAAAAACGTGAAATCTAATTTTTTTGCCAGAATATATATCTATAGCTTTTTCATGAACTGAATTCTAGATCTGTAGATTACCAGTTTAAAAGGGCATAAACAAATTTCAGTCCTATTTTTCTACACTGTATGGCGGAAATAATGTTATTTATAAATCTGAAATCTATGAAGTTTGGGGTATATATCACTTATATATGTTGGAGGTATATTTTATCATTCAATGCCATTTTATTGGTATAATTTGGAAGGTTTTTTTTAATATAAATTCATTTAAAAGTTAGAAAAAGTATATCCAACCATAAGGAAAAAAGAAAGATGAGTAGGTAATTAAATTTGTCTAGAGCAGTGATTCTTAAAATTGGTCCCTGGACCGGCAGCATCATCAGCATTACCTGAAAATTTGTTAAAAATATACAATCTCAGGCAGGCCCCCACCCCAGATCTAATGAATCAGAAATTCTGGAGGTAGGACCCAGGAATCTGCATTTTAACAAGATTTCCAGATGATTTTAATGCACACTCAAGTTTGGAAATCACTGGTCTAAAGTATTTATTATTTCCATGCATCTGTAAGAAGATCCAAAGGGGTCAAAAACACTGTTAGTCCAATGTGCATTTGTACAGTTGCTATATAGACCCACATTGCTCTAATAATAACTATGCTCTTGTAAACTCTACCCAAAGTTTATTATCCTTGCACCATTAAAGCTTAACAGTAAGAGGAAAATTAATAGATATGGAGTATATCTGGGGGGATTTTATTCTATAAATCTTCCACTATCAATTGTAATCTATTTCCATTTTCTACTCAAGAGAGAATTAAAACTATGATACTTGACTTATGAGAATAAGAATAAGGAAAAACAAAAACCCATCATGTGAGGTTGGAAGTGGGGAGAGTATTCCCAGGTCCGACACTAACCTTGAATTGTCCTCTTGAAGAATGCCTTGCAGGCTTCACATGATGCTACCCCATAGTGGTACCCAGAAGCGATGTCACCACACACTAAACACAGTCTCTTGGGCATCGAGTTGAGCATGTATTCACACTTGGTCTGGGGATCTTCAACAATGGTGCTGGAGCAGTCATCATACAGTTTCCTGACAGGCCCACTACCTCCCAGGATAGGAGCAGAAGGGTAGAGAGGTGGCGAGTCAAGTCCGTTCTGATGGCCATTCATGGTTGAACTGTAGCTCCCACTGGCGTCTGAAGAGCCACCAGGGCTGTGGTGGTTGACGCTGTCCGTCAGGGAGGCTGGGCTGGAAGGTTCCGTCTTGATGAAGGACGAACAGCTGGAATCAATGTGTCGATCTTTGTTTGACATTCTGCAGAGAAGCCTGAGATTGAGGAGATACAAAGAGAGACAGAAAGAGGAGAGAGTGTCAAGCACAGAGACCAAAAGAGGTAGAAACAAAAGAGATGGTGAAAAATAGAGAAAGGGAAAGGGAAAGGTAAAAGGAGGAAAAAAACAGAATTCATATGTTAAAGACATTGCTCTTTGAGAGAGTTTCCTAAGGGCTAGGGACTACACATCATTCATTCTCTAGTCAATACTTCTTGTTCTACAAGAAGGTAATCAGCATAAGGGCATGACAGGGTTACAACAAAGGGCCCAGACAGGCCATAAACAAAAGCTCTAAAGAGTCCGATTGCTTTTATTTTACCTTTCTCTTGGAGAACCAGTGTCAATATCTAACTCAACTCTAGATTCTAAATTTATCAATGGAAGAGGTGGTGATTTGCAAAGTCTATACCATTTCTAAAATTGTATTTATCCTCATTCTACCTTTCCTTCCTCATTCTGATGCTGCAATCATTTTATTATGAGCAGAATAAAACTTTTATTTTCAAGACTGAACAGATGATCCTCAGCTCTGTAATTACTGTTTGTCAGCACGCTTCCATAAGCATAACTGTGTCTTATTGATCTGACTAAAACACATAGGGAATATATCCTCAATCACTTTGTTTCTTTATTTAAATTGCTCTATTTCATAGCCATTTGGCAATATAGAAAGACATCAAGTATAAAATTCCAGCCAATATTTAAAGATTATTCCTAGAGCCTGCAAAACTTAGTGACTCATCACCAACATTCATTAATAAATACGTGCATGTGTTTCTTATGTGTGATTTGCCATTATTTAAGAGATGAATCAGTAAAAGCCATTTGAGCCTTCAGTATACCTGTAAGTCCACAAATCTGATATTATATGTATATTATCTGATACTATAAAATCTGATGTTATATTTACATTCAGTAAAGTAGAAATGTAGCATATTTTGTCCTAAAAAATATATTTGTGATGGTCCTTCCCCCACTTCTTTTTGCCATTTAACATTATACCTCCTAAAAGGAAAAATGATGAAACATCTAATCTGACACACTGTTTCTCTTATCTAGAAGAAACACTTCATCCCTTTTTCTTTGTTGTTCTCACAAGTGACCGAATTTCTGGAAAGGTAATTAGATGAAAAGATATAATTGGTCCTATTTTCTTTTCATTTAGCCATTGTGCAAAACCTCGTTTAGCAAAATGTCTAAGAAGCTTCTGAGAGCCCACTACAGAAAGAAGAGGTGACAGTCAAGAAAGGGACTTAGATAATTGCCTCCCAGTGGAAAATTGATTTATGGGAATCCCTCTGGGTAATGGTCATTCACTAGAATTTGGGGGACTCATCACAGGATAACCAAAGGGATGCAATTATCTCTTTCACTATAAATCTAATGATATTTGATCATTGCACAAATTTCATGCCCTCCTCCAGGTCCTCCATTGTTCTGTTACTTCAAAATGAAGAAAAATATGGAACTTTTCTGGCAGGAAGTTTCACTTAACTGTTCCAAGAAGGCGGTCTCAGGAGCAAAGCGTTGAGGCAAGATTTGCCTCTTACCAAAGATATTTCACTTTGAGAAATCTTGCACAGCTTTCTGAAGTCAAGCAGTATCAGGATGTGAAGAAAGCAAATAGGAAGGCGAAAGCCACGAAAATATCTTCGTACTTTCGCCCACCCACTTGTGTTGTCCTTTCCTCAAGAACTAGCGAAAGAAAAAAATATCCCCCTCGCCAGCCTGAACTACGGCGTCCTCTCTCTTCTGCATCTGCTGCCTTGTACCCGTCACTGTTAATGAACGTTGTAATTAATAGATCGCTCTCCTTGTCTCCTTAGCACTCTGGGCTAAGCACTTTCCTCAAGTCATCGTTTGAAAGAAAGCGGGTCGGCACTGACTTACAGCAGCCCTGTGAATTCCTTTTAATTTAGAGCACTTACACCACCACTTCACTTATTACCTTATAATTACTGGACTGTGGGCACATACATTATGATCTTAGACTAGAGTTAGAAGTTTTTAGGGTACTAAACCATGCTTGCTCCCCTTTCCTCTCTCCAGCACTGAATTTCCCACAGCTATGACAATTAACTCTTTCACCATCTGCCTACAAGGCACCGTTTTTTAATTTGGAATTTTTTTTTTCTTTTTTTTTTTTTTATCCAGAGGAGAGTTGCTTGGGGCTGCTTGATCTTCAGACCCTCTTTTTAAATTTTTTTTCCCTCTCTCTCTTTTCCTGTATCTTCCATGGTCACTTTCACCCCAATTTTCTTTTTTTCAGGCTCTTCCTCATGGACTTGCAAAATTTGCAGAACTCTTGATTTAAAGAACAAGGCCAGAAATTGCCCTCCCATTTATGGATCAGTTATTTGCTAAGCCATCAAATATTTATGTGTCAAATGCATGTTGTTAAAGTCCCTGAAAAATAGGGACTCTCCAGCAAGTTGTCTCATCGAAAATCTCAGTCCATAACTTGGCAATAGGCTGGATAAAACAAGGAAATTCGGGACGTACAAGCTGCCAGAAAGGTCCTTAAAACAGAAGCACTGTCTTCTCCTAAACAAGGTCTGGCCACTGGAGCCATACATGAAAGTGAACCAACTGGATTTGTGCTGTAGGTTGTACGTGTTTTTGGCCTGCCACGAACTGTTTCCTTAATTAATATCTTTTGCCCAGTGGAAATAATAAAAGTCAGAATTGCCATTTATCAAGTGCTTATTATGTGCCAGGCACTGAGCTGAGCACTTTACAAATATTACCTCATTGAATCCCCAAGATAACTTCGTAAGGGAGGTATTTCTCTTTAGGAAACCGAGCCTCAGACCTTTCAAAATTTGCTGAGGGTCATACAGCTAGGAAGCAGTACAGCCTGAATCTGAACTCAGGCCTGACTTCAAAGACCAGAGCAGAAATGTCTTGAAGACAACAGAGTTTTTAATGGTGTTTATTTACTCAATTTTAATAAATAAGCAAGCAAGCAAGGTAGAGGTGGCACGCAGAGATCTACTACTTTTATTTCTCAGCAATTATATCCACAGCCCACGCATAAGTGGAAAAGGGGTGAAGGGGCCACTGCGCTGGTTGGCTGGTTGCAGGTCTGCCCTACTGCATCACCCACCCAGGGTGTGCAGTGACACCTAAACAGAATCTCTGAACCAACACAGTTGTCTCCTAATTACTACTTAGCTCATTACACTGAACACTTCCTAGACACTATTATATTATAACCTAAAACTACAGCGAGTCTTAATTCTCTGCCTCTCTGTCTCTGAAATTCTACAGCTCTATTATTCAAGTCTGAAATATTCACAACTATCTATAAATTCAATTGTCAGCTGGTGGGTTTTATTCTAGACTTCACTTCAATCTAAAATTAGAGGCACTAAAATTCACATTAACTCTAAGAGGAATGTAGTGAATAGGACTTTATTTCAAAAGAACACCTTTTTGTCAGAAAGAGCCATTTTCAAAATGATGGCTTTATCTGTAGCCAAAGAGAATAAGCCCAATTCCACATTGTGCTGTTAATGCAGAAATTTTAAGTCACATTGGATTAATAAAAATCTAAATTTAGTTAAGAATTATGAATAGAAATAACATGTGTCGAAATATGTGGGAAATATTTATTTTAAAGCCTTAGTATGGTTACTATTATTATTTTAAGAGAAATGGTGAGATGAACAGGGAGCAAGACCAGCTAACTAACTCCCTTCCCAAAACCTCTGAATGAACCCCCTGAGAATAAACTAGAGGGGGAAATAACAATGTCAAGAATAACCTTTAGTTTCTATATGAGACACTAGGTTTTATTTTATTATTATTATACTTTAAGTTTTAGGGTACGTGTGCACAACATGCTGGTTTGTTACACATGTATACATGTGCCATGTTGGTGTGCTGCACCCATTAACTCGTCATTTACATTAGGTATATCTCCTAATGCTATCCCTCCCTGCTCCCCCCACCCGACAACAGGCCCCAGTGTGTGATGTTCCCCTTCCTGCATGAGACACTAGGTTTGAGGAATTTAACAGCCTACCTGAAATTTCAGGACTTTAAAAAGCATTTCAAAACAGTTTGAGATACAGCATCAAATAATTCTGATGATCATACTTCAACCTAGGATGTCATTTCCTAGCCCTGCTTAGGGTCAGCAAGGGTGAAAATTATCTTTGGCATTAGATACTAATGATCAGCCAAATAAAATGTCTTAGTTGTTTCACTATTTAAAGAAGTAATTTTTGAAAGTTAATTAATGGTGTGTATATGTGTGCACATAGAGAGAGTGAGAGAAAGAAAGAATAAGAATTAAAGTTGCTGCTGTGGGGGAGAAAAGGATAATCTGTAAGTTAATGTTCAATTTCTATTGTAATTATCAAGCTTAATTGTTTTCGGAGATTCTACCTACATCCAGGTAAATGTGTGATCGTGAATGAACCGTCAGGAGTTTGAATTCCCACATGCACGTGCTGATGTTCAAAGTGGTCTGCATTTCGATGGAAGGTCTGAAGCTCAGCCAGTGCTTGTATTTGTTAAACTCTGGAATAACAATAATGTTCCATAGGGTTATACATTATTAACCCTTTCACCGAAATACAAGTTCTTAACAAGCAGCTGTATTTCATCATGTGAATTTTACACAGATCTTGAATTCATTTGCTACTGTATTTCCACCCTAAAACAAATGGAGAAATAAATGGGAAAATGGGTGCATAAAATTCTCATAAGGAATGTGTGTACAGATCATCTTAGATCTTCTCATGTGTTATACTAAGGCAATATCTTCTGCAACTTTTACTATATCTATACCAATAGTAAACGCTTTGGTAGGCTAAATAAATGTCAATTAAAGAAGTTAACACAATTTCTATTCTTCTTTGTCATCCTTAAGGGCCTGGAAAGGTAATCATCATCATTATAAATTCCAAATGCTTTAAAAATTTATTTCCAATGTTTTTGTATAAGGACACAATGCAGCGAATCTCCAAGTTTACATACAAATACAGAGATAAGAAGAGTCCTCAGCTCCTCTGTGTGATTCATCAGAATCACAGAATTTCAGGGACAGAAAAGAAGGTTATCAAGTCCCACCACCTAATCACTACTGATTCAAAACAAAAATGAATCTATGGGGACTGGTTGATTTTCTACATTCTGAAATTACCAGATTAAATATTTAAGTATTTGTGTTTTAAAAAATAAAAAGCTCTTAATACTCTATAGTGTGTGTGTGTGTGTGTGTGTGTGTGTGTGTTTTATGCTTTTAGAAGAAAACCTCTAGACTAGTGTTGCAGCTCCCGGAGGTACAGGCTTCAGAGCCCATGACCCCAGCAGCTCCCATGGCAGCCTGAGTTACAACTTCAAGCACGCTACTTTACAATGAGCTTTTTTCCCCCCTGCTTCAACTAATTGCACTCTCGTAAAGTGGCAAAATGTGAATCACTTAGTAACAAAATGGGCACCAGCTGCTATTGTCAGAGAATGGTGATGCTGAAGAAAGGGAAAGCAACCGAATGAAGTGTCATGTCAGAAATCAACGGTGCAACGTGTGATTTGAGAAAACATGACTACTTTACAGAGACAGGGTGTCATTATGGCATCACAGTAATACGATGCTTTGACAACTGCTGGGTCTAACATATCATCATTGCATTAAGGTACACTGGCTTAGTTGGGAAAAGAAGAGAAAGGATTTTTTCTTTTAATAAGAAATATCTTAAGGTCTGCCTGGTTAACCTAACGGAAGGAGATCATTAATTGTAAAGAAAGAATTGTGAATCCTGACCCACACGCTCAGAAAGATAAAAACACATGGACAACTTATGCACACATACTTCTGTATAATTTTAAGGCCTCCTTTAATAAAAATTGAGCCCTATCTAATAGAATGGATTTCTGTATACCAGGATCAGAATGATTTAGATTTAGTAATGCTGCTTCTTGATTCTTTGAACAAATAACTTGTGCATTTAGTTCAAAAGACTCTCTCTAGCTTACTCCATGAAGAACAAGAGTAAGAAAACAGCTGCCCTCAAAGCTGGTGCCTGAGTTGCTGACAAGAGATAGAGCTATGTAATGTGGGGACATAGAGCCAGCCCCCTATAAAGAAAAATCAGAGCTGAAAGCTCTCCCAACTCTGTAAAAGGCTCTCTGCTGCAAGCAAAAAGGAAATTCAGTACAAGTAATCAAGACCTTCAACTCATTTCTGGCTGATCATCGAAATAAAAGTGTCCCATGCATTATAATTTCATACCTACTGACCAAACTCTTAACAGCAGGACCTCACTGAAACCCTATCTGCTTTTAGGGTTGTAGAGTTCAATGGTCCTTTCTCATTTAATTTTTTTCTAATATTAGGTTGGTCAACTATCCTGGTTTTAGTAGTAAAATCCCATGTCCTGGATACCCCTAAATCCGAGGTAAACCAGGATGGTTTGTCACTCAATCTGACATATAAAGATACCTGTAGAATCCTATGTCTTCACTCTTGCAAAATATAAGGGATTTTGAAATGGAGACAATTCATTTCTTGCAATGGAGGCCCAGAAATATGGCAAAAGAAATGCACTAATAAGATCGACTAAACTAATTAGGACTAGGGGTGTTGCAAGTATGTATGTAGTGTAAGTGTCTGTGGACACAGCAGCATCCCATTTTACTATGCTGTGCAAGCTGGAAGTGACTGCTGATTTCCTTAAGTCATCCAGACTATTTTAGATGTAGGAAATTGCAGTTGCTTCAATTTGTATTGCCAGGTGATTTCTTATGCTTCCTGGTTGATAAACTTTATTAATGGGAAAAGAAATGGTCCTGTGATATCACAATGTGTTGCACATTATGATTGTTGACAGTTTCTGTATTTAAGGATTCGATCTGATGCAGAGGCGCTTAGTAGTGCAACTTATCCTTAGCTTGTTTTCTTGGACCTATTTCAATCTGGGGGTGAGCATCTCTTGTTTATGGCTCTAAATACAGTAAGTGAGTTACTGACAAATCAATAAAACTGTTAAATGCATAATAATGCCGAGTAATTGCATACATGATGTTTTGCATAATTAACCATCTGAGCTTTTCTTTAATATAATGGGCACTCATGTAATATAGAGCAGCTATAAGTCTATAAAATATACACAGTTTATATGAACCGTGATTCTGCTTAAAACTCTGGCTAATCATCTACATCGGCTTTGAAGGGAGAGCTCTCCTCCACTGCCAAGTCCAAATCAATTCTTATGACATTACTTTATAACTAACATGATATTTAACTGATGATGGCTATTAGCTATTATACAGATTGCACTCAAAAACTGTAACAGTAGGGGGGAAATACCATTTAGTTTAAATAAACTTCTGCCATGTAATCAATATTATTGAGGCAAATTAAGTGTTTTAACAAGTGTGTATATTTGCCCTAATGCAGCTTAATTAACTATATCCTCACAACTGCTCAACTACATGACGCCAATGGATCCGAAGAGAGAATCTCGAAAACCTCCTAGACGGAAACAAACATGCACAGCAGATGGAAAAACAAGCATTTTGTCTCCAATCCCTGAAAATATTTCTTACTTTACACAAGTTACTCTTCTGCGAACCAAAAGCCTAAAGACTGAAGGGCTTTCGAACAGTGTGCTATAGTCAACCATTTGGGTAGTACATGTCCCAGTCTTGACCAGGTCACTATGCCCAGGGTAGAGTCTAACAGCCCTAGGCAATGGGTGGACACCACCACTAAAACAAAAGGTTTCTATGAGATTTTATAAAAAAAAAAAGTACCCAAGATAAATCATTAAAATGAAGCTTACAATATATGCTGAATGTAACATTTATTCAGTGTTAGAGGTTTACTATGCCATGAGCAGACCTCCTCTGCAGTAAGCTTTCTAGGGGAAAGCAATAGTCTCCTACTTCTACAAATCTCTGGTCTTTCAAACAGAAATATGGATCAATAAAGTTTGCTTGTGTTCAGACAATTCTGTTTTCAAGCAGTCAAGGAGCACACCAAAGAGAACTCGACACAGAAGGGGACTGACAGCTAAATGAAGACCTTCCCACAGCACCGCACTAGAGAAGAAATAAACAGACATTCAACTCATAGAAAGTCTATGCACTGATCTCTACAAATTACATTGAATATAGATGCTTTACTCACAGACGCTCCAGTGATGGAGTTCACAAATCAAATCGAGGTCAATGAAAGCTCAGGCTTCCTGAACTTCCCTTTCCTATTCTCTGCTATACTGAAAGAGGAAATGCAAATGCTATCACAAGTTGATATAAGGATATGGAGATCACAGTATTGATGTCATTCTTTACTCATTAAGATAATGTTTTGCAAAAGCAATTACAATGACCAATAAACCAGCTGCTTCTATAGACATAGATCAGTTCACCAGGAGTGGAACTCTAAAAGGTACTCTGCAACTGAGTGAATCACAGTGTTGAGAAAATCTAAATGCTAGGAAATCATTGTTGAAATAAAGGTTGCTTCAAGCACATATGAAAATTTCTGTGTTAGATGGAGATGTGCAGCACAATCAGAGATAATAAACCCCATCTGTTGGGTAGCAGTTAAACTATATTTATATTTTTACCTTAATAGCTTAGTCTGCAGTAGTTAACATCTGGATGTAAATGCAGCTGGTCTTGGGTGATCTATAGCAGAGGTGACATTATATTGTTGGTATCAGGTGTTGTCCAGCTGAAGTAGGAGAGTAGTGGGGAGACAGGGAGGAGGGGAACTCAGCTAATTATTAATCCTAAAAATTCCTCCTCTATCCTCTTTTTAAATAAACATTTCATCAAGCTAGTTACTTGAAGAGAACGTAAAGCTAAAATACACAAGCCACTATTTGCAGGCAAGGGAAAATAACATATATCTGCATATATATTTAATTCAAGCCATGGAAATGACTAAGGATTTATTTTGTAGCATGACAGGTATTGTTAACCAAAAAAAAAAAAAAAAAAAAAAAGAAAGGATTATTCAGCAGAAACATAGCATCCAGTGAAGCCAGTAGAAGCCACTGAAAAGCCAAGAGTTCAAATCAGGACCTGCTTGTCGTTTGTCACATTCAAAAGTCCAAATGCAAACATGCAGAGAAAAATTTCTAAATATAAAATGCCATTCTAAAAAATCAACTAAAAAAAAAGACTATACCAGGGTTTCTGCCGCTTGCTTTTCTTCTCTTCTCCTTTCCCAGGGAGCCCTGACTTCTTGTAGTATTCGACAGAGTAGGAGACATGGGTTCTAGCTCTGGATCCAGGCACTGTGTAACCTGAGGCAAGTCATTGTACCACCCTGACTCTCAGTTTTCTCATTTATAAAATGAGAGCATTTGCCTACGTGTTTCGTAAACAACTTCAGCCCTGTTTAAAAACCATATATTCTACTCAGATAAAAAACACACTGGCTTGTAAGTCTGGTTAGACCTTGAGAGCAAGGACTATTGCACCGAGGAGCACTCTTCAAACTCCCAAACTTCCATTTCCTTTGCTGCCACTGCACTGAGTCACCATTCAGGGACATGGCAGGGCCCGTGTGTGTGTGTGTGTGTGTCTGTGTGTGTGTGTGTGTGTGAAGTATATGTCTGTGTGTGTGTTGCAGGAGAATAATTAAGCAACTTGCTACATAACAATGAAACTGCAGCAACCACATTCAACTGAAGACTCACTCCCAGTGGGCTACAAAAAGACAGACAGAGACGTGATCATTTTAGGGGAGCTGGGGAATGGGACTCTTGGTTTTTTCCTAGAAATGGTTCTGCTTTTGCTCATTACGTTTTTGGTGGGAGGCGTTGGCGGAAGGGCAATTCCCTGCAATCAGTGTTTAAGTGAATGTTTGTCCCAGTGTGCGACACCACGCTGTCAGCAAGCAGCGGGGAGCTGTTGAGTTGTTACTACATTTGATTTGACTGCCAGTAGGAAGCTTCATTTCTACCAACTGTTAGTTGCTCGCTCAAAGAATCTTCTCTTCATTTTTGGAGTGATTTTTTCCCTCTCTTCTATTTACCATTCCTTGATATGTCGGAAGCCCAAATGCCACGTGGATTTGTAAGAGGAAACCTTAGTACTTGGCCCCTAAGCTTGTCAGATCTGAGAATCTGGATGCAAGGGATCCATGCAATTTGTTCAGTGCTCCTGGTCTCTCATTTAGCGTCTCCTACATCTGAAGATTGCATTTTAATTCAGAATCTCTAGACCACTCCAAGGTCAACACAGGCATGAAGTGGTTCTGCCACATTGTGGCCGTGTCTTTTTACATGGTGGGGTTTATTTTAGCCAACAGAACAGATATTTCTGCAGCCCTTATTAGGTGAAAATAAGTGTTGTCATTCACCTTTTTGTGAAATTTTGTTGAAATCAGTGCTAGTTTTGGTGATTGCTTCTGGCATTTAAAAAAATTTTTCTGATTTGGTAACTTTACTACATCACATCAAAGTCCTTCTCCTTAAAAATAATAACTTTGGTAATTAGGTGTCTCAAATAGTGCCTCTGACAACAACTTCTGACAATGAAAAGGATCTTTGGGAAAAAAAACAAAAGAATATGCATGGGTGAAAAGGGTGAGAAAAAAAGAAAAAAGAATCCCTGAGAGATATTATGAAAATTCAGGCTGAATGAAAAAGTAATTAACACTAAACAGCTAAAACTGTAATTAAGAAAAAAATTTCATTAAGAGAAAGCAGGCGAGCCTGCTTTTCTAAATATGACAAGGTGCTGTGTAAAAATAAAATAGAAGCAGGTTTCAGTGAGTGGAGCGGGAAAGCCATGTCTTTAACCAGATCAAATTCTCGAAATTGGCTGTCAAGACAGGATTGTTGTGATTTATACCCGTCTATCAAGTGCACGAACGAGAGACAGAGAGAACAGAGGCAAGCTGCTGTCGCTTCCATTCGCAAAGAACCTTTAATTTCCACAGCACCATCTGTTACCAAATCTAATTCACATTCCCCCTTAATCTGGTTTAGTTCCATAATACTAATTCTTCCCCAACCTTTATGAACACAAACCATACAAAAACAAAACAAAAATAAAACAACAAAAAACAAGGCTTTGGTTCTCAGTGAGTGAGAAATTGAATATTACAGAGTTAAGATGTTAAGGCTCTGGTGACTTATGTGAAGCAGGCTCTCTTCCATTAAAATGTATTCCTGGTAAGGGGATTTGTTTTCAGCCAATGCAGAGATATGAAATTGTTCATATTTGGGGTAAAAAAAAAAGATGATATAAAAGTAGGCCGGGGACATGAAAGCAGAGGTTGTCATAAAATACAATTTTTGTCAAGTTTAGTCACTTTCAGAACTGGCTATAAAATCACTTTGTCATCGCTTTCATACAGAGAAAAGCTGAAATTGTATTTTTGGTAAGGAAACTCGAGAGAGTGGTGTATATATTCAGAAAGAGTGGAGAAGGGTTGGTGGAAAAACCTAGGAGAAATAGAAATGGAAAACAATTATATATATCTTAAAATACAGAGATGCATATGGGTAAACACACATTAACTTCCCTCAATCTAAGATTCTATTAGCACATCCTTTTGATTCGCCATTGCTTCTACTCTTAGCCAATATAATAACTGGCATTCGCAATAATGAGTCTGCAGAACTATAAAATTAGAAAGTGCTTTCTGCATCAGAGAAAGATTAAACTATGCTCAGTAAAGATTTAGTGTTAAATGTATTTTATTGCTTTCCAAGTCTGTGGAAATTTGTTATCTCTAAAGGCAATAGTACATAAAGATCCACAGGCATCCATTACAAAATGCAAAAAAGGTACCATGTGAATACTGGGGTGAGTTTTGATTACACATTTAGTCAACTGGCTCACTACCTAAGTTTCCTATGACCATTACAGGAATTACCGTTTTGTTCTCTAACCCAGTATTATAGAACATCAGCCAGGTTACATAATATCATTCCCTTACTTTCAGAAATAATTGGAGAGACTGTGATATAAAATTTGTATTTATCACAGGCCTGATTATCATCCATAAATACATTTTTATAGAGAAGACTTTAACATGTAAAGTCCGTGGCTGAACTGGTAGTATCTTAATACATTTTTTTAAAATCCAAAATTTTGGGATTTTTTGGATTTTTAAAAATTTGGATTTCAACTATTAGAGGTAATAAAAGCCTGATTTTTAAGAGATATGGGAGATTATGAAAGAAGATAAACTGTTTTATAACACTGAAACAAACAAAAAACTTGAGACCTGAATAAATATGCCTACACACACAAACATATTATCTATACACTCCCTATAAAAACATCAATGGATGTCATAAACAAATATAACTGATTAAAGATTATACAGATGAAAAAACATAAGGTCAATAAGTAATGTGCTAATTCTGATATCTCTAAATTATAATATGTATTCCATAATTTTTAGAGTTCCTATTTCAGCTCCAAATTAAAGAAAATTTTCAGTTTTTCACACACATAAGAGAGGCTAAAATTCATAAGACCGACAACAATAAATGCTGAGGAAGATGTGCAGCAACTGAAAATCACATATGTTGCTGGGAGGGTATAAAATTGGAAAAAAAAGTTTGGAAGTTTCTAATAAAGTTAAATGGACACCATAACACAGCATTTCCACTCCTAGATATTCACTACAAGTGAAAACATATCCCCACAAAAAGAACTGCTTAGGAATGTGTATCACAGCTTTATTTATAATATAATATTAGCCCTAAGCTGAAAACAAATCAACTGTCCATCACTGATGAACAAATAAACAAATTATGAAATATATACCTGTGTGTGGTGTGTGTGTGTGTGTTTGCATGTGTGTGTGCTTAAACGAGTCCTAGTCAAAGATAAAAAGAAATGAACTGTGATAAATGCAATGACATGGCTAGATCTTAAAAACATCCTGGCCAAGTAAAACAAGCTAGATGCAAAAGAATATATACTGTAAAATTCTGTGATGTTCCAGAACAAGGAAAACTAATCATCATAATAGAAATCACAGTGGTTTTCTGGAGCAAGGAGTGAGGATTGCCTAGAGAGGAACATAGGGAAGCTGGTGGTTTTATGAATTATATGGGTCATATTTGTTAAACCCCATCTAACTGCACAGAAAATATGTCTTGTTGTAAACTGTATCTAAAAGGTAATCTAAAAAAAATTTTAAACAATGGGTTAAACATAATAACTATGCATTACCAGAAGTTTTCCTTGATTCCTATGCCCTGTACCAGATCGTAAATAACCAGATCTAGAATATTCTTTTATCAGTGCCTACTTCTACCTCTCATTTACACACAATGGACTAGGGAAGTGAGAGAACTTTAAAGGACTCCCAGAATTACAGGCAAAGCCCAGTTCAAAGTCCAGATTTCCATCTCTTAGGCCAGCTCTTTTCTTAACTAAGGCCTGCAGTGAAAAATATTTCACTGACTTGAATGATAAAATGCTTTTCATATTCTGTTTTTAAAAACTTATAAAATCCTTGCAACTGTAAACATAACATAAATGCATTTATGTGTATATTTTGGAAGAAAAGAAAGCTAACCTGCCTTCATTTGCCATTTTCTTCCCTCAAAATATGTCCAATAATAAAATGGCTTTAGGAAATCTGCAATGTGTGAGTAGTCACAATGTGTCAGTGTAAGCCAGTCAAGGTAGGCTTAAACATTTTCTTGGTTTCCTTTGGTTTGGCTTTGGCAATAAGGAAGTAGATGCTATAGAATATAGAATAAAGAAAAATGCAGGATTTAGGAAGTAGAAATAAGAAAAAGAGGATAGTCATTTGATTTTTTAAAATATGGTTAAGCTATAAGTATATACATACAAAGTAGAACGTATTAGGGAGAAAAATACCACATATGAAACCTGACTAGGTAAAATGATACATTTCAAAAGAAATGTATAATTTCTAAGAGGCTACCAGGTAAGAAAACTTGCATAGCAACTGGAATAAATTTAAAAATTATTTTATCACCAATTTGCCAAATGCTTCTGATGTAGTAACACCTAGATGACTTTCCTTAGCAGGAAAGGAAATAAATCATAGAGCACATTTCTTGCCTTCTTTAACTTTCACACACACAAAGGTTACAGCATTTAGTATTAAGGAGAAACGACATAATTATACAGCTAATTCATGTTTTCCTGAAAAGGGGTTTCTGTAGAATAATAAAACTGTATATCCCTGAAGACAAATCTGGCCAAGTTCACCATCCATCCCTTTCAATGGCTTCACACATGCTACAGGATACCAGGTCTTTTAATCTGGGTGTCCAGACCTGGCCTTCCCTGAGCTGACCTGGCCTTACTCTTCAACCTCAGCCTTGTATCTTAAACTATCATGCATCATGTAACAACACGTCAGTCAACAACAGGTCACAAATACGACACTGGTCCTGTAAAATTATAATGGAGCTGAAAAATTCCTATCACTTAGTGACGTCACAGTGAAATGTATTACTCACATGTTTTTGGTGATGCTGGTGTAAACAAACACATTGCACTGCCAGTCATATAAAAGTATAGCACATATAATTATGTACAGTATGTTGTACTGATAATGATAATAGATTACTACTTTACTGGTTTATGTATTTACTATACTTTTTAATCATTATTTTAGAGTGTACTCCTTCTACTTATTAAAAAATTTTTTTTAAAAATTTACTTGTAAAACAGCCTCAGGCAGGTCCTTCAGGAGGTATTTCAGGAGAAGGCATTGTTGTCATAGGAGATGAAAGCTTCATGCATGCTACCGCCCTGAAGACCTTCCAGTAGGACTCGATGTGGAGGTGGAAAACAGTGATGTGGATACTCCTGACCCTGTGTAGGCCTAGGCTAGTGTATGTGTGTGTGTGTGTGTGTGTGTGTGTGTGTGTGTCTAGATTTTAACAAAAGAGTTTAACAAGTAAAAAAAAAATCTGAAAAATAGAAAAAACCTTATAGAGTAAGAATATTAAGAAAAAAAGTACAACTGTACATGTTTGTGTTCAAAGCTAAGTGTTATGATAAAAAGAGTCAAAAAGTTGTTTAACATTTTAGCAGTTTATATAAAATCAAAAAGTTACAGTAAGCTAGGGCTAATTTACCAGTGAACAAAGAAAATTTTTAAATAAATGTACTGTCACCTAAGTGTAGAGTGTTTATAAAGTCTACAGTAGGATACAGTAATGTCCTAGGCCTTCACATTCACTCACCATTTACTCACTGACTCACCCAGGGCAATTTCCAGCCCTGTAAGCTCCAGTCATGCTCAGTGTCCTCTAAAAGTGTACCATTTTTTATCCTTTTTACTATATTTTTACTGTACCTTATGTAGATACACAAATACTTACCATTATGTAACAATTGCCTACATTATTCAGCACAGAAACATGCTGTACACATTTGTAGCCTCTAGGTTATATGACATAGCCTAGGTGTGTAGGGGGCTATATGATCTAGGTTGGTGTAAATACACTCTTGGATGTTCACGTAAGGAAACTGCCTAACAAGAAATTTCCCAGAACATATCCTTGTTGATAAGTAACACATGGCTGTATACATGCAATGCTTAACGCTTTGTAAGTCCCCATGCTAATCAGCTTTTCACACTGCTTTTCCTTCTCTCTGGAATTCAACTTCCTTGCCCTTGGCAACACTTTCTGCGCAACTTCTATTCATCAGTAAAAGTACAATTCGGTTATTATTTCCTCAGCAAGTCTTTCCTGGCACTCCTTCCTTTAGGCTCATAATACTATGAGCCTATTTCTATAATTACAGTTAACATCTTTTTTTGTGTGTGTAATTTAAAATTTTTTGGTGTGTGTAATTAAAAAAATTTTTTATGTGTGTAATTAAAGAAAAATAGGGATGGGGTCTTGCGATGTTGGCCAGGTTGGTCTTGAACTCTTGGCCTCAAGCAATCCTCTTGTCTTGGCCTCCCAAAGTGCAAGGATTAGAGGCATGAGTCACCACATCCAGTTTTAACATCCTTTTTAATGTGCAGTTGTCCCTCAGTATCCATGGGGGATTCATTCTAGGACCCCCGTCAGATACCAAAGTCTACAGATGCTCAAGTCCCATATATAAATTGATGTAGTATTTGAATACAACCTATGCACATCTTCCCATATACTTTAAATCATCTCTGGATTATTCGTAATACCTAATACAACGTAAATGCTACGTAAATAGTTGTTATACTGTATTGTTTAGGGAATAATGGCAATTAAAAAGTCTGTACATGTTCAGTGCAGATACAATCATACTTTTTTTCTAATATTTTTTATCTGCAGTTGGTCAAATCCACAGATGCAGAGCCCACAGACATGGAGAAATGACTGTACAAACTTATGTTTCCATCCTTCCTCTATGAATTAATTGTTTTATACTTCTATTTAACCCTGTTCCTGGGTTGTTGAGTAAATGAACAAACCATGAATTCACACACAAAAAAAGTTGTGGACTTTAAATGTTGGATCACACATTTCCTAAATAAAAGTGTTGTTCATACAATCTCAAGAATCTGTGAAATAAAGCATTAAGCATAGAAAAACAATTTTGTGGAAGACAAAACAAAACAAAACCCAAAAACCTGCTGTGTGAAGTAGTAAAATGATTATAAGATTTTTAACTGGAAGGCCTGGTTTTGAGTTCACCAGCACTGTCATTTGCTAAAGGTAAACTCTGACATGGTATCTACAAGACTTGGTTGCTAAAGCTGTTAAATGGAAGGTATATCTCATTGTGAATGTTAAGAAGATTAAATAAAAATTATTTGCATTAAATCAGAAGGATATCATTGAGCAAGGAAGAAAAATACCATTTTAGGGTGAAGGAGGATGATCCCCAAAGTGAGAAAGCAGGGAGTAGTCTCAGAGAATGTAGGAGGGGGTGGTGCTGAAGAATACTGTAGGGGATATGGAATCAGAAATGGGTTCAGAAGTCCATTGGGGCCAGATTGCAGAAGATTTGAAATATCACACTACCTAGATTAGATGTCACTTTGTAGGTAATGGGAAGCTACTGAAGGTAACTAAGGAGAAAAAAGAAATCAGCCAGTTTGTGTTTCTTTTCTTTTTTCTTTTTCTTATCTTTTCTTTTTTATTTTATTTTATTTTATTTTTTTGACACAGTCTCGATCTGTCACCCAGGCTGGAGTGCAGTGGCGTGATCAGAGCTTACTGAAGCCTCTTGACCTTCTGGGCTCAAGTGATCCTCCTGCCTCAGCCCCGAGTACCAGGGATTACAGGTGCGTGCCACCACACCTGGCTAATTTTTCTTTTTTAAATAGAGACAGGATTTTGCCATATTGCCCAGGCTGGTCCTGAACTCCTGGACTCAAGTAATCCACCCACCTCGGTCTCTCCCAAAGTGTTGGGATTACAGGCATGAGCCACTGCACCTGGCCCATTTTTTGTTTCTGTTAAACACTGTTTTGGCTCCAGCATTTTCCATGTATTCACTCATTCATTCCTATCATGTTTTAAGCCTATAACCTGGTAAACAAAACAGACCACATCTTTGAACTCGGTGTTTACAGCCCAACTATGAAGCTATTATATTATCTTCATTTATAATGAAGATAAATCATGAGGAAAAGGCCTGAACTAAGATGGTGGAAAAGAGAATGAAAAGAAAGGAGATGAATATTATGGGAATCATCGGAGGAGGTTTTTGCACTCCTAGTATTCTACAAATAATATATAATAATTAGTCAAGCTACAATTTCTTTGACAAAGTACGATTTTTAATATATTATATAATATAAAAACAAATTAATGCTTTGTCATGGAGCTGATCATTTTCTTGAACTGTGGAAGTGGTTACAAAAATCTCATATGTGATAAAATTATGTAGAACTAAACACACACACACACACACAAATGAATATGAGTAAAACTGGTGCTATCTGAGAAGTCCATGAACTGCAATTACCTGGTTGTAATATTATACAATAGTTATGCAAATAGTTACAACTGAAGGAAACTGGGTAAACAGGATTTTATGATTTCATACAACTTCATGTGAGTCTATAATTATCTCAAAATAAAAAGTTTTTTAATTAACATTTTCCTTGAGGGCTAGACTATAGATCATATTTGACTTTGTATCCCCAGTACTTCATGTTATGCTGAGTTCATGTCAGCTACTTAATAAATGTGTCACTTAAGAGACGTTTGTTGAATAAGTAAATGAATGAATTACAAAGCATCACATCAAATAAACACATCATCTCTGTTTACTAATGTTATGAACCTGATCTTATGAGTTTCTATGTCTGAAATATATGTTTATGGCATTAGTTTAAATAATAGAATCATGAGTATCTGATTCTAGATACCATGAAGTCAAGATCATGAAGATTTCACCAGTGTGAAAAGGTGGTTAGCATGGGGACTCACAAAGCATTAAGCATTGCATGTATACAGCCATGTGTTATTTATCAACAAGGATATGTTCTGGGAAAGTTACTGTTAGGCAATTTCCTTATGAGAACATCCTAAAGTGTATTTACACCAACCTAGATCGTTGAAGATGCTGGCATAGATGCTTGGATGATTCTCTCTTCTGCCACCACATCTCACAGTGTATGGTGAATTCTCAAAATAATGTTCTTAAGAAATACTGATATAATTTTATATGTCCCAAAAAGATATATGGAAAGTTTGTTCTTTTTCTTTTCTCTGAGGGAAAAAAATTACAACCCTACTGGTTCTCAAGACAACCTTGTAAGATGAGTGTTATCTCCATTTTACAGATGAGGAAAGAAAGCTGTAGTTGAACCAGAAACAAACTTAAATTTTCTGTTGAAATCCTTCACTCTGCACTACAAAATGCTGTACCTCAAAGATTTAATATCAATATTTTATAGCAGCCAACTTAATATGTCAACTGTAGACATACGTATGTTTAACACTTTAATCTTCTAAAGATTTTTTTATTCTTTAATTTTCTTAAACAACTGTATACTCAGTAAGTGCCATGATGTACCTGTCTTGACTATTTGACCCCAAAATAACAAAACTGTGACCAAATTAAAATAAAAACAAAAAAGGTAACTTAGTCCTTCATAAATGCCCAAGAACAAAGAATAATAGTGTTGAAAAGTCAAAATTACAGAGCAACTTAAAAAATACTAAGATTATTTATATCATAGGATAATAAAACATACTAAGATTATTTATATCATAGTTACTCCCTAATTGGTACAGAATTAGAGTCTTCTAATAAGGAGAAGCTGACTTATTTCACACCATGGAAAACTGGAGCTAGATATTAGAACTTCCTGGCCAAATAGTTGCTGTCATTAATTAACTGTATTAAAATGTATAATTAATATAAATTAATTAACTCACTGTGCCTCAGTCATCTGTTAAATAAAATGGGGTACTAATACCTATCCTATCTAATGTACAGAAATGTTGAGACTCACAAGATAAAATAGGTATCAAATCTTTTGAAAAGCTTAAAGCATTATGCAAAATTAAAGTACTACTACAAATTTGTAGAATAAAATATCTTTTTTTTTTTTTGAGACAGAGTCTCACTCTGTTGCCCGGGCCAGAGTGCAGTGGCATGATCCTGGCTCACTGCAACATCCACCTCCCGGGTTCAAGTGATTCTCATGCCTCAGCCTCCCAACTAGCTGGGACTACAGGCGTGCACCACCATGCCTGGCTAATTTTTGTATTTTTAGTAGAGACAGGGTTTCTCCATGTTGGCCAGGCTGATCTCAAACTCCTGACCTCAAGTGATCCACCCGCCTTGGCCTCCCAAAGTGCTGGAATTACAAGCGTGAGCCACTGCACCTGGCCCCAAATATCATGTTTAATTTTTGGAATAATCAAGTATTAAAATCTGCATCTGATTTTGTAATACAAATCCAAACTTACCTGGAATACTCACAAAAAGTTATTCAATTTGTGAGATTTGTTGTGATTTGTGTTTGTTTAAGCACTTTAGTAATGTAGTCTGAGTTTTACCAATCTTTCATCAATTTACACAATGTTATACCAAATGATTTCCTTAATTCTCAGTACCTGAGATTAAGAGGTTATGCTAGGTGTTTATAGCAGTTTTAATTCAGTCAACACACAGATCTTCTATGAGTATCTTTGAAGCACAAGGCATGGTGCTAGCTGTGATAATGAGGTCTTTTTCCAAAGGAAAATGTGGTGAATTTCAGGGAAGGTCAAAATAGCCATGCTAAGAATTAAGGTTGTGTGGAAGTTATGCAAGAAACTAACGAGGTTAGAGCCCTCCATCAGATTCCATGTGGATAACAATTAATTTAACACAGGTCAGGGGAAAATGTGGAGACAACTTCTAAAACTGCTTAGCTACATTCAACCATCTTAGCCACTAAACACAAGGAAAATAAGACAAGATCAAGATAGTGTGAAACCTATCTGTCACTACTTCTGGAAATAAAAATGACTACTATGAATAAAGGCATAGTCTCAACCAAGAGCCATGGAAACTTCTCTGTGGAGTTCCTTTAACAATCCACGGTATGAACACTTCTCAGCCTCAGTAGCTGCTGGCCACACCCTAGAGACTTAAGCCCCTGTCCCCTCCGTTTGCCCCTAAGATGTTGACAGTTCATCTGTTCAGTTTCCAGAAGGGAATTAGACATGGCAGGGATATTTATTGTTCTTATCCAATGCTCAGTAGGAATTATTGAGGGAAAACGGGAAAGGAAAAATTAGTGCAATCCATCTCATGAAACACTTGGCCAATGTTACATATTAGCTAACTAGTTAGATGTATAAGATTGCAAGTTTTGGCGGGGCGCGGTGGCTCACGCCTGTAATCCCAGCACTTTGGGAGGCCGAGGCAGGTGGATCACGAAGTCAGGAGATCGAGACCATCCTGGCTAACATGGTGAAACCCTGTCTGTACTAAAAATACAAAAAAAATTATCCGGGCGTGGTGGGGGGCGCCTGTAGTCCCAGCTACTCGGGAAGCTGAAGCAGGAGAACGGCGTGAACCCGGGAGGCGGAGCTTGCAGTGAGCCGAGATCACGCCACTGCACTCCAGCCTGGGCGACTGAGCAAGACTCAGTCTCAAAAAAAAAAAAAAAAAAAAAAATTTGCAAGTTTCCTCCTGGAGCACATAGGTCCCCATGCAAACTCTGCTCATAACTAAGCCTCTTTTTTTATGGGAAAATCACAAACCAAACAGTAAGCAACGGTGAGTATAGAGGCATTAACTTTTCAGATTAAAAAAACAATATGATGGTTTCGATAGTAAGAAATAAACTAACGGGGTGTCAGAGAAAGAAATGGAAATGAAGTAAGGAGTTTGGTTTCATCACTTCAGAAACCTCTATCGAAGAGATGCCTCTCTCCAGTGTCTAAGGAACCAAAGCGTCTGTGCCTCAGGTAACTGAGCTTTAGGAAAAACAATCTCTTGAAAAATGGCGACTTTCATCCTAGCCTACGCCCACATGTACATATTTCTCTCCACTCTCCAAATTTTGGCTGACAGATTAGCCAGTTCAGGTTATAATGCTGACTGATGTTGTGAACTTTATTCATTCATCTATCTTTCTATCCCTGGAACCTCACGAGGCTGAGGGCTGCGTGCTGAGGCCATCGCCAGCACGTACATAAGGTCATCTGCTTATTTACCTGCATTGCTGTATCAAATATGCTGTCACATTTAAACTATAGAGCTACTAAAATATCTGCCACAAGAAAACAAATAATGATAGCCAAATGATGGTGTGTGATTGGTTGATTGTACTGAGTACAGGGGGTTGTTACCTAGTAGTTTTATTAAATATGAAAGCAAAAGATTTATATTATGGGTGATAAGGGCAAGAATGCTGTAAAAGTGAGAAAATATGGCAACAGTGTGCTGTACATCACCAATGGGATAACTATTTATCTAAAAAGTTGGCATTCTTAGACTTCCAACATGCAGTGTATGAAATTCATATATTCAAAGGAGACATCATAATAACCTGCCGGCTGGTAATGATGGATATGTTTTTAAACCAAATGACCACAATCTTCAGTCTACCTGTCATGGAGGGCCAGAAAAAAATGGAATTTTCTTTTCATAACTCTTGATGTTGAAAGAGGAAAAACCTGGAAGAATGATAAGTGGCTCATTCCAATGGACAAATGGACATGGAGCTGAGAGAATGGGTGTGAATAAGTCATTGTTCCTTAACTAATGCCATTTTCACTTGTTACACTGAAAAAAAAAATGGAACGAGGGATGATTTCTGCCCCCTTCATGTCTAAAATGCAGGAGTTCAAACTGCAACAAAAGCTGGAAAACCTTCAACACCATGTGAGTTAATTTACAAATTACCTCTTGCTGAAAAAGTCAGGGAGAGGCTGGCATAATATTTGTCTATTAACTAAAACTTATTGTACAAACACAGCAAGAAGAGTGATGCTGTAGAGCTTTATTGACTAGAAAGCCTCGCCTATGGATTTCCTCCTTTGAGGTTTAAAGGAATTCCTATTTCTCATTTACAGTCTATCAGAAAAGGTATATGACCTGCATTTTTTAATTTATATAAATCCACTCAGTCAATCAGCCTGGGCTGAAATTTAATGGATGTATCAGTCATCGTTGGTCCAGAGAGAGAGAACGAAGCACCAACATCTACTACCTCATCTCCGCTGCTTCTATTATACTCCCCGCAGCCCCGCACCTTTTTTTTTTTAACCTCACTAGCTTAGATACCTCGCTTAACTATTAAGCGGGGAGTCTTGCAAAGTTGTTGCTTTTAAAGAGGGAAGTCTGAGTAAAAATGAGCTGATGGAAATATAGGAAGACTCTGGCTATTTTCACTTTTAAAAAACTTCATTTTCCCACCTGTATCATGGCAATATTATCACACATTCAGCAAATATACAGTAGCAAGATGTTTCCGTGACAAATTAAGTACTTTCTAAGCATTTTATCAGATAAATAAAACATCACCACAGGATGATAAAATCAGCTCATTCAGTTGATTTAACCTGTCCTTCAAGAAACTCACCTGAAATAGATTAAGGACCACCTCTCAGACACACACATACACAAACACACACACTTACGCACTCATTTGCTCACTCTTAAACATATAAGCTGGACTCTCGTACTACTGGTAACAAGGTTCGTAAAGGCCTCCTAACATCAGAGCCAGATAGTACTGTTTACTGGATTAGTATGAAAGATGGTATTCCTATGCATTTCAAAAGATAGGAGAAACTGAAGATGAGAACCTCTTCAAATATCTTTAATCTCAGTGTAATCTGCTAGAGTCTACACTTTCTCCTTTAGTACCCTTAGTAGGTGACTTATAGTTTTATTTTGACATTTCCTTTAATATCAGAAAATATTATATTTTCATAGTCGTATTCTTACCCTAACACTCTAGGCAGAGAAGAAACCAGTGAGTGGTTAGGTTTCTGTCTTTACTTTGCTTTCCCCCTTTGCTAATTTCAGAAAGTGAATCCAGCAATTATAAGTAGTGTGAGGCTGATAAGGAGTCACACATGCAAAAGAAATAGGTTCAATTCAAGCTTCCCTGACTAATCCTTATTATGACTCATTTCGACTTCAGAATTTGTCGGTTGAGGTAAGAAGCTAATTTGGCTTTGAGAAGTAAAATCTCAGTTTTGTACTTTCCTTCTAGTGCTATTAACAACCCCATTATTAAGAGCAAGTTTGCGGAGTTTGGGGGGGGTATGAAATATTTATTGAGTGCCTGCTTTTGCCAAGCATTTTTTGCATGCTATTTTATGAAATCGCTAGACTTAACATCCTTTAAGCAGTAGCATAAATTTCTCTGGCTTTCAAACTCATAGTCTGCACCACACTATCTTGCTTCCCAAAATAAAGTGCATTATTTTTAAAACCTGCACCCAATATCATCCTTACTGTATGACCCTGAGATTAACAGTCTGACATTCTGTGAGATCCTGTCAGGAAACGGTAGCAGAAAGGACCTGATAGATTTCTCTTAACTGCTTCGTTCCTCTATGCACAGATGCTGCTCCTTCTGTTTGCATTCATCAGCAGACCTGTCTCCTCTCTCGCCAGGGGTTCTCTCCTGCAAATACAACTAGGTTTTAATCTATATGTTTTAAGAAAACAAAGGAATCTGGCATTATGCCTGGACCAGCTGTGACATCCCAAAACAAAAGATCACCAGGCCATGCTGACTGTCTTCAGTGCTTAAGTAAATACCACCCTATTTATTAGCCTTGCTTTGGGGAAACCCCAAATGGTCACCTTACCTCCTGACTTATGAATCCATAAAAATGCCCATGATTTATTATTGCATCTCCCTTCTTCCCTATGAATTTGATAATGAAGTTCTTTATGGGAGGCTATTAAGAAGCAACATGGATGCTACTATTTGCTACTTATCCCATATAATTAAAAACACCATAACTGCTATTAGAGAGCAGTATTTAAAGTAGCCAGACTATCATAAATATGGCTGATTTGACTAAACTGTCAATGGCAAATTTCAAGAAGAACCACTAAAAGGAGATTTACTTTTGAAATATATATTACAAAAAGGCTTTTATTCACATTTGTTTTATTTATGTTTTGGTTCTAATGAAATCACTAGACTTACCAATTTGCTAGATAATTATAAAGTCAGAATTCTTAAAAGCAAGTAGTTATCGCTAATTAATTTTCTTCTGGGTATCTCCTTGACAAATTATAATATCTCCCTTTTAAAATTTCTTACATATAGTTAGACCATAGCTTTCTTTAAAAGGTGACATTTATTCCTTTAAATAACACCTTTGATGAAAACGCTGATCAAATAAAAATAAAATTAACATCCAGATTATAGATTCTCTAGTCTTATGAGAGAGGGTGAAGAAAGAAATCTATAAGAGGCCAAAAAGAGACATTCACAGCCAGTAGGCTGTGCTGATTCATGCTCATTTACTAAGTTTCAGTTCCCATTTTATGAAAATAAACCCACTCTAGACTTCCCCCAACAAAACAAATACATGTTTTATGTGATCTTAGGATAAAGTAAGTTATTAGATATTACAGGCAAGCCAGGTGTGGTGGCTCATGCCTGTAATCCCTGCACTTTGGGAGGCCGAGATGGGTGGATCACTTGAGGTCAGGAGTTCGAGACCAGCCTGGCCAACATGGCAAAACCCCATCTTTACTAAAAATACAAAAAAAAAAAAAAGAAAATTAGCCAGGCATGGTGGCATATGCCTGTAATCCCAGCTACTCGAGAAGCTGAGGCAGCAGAATCGCTTGAACCCAGGGAAGCGGGGTTGCAGTGAGCCGAGATCACGCCACTGCACTCCAGCCTGGGAAACAGAGCAAGACTCTGCCTCAAAAAAAAAAAAAAAAAAAGATATTCCAGGCAAAGTTGACTCAAGCACATGAGTTGGTGAAATCATGTACATGTGAATTATTCTAGTATTCTAGTCCTGTCCATATTCGATCAGAGAAATTCTAATACCCTAACAGCAGAATAAAAAAGGAAAGAAAAGAGTGCTCAGGAGGATTCTTGCCAGTATATCTTAAATTTTAAAAAAATAATAATAAATCAGCACTGTGAGTTGTGGTGAATACAAACCAATCAAGGCAATGAGAAAAAAGCTTAAGTATTCTTGTATAGATGCAGTTAAAAGATTTTTTAAACATTTAATTACTTTGTTTATCTAAGGAGTCTCAAGATATCTATAGAAGTTCCCTGAAGTTGTCAAATAAATACTGAGCCAACTACTGTTCTTGCAGTTAACCAACAACTAACATGTGCAGGGGTGTCCAAGCTTTTGGCTTTCCTGGGTCACATAGGAAAAAGAATTGTCTTGGGCCACATATGAAATACACTAACACTATGATAACTGATGATCTTTAAAAAAAAATCACACATAAAAATCTTATAATGTTTTAAGAAAGTTTACTCATCTGTGTTGGGCCGCATTCAAAGCCGTCCTGGGCCATATGTTGGAAAAGCTTGATAAAGGTTACCTTTAATTAAGTTTTGTCTCTGTCAACTTTGTCCTTCTTTGCCTGTCTAGAGTAGCAAACAGTGTTCCAGTGACTCTGTGAGAAGTAGCCTGATTTTCAGGAAAAGGTAATTTAAGAATAAGTGAAGGTCTTTGTTACTAATTCTGTATAAATGTAATTTTTTTTTTGCTTTTTTTTTTAAGTGCAAGGAAAAAATAGACAATGGCTTTTTTTAATGGCATGTTTTCAAAGCTGGATAGATGTGTGTGTGTGTGTGTGTGTGTGTATGTTTGTGTGTGTATGTTTCTGTGTGTTTGTGTGTGTGCAGGAGTGGGATTTTTGTTGAATGTGGGGGTGGGAAGAGAGAGAGCTGGGATGCCAAAGGAGGAAGTGTAGAGCCAAAAAAGAATGGGTGAATGGGGGATAAACTTCAGTCTTGCCTAACTCACCTGAATTTTATTGACGGCCCTTAAATTTTACAGAGTTGCTTGATGTAAGGAAAATATCTCATTTTATTTGGTGCTGGAAAATGGTTTTAAATGCAGGTAAAAAGGAATCAATCACCTCAAAGACTTTTTGGGAAAAGGCTGGGTATAAATAAATTTTCTTGAAGTAAAAAGTATTGAAAAAATATAAAAAGGATTACTGGTTACCTTTTGAGTTAGCAATGTGATTCATTTTCATGTGTGTTCCGTTCCCCATATAGACCTTGCTTATTTAAATGAAGGCTAGCACTTCACTGGCTCAAAAAAAGCAGATCTTTTAAATTTACTTTGGAACTGAATTGAGTCAAGTGGGATACTGTTAACTAACCCTAAACATCTAGTAAATTCGGCTGGGCGCGGTGGCTCACGCTTGTAATCCCAACACTTTGGAAGGCCGAGGCGGGTGGATCACCTGAGGTCAGGCGTTCAAGACCAGCCTGGCCAACATGGTGAAACCCTATCTCTACTAAAAATACAAAAAAATTTAGCTAGGCATGGTGGTGGGCACCTGTAATCCCAGCTAGTTGGGAGACTGAGGCAGGAGAATCGTTTGAACCCAGGAGGCAGAGGTTGCAGTGAGCCAAGATCATGCCATTGCACTCCAGCCTGGGAGACAAGAGCAAAACTCTGTCTCTCTCCAAAATAAGAGGAAGAAGGAGAAGAAAAAAAGATCTAGTAAATTCTAAAGTGTAAAACATCACATGCCTTTCTGTACATATGGAGCCAGAGGAAATATTAAAAAAAAATTCTCTTTTCATGACTTTATCATAGGTACTCAGTTAACAAATAAGATATAATAAGATATAATCACTAGATATAACATATAATATTATCCACACGTATATGTCTATGTTAATCTATAATGTAAAAATTGGAGGAGTAGATTTTTTTTAAATCATAATTTAAATAAAACCCCCTACCCACAGCCCAAAATGATACTGTGTTCTGAATGATTCTGAGGAAGAAAAATAGGAAAATTTGATTCAAGTCTGGAAGCTACCAATTCCATTCACAGTTCTAAACTTTGATTTACAATTTATAATCATTTTTATATAAATTAGCTCTTCCTAGTCCACAATGACACTACAGCTTTGTAAACTTATCTTGTTAGATACAAAAGATACCAGTAAGTCTTTAAAAATAGTATGTTTAAACTTTCCTGATTGCAACAGTGTCTATTTCAGTATAAATGACTTGTTTGACTCTAGTTTACAATCGCTTTAAGTATTTCTTTTTTGGGCTAATCAAGTAGGTACCTGTCCATGTGGTTTATCTAGGCACAAAACACACAGTTACATAGAGATTTACACGTTTTAAGACTTTCATTTAATAGTTAGTATATATTAATATATATGCAAAATCCAAAACAATGCTTTGTACATGGTAGCCAACTAAAATATTCTGAATGGCCACATAAACGAATATAATTGACATAGAAATTATTTTCTATTTTTTTATATCTAGTAAGGAAAAAAAGGACACAATCTGTGTAAATTATTCACTAAAAAGTCAAATGTGTTATCCCCACTATAAAAAAATCTGTTTCCAAAAGGACACACAGTTGTTTTATTTTGCTAAATCAATACCCAAAAATATTACTTTTCTTCAGTTACACTTCCGTTGAAAGTCCCAAAGATTCCCTACCTGGAATTGCCCATATTTGAAGTGCAAAACAGGCTGAGCATTATCTAAATCTAGATAAAACTCATTGGTTTGTAATCTGCACAATGATCTATACATCTAAATCTATATGCAAATCGAATGCTTTCATGCATTAAAGCATTCCAAAGCACCCAGGACCAAGGGAGCAGCAGGTTCTTTCAGATCCTTCCCCTGTTACTCTTCTTCTTTCCTTCTATTTATTTATACTAGCTACCTAAATAATTCACACTGCCTGCTTTTCAGCCCGAATGTTCCTCAGAAGAGGCCTACAATGAGCTATTGCAGTCACCAGATGGACTCATGAATGCAGCAGGTGGGGCAGATGGCAAGGCGCCCTGTCTGATGCTGCCTGCCTGGGCATGGACTGCCTTTTCCTTCCAGGTACATTATCATCATCCTAACACTGAGCGGTGTGTAGTTTGGGGGTGGGGTGGAAGTGGGGCATTGGCAAATCCTTTACATGCAATACTAGAGAAATCATAAATTACCAGCTGCCCTCTTCCTCCTCGTCCCCCACCCCCAGCAACCCCTGATGTTTCATGTTGTTGCTTTGTTAGTGAGTTTGTCTTTTTTAAGACTACGGTGAAGGTTTCCGAAGCATTCTGGCACTATACATGACGAAGAATGCATCCATTTTAAACAGTCCACCTCAGCTTTAAAAAGTGAAGAGAATTCAAAGGGAGTGATATGGGAAAACTCAGAAAGACTATGGCGGGGGTGGGGGGCTGGATAAAGCATGTTCACAAATATTTTGCAAAAAAACCCACAAACGAAGCAAAAACATAGGTGAGATGACTCAGCTCATGTCTGCAGTGCTTACATAAAGGTCCTTTGCATATATGGAGTGGAAAAGATAAAAACCATATGTTTACAGCCTTTTGATGTTGCAGAAAATGCTGGCTGTGCCCACGTTGCAATAGTTCTTTGTCTGATATTTCTGGTGTCATTTCTAAAAGTGTGGCATTTCCCTTCCAAAGTTTGCAATCCTGTAATACTATAACACACAAAAAAACTGCATTGCATATCACTTGCAATTGGAAACTTACAACATCATGATGCCAAGCTATCCTGAGACAAGCACTCAGTAACATGTAGTATAAATTTTAATTGAGCATAAACACTTGACAAAAACTCTCTCGAGATATTTCTGGCATATTCCGATTGGCAATGGTGCCCTGATACCATGATTTTAATCCTTCTATAAACTTAACTGATGCCAATATAAATCTTATTACCTAACTTCACTAATCATCTAATTAAAAACATCTAAAAATGTGAAAGACAATAATTTTAATGACCTGGAGCAAACCAATCTGTATCTTCAAAAATAAATAAATAAAACTCCTAAATAAAATGCATCCACTGAAGAGATGCTGCAAACAGAGAACTGCTTTGAATTCAATCTTTGAGTCCTCAGGCAAATTGAAATCCCAGGCTTTTGGGAACTACCAGGCAGTGTTGCAGGAATGCTGGACAAAGACAATAGCTGTGAGATTATCTCAAGATTAAGGGCAAGGTTTTCTTATAAAAACTACTTTTCAATAGTCATTTACTTTGATTGGAATGAGTTTACTAATTCAAACCTTTCCCTCAAAGTCAAACAACATAAACCTTCTAGAGTTCAAACAAATCCTTCTTACCTTCTCTGCTACCTGGGAAATATACTGTCTTACATGATCTTTAAAAGCATTTTTTTTTCTTTTCATTAATCAGTCTAAAAAAATCAAACCATATACAAGTAACGTTGAGCATTTTAAGATTTAATGGCAACTTTGGTGATCAAGTCTTCACAAAGAAAAATAATCGGGCCCACCTTTTAGCTGAAGGAACACAGGCCAGATCAGACTTGACTGCTCCAAGACCCCAATCACATTCTCGCCACATTCAGGATCTAAATGCACAATTCCTAATTACATTCATGATGGGAACTTTACATCAGTTCTAAAAAGCCAAAACCAGAAAGTTAGGGTGAAAGTTGCAATTTGCTGAAGTTTTATGTAAAACTACAGCTACTTAAGTCCTGAATTTATTTTATGAAGACTGACTCCTTTTTACATTGGAGACTTAGGTATGAAAAATCCCATTTTTAAATGTTTTACATGCATTCACATATTTTTATCATTCATTTCAAGATCTTAGTGCTTAAGACAGTGTCTCCACATAGCCAAATACTTTTGAATGATCAAGAAAATGCAGTTCAATGCACTAAATTGAGAGCTTTAATGATTTTAAAAACTGCAAAAGAACACATGTAATATTTTTTGATGCAATGTGAGACTATAAGCAATTAATTTGACACCAGAGAGTTGGTTATATGGAATACACTTCAAAATCAATTTTAAACTGATATTTTCTGATTTTATTAACTATCATTAAGCTATGTACCCATAACCTAATTACTGTACATAATGGAGGATACTTAAAAATACTAAACAGAAGAGAATAAACATTTCTTAAGAAAAAATACACTGGAAGGCAAGTGGTGTTAGATTAATTTTTTAAGATAGCAACTGTGGAATGGAAACAATTTTTAGAATTTATGTAGTTCATAATGATTTGAATATTCTTGGTATATTCAACGTGTGTTAAGACAGTCGTAATTAAACTGGTAGGCAATATTACTTCTAAAATAAAATTAGTAGCAAAGTCTCAGAAAAAAAAGCCATTTAAAAAAATAAAAGAATAAGTATAAATAAAGAATGAAGAAACTAGTATGTAATTACAATTTAAGCCTGGAATATAAAAGATAATAAAAGTAATATATATTACCAAGATGCTACTGAAAGAGAATTATAAACAAAATTTTAATTTTTTACATTTCAATAGTATTCTTTTAGTTAAGTTTACATTATATTCACAAATAGATCCACCTTATATAAATGTCTACATTTGGACACATTTTTGGAGTGTTAGAAATCAGTGTAATGACAGTGGTCATTGGAGAAATGCAAACCAAAACCAAAACGAGATACCATCTCACGCCAGCTACAATGGTGAGCATTAAAAAGTCAGGAAACAGCAGATGCTGGAGAGGATGTGGAGAAATAGGAACGCTTTTACACTGTTGATGAGAGTGTAAATTAGTTCAACCACTGTGGAAGACAATGTGGTGATTCCTCGAGGATGTAGAACTAGAAATACCATTTGACCCAGCAATCCCATTACTGGGTATATACTCAAAGGATTATAAATCATTCTATTATAAAGACACATGCACACGTATGTTTATTGCAGCCCTGTTCACAATAGCAAAGACTTGGAACCAACCCAAATGCCCTTCAATGATAGACTGGATAAAGAAAATGTGGCACATATACACCACGGAATACTGTGAAGCCATAAAAAAAGGATGAGTTCACATCCTTTGCAGGAACGTGGATGAAGCTGGAAACCATCATTCTCAGCAAACTAACACAGGAACAGAAAACCAAACACTGCATGTTCTCACTCACAAGTGGGAGTCAAACAATAAGAACACATGGACACAGGGAGGGGAACAACACACACTGGGGCCTGCAGGAGAGTGGGGGGCTAAGGGAGGGATAGCATTAGGAGAAATGTCTAATGTAGATGACGGGTTGATAGGTGCAGCAAACCACCATGGCTCATGTATACCTATGTAACAAAACTGCAAGTTCTGCACATGTATCCCAGAACTTAAAGTATAATTTAAAAAAAAGAAATCAGTGTAATGACAATACATATACATGCAAAAAGCTTACATTTGCATGTGTTCAAAGAAGAGTTATGTGTATGTACATGTGTGTACAGATATATATGTGTATGTGTGTGTGTGTGTATATATATATATATATATTCAATTTCTCTAATTAATTAAATTGTTATTTTCTTATTTCAGACCTTTTCCTGGATATGGCCAAGTCTGAAGTTTCAAAATACATGTTATTCTGAACCTAATAAAGAAAACATATATCCAACCTTTAATCTAATATATACTAGAATTAGTTTAATTTAAAAAGAGAAACATACTTTTAAATGCCCCCCTTCTTTTTGCCAAACAAAATATTCACAAAGTGACTCAAATGCCATGATTCAATGCAATGATCCATTTTCTGAATTCATACAGACCCCTTTATTAACTATGATTTTTTTGCCAGCTTTTTTTTCCTATGTAGGTAGTGCTGATTTAAAAAAAAAAATTGGAGGGAGTATGTATACTCTCTAATGAAATTACTGATTGTACTTATTTGTGGTTTGCCGACCTTGGTGAAAATATAAATTAAGTCACATAATTAAACACACAAAAAAATCTTAGAATAAACGAAACAATAATTTTTTTTAGAGCTGGAAAATACAACACACCAAATTTGTAAATAAGGACAGTGTCTTTGCAATATTAACCTGTAATCCTGGTTCAGGATTTACCTAATTTTTGTTTTATTTTGCTTTTCTCTTCTGAGAGTCTTAGAAGAATTTTCTGCATGTGTTTTGAGTTTATAGTTTTAAAAAAAGAGAAAATGAGTGCATGCTCCCTCGCATGCCTTCTCTGCACCTAAACAGAGCCATTTACATAGCCCATTGAACACTGTTTAGTAAACAAGGCGGGTACAAGTCCAGAGTGGCTTCTATCTTCCAGTCCTGCCGTCTTTTTAAAAAACAAGGCAGGGGTTCTGTTTTTAGTACACACTTCGGTTCAGTGTTAATCCTGTTTTATGTTGTTCACACCTGCTGCTGACTAGCAGCCTGCTGATGGGCTGGGGCTCACGCTGCTCAGAGAAATCCCACTAAAACTAACGAAGAAGCTGGACAAAAGCTACTGTACAGAGCTGGAAACAAAGCCTGCCCAGGGTCCAGAAGACAAGAGAAACAACCCCACAAAATCTTTCCTGTCATTTGCAGATAAGGCTCCAATGTCCCAAGTTTGCCTGCCACTAAACAAAAAAAGGCAACCAATTGCTTTTTTTGAAAAGTCTGACCACCATTGGGTTATTTACATTCCTGAGCTTTTTATGTCTTTTGGTAAAATTGATGCAAATAGTTTTTAAAAATGCTGTTGTAATCAGGTGTACATGTGAGTCACTACTTTGAGTCCTTAGCAAAAGAATCTGTACTTAAACATAATTATTCATTTGAAATACTCCATGGCTAACCTTTCTACTCATGGAATTTTGCATCCAAAGTGAACAGAGAATAAATATATTCTGCCATTGGTGTCCATGGTGTGGCCAGGACAGTGACTTGTGTACTAAGACTGCTCTCTTCCCACCGCCCCCACCCCGCTGCACTGCATGCGCCTAATAGCAAACATCAAAAGGAATGATTTCTTTTTTGATCTTAGTACCAGCGATAAATCAAATTCAGTGCCACAGACAGGGGGGAAATGCACTACTAAGGGAAAACTCCAAGACTGACAGTGGGACCAGGCAGAGGCATTCGCTCAATCAAGTTTCAGTAAACGATGCCCACCCTTCTCGTTGAAACAAGATGTAAGCTGTCGTGCATTTACCCAGAATGAGAAAAACGTACTGAGTCCTGACGTGACCCTAAGTTAAGAAGCACTTTGTGCTGACATTTCTAGTGGTGGCATCAGAGCCCCTCCCTCCTACCTATCGACCGAGCCAATTTCCTTCCTATCTGGGAGCCAGGTTCTGCCGCAGGTGGGCAAGGAAAGCTCCTATTGGCCACTGCAGGACAGCTCCAATAGGAGCTGCACATCTGGGGGTCAAATGGTGGCTCTGGGATCATTTTATTACAACTCCTGGGGCACCTTTCCTGACTGCAATAGCCAATAAAGCATCCTCGGCTCCACTGCCAACTCGGGGAGTTCTGCAGCTGCCCACACCACAGCGGTGCACAGATTTCATGGAGCACAGTTTTAATACTTCTCTGGGGGAAATACAAAAAGCACTAACTAGCATATTAAGGTTCTCTTAACGAATGAATGTGAGGATGAAATATTTGAGGTGTTGGTATCTTTTCCCCAATTTGTTTTGAAACCCTTTACCCTTAGCAATGTGCTCTTCCTAGGTCACTACTGTGTTCTAATAGGAGGTTTCTCTGGCATTTGTGACATGGTCTTCCTCAGCAGATGCAAATTTTACATGGATTCTCAAAAGAAGCTAAGCAACCGCAGAAGACATATCAGATAAATGTAAACTTTTTCAGTGTGTACAATACTTTATACTTGGCAGCTCTGTAATGATGTTAGAGAAAAAAAGTTGCTAAAAATGATATTATAATATACTTGGTATAATTGTAGATAGAATTCATGTGTCTCCCATCATCTGTGACAGCCCATCAGAAAAATAATTTTAAAAAAGTTGTTGCTTTCAATTTGATTATGGAATATGAATGGTAGAGAAATAAATTCAATTATTGTGTTGAATCATATGAAATTACTGATACTTGACCATTGTTTGACCTACAAAAATGGCAACTTCACATGATTCTTTCTAATATAATTAGAATTCTATTACCTTGCTTTCATTCAAAAAAGTCTGATGTTTCATCAAGGAATTTTATGATTTCAAATTTGACCTTCCTATTCCTTTTTCCCTCAGAAAGCCACATCAATTTTTTAATTAATATCAAAATGAGAGAACTTATCTAAGTTTATTTTAAGACTGGAACCTATTAAAGTCTTGGGTACATAGGCCCTAGTGGTAAACATTTCATGTGAAATGAAGTTTTTTGCATGTAAGAACATTTACGTATTCAATGGAGTGTTTACTATATGGTCCCCCTTTGGTGAAGCCACTTAGCAATGCTATATAACGGAAGAGCAAATGCTTCATTCCAAGTGCCAAGACTGCACAATAATGGAATATGATAGAAAATCTTATCCTTGAGGTCCTTGGCTAAAGGATTTGAGACATGGATAATTTTTTTTCCAGCGACTTTCTAAGTTTACTCAGGACAAAAAGATTTCAGTGTATCAGCAGTAGTGGCGGTTTTCAGATGAAATGATATTTAGTGTTTTGCATGTAGTATTGGCGACGTGATGAATACCCTCAGATGAGAAGGAGAAAAATATAAGCAGCTGTGCGCTTTATCAAGGTGCGCTACCTGCTGCTGCCTCCCAGCACTGCTGCTAAGCTTGCCCACTTCTGAAGAAAGTGAAGACCACCTTATTTTGATTATAGTGCTTTCCTCGGGCAGGAATTTTTATTTCCGTTGAATCTTAAACCATTACATTTCCAGTGATGCATTTTTATGTTTACAATTGACATCTTCATAAAAGAATGAAACCTTTGAGCAACAGCTTAAAAGCATGAAGGTTGCCTGCAGTAAGTACTTAAATTATTTTACACCTAAATGGAGCCCAGTTGTTTTTAGTGAAAATTTAATAAACCTTAAACTGATGACCTTTCTTCCACAGAAAGGTCCCAAGTTGCAAAAACGAACTTTCCAATGAAATATATTTTAAGGAACTAGTACTGAACAAAGGGCTATTTAAAGCTGAACGCTTTGTCAATTTATCAGCTTGTGAACATTCTGTTCCTGAATTCCCCACTGCTGCTGAATGTATAGAACGGTGGTGCCTTGCTTAATCGAATACTATTGATTTGAGTGTGTCACAGTGATCTCATTGAGAGTAATCAATAGTAATCCAAAATCAATCAATTTGCTCTTGCACTATCACTTATCAAATCTGAATACGCCAAATTATTTGTAGGCGTCAAATTACAAAGAAGAGAAAATGGCAGAACTGGGAGAGTTAATGGTTTGTATTGAAGAAAAAAACCAATATCTCTTTTTTCAAAGGGAGGTGCTTTAAGATGGACTATTACTTGGACAAATACATTTATCTTCTCATTAAAGAATCCTAACTTTATAATTAATCTCATTCCTTTCTTGAAAAAAAAAAAAAAAAGATTTCTCCTGTAGGAGTTTGCTCGTTCAGCACAACTCACAGATGCCCTAACTTATTTAACCAGAGCACACTAGCATTTTACAAGTCTGATCAGCTAAGTTTCAAATACCTGTAACCCATCTGCTGAAAAAAGAGGGAGACTGGATTGACATAGGGCATAACTGCATCTTCTAACATCAGAAATGATGTTTAATAGAATTGGAGTGGAGAAAGGAGTACTTAATTTCTCCAGAGAATGTACAGCAGAGACGCACCTGCTTATCAAAGAAGCTGCTGTTGATGCTGAAGTTTCTTTTATCAACATATTCACCTGTAATTTCATCAAGGTAATAAATCCCTCTATTCATAACAGCACACTCAAAAGCACCCCTCCTATTTAACTTGAATGAAAAAAGGCACAGAGTGTCTAAAACATTTACTTTTGCTAATGTAACAGTGTTGGCATTTTACTTCATTCCTGATAAGCTGGTGCCAGTAGAAGTGATTATTCTTTTCTTATTCAAAGCCTATCAGCATTTCGAAAAGCTCTCTCAGTCTTATCAGGTGTATGAACAGCACAGTTAACTGAAAACAGTTTGTACTGCTCCTCTCTCTTTCTGCCAAGCTATCTGATAAACCCCCAACTAACTAACTGTATTTACACACAATCAAACATAAGTTGTATCTTCTATGCACTATAGCCAGATTCCAGTTTACCATAGGTTTTTCTGCTGTAACATTAACTTAGCAAAAATGTCAGCCTCCAGTATCCCAAACTGACAACAATCAAGAAAACACTATAAAAGCACTCAACTAGAATGCACTACAAACAGAAACAAAAAGAAAAACAAATATAAAAAGTTGAAGGCAATCTCTTTGGAATTCAGAGGGAAAATCAGGTGTACTCTGTATGCAAATATGGGTGAATATCATGCACTTACCTTTTACCAAAGTAAATGACCCTTTAATAAAACAGATGAATAGAAACAGAAATTGTAAAGGAAAATACTGCCGGGATAGAGGAAGGGAAGGTGTTTAGGAAAGTGTTTTAGAACTTAGCAGGCATTCCCCCCACACTTCAGGTTATCTCAATGTGGCAGCAGAGAAGTTCTATAATGTAAGCAAAGGAAGACAATAGACAATATCACCGAACTTACCCCAGAAACTGAAGACAAGATAGAAAGCAAGGCTGTCACATATGGTGACCACATTCTCAGGATAGATTTTCCAATCATTAAAACCCTCATAAATGCTCTAGACATTAAAGTTTTGTTCACTATAAGAAAATAAAGAAATAAAAAAATACAATTTGAGTTTTTAACCTCTTATTATTTGTCTTATTCTTCAGACTTAACCAACTGAATAGTTCAATATAAAGACATGAAAAAAGAATCATCATTCACATTAATGTAAATAGATGATCTGTTCTCCATTTCTATCTATTAAAAAATGCTTAAACTAGGTCATGGCTCATACGAATTGAAAGACACACCTAATCATTTACGGGTAGTACTTTGGAGCATGAAAGATAACAATGACATTTCTAGAGCATAAGAGAAATCGGAAATCTACTTGAATGACTGAGTAACAACAAATTCCTGACCCTAGGAAAGAATCTCTGCCTGAGCTTCTGTGCATAAATTGTCCATTTGTTCCTCACCTCCCTTTGCTGAATGACTACGAGAGAACAGAAAAAGGCGGCCACATGCTCCCACCTGAGCCCAACTCCTGATGCTGTCTAGACTCCAAGAACAGAATGAGCCTTCCTTTAGATGTGTAGAGCAATAAGATGAATTAGCCAAGTGTGTAGTTCAGTACAATTCAGCTGATAGTTGCTTTTCCATCTGTGACACTATGATCCCATGACTGATGAGGCAGGTCTCATTCAAGTCTATGGATAAAAGGGATGTTTCCGTCATTTCATAGGACCCAGCACCAACTGTATACAGTCACTTTCTCATAGGAAAAAGACATGGTTCTCACCAACCATATACATCTTTCCCTTTCTTTGGTCATGAACAGTTGGTTACGGGTATGATATTCCTCCTCAAAATATCTGATCTGTTTTAATGGATTAATGGCTGAAAAGAAATTAAAAATTATCAGAATATTCTTTTATTTATGTGAAAATGAATACAATTTAACATGCCCATCTTACATTTTTGGAGAAGTTAATGTACTAGGATAATTTGGAATTATGGAGGGCAAAGGGCAATCAATTGAACAACCTCACAGTTTATTTTTTTTCTCTTTAATGAGTACCTCAGTCTATAATTTTTTATATGACCTGTTATTTTGGTTAATTTTGGATGCAGTTCTGGATATATGACTAATATGCATTTACTATTATTTTCAAAGCAACATAAGTTCTTATAAATATTGTTACATAATAACTGCCTTGAAAAGTATCCTTTTAAGATATTTTAACTCACATTGTGAGTATGAAAAAAATACATATTTCTTTAATGAATCCTTTGTTCAAATTCTCAAAAGCCATGAAAAATGAGTAAAATCTTTCTAGAGTAGATGAAAAAGGAATTATCATTTACAAAGGTATTGTTGTGATCATGGAAAAAAAGAATTTAGTGTGCTTCTGCCTATTTTCTGTACATAAGTTCTTAATTTATATTTTAATTTTCTTTTGTTTTTGCATATTGAATATGCCATACAAAAAGAAAGCGTAAGATTTTTTTGTTTTCCAGAAAACATATGCAAAGTGCAACAAAAAGAGGTGTCCCCTGATAAAGGTGGATTGTCCGTGTTCCTTTGGATTCTCCACTTCTTCAAGTTTTTATTTACTTCATAAATAAGAGCCACTGAGGTTCACCACTTCAGAGACTTTTGTCTTTCTAAACCTATTTTACTTTCAAGGTAGTAGAAAAATTTGAATGAACCTAATTTATTTTTTTCTTGGAAACTTATTGCTATCTATGCTATCTGTATTCCTACAGTTCATTTTTAAAGATAAGTAAGCAAGCAAGCTGTTTTTTCATTACATTTATACTAGCCATCAATCTGATATGAGAATTTATTGGTAGCTTCCCTTTTATTTAGTACCATCTTAGCCAACTGTTTGCAGAAAAGGTGTATAATGAAGCAAAGTTAAATTGACATGTCTGTGATATGCCTGACAGCCCTCAGTATGCCCAATATTAATTTGTTTTCTTTGGCTAGGTAAGTCCTGCCAAAGCATATTACACATAATGTGTACTTCCAACCAAAATGATGAAAAGTATATATGAAATTTTGTTTCACTCAAAGAAAAATGAGAAGTCACAGAGGAATATATATGACAAAGACTGTTTTTTATAATTAAAATATAAATGTACTTTTCAGTTCTTCTTTTAGAATTTAATCTAATCTGAAGTAGGCTCCCTGTAAGTTTTGGCAATTTAATAGGTATTTAAAATTTTTTAAATGCCAAAACCAAGTGTTTTCCTTTTCTATATTGTTTGAAAGAATTCCATATAGCCATAGGTTGTATTTCTAATTGTTAGTGTTGCGTGGTTTATAGCTACATTCAAATGCACATATAGATCTTTGCCAGTATACTGAAATGGACTTTAACTGACCAGAAGGAAGCCAATTTCTTTAAAACTGTACCTTTTCTTTCATTGTTTTGCCTCAGTAAGTTACCTTCCAAGTATACATGCATTGTCATAAATTAAAATGACATATCATTTGAAGAAATCAAAACATCAAAAGCAAGTTTCCCTCAAACATTTAAAATTATTTTTAAACATTATAAGGGGAAATTTGTGTATATACACACATATATACAACACTCAATAAATCTAAACTCTCTCAATTCAATAGTTTTGGATAATTGAGTGGAAGATACTTTTGGAAAATCCTGGATAATTGATTAGAAAACACATTTGGAAAATACTGAGAAATATTGTCCAAATCATAGGACAAGAAACATGTGTCACTTCTGGAAAGAAAAAGTAGAGTGGAGAGATGTGTGTGCTAAAACTCTGAATGGAAATTATTTTATTAGCTTAGGTTTCCTAGACCTTACAAAGTACAAGACTAAAAATGAACTTGAAACAAGAATAAAAGGCCAGGTAAATCCTTCAAAAGGCTGTCATTTCCCACCCTCAGATAATAAAGGAGCTAACTTTGATCTGATAGATTGGCATAAAGAAGCGGTTAGCAGAATTTTTTTAAAAACACAATAGCAGTAAATTTGTTAAAATGTTATGCAAATAAATAAAGGTAGGCAATGAATCTAGGAATTTTAAAAAGAACATGAATTAGAACAAGAATTAGAATAGAAAAAGCAATTGCATAAGTGCTTTCTCTCAACAGTCATTTACTAAGTAAATTCACAGACTTCTAAACTTACCTCTTAGAATAAAATTAAATAATTCTGAAATCTATAATGTACTTTATAGAAATATAATACTTATAGTTTTATATATTTGCTTTTAGAAAAAGAGCAAATGATATGTTTATGTAGTACAGATAAAGGAAATTCATATTTTGCATTTGTTTGAAAGCTATCATGCTTTACATTAAGATGTATTTGTCAGGCCCAATTGTGTAAGAAAAGAATGTAGCCAAGAGCTAATTCAAAATTGTTTCTTGGATATGGGCCCAAACCATTAAATTATACATTTAATATCAGTAGTTTCTTTCCTATTTTACAAATTATTTATGATTTCCAGATACTGAATACATGAATAACAATAATGTGAAAATTCTAAAATCAGAAACAAATTGACTTACTAGGTTACCTGTTACCTGTCTAACACACAGTAGTTAAGTAAACTCAGATTAAAATCAGATCTGTAAATACCTGAAATACCAATTCCAGGTTAAAATCATGCCTGGCAAATTTAACTGGCAACTAACTGATTAGAATAATACTTGAGATCTACTTTATTATATAAATGTACATGAATACTTTTAGCAGCATACCTATAATCTACGTATACATTACCTCTTCCCACATACATGCATATTTCACATGCATACTATACATGCACACAAATATACTCCTGGGTATCCTATCGACTGCTTTGAGTTTTAAAGTACCATGTGTGTATTTATTTATTAATAATAGTATAGTTCATGTATATCCACATATACATGGCTATCAAAAAAATCAATGACAAAAACATACAAAATGCAATGGAAAGATTGTCAAGCAGCAGAGATGCTTGGTGTCATCCTTGCACTATCAAATATACACATAAGTATGATTGGAGAAAGAGAGGCTAAATATCTCACTGTCAGAGAATGTAGAGAACTGCAATTCATTCTATCTGTTGTGCTTTAGGACATGACAATTTAATACAATGCCAGTGGATGTAAAAGAGATAAAAATGGAACAAACTGGGCCAGTGTAATCAAAGATTTTCTCCAGAGAGCTGGCTAGGGCCGGAGCTCATACGCACTTATAATAGATCAACATTGTATTGTTTCTCTCTTCCATGAATTTGCTATGAAGCAAAATTCAGAGCAAAGCTTATCTGCTGCAATGACTCTAAAGTTCTACTGAGATCCCTCAGATCCTCTCCTCTTATTTCTAAAAGCTGGATAAGTGATGCTAAAAAGTTTATTTGATATTAATTGGTTTAATAGAAATCATTGCTATTAATTGCCATTTGTATGAAAAAGTATCTCTCATCAGCATATAATTTATTTTATAAAATAATACAAAGCAAAACCTTCAGTGCTTAACATCACTTTACAAGTAAGACAGAGAAATATTTTCTTTAGTCATTGAGCTAAAACAAATGTTGAGGAATTTTTCGTAAGTGATACGGACTTGAGATTGGGCATTATGCCTACCTTCCAAAAGAATGGCTTCTTCTTTGTCTGTAATTCTTGCAGGAGTGAGGTATTGCAAAAGTATTGTTAAATAGAATCATAGAGAAGTTAGCTTCCTTCTTTGATGAATAGCACCAGGTATCTAAAATTAATTGCAAAAGTATGGCCCGGCTAATGAGATGGTCCTTATCTTTTCTCAGCCAGGAAGCACAAGTATTTTTCTGCTGGCTCAATATTTTACAAAAATGCCTGAAGTGTTATTAACTAAGTAAGAAAAAAACTGATTAAAATACCTCAAAGATATAAATTGTTATAAATTGTAAGATCTGAAAAATTTAGAGTTAAAGCTGATTTCCTGCATTATTTTTAAACCTTCTTTTCTTTTCTTTTTTCACTTTAAAAAGAACAACAACAAAAAAATCTTTCCTCCTGCTTCTATTAGCATTTTTAAAAGCTGAGTTAATTATTATTCTTTATAAAATGACCAATATATATTACAGGTCAGATTAAATCAAAGAAATATATCAAATGCCGTCAATTTAGGGAAAAAAACAGAACAATGATACCTTATTTGGGGAAAACACTAGAAAAATGATCATCCATGCAAGAGAATTAATGGATATCCACAAGGGCTTTGCTAATAACATGGGTTAATTACCGCTGCAACACACTAGGCTCAGTAAATAAAGCAGCAGTGCCATAAACACATTAAGATGAGAAACCATCACTGTAAGAAGAAATAGCCAACACCATCACCCTTAGCTCTGCCCAGGAAATGAAAGCTGTTTCTTAGTCCTTTCTATAAAAAAGGGATTTTTAAACTTACCACCAAATGTGTATAGGGTAATACATAAATACCCTGACACAAAGGGCTAGTGGAACATGGGGTACCCATCATTTATCCACCACTCCCATTCAATATATATTTCATTAACTCAGGAACAGTTGTTTTTTTGTTGTTTACTTCAAGGAGAAAATCATATGTTACATAATACTAGTCATCTGGCCATTTCAACTATATATAGTTTGGAACATGTACAATGATTACTTAATTTTTAGGAAAATAGAATTAATCCGCTCACTTTAGTAATGTAATGGGCAAGGTTACAAAACTACAGCTCAAGAATGCTCACAACTAATTGCAGCTGATTGTCACTTCAAGCAGTTTACAGAGAAATCATCTGAAAACTCCACCAACACCACATACCTTTAAGGCTGCAGGTGTTTTCAAGATTGTAGGGAAAAAAAATAAAAAACAAAACATGAAGAAAAGTCATGTGAGCTCCAAGTCTAGAGTTTAAGTATTCTTACTTGAAAAAATAAACTTAAAGTGTCTGTTCAGAGTTCTCAAATAATATCACATCTAAAGTGACTTGGCCAAGCTCTTATCATTCCCTAAAAAAAAGGCATCCCCTCTGATCTCGGCTTTTTTGTTGTTGTTACTGTTACTGTATAAATTTTTTCTTTCTGCCTATTTTATCACCTATAATTTGACATTATGGAATTACTTTGGGATTGTCTTGTTTTTTAATTAGTATAGATTTTAAAAAGAAGAGATGAGAAAAAGAAAAAACATGAAAACCCTGAAACAGAAAGAGTGAAACATACAAAATAAAACTTGTGTAGCTCCAAACACGAATCTTAAAACACGAAACTTAAATTTTCAATGTCTGGACTTCAGTGATCAGGCTGAAATTTACTAAACTGTTCCCTCCTCGCCTTGTCTGTTTTGGAGTGTTTCAGTTGCCTTTCCTTCTTCCAACAGCTGTGACAACTGTTAAAACAGTCAGTAAAATTAAGTCCGCTCTATAATCCTGTAGTCAATGTTACATTTTAATCAGAGGTTGAAAGGGATTCATGTGATGAGCACACTCATTTAGAATGATTAGACTGACACATATGTCAAAATGAGCAGATATATTATTTTCATCTATTTATGCTATCAGCTATTACTGCTATTAAATGTGAAACAAGCTTTCAAGTATTATGTTCTTTAATGTGCTGGCACATTTCCTAAAATAAAAAAATACATAGTTAGAGGTTAACATTTTAAGCTCTCTTAATGGTGGTCAATAAATGGTATGAATCTTTTTAACAGCCTCCAAAGCAGAAACTGTCCAATATTTGCCCCTAAAACTGTATAACTCTGGTTTCATTTCTGTGTATACACACACGTGATGGGGTTTAACCCGGTACAATTACTATGAATATTAATAGCATGTATAAATTCTGTGGTTTATTAATTGAGACAGAGAGGCAGATGCGTTGCTTAGCGTTAGATCTTTCTGTCTGTCCAGTGAACCACGTAACCATCAGAACTGCATCCAGACAATAAATCTGTATTTTTTAAAGATGACTTTTAATTGAGCCCAAAAGAAAGCTAGTTTGAATCTTGCGCCAAAGCCAAAAGGACATGTGCCTTGACTTCATTTAAATGCATCTGCTTTAAGAGGCTTATCTAAACGAATTATTCAAATTAGCTATAAGAAGTTAAATTCAAGGAAACTACTTCAAAAAGAAGCCTCTGGGGGATTTTTAAAGTTTGTTTTCTTTATTTATTTACAAGAGAAAGTTCAGAATCTGGGCGTGCTTGGATAAGACATTCTTCCTGACACGAAGACGTCTTAAACTCTCCAATTCTACAGCCCGAAGTACACTAACCTTCAAACTACACTTGAGCGGGCAGTCTTACCTTTGTTTATTTTTCATTTTTATTTTTACACATCTTAAGGTTGTTTCTTCCCTTGAGTGTTTCAAACTGATGCAAGCACAGCCTTATAATCTTTCAGTTCCTCCTAAATCCATCTCTTGGCTAATATTCCCTGTGTGAGCATGGATGTGGGTGGATGTGCATGTGTGAGCGTGCATACACACACACACTCACACTCACGCTCAAACATACAGGAGCAGCCACTGAGACTGCAAGTCACTTTTCATCTCTTACTTAATTACAAAGCAATGCAATATGCAGTCACTAAGGACAGCTAGTGGACATCTACCTATAATGCACTACCTCATCTTCTAGAGTTTGATATTTTCTTCACAATCTATAGAGAGAAATGTTTGCCAAGGGCACTCTTTTCAGAATTATAACAGTTGGTATTACTGTAATGTGAAAGCAAAGCAATATAACTGACTCAACAGAAAGGGAGATAAACCAGTGACAGCTCTCGTGATATACTAACATTTTATCTTAACAGTAGGTTGAAATTAAGTTTATCACCTACTCATTTACACAAAAATGCCTAACTTACTTCTCGTACCCCCTACTCACTCCCCCCCCTTTAGTAATCTAAATATATATTTCCATGTGCATAAAGATATCCATAAATACTAATTAAACTGCTTGTAAGAACGAAAGTACTTTTCTATATTTTCTGGACACAACAAACGAGACAAATCCACACTCTGAGCAGTATTTAAGGGGAAAATTTTAAAGTCACTACTGTTTCTTCTTTAGTTTTTTTTCCCCCCTTAAATATTTATAATGTGTGAAAATCTCATGTTACTTAATGGACTGATTTGTCAGTTAAGTGCTGACTTAACGCTAACCATGCAAATAACATTATTCTAGCTCAGAATTGCATAGGGCTAGCTTTTAAATTGTTCTCTGAAGGAGAATTAGTAAATGTGCAATTTTGCCTCTAACTCTGCGCGGTAAGAAATGACAAGGAGCTGAAAATATCTGTCAAACTGCAAATACATAAGAGGCCCTCAATAGTATAAATCATTTTGAATATTGTATTTTAAAACATCTTTCCTTGGGAAAATGGGTCCTAGTAAAAGATGCATTTTAACAGTTCACTAAGCATTTGTGCCAAGTGCCTATTCTTAGCACCTGAATAAGAAGTGACTGTCACACAGCTGTTTTACTGACAGTCACTGAGCTTTGCCTCAAAGGTAACATTGTAGTCAGAGAACAATTCTCGACTTACTGAATTAGGAGATCACCCTCAACACAAAAGACACAAGACAGACACAAACAAGCAGTCGTGCACACAAAATACCCAGGGCATTACCTGAATCAGTGTGTAAAGATATAGTCTGTCCGCCCCCACCCCCGCACCCCCACGACGAGTTTAAAAAGGAAAGAAAAAAGGTACCTACTCTTCCTCGTAGTGCAGGGAAAAAGATTCAGGAAGGCAAAGTTCTACCGAATCCATGTGCGACCGGCAACCATTATTTGTGCACCCCAGCTATAAATCAAAGTTTCCTTGACAGAGCACAGTGCAATTAACACAAATGTTCTCCTAGTGACAAGCCTATAGGCACAGCCAGTTGGGACCAAAGCTCTCACACTCTCCTAATCAAGGACTTAAAGCCCCGATTGGAGCTTATTAATATGAAGTAGGGCTTTACATATGCAGTCCCACCGGCCCAGCCGCGCAGCCGATTGGGGGGCCTCTGCCCAATCAGGAGGGAGGCGACGGGAGGCTGCACGGAGCGAGAGGAGCCAGGCAGGTAGGCAGGGTGCAGAGAGCCGAAGGGGGCTGGAAACTGAGAGTGGGCAGAGAAAAAGGGAGCGGAGAAGGGAGCGATTGAAACGCTCCCAATACACACTCTCGGGTTTGATTTTTTTTCCTCCCTTCTCTCTCTTTCTTTTTTTTTTCTTCTGGGAAGCTACAAAAGAAACATAACTAACTTAACTCTCTAAGCACTGGAGGGATTTGCCTTTGATTTCTAACCTAAGATCTCTTTTGCCTTGAAAAGGAGAACTCACGCAGACTCTCAGTTAATTTGGGAAAGGATTCTGCGGAAGGTAGAGAATTAAGTTTGTCCTGCCGTTGTCTGTGTTTTTATTACACCGGGGGCCGCGGCTTATTTGGTGCTGTACTTTCTCATGTATTCCTAATCATGTCTTTTCCTGTTTTCCTGATGTATGCTGGGCATTAAAAATAATAATAATAAAGGCATTCTTCTAAATTGTTTGAGCATGTGAACTGGGATCGTCATCTCTGAGGTGGAATGCAGTTTTACACAACTACAGAAGAGGAGATAGTGACAATACAATTTGAAAGAATGCCTAAGTAAATTATATGTGTAAACCTTTCTATACCTGCGACTGTCTCTTTACATATAGATACAACGCATAGCTTTTCAAAACAACGGTAAACAGCCGCAGGACAAATTGGCTTCTTCAGTTTTAGGGGTGGGGAGTCTGAGGGCTGTGGGGGTAAATAGCGAATTAAATCTCTCTCGATGCATTTTGACAAAATAAAGACAGCATTTTTTTTTTTTTTTGTAGGGAGAGCATTACTAAACAGTGCACTAAAAGTATTCTTAATTATATGTATATATTTCAATACAAGCTTCCAAACTAGGAGGCATATAATTTTATATATGATTTTACCCAAAACATCCTGCTTTCAAATAAAACACAGTGTACACATTTGTTTCTATACATAAGGCACCCTATATGCTTTAAAAAAATCAACCCAGAAACATTTTATAAACCATCACACAGTCTGGTCACTATAAGAACTAGTTTCAAACAGATAATAATTTACAAAACTAAGAATTCTCAATCAAAAGTGTTCAAAAAAATAAAAATAAAAGGAGGATATAAGAGGACAAGTGTGTTTTTTCCTCCTTCAATTGTGTACACCGTGTCTTTAATTTCCATATAACAAAGAGTTTGCTTAGGTCCTATTTTAATCTACAGGATTTTTTTATACTAGCAAATGTACATTGGAATAGATACCAGCTATTTATGGCAAAGAGATAACTGCTACCTTATGGAGAGTGAAAAACCCACAATTTTGATATAATTCAGCTCTACTGCTTATCAACCTTTTACATCTTAAGTCCTACATGATAGAAATAGTATAATCTTTGAGATCAAAATAAATTAGTTCAGATATTCATCGTATGTTAAATTCACTAAATTAGGACTCAACTCCCTTAACCCTCTCAAATTTTCTAGGTCTTTAAAAAACCAAAACACTAAAATAGAGCAGCCACATTAAAATTCAGAATATAAAAATGACAGACATGATTTGGTCCCCCCACAGAAGAAAGCAATTTCACTGCCTTGTATTTAGCTATATCTAAGATATAGGCCTAATTCCTTTTATTTGTGTTCTAAATGCATACAAAGTTTCTAGATCAGAACTCACATAGCAAAAACTGTGCCTCAGAATACTGTATAAAAGCAGGTAGTAAAAGCTTAATTACCAGTAGCATTATGCTGTCTATATTGTTAAATGTGAACTCTGCAATTAAGATGTAAATTTGGTTGTGAGCAGTGAATTAAAAGAGCTTTGAGATGTAGAAGAAAATCCAAGCATTCTGCAGACACTGAGAGAAAAAAAAAATTGTCTATTCAATCTAAAATAAGACACGTAATCATTTTACAATTAAAAAATAAATAAAACAGGCATTTTGCAAAAGAAACATGATTTTTCTAAAATACACTCAAAGAAATATGGAAGCTAATACTGCATTACAAAGACAGAAAAACATCCTTTGATTCATATGATTACTATCGTGATTTCTGAATAAACTAAAATTCTCAGGGTAATTAATAGATTCAATTGCACATACTTTAAAAAAGATACACACACACACAAAAAAGAAAGAAACTTTCCTTCTTGGTTTGGCTATGGATATTTCTTTAAAAAATATAAATTATTTAATGTACTCAATGCATCTTAATGTACTCAAAGAATGCATTCCGATTTTGCACCGGTGCAGAATCCTGTACTGTGTTCAGTTTCTTTACATTATGCTGTGACAGAACCTCTTTATTACTCCTTTGAAATGGCTTTTTAAAGACAAGATTTGTAGTGTATTTACCGGTGGATCTCAAGTCACCAAATGTCGTACAAGTGATCTTTAATTTCCCATCATTTTCTTATTTCCCTTTGGGTACTTATTTGCCCTCATTATGATCCATTTGACTTCACTGGTGTATATTTTTAAAGATATTTAGACTCATGCGTAAGTCATTGTTCTGTGCTCACAGAGATACATGTACAAACATACATAGTGTCATCCCCACTGATTTTTCACTAACCATATTTCATCTACGCAAGGTGCAGTGTTCACTGAACTCGCTGCTTTCTGAGTGACCAGATGTGTACTAGGTTTGTAGACTTGGATATTTTCCCCTTGGGATCAAAGTATCACCTGTACAAGTCAAGGACCTAAAGACTGTACTTACTGTCTTGAATCCAGTTTAACCAATTTAAAATTTTTAAAAATCCTCTTCACTAAACTTGTGAGACAGCTTCCAGAATATTTTACAAATACACAGCTCAGTCATCTCAAGAAACTTCCCTGGTCCCAGATTTTTCTCACCTTGCAGGAGAAAACAATGGATAATCATGGGAAATAAATGTGCCATGAGTAATACTGAGCTTAAACCTTCAAGAATCTCAATTACAAAAAAAATCTGGAAAAACAAATAAACAAACAAACAGATAAACAGCCTAGGATACACATATATTCCCAGTCTATACACTTCACAATCTTACCACAAGGAGTCTACCCAAATCAAGAAAAACTGAACCAAACAAAAGGATCTCTCATGATTGCTTCACAAAGAATATTAATAAATTAGTTAATATCAGTCTATTATGCATCAGGCTCTTGGTGTATGCATAGTTTCAATCTCTTCTTCCTTAAACAATGCAGTCATAAATATCCAAACAAATTCATTCTCAGTCCCCAACTAATGCACAGTCACCAAGCAGAGAATATACTTCATTTCTATTTCAAAGAACAGAATGAAAACAAGCAAAGCTCAAGTGGAAACAACAGGAAGATTCCTCTAGTCATATACACCAGACATTTTATTACATTTAAGTCAGAATCATTTCTTGCAACATTCTAACTAGGAATTCTTATGTTGCTAGAAGGTGATGAGAAATGCTTAGTCTTGCTGTTATTGCATATTAATAGCTATTTTTAGCTCCTATCTTTCTTTTCTGAAAATTAACAGGACTAACCTTCATTAAAATGTTCAAGTTTATCACTGTCATTTTTGAAGCAGGTTTTTATTTTATATTACACATTCATCATTTACTAAATATGTAAAACTAAACAAGGCATAACAAATTTAGATTTTCAAATTGCCTAGTAATCTTTCCTCAGGATTATAAAATCTTTGAAAAGCTGTTTAACTTTTTGAACTATTTTCCCTGCTGTTTTAAATGTATCATATATAGTATAATATACCATCCTGCAAAAAGCAAACCAAGACAATTACAAACTACTATCTTTAACTCCAAAAGACAACCTTGGGAAAAGAACCTAAAATGAGAAGCAAGGCACCAGGCTCCCTTCTACTCCTCATGAGCTGTGTGGCCATGGGTAGGTTGCCTCACTTATCTGTCCCTCATTTCCTCATCTGAAAATTGGGGTTTCTTTTGTGCTATAAACCTGCTTAAGAACACACCTTTCCCACTGAGAACACGCAGACTTCTTTCGAAGTCAGGATGACTACTTTACACTATATTACCACCAGCCCTCTATCAATTCATCATTCCTCATTTTCTGTTGCCTTTCATTTCTAGGGCACAGGCTTTGATATTTAAATTATTGTCTCGATTGGCAAGAAGCAATCATTTCTGCTGAAAGTGATCGCTTCCACAGAAGCACTAATAAAAACCCTTCCTTTTGACAAACCTCTTGTCCTATAAATCCATCCCATTCCCAAATTATGGAGCCTATATATAAAAAAAAGCCCATTCTCTGGGGAGCAACTGTCTCACCGACATAACACACTAAACTCTTTTCCCACTGTTTGTGAAAGTTGGAGGGGGAAAAAAAAAGAATCAGAGAAAGACAGAAACTAATAGAGGCAATTCAGTTTCTGTTTAATTAATTCAGGATTATTTCACCTTCGTTTTGTCAAACTAATAATACACATGGTGAAATGTCAGTAAAAATTAAATTATAAACTACAGTAGCTCCAATGGGAAAACTGACCTTAGTTAGGTTGTATTTCCATCATACTTACCCTGGTAAGATACCAAATGCATTTTACAGTATCCTACAAGCTTTCTATAATCTGCATGGCATGTATTTACAGAGCAATAGTTAACGTTTTGAGATTATACATTAATAAATAAGTTGCAGTTATATTCTTTCCTGAATGTTAAGCACCATGAGCTAAATGCAGAAAACATTCAAGGTCAATGTCCCATTTTAGACCTTTTGAGGCAGCTGTAATATTATGATAATCAAGCTTAAAATATTCCTATAGAAAGAGTAAATTAGCCTTTTCACTTGAAAGATGATTATGATAAACAGTAAACCTAAGAGAGGACAAAATCCCTGTTTTTAAAAGCCATAAATTGTTGACTCAATCATGTGTGTGATAGTGTTGTCCAAAATAAAGGGTAGCTTAACTCTGAGAGGAAGGTGGCGGGGGCGGGTAGTGGAGATAGAGAAGCAGGGGGAAGTGGAACAAACATGACAGATTCCAGAATAAGCAATCCATGCTTTGATACCAGTAAAATGATCAAATTACCTATCCTAACCACCCCATTCAACATATAATATATTTGAGTCTAAAAATATATATATCATAAAACATCAAAAAAAAGCACAATGTATTTTTTTCCTGACGTATATGGATGTTCAATACAAATTTAAAAGCTCCCTTTTCCTGTGGCTTGTGTTAATCCTTTTGTCCGAATTTTCAAAGGACTAGTAAAAAAAAAAAAAGTAAGATATTAACATCTGGTATCCATATAAACAGGTTTAAAGAGTTATACTTTTTCTGATGTTTGAACTCTCTGACACACTTCTAAGATTTCTTTTTATAAATGACTATGTTTGATAAGAGTCTCCTTCCCCCAACCAAGGCAAATTAATTAGAGGTGTGTGTTTGTCAGACCTGGAAGAAGGTTTTAGAGCAAGGGATTACAGGTCATTCTGGAACATGCCTTGGGTTCAGATTCCAATTATGAGGGATGAGGCTTTGTACTGGAGTCAGCTTCACCCATCTTAATCTCAGTTTCCTCAGCTACCAAATGGGAATAACAATAACAATCTTATAGAATTCGTATGGGGATTAAGCAGGTTAAACCAATTTAGCACAATATCTGGCCCCAGTTTGGGGACCATATGATCCCGTGCGCTGAGGAAATTTTGGCTTGTGCCAGTTGTCCTAGCATAACAATTTACAGAAGCACCTTCTTACACCCTCAATAGTGCCCCCGTTTGGAGAATACATTTTATTGTCATCCTACAATTAGTGAGCCTTCCATAAATGTTAGCTATATTATTTTTAAATCTTTAAAAATTATTTTACAAAATTTTAAAACTGAACAGAGAGATGCAAGAGAAAGGCATTGTAATTCATTTGGCCTCCATCTCTGACTAGGAGTGGGAGATACTGGATACAGAAAAGAAAGTGAAGTGCAAGTATGTTACATTATGAATTGCTTGCCATACTGCCACATATACATTGGCTGCATGTAATGAAAGGGAAAACTAAAAGATGTTCCCCTTAAAGTTACCATGATGTTTTCTGCGTGGGGATGAGGAAAACAGACTTGGGAAAGTTAACTGATTCTGCTGACTCTCCAGAGAATTCAATTGTACATTGTTTACCAGAAAGAAGGGGAGAGAGAAATTGCTTGTACTCCATTTCTCTTCCTTTAAGACACTTCTTCCACATCCCTCTACTCTAGCAGTTCAGTCAATAATGCTGTTGATTTTATTACTATCCCAAGCACAAGCTCATTCACCTAGGAGCTCTTTTGATCAGATATCCCAAAAACTCAATTTCTTCACAAGGCTTTGCTCTTGTTACATTGAATGGCCACTAATCTATGGCAGCACATAAAGTCTGGGCAATGGGGAATTACAGGCTGGGAAAGACCATAGGGATTATGAGTCCAGCTTGGTTACTTTACAGGTAAAGGAAATCAGGCTCAGAATGGTTAAGAGCCTTAACCCAGGTTACATACCTAGGTAGTAGGAAAGCTCCTATTAGAAAAGATTACATTTCTCCCCTTTCCAGTGCTTCGTTAGCAACAAGCCACCAATGTTAGTGTCACAATTGTTGACACTATACTAGCGCATAGAACTCCGACAGAGATCTGACCTCTCTGAGGACACGTGTCCAGTAAAAGCCAAGGGAGTTCTGAACCTAAGAGATAAATATCCAAGTGTAAACCAAATGGTCCTCTACTTTCTCCAAAAGCTTAGAAAGGTAAAAAAAAAAAAAAAAAGAAAGAAAAAGAAAGAAAGAAAGAAAAAAAGGTACATAGTTAAAAAGAATTGGGAATGTACTGGTAGAAATAAATTCTGTCTTCTCCCCAGCTAATTATTGTCCTTTTATAAGCACATTTTAACTATCATTTCCTTCAGGGATTCAGTTTTGTTAAATGGCCACACCTTTCCCTACTCTAAACTCTATCTGACTGTAATCTGTGAGCTGGGCTGGGCCTGACAGTATGCCCATGGCCAGTAATGGAACTCAAGACATATTCCTGTCAATGTTATAGGAACACAATGAATATGTCTTGGATGAGTGAATGAATGAATGAACTAATGACCAATGCTATTACTCAGTTAATTATTCATTTTAAGGGAGGCTGCCAAATTTAATGAGATAATTCAAGCCAGGTAACTAGAGTAATATGGGAAAAATTTAAGAGATAAGATGATTGGAAAAAATAGGTAAATGGTGAGGCGGAAAGTTGGTAGAAAAAGATAAAAAGAGGAAAAAAGGATTGAAGACAAGGCCTGCTCCATGCTATACTAAGGGGCACCAGCACTCCATCATCATTTATTCTTCTGATAGCTAAGAAGGAGCAATGTACAATGATTGCTTCCTTCCTCTACTTTCTAATTTTCCATGTTTTGTAAATATTCATATTGACTAAGTATTGGATAATGAAAACAATTATTATTAAAACAAAAGCAAACAAAGCTGCCATATCAGTACCTAAAACTGTGACCCTTCCCAGGGTAACATGGAAACATATTCTCATTTAATCTGACAGCAAGTGCTTTTAAAAATCATGATCCCAGATATGTCCTGAACCCAAATATTTTTAAGTGTTCAAAAACGGTTCTTGTATGCAACATAAAAATTTCTGTATTAAGGATTTTAAGTACTTTTCATTATCTAAAGATTTATTTGGTTAAATGTTGACAAGGATCCCATGAAGAATGGTCACAGAGTTCCTATTTCTATGAGATGTATGACTGGAGCAGCAGTGAACACTGAATACTTTCAGTGGGAAGGTGGATTTTTCCTCTTATGGGGAGAGGAAGAAGGGAATTAATCAGCAGAAAAAGACAAAGGTCTTACTTTTAGGCCGCTGTTTACCTCTCTTTACTCCTTGCAATTTTTAAAACAAGACCTGTGTGTTTTGCTTGATGATTTCATTGCAAGAGCAAGGCCCTGATGAGAACATATCACATTCTAGAGAGCCAACTGTTATCTCTAGAAAACCACATTTTGGATGCAAAAGAGAGTAAGATTCCCTGGTTCAATTATTACACATTCATATGTATGTATCAAAACTCAATACGTACCCCCAAAATATGTACAACTATTATGTATCAATTTTAAAAAGAGTGAGACAAAGAATTCCTTTCCCATTTCCGTGGTAGATTAAATTACCAGGAATGGTGATGGGGGAGGGGCATGAGGCCTGTACTCAGGACATTGAAATCCTGGGGCTGTTATCTCACCTACAGTTTGTAACTAAGTGCACAGCTATTTGGATAACGAAAGTTTATCCAATCAAACTGTGTTACCGAAAAGCAAGAGTTCAGTTACCAGTTGAATTCGGAAACTAAATAAATCAAAGACCATTTTCATTAGTGAGAATAGACATGGATTAATTCATCCTTCGATAAATCAGAACGTTAAACAAAGAATTGAAATTTAACAAAGAAATTTTTTTTTAATTTTTATATGTTTAAAATATGGACAGAAAAGTTAGCTGTTTAGAACATTTAAAAATTCTAATTAAGAAGTGGAATAAAAAAAGAAAATAAAAAATAAAAAAAGAAAATAAAAAAAAGAAAGGTTTTGTCAACATAAAAAAAAAAAGAAGTGGAATACCCAATATTTTTGCTATAATTTAACATTAACAAGGCAATTTCACACGTGCTCCTTTTGTTCCTCACAACAACTTGCTGTAGCAGGTAGAAACTTCATTATTATTATATTATCATCCCCATTTTATAGATGACACTGAGATTCAAAGAGTTTGTTGATTGCCCAACAGCACTCAGTTTTCATGCTGCAAAGTTGACATCTGGATTTATTGATTTTTTTTTTTTTTTAACAGAGACTTACTGTGTCGCCCAGGCTGGTGTGCAGTGGCACAATCTCAGCTCCCTGCAAACTCCACCTCCCGGATTCAAGCTATTCTCTTGCCTCGGCCTCCAGAGTAGCTGAGACTACAGGTGCCCACCACCACACCCGGCTAATTTTTGTATTTATAGTAGAGACGGGATTTCACCATGTTGGACAGGCTGGTCTCGAATGCCTGACCTCAGCTGATCTGCCCTACTAGTGAAAATGTACAATACGAAAAGGAAACCACTGGGCATGGTGGCGTGCACATGTAGTCCCAGCTACTCCGGAGGCTAAGGGAGGAGGATTGCTGGAGTCCAGCAGTTCAAGGCATCAGTGATCAATGATCAATGATCAATGATCACACCTGTCTATGAATAGCCACTGAACTCCAGCCTGCAAACATAGTGGAACTCCATCTCTAAAATTAAAAAAAAAAAGGGGGGGGAGGAGGGGGACTCTTGTGGTCTCAATAATTTCCCTTCTCTGTCAGGAATTTTACTCTGGTTAGGCATAGCTCCAAATTGACTGCTTTCTCTTTCCCAAGTTTCCCAGCCATACAACCACAGCAAAATTCTAGGATATCTGAGCTAAGGAACCAAGAGACTTAAAGAGGAGCAAAATCATTCCTCATTAAGACAGAAGCAACAATAATCCAAAAAAAAAAAAAATTCAACTTTAAAACTACCATATTTGCTTACAGTTTTTCAAAGATTCCCTTGTTAATAAAATAGAACTATGATCAACCCATACAACATAACAGCTTTCAAACATTCGTGTTTTCTTCAGAATTATTCTGTTTCATCTCCATAATTTTGCTAGCCTGCAGTATAAGGGCATTTTTTTTTTTTTTTGTCACACTACCAGGTGCTTTGGGGCCTGGGTATGTTACTGCTAAGAAGATCTTGGGAGAAAACAGGGCCACATGTTGCTTTCCCTATTAGCAAAGATGCTTAAATAAGACAATATTAGCTTTAAAGGGCTGTTTTTGTGGTGAGAGCTTTCTAGTACTGCCCACGTTCTGCCCCAACATTGACTTCATTGCCGTCATTGAGCAGTTAAATCTATTCAATTATTCAATCCTAATCAATATTTCAAGATGTAAAGAAAGTAAATGTAAATATTTTGTTTATTTTTACCATACTTAATTCATGTGCTCTTATTGGAGGAGAAAGTTACATATTTATAAATAAACCATTGCAAAAAAAGCGGTGGGTTCCTTTTCTTGTAATACTGGCTCTCATTTAGTCAGCTACAATATTTAGCAACACAATCCACAGGGTAGATAAAACACTCTCAGTCTGGGCGCAGTGGCTCACACCTGTAATCCCAGCACTCTGGGAGCCTGAGGGGGGCGGATCACCTGAAGTCAGGAGTTCGAGACCAGCTTGACAAACATAGCAAAACCCCGTCTCTACTAAAAATACAAAATTAGCCAGGTGTGGTGGTGGGTGCCTGTAATCTTAGCTATTGGGAGGTTGAGGCAGGAGAATTGCCTGAACCAGGGAGGCAGAGGTTGGTGGAGGTCGCGCCACTGCACTCCAGCCCGGTCAACAGAGCAACAGAGCAAGACTCTGTAAAAAAAAAAAAAAAAAAAAACTCACCTTCAAGTGTTCCCTTTGGGAAGCCTTCCTGAAGGGGCACCAGGCAGAATCAATGGCCCTCTCCTCTGTGTCCTATCATGCTTTGCGCTTACTGGTCTAAATGGTTTGTGTCAAGGTAGATTGTCCTTATGTGTCTCTGCCTTCCATTGAGTAAACTTCTTGATGGCCTTTAATCCTCTGCACTGTGCCTAGCACTGATATCTAGACATTTTAGACTCTCAACAAATATCTGCCAAATAAATTCCTGATTTTGGCAAAAATGTTCACACTCATTGATATGGTTTGGCTATTTTGTCTCCTCCAAATCTCATATTGAAATATGACCTTCAGTGTTGGAGGCGGGCCTAGTGGGAGGTGTTCGGGTCATGAGGGCAGATCTGTCAGGAATGGCTTGGTGCTGTCCTCGCAGTGATGAGTGTGTTCTCACTCTGGTAGTTCACTAGAAAGCTGGATGTTTAAAATTTAAAAGTGTGTAGCACCTCTCCCCTCTCTTTTGCTCCCTATCCCACCATGTGATATGCCTCTGCCCCTTCACCTTCCGCCATGATTATAAGCTTCCTGGAGCTTCACCAGAAGCAGATGTTGGCACTTATGCTTCTTGTACAGTCTGTAGTGAACAAAATAAACCGCTTTTCTTTATAAATTACCCAGTCTCAGGTCTTTCTTTATAGCAATGCAGCAATAGACTAACGTACTCATACAACTTGAGTTTTTTAAAAATGAGTTTCAATGTTTCTTTGAAGAAATTTTGTCAGTATTTTAATGGGGCTAATATATTTACCCTTTCAAAATTAGCTACTCATTAAATGAAACATTTTGACTTATGAATTTCCCCCCTCTACCCTGTAAATAAATTTTTAAAAAAGTTGGCTACTACATAGTTCCATATTCTTTTTTTTTTTTTTTTTTTTTTGAGACGGAGTCTTCCTCTGTTGCCCAGGCTGGAGTGCAGTGGTGCGATCTTGGCTTACTACAACCTCCGCCTCCTGGGTTCAAGTGATTCTCCTGCCTCAGCCTCCCAAGTAGCTGGGATTACAGGTGCCTGCCACCACATCTGGCTAATTTTGGTATTTTTAGTAGAAATGGGTTTTCACCATCTTGGCCAGGCTGGTTTCCAACTCCTCACCTCAGGTGATCTGCCTTCCTCGCCTCCCAAAGTGCTGGGATTACAGGCATGAGCCACCATGCCCAGCCTCATTGTTTTTTTGTTTTTGAGACAGGGTCTGGCTCTGTCACCCAGGCTGGAGTGCAGTGATGAGATCATAGCTCACTGCACCCTCAAACTCCTGTGCTCAAGTGATCCTTCTGCCTCAGCCTCCTGAGTAACTGGGTGTGTGCCACCATACCCAGCTAATTAAAAAAAAAAAAATTGTTTGTAGAGATAGGGTCTTGTTTTGTTGCCCAGGCTGGTTTCAAGCTTCTGGCCTCAAGGGATCCTCCAGCCTCAGCCTCCCAAATTGCTGGGATTACAGGCGTGAGCCACCACACCTGGCCCATCTTTTTCTTAAGACAAGGTTGTGCAGCAATGGCAAATCCCTGCCCTGCCTCCACCTCTGTCACCCATGAGAGAACCTCTAGAACAATTATTCACTAGTTTTCAATCTTTAACATTACATTTATAAATAAATCTACATACTTATGTGACCCTGACTGGTCTCAATTAATTAACTTACTTAAAAATTTCAGGCTGGGAGTGGTGGTTCATGCCTGTAATCCCAGCACTTTGGGAGACCAAGGTGGGTGGATCATGAGGTCAGGAGTTCAAGATCAGCCTGGCCAAGATGGTGAAACCCCGTCTCTACTAAAAATACAAAAATTAGCCAGGCATGGTGGTGCACCCCTGTAATCCCAACTACTCGGGAGGCTGAGGCCGAGAATTGCTTGAACCTAGGAAGCAGAGGTTGCAGGGAGCTGAGATCACACCACTGCACTCCAGCCTAGGCGACAGAGCAATACTCCCCATCTCAAAAAAAAATATATATATATATATATATACACACATACATATATTTGCTTTCCTGGGTCACTATACTCACCTTCACTTGAGAAAGATGAGAACAGGGGGGGAGTTTCCCAAATGCCCATTCCTAGGGTATTAATGAGTAACCTTTCTAGACCCTATGATCCATCCAAAATATGGTGCTTCTAAGGAGTTAAGGACTATTTTTTTTTTTTTTTTTTTTTTTTGAGACAGAGTCTCGCTCTGTCGCTCAGGCTGGAGTGCAGTGGCGCTGTCTCTACTCACTGCAAGCTCCGCCTCCCGGTTTCACGCCATTCTCCTGCCTCAGCCTCTCCGAGTAGCTGGGACTACAGCCGTCCGCCACCACGCCCGGCTAATTTTTTGTATTTTTAGTAGAGACGGGGTTTCACCGTGTTAGCCAGGATGGTCTCGATCTGCGGACCTCGTGATCCACCCGCCTCGGCCTCCCAAAGTGCTGGGATTACAGGCGTGAGCCACCATGCCTGGCCGTTAAGGACTATTTTAACTGTGATATTTATCCCCTCAAGTTGACGTCACACTGAATTTTAGGGTCAGAGTAAAAATACCATCTCTGAAGCTCCCCTCTTTCTCAGAGAAGCAAGAGTTGGTAGAAAGAACAGTTGAGGAAGAATGGTTTTTGGTCATCTGTACCCTTGCGCTAGCTGCTGCATTTCGCTGGGCTTCAGTGAACAAGAGGGAACCGGTGCAGAGATTCCACACCAGCAGAATCTCCATCAAGTAGAAGCTGGTTGAAAACACAAATGATTAGGCTCCACCCCTGACCTACTGGGTCAGAAACTCTGGGGTTAGATCCCAGCAGTCTGTGTTTTAACAAGCTCTCCAGGTCATTCTGGGACATGCCAAGATGTGAGAATAGGATCTCTATAGACCTGTTTCCCTCTAAAGGTCTACAGTTTCATCATCAGGAACAGAGCTTTTATTAAAAATAAATGGCTCAGAATTCGCTTTGTTATTCATATATTCTCCACCCCCAGCCCCTACGTTTTTTAAACTTCATGTTTCAACACATTGAGTCTTAAAAATCAAATCCTGCAACAAGAAATACCAAATAAATTAATAAATAAAGTGATGCTGGCTGCTACGGCTCAGTTTACAGAGAGGAATGTGGTCCTTGGACTTTTAAAAACTCTAAATTCAGTTCTTTCTCTGGCTAGTATATGTCTCATGGTTCACTCAGCTGCATCTGCTTCAAAGTTTGAAGCAAAAGCCTTAAAATTGGTGGAGACAGATATGGTGACCAGAAGAGCTGCAGACAGTGGTTCACCCTTGTTTTGAGCCTGGCTTCTGCTATTCTTTAGCTGGTAGACAGGTGGGCTGGTGGGTTAAAGTCTTGTATGTCTCAGTTTCCTCATTTTTAACATGGTGATGACTCCAATCTCATATTGTTGCTAAGGGATTAAATGAAATGGTCTATATATAGCATTGGTTTCAACCTTTGAAAAATTCCAATCCTCAGGCCTCACCCCAGCCAATTAATTTAAAATCTTTGGCATCAGGAGTTTTGAAGGCTCCCAGGTGAATTCAATATGCTGCCAAAGTAGCAACTGAGACCCACTGCTAAATTACTTAGCCCAGGTCCTGGAATCATTATTTTACCATTATTGAACCGTGTAAAGGAAGTGTATGTAAAAGCATAAACTTTGATATCAGATGGCCTCGTCTTAATCCTGGCTGTACAGACTGTTGGCTGTGTGACCTTGGGCAAGTACCTGAATTATTGGTTTTATCATCTGTTAAGAACAACAATTAGCAAGAAGGGATTAAAAAAAAAAAACAATAAACTTATCTGCTTACTCAGTAAGATTGTTATGAAAACAAATAAGATAACATAAATCCAAGCTCACTGTGAATGATGCAAGTATAAGAAAATATTCGTCCTTACATACAGCCCACAAAAACTATCAGTGGCTTGTGTTAGATGCCAATCACTAAATGCAAGTGACTTCCAGACCTTCACTAGTTCTGCAGATGAGACATCACTTTTTTTTTTTTTTTTTTTTTGGTCATGCTAATACCCCAAAGCTCAACAGTGATCATAGGATGAGATAATCTGGTTCCACTTTGGAATCACCTGGAGACTTTTTAAAAGTACAGCTGCCTGGGTCTCACCCAGTGAAAATCTCTGAGGGTGGGGTCCATACAGTGGTATTTTTGGGATAAGATCTACTGGGGTTTCAAACTGCAGCCAACATTAAAAAGAAGGAAAAAGGTGAAGTTAACTGCTGAGGAAGGGGCTTAGGGTAAAGTGAAGACCATCTGTGGACTCCAGCTTTTGTAGTGACACAATGCTGAGAAACCAAATTTCCAGGGATCCATCAGTTTATGAAACTTTACTAAAATAAGTCCTATACTGCCAAGCAACTAAGGAGAAAAAAGTGAACCATAAAATGCTTATCAATGAAGAGCTGAGTATAATGTAAAAATCTATTCTAAATACTATGCTTCAGAGTAAAAACAGATGTGAAATGGTTAAACAAAATCTGTGGTATCATAAGGCAATAAAATTTAGTTGCTTTTCATTTTCTTCCTTATATTCTTATGTATTGTTTAGATAATTTTACAATGAATGCAGATTATTTATTTAACAGAAAATAACAGTCAAACAGAATGTAGTAAGGGGAAAAAGTGGATTAAGTAGGGGAAAAGTATGAAATGGTGAGACAGTAAAATAAATGCCAGAGCTGAGAAAGATGAAGCAGCGTGCACTTATAAACAAAAAAAATTCTAGGACTCTCAAAACACTGGCAGATTCCTGAATACATGCTAATGTTTCACTTCTCTCTGCCTAGCAAAATCTTACTTATCCTTTTTAAAAATTTTATTTGTTATTTATTTACTTATGAGACAGGGTCTCACTCTGTCACCCAGGCCTGTCACCCAAACTGGAGTGCAGTGGTGCAATCATAGCTTTCTGCAGCTTCAAACTTCTGGCCTGAAGTGATCTACCACCTTAGCCTCTCAAAGCACTGGGATTACAGGTATGTCCCACTGCAACCAGCCCCTACTTATCCTTAATACTTAGTTTACCTTGGAGCGGAGGTCAGGGGAGGCTCCCAGTAGAATAGAGACCTCAGCATCCCTCTATCATCTCAACTAACCAAATGCTATTAATGTTTTCTTCGTATTTATCTGATTCTCCCATGACTGTAAGCCTCTTGAGAGTAAAACTGCATCCTGTTTATCTTTATAAATAATCCCGACACTGAGAGACAAGTGCATAAAAGGTATCTCCAAAGATTCATTAAAGTGAAAAAAAAAAAAAAGTTCCCCAGCTGTGGGAAACAGGCAGAATAAGATGTGATATAAACATAGTTCTACATAAGCTATTTTTTAAATAAAAACAAAACAAAGACAACTCCTACACATAAACTATCTTCTGTGATCTTTTGGACTTTCTATTTGAGGTTAACAGTGAAGAGCTGCCAATGCTCATTGCTCAGTGGGTTTAACTGATAGGTGCTCTAAAAATGCAAATCATTTGATCGTCTGATGACTGGTATGTAGAGTTTATACCAGTAGTTCTCAAAGGAAAATATCAGTATTATCCAGGAACTGTTAGTGTAAATTCTCGGCCCTGCCACCCCAGAGAAACCCTGGGGATAGGATTCAGCAATCTGTGCTTTATCAAGTCCTCCAGGTGATTCTGATGCATGTTCGAGTTTGAGACCCACTGGTCTAAGCTAAAAGATTTAGAAGAAATGAAAACCCAGCTCACTGCTAACTCCTTCTCAAAATCTATTTTGCTAATATGGCTCTCCTATATGTGCCATGGAACCCAAACTCTGATGCGCAAATGTTTCAAAACAGACCAAGACACCTCTCAACTGTTAAAATTCCCACCTCCGACCCCTCAGGAGAATGAAATTTGAGATGCAAAGACGTCTCTTTCCTACAGTTTATCCTGCCAGACTCCTTCATTCCTCACTCTGTTCCCTGCAGATTGTCTTGTAAATGTGGCCAGAGACACATCTTCAGTCCTGAGTCTGACTGCTGACCTCGGCTATGTTAGCCCCTTTGCTGCTGAAGAACAGCCCCTTGGATCACTGACTTGCTATTATTCTATGCTTAATAGCCCCGACCTGTGCAATATTTTTTATCTGGCTACAGTCCTATCTCTAAATTCTCTATTTTGAATGAATACCAATTTTGTGACATGAAGTCTTCTATATAATGAAATGCAAACAATGAAAAGGCTAAATCAGTTTACAAAAAATCTATTTGTCAAACAGTGTGGAGATGTTCCCAATTTAGTCTGGGCAGTTCATGCAGCTCTTGATAAGGGAGTTAAAAACCTAGCTGTTCACAGAATGAAAATAAAGGCATCTGCACCACAGACACATTTTCCTTTCAAAAGTCTTTGTTGTAACTTGTAGCTAATTAAATGCCCTTACACAAGAGGTGCACACACACACAGCAAAATCAGAGAATAATTTTACAAGAGAGCCCCAGAGAAGAGGAGAGCACAACACAAGCTTCCCACTACCATCTCTTATATTGCATTTACATTTCTATACAGCTTCATCAGCCTGACAAAAAAAGCACAAGGGGAGGCCTTTTTTGTTCAATTTTGGACGAGAGAGATTTCTAAGCCCTGCAAAGGAACGTGCTTAACATTAAAAAAAAAAAGAAGAAAGAAAGAAAAAAAGAAAGAAATTGTAACCCTGCCTTAGATGCTTGTGGAGAAATAATGCTTTCTACACACCTTTCTATATCACCGACAGAGGAACTAAAAAATTATCAAGAACTTAAAGTGTTCCATTTTTTTATTTGTAGTGTTTTCCTCACTCCTAGAGATTATTTGCAGGCAGAGGTGCCCCTGTATTAAGCTTGACATTTATTGGAGTGGCTTTGAATTTACCATGTCACATTTATCAAAATGGGATTATATATACATATTGACATTCTTTCATTTTTCCACCTTCTGAATTTAACTATTTCATTGGGCAGAATTTAAAGTGTTAATTCTCAGATAAATTTTTTAAAGTCATATACGAAATTGGTTCTCAAATATAACTGGCATTGAGTTATCACAGTCCCCCCTCTCTCTTCTTTCACGCCCCCGTCCCCATATGGGAAGACTGTCCAACATAATGGGATAGCATTGGATATAAAAACAGAACATTGTCTAAACAGAGGATTGAAAGCTCTTTGGGGTCAGGGTAATTTATATTATATTTATATTTATAATTTATATAATTTATATTATATAATTTATATTTATAATTTATATTATATAATTTATATTTATAATTTATATTATATAATTTATATTTGTAATTTATATTATATAGTTTATGTTTATAATTTATATTATAATTATTTCTTTATACCTGTTCACAATCCTGTGTCACTACATGTGTGGACCCCTCAGGCTAAAACACCAACCTCACAACCCCTTTCTAACACTCCCCCCCGCCCCTGCACACACCCCAAAATACCCCCCTACACATACACACACACACATATACCTCTTTTCCAGATGGAAACTCAGAAAGATCACCTCCTCTCGGGAGGCATCTCTTATCCTGCCATCCTTTAGCATTTTCATATCTGTATGTGATTTTACTTCTCTTATTAAACTGTAAGCTACTTGAAGGCAGAGACCCTGTCTCATCTCAGAATGCTTAGAACACAGCTTAGGGCCTGACAGACTGGATGTTATTGAACAGGCTGTTTAATGAATAAATGAATGAATGCAAGCCTAGCTGGGCAATTGCTGTCTAAGCTTTGAATTCTTACTATTATGAAACAGATGAATTCATGCAACCCTCTTGATGTCAAAAAATACCACACTTTCGTACATGGGTGCTTGGAATACACTTGTCAACTTCTAAGTCCTATTGGTTCTCACTCTAAATCATCTCTACATTCTCAAAGTTAAATTCCAACTGCCTGAATTTCCTCACTGGTGGTTTCATTGGTCTCTCTCCCTCTGTTTTTCTGCTTCTTTCTAATTCATTCTATATGCCATTCTCAAGTACTTTTACCCCACATTTTCCACTGTTACAGAACAAAATCAAGATTCTTTTAACCTGAAAATTCAAGTCTATTCATAACCTGACCCAAACCCTCTTTCCTGGCAAGTTTCCCACAAGTCTGCTTCACAGAGCCTGGGTATCACAGCCTTCACGTAACCTGAACACACCAAATGCATTCTTATTTCCAGGATTTTTGCCTCAGCTATTCCCACCATCTTATATTTAAAGGACATCCATTTGTAATGCTCTGTATACATGTGATATGTCTTTATAAAGTAGGTTAGAGCCTTGAAAAAGGGCATGGCCAATTTGACTTGAGAGAGGAGCAAAAGATGCAGATTTTCTGAGCTATGTCTCTAAAGACTGTTGGGGGAAGAAAAATTTGTGGTAAGTGAGCAACCTTTAAGATAAAAGAGAATAATGGAATCATGTTTCTCCAATAGAATGTAAGTTCCTTGAAGACAAGAACTACCTGGTTCATCTTTATATTCCCACTAGTACCCAGTAGAGTGCTTTGTATGCAACAACTGACTAGTAAATATTTCTTTAATGATTCTTTATCCATTTCTGTCCTAACTCCATCCGACCCTTTCATACAGTACCTTGCATATACTAGATACTCAATAAATGACAGCTAAATGAATGACTGATTTCTTAATCTTTCCATTCCTTGTTAAAATGCAAAAGTGGGAGAGGAACAGAGTAAGTAAAATTGCAGTTACTGAAAAAACAACTTCAGAAAATGAATCGTTATGAACACCAAATATGCTTATTTTGTTTACACACCAAAAGTAAACTGTACAAGAAAACAAGTAAAAATGTTGAATTCACATCGCCCTCTGGTGTTGGACTCTCCCAGACAATTAAAAAAACCCTCAAACTTAAGAGTTTAGGGAGATTTTACTTCAAAATAGGAGCATTCAACCTTCCCTGATCAAGGCAAAATGAGTGTAGCATTGAATGAGAGGTGCAGCATCTTTCAAATTTGCTTCAGTTGTTAAAGATGAAATTATTAACTCCAACAAAGTATGGAGCCTCTAGTATATTTGCTTAATGGAGTGAATTCCTCCTTCTGTCAAAGTCACTGTGTCTCACCATGATAGTCATTATTAGAGACCAATGGAATGAGGCTGCTAGCTGTACTACAGGTCCTCTGTATAAAAGGTGTGCTTTAAAATCTAAGACAATATGACTTTTCAACAATAGCATACAATGGAAATGTATTTATTTGCTAAGCCTGAGAAAAGCCATTGAGTAGAGAATGAAAGTTACAAAACAGGCACAGGCTATTCATTTGCTGTTAATGCTGGGACACTGTGCCAAGGCAGCTGAAATAAAACAATACACCCTCCTTGAGGTGACTCTTAGGATCATGGAGAGAACCCTGGAATAAATATCTCAGTGTGAAATTATTGTTCTGTCTATGGCATAGAATTCAGAAAGTCCCTTATATTAAAAAATATAAAAGTATTCCTCTTCAGGGTAATTTAATTTAGAGAGCTGGTTTAAATTTTCTGAAAACTAATAGCATGTTTTGAAGGCAGTCTTAGACCCAGAAACATAAATTAGAAAACACATTGTGCCATGATTCCTTTAGAGAGTTTTTCTAGCAAGCTGTTAGCCACTAAGTGCTCTCACCATTGCCATCATCTTCACTGTTGTCATCATCATCATCACCATTCATGGATAACACTCATCATCATCACTGTCACTGTCGTTGTGATCACAGTCATTGACATGATGGTCAGTGCTGCTAAGTATCACAGGTTTATGATGTGCTAGGACTGTGCTCAAAATTTTACATCATTTAGTTCATCTGAACCTCACAATCATCTCAGTAACATTCTAATTTTACTGATTAGGAAGCTGAGACTTCGTAACTTACTATAACTTCCATAGTAGGTAACTTGCAGAAATAATTCTAATCCTGCTTACGGAAACTTTTGCTCTTAATCATTATATTGACTGCCATTAGGTACCAGATTTTACTTGTGATTCCTCTGGACACGGTGCCACATGGAGTGTGATTCTGTTCATTTATCTGCTGTATTCCTCTTTTTATCTAAGTGATGAGCAGAAAGTTTTGCTAGGAGGGTTTTAAAGGGTTAAGTGCTTTAAGAGAACAAAGCCATAGAGTTCAGTCTTGGGTGGATAAGGAACCATGAGGGAGTAAGAAATACATTGTCCGTTAGAGTCTCTTCCTCTGTGCCTCTGAACAAACGGCAATAAAATAAAGAGCATGAAACTTCTGGGTGCTAAATCAATTTATTTATTTATACTATATTTGGCAAGCATTTATTACATTGTTGTTAGCACTGCACTAGGCGCTAAACAAAATATTTACACACAGGAGAAATGCAAGCCCATATTCTTGCCTTGGGAAGTAAACATCAACTGTACAACATTCATAGGGTAACTCATTCGATGTTTTAATCAACTCCATCCCATCTGAGTCTAGTACCACACACTTGAATATGTGCACACAGACATGCACACACACACACACACACACACACACCTCTGTACACACTCCTAAAAGCAAACGTCCAACGATGCCAAAAACACACAGATTTCAGGCAAAAACTTTCAAAATTTGTCCAACAATTAAAAATAACCTGATTTTAAGAAATGCACACACATAGGACTTATAGAGGTTATTTCTACATCTCACCATCTTTATTCCTGGCAATACATGCTGTGTTACCTATGAGTAGTCTCTTTTTGGCTACAAATGTGTCCCATCTTCCATCTGTTCTTCTAGCAATATTGCTGGCTTACTGCCATTGAAGCTACATCAGCCTTCATGATGTCGTCTGACTAGGTTTTCTCAAGTACCCGTTCATTTAGCTCTCCAGGTGAGGGCAGGCATATACATTTTTCTGTAGTTCTCTGAGCAGGGTTTAACTTTGGTTCCATATTAGCAAGTGTGTATGTTTCTGCTCTATTTACCAAAGTTTGCAAACTATTTCGATAGAGTAGAAAACAGAGTCTAAAGTTCCTCAAGAAATTGCTGGCTGAGCCATGAGAGAACTCAGCCCAGGGTCTCAATTTTTCTTTTATAATGGGATGTCGGTTAGAGGTGTGCCTATTAAAGACAATACTCCCTGGATTTTGCTATATTCTTTCACATTTTGCTTGTCTTTCATCCTTTTTTTGTTTTTTGTTTGTTTGTTTGTTTGTTTTTAAGTCGAGTCTCACTCTGTCACCCAGGCTGGAGTGCAGTGGCACAACCATGACACACTGCAGCCTCAAACTCCTGGGCTCCAGCGATCCTCTCACTTCCAGCCTCCTAAATAGTTGGGACAACAGGCACACACCATCATGCACACCTATGTGGTTTGTTTGTTTGTTTGTTTGTTTATTTCCCATCATTTTTTCCCAAAGACAGGGTCTTGCTATGTTGCCCAGGCTGATCTCCAACTACTGGCCTCAAGCGATCTTCCTGCCTCGGCCACTCAAGTTGCTGGGATTACAGGCATGAGCCACCATGCCCAATATGTTTTTGCTTCTTTCATTCACTTAAGTAACATTTTTCTCTATTGCAGACACTGTGCTATGCATAGGAGTTTTTACCCTCTTGAGTTGAAGGCTGAGGTTCCCCCTGCCCCCTCCTTTCCCTTTGTCCAGTCTCTCAATGCGTGTATTCAATGCAGGCTGGTTAGCCAATTGATTAGGAGGTTGGGTAAGTTTCCATGTCAGCTCTGTGTATTACTAGGAGTTTGTCCTTGAGAAAGTTACTTAACCTCTCTGTATTCAGTTTACTCATCTGTAAAAGACACACTCAATAAAGAATGGCTATTATCTTTAAATTGTATTATGGTGATGTATATTTATATTTCAGTCCTCATGTAGAAGGCAATTATCTATGTATCAAACTCATTCTGTAAATTGTAAAAAAGTATACAAATGTAATGTGGTGTTATTATTTAATACAGGGTTTAATATAGGCTTTAATGTAGAGTTTGTTTCAAAGAGAAGTGAAAAATATTTGTTGAACACCTACTATGTCTTAAGCTTTGTTCTGAGAGCTTTACTTACAGTATTTTGCTCAACCTCAAAAAAGTTCAATAATGTAAAAATAATAACAGCCTTCTTTTATTGTGCAATTATCTAACAATCTTAATAATGTAAAAAGTAGATATTATGGTGATAATGATTCTGATTTTATGAAGAAATAAAAAGAAGGAAATGAAGCTCAAACATTAACTTATCCAAGGAAACCTGGCTAGTAAGTGACAGAACCAGAATATGACCCCAGGACTATCTGCTGCCAGGGTCTGAACTCTTTCTGCTACAACACATGCTTTTCCTAGATGGAAGCAATGTATAATAGAGGAGGCCCAAGCTAGGCTGATGAAAAGAAAAATGATACCAAACTAATAAAATATTCATATTTACAGGCAAAATGCCCTCATTGGAAAAATATTAATTTAATATATATAGTGTTTTATATCCCAAATAGTATGACATCCACATAACCGTAAATAACAGAAGTTACCAAAGCTAACTTTTAAAAGAATTCTTTGCTTAAAGTTCTTAATTTTCGTAGTATTTTTGCTTGCCTAATGATAGAATGATGGTGTCAAATTTGAAAATGTAGGCAGATGTATTCATTTTTAAAGGTATCACTTGGAACGTCATACCATTTATTTAGATCCTATAGCTGATTAGTGACCTGTTTAAATAGATAAAACTGGTAAATGTTTGATGAAATAATAAACATGTGCACTGAATCTTCATCTCCTAACTTAAAGCTCTTACAGAGTTGTCAAATTCTAAATAAACAAAGACTGGTCCCTTTTTCCAAAAACTGTCTGTTCATCAGATAAATGAAGCATGTAAACCCACGTGCACACACTATTTTGCTTTACTTTGTGCTATACCTGTTTGCAAGGAATTGTAACCATTTTCCTTAAAACGGCCTTATTTAACTTAATTTTTTTCCTTCAATATATTCAAAAGACCTTAGATTATTATCAGTAATTATCAGTATGACTTAGCAAAGGAAACCTCATCAAAGAACTCATAAAACAGGCTTCATAGAATTTGTATTTTGTAGACTTGTTTTATTTTATTAATTTCTAGCACAAACATCTCACTTTAAAGCTTCCAAAAATGCTTGCACACCCCTAATCTGATTTTACCTATTTGTGAGATAAATGATGTTAGTTTTCCAGTTTTATTGATTATGAAACAAGGATTCTGAGACGTCATTTAAATTGCCTGGGATTCTATCAACCCATAAGTGGCAGAGACAAACTTGAGAGTAATTACCCGCATCCCACCAGGCTTCTTTCTGTCTTAGCCCTGTGTTTATTCTTCTGCCTCACTCTATGGCAATACCATATGATGGGAATAATGTCAGTGTTCATATACCTCTTTGTCTCACGTGCTAGGTCCTCACAATATCATTCATATGGCTCTGTTCCTCTGCACAGGTCCTTTATAGCATCACAAGGATATAATGATAGATTGGGTGAAATCCCTCTCCCCTACCCCTATGCCCAGCAACACAGCTTCTCTCTGATTTCTCTGGATATCCCAGACACAGGAAGGTAGAGCAACTGGGTATATGGCCCACAATGATTGCATTTCCTTCCAAAATAGTTATGATGATTTTTATCAAATAATCCATAAACACTTAATACCAAAATACTTACTGGTATAATTCTGGTTCTGCTGTGAGCAATTTGTGGACTTTGAGCGAAACGTTCAATCATTTTAGGCCTCAGCCTACCAACTTTACTGTGAGAAAAAAGGACTAATTTATACAAAGTCTATTCAAACCTTAAAATATTATTAATCTATGAAAACAGTATGTGGCATAATTCAAAAAACAACAGTGCTCAGGAGGCTAAGATATAATTAATAAAATCCAGTAGGTTTCCTCCCTCATTTTGCCTATAATGTTGCTTATTCTATCAACTCCATTTTGCTTTAGTTTCTTGCAAATGAACTAGAAAGGTGATTGTATAAAGGTTAATTCTATGATGTCAGTAACATGAACTTTAATAAAAGATACTATTGAAATAGAGTTATTACTCTTAAAATGTAGGGCATTCAGATAGGACTATATTGGGATGTAATTATTGATTTACAAATAAAGTTTAGAAAATAAGAAGCTTTGGAAGCAGAGGGTAAAGCTGGAATCCCTCATAAGCAGTGGACTCTCAATTCACTTGTCAATGTATAGCCTAGATCCACACTTGCTCAGAACAGGTTACAAGTATCACACTAGTTAATCCATGCTACCCAGACGGAATGGAAATGGACATTTTGTGGCACCAGAATGCCTAGCTACTCTAATCTGTCTGGGACCCCATTTTTTTAATGCAGTAGTAGCAGAATAAGAAAAACATACAAGAAAGTCAAATGTTTTCCCAACTGCAGAAGCAAACACTTTGCCAGAAATTCCAAATAATTTAAAATGTGGCCTTGCTTTCTCTCCCTCTCTCTCTCTCCCTTTTACTATCAGTACCAAGCCAAGAGTCTAAATATTAATAGAACTATTTATACAGGCTGTTGTCCACCTTAATGCAGATTTTTCAAATTTCTTCTGCAACTTGCTGTATCTGAACACACAGAAACCTCTTATTTCTCTTGTGTTTGCTCAAGTTACACAAGTAAGTTCATGAACATTTTGCCAATACACAAATTCTGATTTTTTTGTGGGGAATATAAGTCATCCCTGTGTTTATAAAGTGACAGAATCTGGAAGGATGTTGTCAGGCCAGCCAACTTTTTCAAACTCACTTAAATCAAGTGCTGTTATTGAGGCAGACGACGCACAGAAAGCAAGTTCACATCTGAGTGCAGTGGTTGTCTCCATCTAGAAATAATCTCAAAACATGGTATGTGAGTGTGGTCTCCTTGGGGGCACCACATACCCTTATAGACAGGCACAGAGCTGGGGAGGGGCCCATCCATTTGAGTCTATGCTTATGGGGTGGCAATCTTCAGTTGCCTACGGTCGACGTAGAAAGACAACACCTGCTTAAATCAAATCTCTCATCCATCCCTTTTAATTTGTCATGGCTCCATGCTCTTTATTCCAGTCCATTCTCTTTCTAGCACTATAAGGAGCAGGGAGAGCAGGCAAGAGACCCAGCAGCAGCCTGTTTGCTGGGAACTTGCACAGTTAAGGTGTCTAAATATTTTTTTTTTTGCACTGTTATGCCATCACTTAAGGATCAATTAACTGGTCTCTGTGGCAAACTGCTGTTCAGTGACTGGTGCCATCCAGTGCGCTGGGCAAACTGACACCAATGACCAATGCTCCCCATGGTTTGTCGTGTCTCTCAGGTTCCCTAAGACCATACCGACGGCACCTGTTAAAGCTGCTTCTGCTAAGCTGTTCTGCATTTGTCTGGCTGGATTTGGACTTCCTGGATCTCTGACTGAATACAAAGTGATTAGAGAGCCCAGTGTTTGGCAACAAGCGCGATAGGGAATACGCTGTGTGTGGGTCCACAGGAGCACAATGTTCTTCATAACCCCATGCAGGGAGCGCCCTGCTAGATTCCCTGTGCTGTGGAGATCAAAATGGTCTCTTTTGTCGTCAGCTGTTTAACAGCAGCTGTTTAATGTAATTCCAAATGATTTGCTTGAATGAAGTTGTCATTCCTGCAGTAATCTTTAATTTGGTAAAACACATAGCTGAGCAATGCTATTTTTAATATTATTTTAGCTTTAAAAAAGTTTCCAGTCCCCATATTTTCCATGATGATGACAGATCGAAATCATTACTGGGAAGTATAATTACGCAAAGGAGAAAACTAGATATTAATATCAGCATTTTTCTACCTAAGTTAGTCAAATGCTAATTGGCAAATAGAGGTTTATCAAAACAAACAAAAAATAAGTATAATGAAGTTAACAGAAGAATTTTTGCATCATAAACTTTATCCCCATCTATCACTAAATGTAAATTGCACCTTTTTTCTGAGGAATATGTCTTATGTTAATAAACTCAAATAGCTAGTCTAGGAAAAACATTTTAAAGATTTCATGTTTTAAGCATTTGGACAATAGTGCTCAAACATTACAAAGAGGACCACAAATGAATCAACCAACCTTCCTTCCTTCCTTTCTTCGTTCCTCCCTCCCTTCCTTCAGCTTTATTGATTATCATCCATTGCAGTTTGTAGAGAAGTCTGTTTACAAGGCAAAAAATGCCTGGCCTGTGTTCTCAGGCAATTCTGCAGTTCTCCTGTGAACAATAGAGGGCACTGATGCTTCTAATCTGGCAGACATCGCCTCGGAGAGAACAAAATCACTCTTCTACTTGTGGCTTGCCTTCCAGCTAGCCAACCTCTCAGTACCACATTCCATTTGTGATAGACTTTCTCTCTCCTAAGAAAGCTACCTCTTTTCTTTCTCTATTAGTTGATATTCTATGTCCAGTTTTCAAAGCTCTGCATTAAAAAGCTGTTCTTCAGTTAATAGTTTGTGGTCTTTTAAAAAAATATCTCCTGGCTTTTCTGATTATGAATGGCTGTTCTTAAAGCATATCTTCTTACCTTACTGATCTTCTTTCTAACCCTATTTAAATACAATTCATTCAGAGATGATGCTACTTGCTAGGATCTTGGCTTAAAAATGAAAACTCTATAGGCTAGGACCCTTTATAAATATATGTCCTGACAACCTACTGTCCAGTGGCATGTATTTATCAAATGTCACAAATTAATACATTGATAGGCACCAGGCCACCACCCGAAGAAGAACATACTGTGATACAGTTCTTCACTAAAGAGAGTTATTTACCTTTTTTTAAAAAAAAACTCAAAGCCATAACAATTTAAACTGTTTCACTTGAATCAAATGAGATGCATCATCCATTTCCCTGATGTGCTTTCAGTAAAGAAGAAAAGGCTTCATAAGAAATACCTTAGGAGAGTGCTCTGTGTTTAACCATTTTCTCACCATAAAAGTTAAAATCACCTAATCAGAAAACACCCTATCATTTTATACTGAATGGTTCATAAGAACATAAAATTCCATTTAGCACTGCTACCCGCTCTCATCATCTACCCTTTTAAAATGCTTACCCATCTTTCTCATTGCTATTCAAAGAAACAGATTTATTTCTCACCCTGGAGTTGGGAATTTTGGCATGCCAGATTGAAAATGTACCCAACACCAAGTAGTGGATGGGTTATTCTTAGTCTCCTTACACGCTTAAGAGAAAATGGGGCAGTGTATGTCTCTAAATCAAGTGAAGTTCTTTGGAAACTATGACTTCAGCTATAGCTAGATTAGTGAGGCTGTTGTCATATTAGAGAAAGAACTGGGATCATGAACAATAGAAATGCTAGTCACAGCAAAAGAGATGAAGGGACAAAATCTTAGGGACTGTGAGAAGAGGTTGCAGAATTATTACCATATTCATCATACTTCTGATTTATTTTAACTTTGGTTATGGAAATTAGAGAAATTCCTCCAGTGCCTTTTTGATGTCTCTGAGCAACCACTGACATTTGGTGGGGGGTATTTTGCCTCAGCCCAGCTGTGCAAACCCCTTTCATCATTTCTCTCCTGTCCCTTTCATCTGCCCTTTCACTGCCTGCCCCTCCACTCCCTTTATTCTTTTCCCTTTTTTTCCTCCCTGCTTAGGCATCAGGGCCTGGGAGCCACCAGTAGACCCAAAAGACACAAGATGGCTAGAATAGTTCCTGTTTCTTCCCTGATAAAGTCAAGGGAAAAGGCCTCCCTAGATAACCTGTCCCTTCGCTTCTTTCCTCAAGGTTTACAAAATAAAAATCAGAATCATTGGTGATAACCTTTCTTGTGTTTTAGACTGTTTATCGTATTAGATGGAAGAATATTCAGCTGATATATATATTTTTTTCTTTTTGGAAGAAGCTATTTCCATGCTGTGGCTGAGCTCTCTGGCAGCCAACAGCGCCTTTGATTAGAAGGCTACTTCATAAATTACAAACCACCAGAGTGAGAGTCATTATGTAGAATGGGCTCTGCCATCTGGTCGTCCACTCTCTACACGATAAAGGCCATCATCCTTGCTCTGTGGCTTGGTTACTTCAAGGCGTCCTTAGCCACAGCACTGAAAGAAAATAGATGTTTTCATTCTAAGCTCACTTGGCCTTTTAAACCTAGAATATTCAAGCACTTGGAAGGGCTATTATTCCCATTTAACAGATTGGGAAACTGAGATGTAAAAGAGTTAAGTATTTTTGTAAAAAATCCAGTAAAAAAAATGTACAATTTTTCCTTTGCTTCAATAGCAAGAGAGCAGATTCCGCTTTTCTCTGCTTTCTAGCTGTATAAGAAATTTCAGATACATTTCATTTCCATTTTCTGAAAGGTTCTATCAATGGAAATTACGGGTGCATGTGACAGGAGAGAATGAATTTCTTATTGAAGAGGTAGGCACTCTGCAACAATTCATCTCAGCTGCCTCTAAAGAACAAAAAATAAAAGTTTTTTAGTGAAGTTGATAAAATGCCAGACAGGAATGAATACTTTACTTTTACTTATGTTTCTTTCCTGAAGCAAACAGGAGAAACATACCTCCCTTTACCTCTGGAAAGCAGTTCAGAACACACTGCTAGAGGTCCTATTCTCTTCAGAAAGAACTTCTGGGCATTTGAACTAAAACTGGCCAAATCAAAGAACTGTTTAGCCCAGCATGGATTCAGTATGATGGTAATTACTAATTGCTTGAGTCTGAGACATTTCTTTCTTCCTATACTAGGGTATTTTAGAACAGTAGAGTGTAGTGGACATGTATTCTGGAACAGTGGCTGGGTCCCATCCATGCCTCTTATTAGCTCTCTGGTCTTGGGCCAGTTAGTTAACTTTACTGTACTTCAGTTTCTTCCTCCATAAAATGGGCTTAGAATAGTAACTACTTCATTGGACTGTTGGGAGAATTAAAATAGTAAAATTGTTACAGTGATTAGAACAGAACTGTTTCAAGAAGAATATTTTGCTGCCTTCTCACTATTTTTTTTCAATCTATCAAGATTAAAAGTTATCAAAATAAAAGAAAGGTAGATGCAGAACCACCAGTAAGTTTATACCAGGATGATGAGGATGATGTCTCACTTCTATTAATGGAAATAATATGTGTGGCTTTGCTGTCTTTGTAACCTATAAGCATTACCAATTAACATGGGCAAATGATAACCAAAGGCAAAGGACCATATATCTATATATTGATACACACACACACACACACACAGAGTAGTACCTGTCATTAGAACTTCCTACGCATACATAAACATGTTTCTTGTATTCCTGTATCGAAAGTTTCAAACTACACACTAGTGCTTATGATTACTTCTTTGCAAAGATATGACAATTCAATTGGATGCTTTCAATTAATGTTCAGAGAGTTTTGCCTGGTCTGTAATGTCAGACACTTTTCTTATCAAAGAAGGTTGGAATTTATGAGACATGGCAAGAGAAAACCATCAAAGGGTATTTTTAAAGTCCATATTAATGATTACTGCCACCCTCCTTTTAAAAAACAGTGAAAGAAAATGTCAGGAAAGGAGTTCAACAAACTAATACTGCTATTGCTTATAGTTTCCTTTTATCTTAAGTCTATGTTCTGATTTTAAAAAAGTTAATATCAGAGGTGCATTTGGGCTTTCCACATATTTTATAATAGTTGTGCAAATACATAAAAGTGTATATATTCTTACATTCCTGTGGTATAGCCCTTTAACAAAGTGTATAGGTATAGTCCAAATAAACTTAAAGCATACCTAATTTCTTAGCTGAAAAGCCAGGACCCTTTGGAAGTATTAAGGATTATGTATTATGACTTTGTATCAGAGTGTCAGAAACCCTGGCTTCAGATATAACAGGAGGGAGGAGGTGGGGAGTCGTAAGAAGGACCGGGTGTGCATGCATTGTCTACATTTTCTTCAGAGCAGGAATAAAATCAGTCACCAGTGATCTTTCATGCAACATAAAGTTGGACTTCCTGGGCTTGTTCTGCTCAGCTGTGACTCCACTCAGTGTTATCAACTCTGTGTGGCATTTGGTTATCCTACCATTGCTGCTCTCAGGCCTTTTGTCAGAAACCATGCTGATTTTACTGCCATTTTTTTCTTCCCAAAACATAAGAGCTTTCAAAAGTAACTTAATGGGAAGCAGCTAGACATTTTAAAAGAGATGGAGGAAAAACAAAAACCCGAAACCTTCTTCCTTCCAAATATTCTGAAATATAAGACCCAAAATGAATGTGACCTTGACCCAGCCTATACATTTCACCAAGGGGTCTAAACCCTGGGGAATCCCAGGCCTTCCCTCCAGAACACTTACACACATACTCACATGATATAGTGCTGTCTCAGGATTAACTTTTACAAAAGAACAGAAGTATCTCGAACTTTCACTCTAGAGTCCCGTATCTTTTTCAGTATTTCCTAAAACATTTAAATTGTGTTTTCCCCTCTCTATCACACTGCAAAGGTGACAGTCAACTTTTATCATTCAACATCCTTTTGGGAGCATCTTTCCTTCTGTACCCTTAGTTCAGATTTACCAGCAACTGTTAAAAAATATCTGCCTAGGAACTCTATATAAGAAACAATGAGTTTGGCCTAAGCTACTGCTGTGATGATTCACAGATAATCATTCAGCCGCCGGGCTCTATTTATATATTTATTTCAGTCACTAATTTCAGATTTTATTCCTTAGTATCTAAGTCAGTACAACCAGGCAAAAGAGAAAGAACTTTTTTTTTTTTTTTTTTTGCCACATTTTAATCTAGTTGCGTGTTGCGTAAAAGATTTGGTGGGAAACTTTGAAAGTAATGAATCACATGAACTTTCTCAATGATTTGTGGATTTCACTCTCAAACGTTCCTTTTCTATTTCAACTCCATTATAATGGATAATTGAGAACTGACTACACAGATGGGGAATGCATCCATCCATTCATTCAACAAATATTTCAAGATGATGACAGGGACATCAAATTTGCTACATGTAACTAGGCCTTCTTAAAAGAGGCAGATGATGATAGACTATGGAAGAAGGAGAGTATGGCTTTCATGTTTATATATTTTGGGTATTCCATGAACACATTTACAAAGAACAATAAAGAGAAAGGGGCTGCATAGCGGATATTTTATAGGTTCCAAAGCAATTCATGATTTTATCACATCTACTGTTTTCTTTGAATAAGATATTTTAAATAAAAACTGACTTTACTTTTTTTCAAAGCAGCAAACTGGTGAATTTTTGATGTTCTGTAATTTCCTGAATTATGGTTTTATATTAAATGTCATTCCTCCCAGAGTGGTAGCAAATTACATGATTTGCCTTTAAAGCAAAAATTAATTTGTGAATTTCAAGTCATGATTTGCCTTCATTCCACCTAGACCAGGACTCTAGATCTTAGAGCCCCCCAAACTCAGCTACTGTATATTGTAAAAAGGAGCATTTGGTTAAATAAATGGCTAAATTATCAAAGTGACTATATCATATCCCGAATTATCAATTATATACAAACTACATACTATATAGAAAATAGCTTTGTTATATTCAATAGCATATTATACTGTGGTTGGTGAAAATAAAATTCCTTTTTACTCCTATTTTCTTATATTTACCTCACATGGTCCCCACATATAAGGAAAGAATGACCTTTTTAACTCAATCCTTGCTGTCAGTCCCCAAAACCCAATCTCCAAATTCTGTGGAGTCTCAAGTAGCTGAATCAGAGCAATCAGTAGATGTTTATAGAACTGAATCTTCTTCCTTTAGTGTAGACCATCAGTGGCAGAAACAACAAGAAACAGTATGCATTTTTATGCTAAGGATTTACTTTGCAATATATACTGTTTCAAAGTTTTCAACTTCTTCTATTCCAGGGGCTATTTGTATTTGCTAATGATTGTAGTTAAATAGTGAATACTTTCCTCCTGGATGAGGGGTCCCTATTAGTAGCAATCCAGAGATGTTGCCTGACCCTGGCCCCCCTGCACATTACAGGGAATCTAAAAAAACTAACTTTCCCCCAGAAACCTGAAATAGTTTGGACCCAAGTAGTGTGCATTCCCAAAATGCTGTTGTACCCCAGATAAATCTAGCTTCTTGCTGCCAGATCTTAAGGAAGCCTGTGTACTTTAATTTTCTCATCTGAAAAATGTAGATAGCATCTGCTCTATCTAATTCACAGGCATGTGTGGAAATAGATGCAATAAAATGGAAAGCCCTGGCATTCAATAAAATCCATTCTCTTCCCAATCTCATCAAAACCAAACTACTGAAAAAAAGCAATATATAAATATTAGGGTTTTTTCTCTTCTTTTTGTATTCTAGGATATCAGAATGACATGTTATGGTGGACAAGTTCAAAGAGTTTGGGAAATGTGCCATTTCTTGGTCCTGGAATAAGAGAATGATTTGGGGTGGGGGATCGAGAAGATTATTTTAACCAGCCAGGCATTCCTACTCATTTTTCTCTGCATATCGCCACAACTTGGACACAACAGGAGCTTCAACGAGAGGAATTTGTACTTATCAGAATCAAGAAAATCAGGTTTTTTCTCTCTTTGACAGATATAGTTCTCACAATGGGTCTCAATAAAGCCTTTTCCCCACTAGGAATTGAGAGATAGCTCATTCTAGCTACTTTAAAAGAGAACGAGGCAGGGAAGGGGAGCTATGAATAAGATTTCCAAAGCTACAGAACTTGCAAATATCTAAAGAGGCCAGTATTTACTTCAAGAAATTAAAGAGCGAAATGTTGACACTGAAATAACAGAAAGCTGAAAATACTCTTAGTACTCTCATTATATTCTATCATGTAATAGAAAAGTTGTACACTTTAAATGTGTACAACAATTCTCTATGCAAAGAATGGTCCTCATTGGGTTTGGGAATATCTTTGGGATCCAACAGGAACAGCATGTCCTAGAGTAGAGACTGAAAAACATTATCACAAATAGGCCCATATCTCATAACTGAGATGTCTAGGGTACGCACACCCATCTCCCCAAGACCAAGGTGGGAGATGCCAGTATACAAGTCCTTCTAAACTCATTCCCTCTCCTCATAAAGGCATTTCCACAGCTCCCAGAACTCCTATCTCAGGTTGTCATTGCAACTTTATGCAATGCTTTGCTCTAAACAATTCACTAATTCAGACTGTAAATCTTTATTATAAAGATTTCCTTCTCCTAAGCAGTAATTCTCTCTGCTCTGGTGGGGAGAGGAATGATTTGTTTTTTCGTTACTGGTTATTTATAAGATATCTACTCTAGATTAGTCCTGCTTGAGTGACATCCTAAATGGCTCATTCCCCAGCAGTACTCTACTTCTGATGGGAGACTGACAACCTCTACTTAGAATGTCTTTCATGGTACACAATGAAGTGTAAAACTGCTGTGAAAAAGCCCATGTTTCAAAACAAACCATCTCTATAATAAGCACTTAAAACACTTTTCATTAATATATTTCTTTGTGTATAAAACAAAAGCTTAATGCTGCAACATGGCCTTTGACAATTTTTTTTTGGCAAAAATAAACACTATTTCAGTTTTTAGCTAGACCAAAATAATGAAAATGTAAGTGAGGCTTGTTTGAGATTTTACCCACATCCACACTCTTAATGCTGGTGCAAACTGTGTTGTTTTCAACCAAAACATTAAAGTTCAACAAAAATCCAAAGGCAAAAAGCTTGAAGTAGTAAATTTACAATCTAACAACCTTTCTATCTCAGGTATTAGCAAATACCTATGGTCTAGAGAGATATAGTCCTGTCTAATCCTTATCTGAATTTGCAATTAAGACTTCAGAGCCACAGATATCTGTACACAGTTCTGTACACAGTTCTGCTCTCTTAATTTTAAATGACTGAACCCAAATCAAATCAGGCTTCAAATACATTGAAAAGTAAATGTCTAATGTCTAATTGAACTAATAGATAGTACTCTTTAATACAGTTAATGCTTAGTGCCAGATTTAGGAGCCCAGGAGCTGCAGAAATAAGAGAAATGAACAAATAAACAGCATTAAAAAAGAAGAGGAAGAAAGAAAGAAAATCCTCCTTGGAAAACTTGTCATGAAATTATGATGACTTGATTCCTTAATATAAATATAAAAGCAAGCAAATTCATGTTGATTCTTTCCTGCCATACCTCCTCCTCCCGTGATCTAAATGTGCTCTGAATTAGATTCCCATTCACTTCCATTAATTGTCACCTCCAATAGAATATTGTAAGAGCCTCAAAATGAAGCACTTATGAGTTTTCTTTTTCAGTCTCTTGTGGGCTTCTCTCAGTTTATCGCAAATGAACAATCATGTTGGAAGGGCCTCCGTCTGTTTAATGTCATTAGCGATTGTTTCATAAAACAAACAGCCGCTCCACCATTCGGCTGCAGTTAATCTTAAATCTAAATGTGGCGGCACTCAGGGAGAGCCTCAGACGTGGTTTGTTCTCACCAATGCAAGTCTCTTAATCTATTGCAAGTCAAGGCGCTTATCTCTCTGCTCAGTTCAGAGCAGGGATTTCTTTGTCCAAATACTAAACCAAACCCAGTTAACATTTTGAGTCCAGAATTTTTTTTTTTAACCTCCTGGGCAATTTTTTTTAAAGCGACTCAAAGTCTACAGTATATTTATTTGTTGACTGTACTATTTTACAAATATTTTCCCAATACTGAGAAAGTCAAATTCTTTTTCAGGTTGGCGCCTACAAGCCAGCCTAATCAGTGAGTTTGGGAATCCTGATAAAAGGCTAAACTGAGAACAAAAACACATTTACAGACCTGGGAATGATGGGTACTTGGAAAGTCAAAGAATTCAGGGGGTTATGTACTCCCAAAAGAGTCTGATTACCCCCATAAATTAGGCTTAATCACTAGTATCTTAATAATAATATTATTATTTAGCATAGACATGGTCTTGAGTACTTACTATATATTTTTTTTCATGGAAACAGCCAAATAACCCCTAAGAAGGTATTATTATCCCCATTTTCAGATAAAGTAGCTAAGGCTGAGAGAAGTAAAGAAACTTGCAGGAGGTCACACTGCTGGTACCATCATTTCAAACAAGGTCTAACTGGCTTTGAAGCATATGTTCCTAGCCATAAGGCCCTATTAAAACTGGCCATCACACCAATTTGAAAATCCATGTCTATAACGATCATATATTCTGCAGTTCCTGGGAGAGTTCTAATTTGCAAGTTTTTGTACCTCTGCCAGATAATGTGCCCCAGATTTTTAGTGGAAAATATTATGGTTCTATGCTACAGTTTCTAGCAGCAGAAGCCTGCCTGTTGCTGCTCAGGCTCAGATAGCAAAGGCTGCTTCAACAAATAACTACCCAGTTTTGCCACCATAGCTTAACGGAGGGGCTCTGTCCAAGTTCTCTGACTTAGTCTCCCCAGGTGGAAACTTTCAGGTTCCAGCTACAGCCCTGTGTACCCCAGCAAACCTCCTAAGGGTCTCCTCCACCCACCACATGGTTTTCCCCCCATTCACTCAAGGCCTTTAAACCTTTGCCTGCTCTTCTGTTGAGTTCTTTTTTGATTTTTAAAACCCTTTTGTTGTTTTTCAATTTCCACCTGCTCCCAAATAAAACCAAAAGATATTGGAAGGCAGAAATCAAAATCTGAAGCTCCTTACATAGTATTGAGTAGCCACTCAGTCAGCTGATAAGCTGGAAAACATTTATTCATTGAATATCTGTTAGTCCCAAGCACTAGGTAGGCACCAGGTATACTAATATTTGCTTCCTAATATACCTACTATACTAATAGAACAATTTTTTTCTTGTTCTAATAATTTGTTGAAGAGAATCTGAAGGTCATACCTCATTCATATCTCTCTGCTCTGGCTTTTTGGAATTATTTTCAGCTCCTTAGAAGGGATGAGGGGACAAGCACTTTTGCCTCCAAGCACTTGCACATATGGGTCCCTTAGCCTAGTACATTATCATCCCTCTCCTTACTTGCCTAGTTCCTGCTCAACCTTCAGATCTTAGAACACATGTCACTTCTTCAGGGGTATGCCCCCATTCACTGCATCCCTAAACGGGGTAAGTGTCCCTCTGATTGGTTTCCACGGCATCCAGGATTTTCCCACATCCTGTGCATGTCTTCCACATGTCTGTAAGCACCATGAGGGATAGGGACTGGTCTGTCTTGTTCAACATTGTCTCCCCAGCGCAAGGGACCATGCCTGGTACAGAGGTGGTGCCCAATAAATACTGCCTGCATGGATAGATGCATAGAAAAAAAGGGTGTGTATCTTAGAATAAATTTTTTTTCTCATAACCAATAAAAAAATCTCAAATTCTTTTAAAATGGAGATAGAATATTTATATTCTGAAGAATATATATAAGAAAAGATATAGAGAATAATATAAGAATATAAATAAGCATATATATGTGTATATATATATGACAATATACGACTATATATAATAACTGATATCCATGGCCTGAGATTTTGCTCTTTTAAAATCCAAATTGAAAACCCAGTGTGGTAGCATGCATCTGTAGTCCCAGCTACTCAGGAGGCTGAGGTAGGAGGATCACTTGAGCTCAGGAGTTTGAGGCTACAGTGAGCTATGATTACACCACTGTAATCCAGGCTGGGTGACACAGGGAGGTCTTTTCTCTAAAAATAACATAAATTAAGTAATTTAAATTGAGAGGGAATAAAGGACATTTTGAATGGAGTTTAAAAACATCCCAGAAAGGATAAGGGGAGGCTTAAGCAGAGGGATCAGAAGAAGGAGGGCATGTACACTTTTCATGTTTTGCAGTTTTAACCAGGAAAATCACTATTTTATTAATATGTACTTAGAATTCAATTCAGTTTAATCAATAGTCATTGATCGTTAGCTGATAGGATAGACACTCTACTAGACATTATGAGGTGGTGGGAGGTGATAAAACATCCCAGTTGTAAGAATGTATAAGCAGAGGAATAGAAAGGAGGGCCAAGACAGCAAAGACAGGTGGACATTCCTTTCAAGGGCTGCAAGTCTCTCGTTTGCTCAGTCTCCTTTGTTCATATCGGCTCCATCTAGCAGCCCCAACCCACTGTTGCCCCTTCCAAAGTCCACCTCAACCTCCCCCTGGGGACAGGTGTTAATGTCTAGGAGAGAAAAAAAAGGAGATATAGAAAGTGAGATCTAAATTGAGATTTGCTTCCTGATAAACCTACTACACAAATAAAAAAAAAAAATTTTCTTGTTCTAGAAATAAGGTGAGTTTTACTACCTTATACATACTTCCTTTTTTTTTATCAATTCCTGGTATTTCCTTTTTGTAAACTCTAGATCTTCTAGAGTCAGCTCTGAGTAAAATGATTATTTCCTAATTTAAACAATTAATACAATAAGTGTACTGGTCTTCAGAATCAAACAAGGTTTTGAAAAGTGGCAAATTTCAGTAATGGAAACCAGAAAACAAAGTAAAACAATCTTACAGGTAATCTTATATCTTGACTCAGAGTAAATATTTGGTGAGTGCATAAATGATCCATAATTTCATTGTCACCAGAAGCATCTATCTCAACAAATCTCAAATCAGAGTGGTTACAAATAATCAAATGGGCTGACTTGGGTTCACTGTATTCTTCCTGTCTCTGCCAGTGCCTACTATCTAAAGAATACAACAATTAAAAACAGTAATAACAGCAACAAGGCAATACTTTGAAAAGAAGCAAAATTAATCTTTTACCTGTATTACCAAGCATTAAAAGGCTGTGCTTTCTGTATTAGGCTTAAATATGACCACAGTTTGAAATACCTTAATACTTGTCAAGTAATGGGAAAATTGATATGGCTCATTTACAAGTCCTTTCTTCCTTTCCACTAGTTTGTGACTTAAGGTATACAACTTGGAGCTGTCCAGCTCTTCAATCCATTCCCCAGTTTTCAGGGAATCAGTTTCATGCTTTACACCCTGAGGGTGTATATATAGTTCTCCAGTTGTCTGACTCTCAAGTACTACGATAATGGTACCTTGTAGTGGCTATTAACAATAACAATAGTCATACCAACACTTTGCCAAGTGCTTTAGACCCATTGCTTTATTAATTCTCACAATAACACTCTAGGATGGGTGTTATATTATTAAATGCCCTTTTTTCCTTCAAATAGGCAAAATGAAGCTTGGAGGGCTGTGTAAATTGCCCAAGGCTCTGGAGCTATTAAGAATGAGCCTATTTCTAGAACTAGAAATACCATTTGACCCAGCCATCCCATTACTGGGTATATACCCAAAGGACTATATATCATGCTGCTATAAAGACACATGCACACGTATGTTTATTGCGGCATTATTCACAATAGCAAAGACTTGGAACCAACCCAAATGTCCAACAATGATAGACTGGATTAAGAAAATGTGGCGCATATACACTATGGAATACTATGCAGCCATAAAAAATGATGAGTTCATGTCCTTTGTAGGGACATGGATGAAATTGGAAATCATCATTCTCAGTAAACTATCACAAGAACAAAAAACCAAACACCGCATATTCTCACTCATAGGTGGGAATTGAACAATGAGAACACATGGACACAGGAAGGGGAACATCACACTCTGGGGACTGTTGTGGGGTGGGGGGAGTGGGGAGGGATAGCATTGGGAGATATACCTAATGCTAGATGAGGAGTTAGTGGGTGCAGCACACCAGTATGGCAGATGTATACATATGTAACTAACCTGCATATTGTGCACATGTACCCTAAAACTTAAAGTATAATAATAAAAAATAAATAAATAAATAAATAAAAAGAATGAGCACCCTGTAGTAATAGATAGGCTAGGGAGCATTTTTTTCTGCAACAGTTCTTAGGTCTAAAAACTTAATTCTTGAGCTCAAAACACTTCCCCAAAGGAAAGGGAATACCAATATAAGTGTAGAAGTACCTTACACAAACAAATCCCTGGATTATTATTCATATGAAATTCTCAAGACTGTAAATTTTTGATAGCCTATGAAGCAAGCATGTAACAAATGATTTTTGGATTAAACTCATAAGTTACCTAAGAGTGCTAACTCCTATAGAAATTTTCTTTTGATCAGTTCTTACCATTTATAGGCTAAAAAATCAACTAAAAAAATGGGTTAGTGCAGGCAAGAAGGGGAGACAATTATATTGGGAAGCTATTTACACTGGGAAATGGCATTGATGTGAGAAAATCAGTTGAGCTCATTTCCTCAATTCTACATTTTGGGTTTTCTTTCTTAAATGTATTAGATATATTTTCATATAATATTTAATAAAAGTGTCTGGAGTGTATTTTCAGGCCATAACATGTTGTTGTTGGCTATGAAGTCTCTTTAGGAGGCACCATAATTTTCAATAAATCACTAAGAAAAACAGAAACTTTATTATTTAGAAAAAACAAAAAACAAACTCCTTTGCTCTCAACGGCAGTAGTTATACTGATTTTGAACCCTTTGGTTTTACAAATCCCATTTGAGTTCACACTACCTAACCAGTAAGGTGTATCAGAGGATAAGTGGGAGAGGGAGTGTGAGGGGAAAAAAAGAGGGAGGAGAATGAAAGAGAAACCTGAAAATAAATTATCAAAGAGAAAACTGGTCACAATATTAATATACGCTTAGCATTTTGGGCTAAAGTCGATTATTACCTCCCCTGATATTGTAAGGTTAAGTTCAATTCTATTTTTTGATTTGCAGTTGTTCTTCCCAGTTAAATTTACTGCAACATTAAGTTGTTAAAGTTTTCACTGTGCATGGGCAGTCACATGAAGAGAGCAAAGGTTTTGGATCCCAACAGATGTAGAGGTGGATGGATCTCAGATAATTACGAGCTCTGGGTAAACTGCTCAATGTTTATGATCCTTGGTTTTGTCATCTATAAAATGGAATAATAATGGCCTATGTAGGTTTGTGATTATTATCTATAATAAATATAAAAACTTATGAGAATATTTAGCACCGAGTAGGTATTCAATGTGTTACAGTCTTGAAGAGAAGACTAATCTGGGGAAAAAAAGTAAATAAAATTCAGGACAGATTGAAATAAATGCTGAGATAGTTCAAAGCAATGTCTTACAAGGTATGATACTTCTGTGGCTATCGGAATCTCCAGGGGCTCTTGTTAATCACACAAATTTCTGTGTCTCATCTCAGATCAGAGGCAGAGTCTCTAGGGGTTGGATTAAATCTGCAAATCTGCATTTTCAACAAACTACCTAATTGATTCTTTTTTTTTCTTTCTCTCCCCCACTGCCCCCCTTTTTTAAAATTAGAGATTGAGTCTTGCTAGTCTTGCTAGGTTGCCCAGGCTGGACTCTTTTACTCTTTTTTTTTTTCTGACAGGGTCTTGTTTTGTCCCCCAAGGTGGAGTGTAGTGGCACAATCTCAGCTCACTGCAACCTCTGCCTCCCAGGTTCAAGCGATTCTCCTGCCTCACCTCCTGAGTAGCTGGGATTATAGGTGCACACCACCATGCCTGGCTAATTTTTGTATTTTTAGTAGAGATGGGGTTTCACCATGTTGGCCAGGCTGGTCTCAAACTCCTGACCTCAAGTGATCCTCCTGCCTAGGCCTCCCAAAGTGCTGGGATTACAGGCATGAGACACCATGCCCGGCCCAGGGGGGGACTCTTAACTCCTGGTCTCAAGCAAACTTCCCTCCTCAGCCTGACAAGTAGATGGGACTATAGGTGTGTGCTGCCTCACTGGGACATAGTTGATTGTTATGTTCACTGAAATTTGATATTTTCTACTAGAAAGAAAAAAAATTTGTATCCCTAAGAGATCCAACAGCGAACAGATGGCTCATTTAACCTCTGATCATTCCAGGAGGGTTGACTTACAAAGGGTCTAATTTAAAGAGACTAATTGCAGGGGTAGGGGAACAACAGATGCTGCAGGAACCCAGGGTGAAGAGCAGTGGAACTAGTCCACAAGGCCCAAAGTGAGAGGGGTGGGTGGAGTGCAGAACTTGGGAGAGGGAGAGTTGTGTGGAACAGCCGCCCTTCAGGGAAGCGGTGACACTCGACCAAGTGATACATCCAGAACAAGGCTTGGTGAGGGCCGGGGGCAGTAATCTGGAGTATAAATATCTTGTTCTTACTCTTCTTCTTCTCTCCAATCTCCTACTGAGTTTTCCCAATGGCCAGAGCCAAGTGGAAGTGAGAAAACCCAGGAGCCCCATTACCAATATTTGTCTTATTTAAGGCTGGAGATTGTCCTGGAGGGGCAGGTGGAAGATGTCTGGCCTGGAAGAGAAGGGAAGGGCTGGAGGCAGGAAGGGAGAAAACATCACAAATAAAACAGCTCTTGAGGTTGTGAATGACTAAAACACTATTAACAACAATAATAATGATGATAATGGCTCTATTTACTGAATTTTTATTGTGTTCTACTGCTATAAGGACTTTCTATGCATTAAGTTGTTGGATGCTCACAACAGCCTGATAAGGCAGCCCTGTGATCACCCCTAGTCTTATAGATGAGAAACCTGAGGCAGGGAAAGGTTAACTTAACTGTGCAAGTTTACAGCTAGCTAGCAGGAAGCCAAATTTATCTGGACAAGTTTACCTAGTTTATCAAGTTTATCAAGTCCCCTGGGACTGTACTGACAGTTATCCTGCTCTACTCTCTCCAAAGGCATTCTCTGAGGGAAGGTGGGTTCCATGCTGAGGGAAGAAGGTGAGCAAACAAATAGAGGACATAAAGGTGCCTGGGGTGTGAGGAAAACATGAAACATGATGGTGTAGTCAGACACTAAGGGATCTGGAGAGAGACAAGAAACCCTTGAACAGCCTTGGAGTTGCTTTTTTTCCTACTGGCAGTGGGGCGTTCCACTGCCTGACAAAGCTTTTGAACATGCTGTTCCTATAACGTGGGTACTGAGCTAATCCCCGGACTTTAGCTGAACTCGACATGCTGAGGTTGAAGACAGCTTTATTGTTACTCACAAATGGAGTATTACGGATCCCTGGTTCTTTTTCACCTTTCATTTCTTGCGACTGATGTAACTTTTTGTATCAGTAGCAATAGAAACAGAAACTCAAAATATCTCAAGGCAGTGGAGGTAAAAATAGAATGTAATAGTAAAGCAAAGCAATCTTCGTCACAAATCTTGTAAAGTGAACCTGTCGGGTTTTGATCTCTTCATTCAGCATACTTGTCCTCACGGAGGTGCACTCACATGGAAAAACTGGGACAAAGGAACCCGGTCCTTATTATTATGTTAGTATTATGTCTCTCTCTTTTTCTCCACTTTCTTATGCTTAATCAATTCTCAGCCCACCACAAAGATGAAGATAACTCCCTGCATTGGATATTTGAATTTATAGCTGCTGCTGTTTGGGGCACTCTGGAGGGAGGTACAATTATGCAGAGAAGACGTATATGTGGAGGAGGAGTGAGGAAAATGTAAGGAGAGAGTGGGCGAAAATCATCCCTGACTTTTCCTTGATTCTTACTGATGCCCCCACTCCTGCCATCTTTCCCTCTCATTCTCACAGCCCCAGTCCAAATTTGGGGATTACTAAGATAAAAAAAGAAATAAGAAAACTGTTCATTCATTTACTGGAACTTTTCCAATACCATATGAACTGCTTTGGGACCGCAGCACACTCGATAGGTTTCAGTGCTAAAAAAAAAAATATCTCAACACTTTGGAATTCTGTACCTGATTTAGTGGGAAAACCAGTGTGATATCTGATGTGATGGCAACAAATGCTTCACTACCTATCAAGAAGATGTCCTTAATTTTTATCAGAAGTTACACCAGAGACACTGACCTATTGCCAGCATTTATATAAAAAGAAAGTCAGAGTCTCTTTAGAAGGCTCTACCTTATCCATCACTGATCTCAATAATTCTGCTCTCTGGGGTCAGACATGACTCAGACCAAATGCCTCTGGCTGTAGATCCAGTGTTCTCTATCCATTATTCAGTTAGCATAGATGTTATATATTTGATTGTGGTTATTACATAATCTTTTTCTGAGCTAAAGAAATTTTTCTTCCCCTACAAATAAAACCTGATGAAGCTCGAATCATTTATAACCACTGAACTTAAGAACTAGAGGTGATCTTACAATCATATAATCCAACTCCCTGTTCTAACAGGCAAGAAAACTGAGGTACAGTAAAGGGAAAGGCACTTGTCCAAGGTCATAATAAGTAGTGAACCTGACTCAAAGTGTTCTTTTTTATTTGTCTCATCATGCTGACTCAGCAAACTATCCGTAGTTAACAAGGTTTTCCTTTCTTTCCTAGTTACTCATATTTTTGAAGTTACATTGGCTTCTAAAAAAAGAAAAGAAAGGACAAAAAACACACACACACACACGCAAAGGAGTGGGTATTGGCCAAAATTTCAAAGACACTATTTCTGAAAAATAAGGGCATACAGAAAGAAAGAGGGGGGATTTTTGAGCCTACGGACTCAAATGCCATCTAGATATGTTAACTGCAATCTAATCACCTGCAATGTTTATCATGGGTTATGGTAACAATGAGTTTAAAGCTATTTGGATAACAAGATACTGAGTTTTTGTCAGCTACAGCTCCATGATGTCTGTAATTTTCAATATATCTCATTTTGGAAACACATAAGCAATCTTTAAGCCTTTGATTGCTACTAGTACAGTTTACTTAAACAGATACAAAACTTATACAGTGCAAAGCAGATAACTGAGTAACTAGAGAGCAGTCACATGCCTGTGGCTATGTGAATGTACAAATGGCACAAGAGAATCCTTTACACAATTTTTTTCTTCAAATGAATTTTCTCATTACAGTAGCTTGTATTTAGTTTGGGCTTCAAAACTTAAGTATGCATTTGCTCCCAGGACGAGATGTGGGGACAAAATGGGTAGAAAAAGTGTGGCCTATTAAGAAAAGAAGGTGATTTAAAACTGTCAGTTGCTTTGTTCCCAACACAACTCTTTCATAAGAAGACAGTAACCCATTAGGAAGCTATAGCTGAGATTATTAACTAAAATAAAATTTTTAAAGTCAAGGTGAAAAGTCAACAAATTCTTTGCACCTACCCACATTGTTGGTATGTTTTATTATTGAAAGTGGCTGGCCCATTATGTGCTAGGCATTGAACATACATTGTCTCTAACCCTCACCAAAATCCTGAAAGGAAGGGGTTATAATCACACTTTCAGTTGAGGAAATCCAGGTACTATTCTCTGCAACCAGACTAAGGCCATAGCTAACAAGGAAAATTCTATTCTCAAATTGAGGAATCTGCCTCTCCAAATTCCAAGACATATCCTTGAACTATGCTGCCCTGTTATAGCATGTAAAACACTCATACACCATTGAGAAAGGGTTGATGTGAAATTTCAGGAGAACAAATGATGCTGTAATATCCTAATATCTATAGTTTCCTCATACAAGCCCTCTTTAAAAACATTTCTTGGAGAAAGGATAAATCATCTTTATTCATTGACTGCATATAATTATCCTGTGAGGTAAATAGATATAGATAGATCTATCTATCATTATCTATCTATCTATCTATCTATCTATCTATCTATCTATCTATCTATCTATATTTTAGAGGCAGGATCTTACTTTGTCACCCAGGCTAGAATGCAGTAGCACAATCATAGCTCACTGAAGCCTTGAACTCCTGGTCTTAAGTGACCCTCTTGCCTCAGCCTCCTCAGTAGCTAGGACTACTGGCATGCGCCACCACATCTGGCTAATTTTTTAAATATTTTATACAGATGGGATCTAGCTCTGTTGCTCAAGCTGGTCTCAAACTGCTGGCCCCAAGCAATCCTCCCTTCTTGGCATCCCAAAGTGCTGGGATTACAGGGGTAAGCCACTGTGCCCAGCCTCTGTGAGGTAAATATTATATAAATAAATTCAATATACAAGGAAGCTCAACCTCAGAAAAGTGAATATCTTGTCTAGGATTACACTCTACTAAGAACAAGAGTCAGGAATTAAATCCCCCCCATATATATGGTTTAGAGTCTATGCTGCACCCCTGTATTTTAAGCCTTAAAATAGAACTGACATTAAGTCACATTTTAATCATAATATACTTCAACAAATGCCTAATGTATGTTATTGACATGAGAAGCATGGAATAGATGTTTTAGGAAAAGGAGGCCAAAAAAAAAATAATGATTAAAAGATTGCCTCCTGACCTCAGAAGCCAGCTTAGGATTACTTCAGGAGACAATCAATTGATTAGAATTTAGCAGGAGAATTGAGGAGAGTGAAGACCATTATGGCAGGGAATGTTTGATTAATGTCCCAAAATAAGAATGAACAGTATAATTGCATTTCAGATGAAAGAAAGACCAGCTGCAAACAGAGTGATCAGGGATTGCTTCCCAGGGGTGTTCTATGAAGTAGTCATTGAATAATGGGTTTTCACAAGGTATTCCAGGTAGGTGGGATGACATAAGTAACCATGAAGAGAACTGAAAGAGTAAACAAACCAAATTTATTTAAGTATGTTGGCAAATAGTGTGAGATGACATTGGGAAAGATCATTTAAGGTCATCAAAGGCCTCAACTTCTAAGCTAAAACTATGGGCATAGTTACAGGTCTTGGTGAGCCATGGAAGATAATACTATGTGAGGAGAACAATCTAGTGCATACATGAAGCCGTCACATGTAAGTTGACCAGGAGCATTTACATAGTCAAGAAACAGTTATAAGTTTACTTCAATAGAGTGAGAAAAAATGTGAATTCTCTTCTATTAGAGGTAGGCACACTAGCCATAGGGATATGGCAAGATATGACAAAATCAGGAAGCAAGTTAAGGACAAATTGTCAGGAATTTTCAAGTGACTGATAATAGAGGTTTATAAACATTGAATTTGAAATGCTAACTGGACATCTGAATTGAGATTGTACTCAGAAATATGGAAATCACACAAAGATATGAGGTGGTATGGAAACTATGATATTAGATTACTCTTGCACAGAGATGGTGGGTAGACAATATTGTTAAGGAAGAGAATAGAGAAATTATAAAGAGGAATATTAACTAAGGATAAGTCCACTTTTCAGGAATAGAAACAAAGAGAGCTACCAAACAAGGAAAACTGAGAAGTGAATTAGGGTAGGGCAAAAAGAGCAAGGGAAGCTAGGCAAGTGGGTGAAAGATAGATAGAAAATACCACAGACATTGAGAGAAGGAAGGAGAAGAAATGAGAAACAAAGGTCACCCAATTTGGCAATAGGAAAACCCTGGTGAGTCTTTTGGTGGGCTAATAACTGGAGTTCAAGGGTGCACATCACTTAGGAAATCTGGTGGTCTATAGAGGGGAAAAAAATAGGACTGATTCAAAAGTACCCTGTGATAGAGATGAGTTTAACTTTTTATAAACACACAGGAGACTTAAACATGTAAGAAAAGGAAGAGACCAGAGAGCTAGTTCCATTGTCCTGGATTCTTCTGCATTAATTAGCATTTATTAATTGTTTACTCTATAGATGTTTGCATCTCTTCACCAGTACATATTTCCAGCATGAGCCAAGGCCTTTTAGCATTGGGAGATAGATCAGATATTTCTTTTTGCTCTCCACCTAACATCAGATCAGAGTAGAAGATCGATATCTTTCATTGACCATATTTCTGCATATATATATTTCTCAGACATTCAATTTTTAATTGAAAGAAAAAAGGAGTAAATAATAATGATTATAACAATAAATAACAGGTTAAAATATTAAGCATAATACATGATACTTTACATGAATTATCTCATCTTTTTAAAAAACCACATTTTAAGCAACAACAAAAAATACTTGATTCATTGTTGGATTATATTTTGTACGTAACTATTCAACATTTCCTGCCCTTTTTTCAAAAGCTGATAGTAGATTCACTGTCAAGTCCCTACCACAATGACCTGTCTATCCGTTTATCTTTCCATCTATCCAACCATGCATCCACCTGCCCACCCATTCACCCATCCTTCCATTCATTCATTTATTCATTCATTCACTCATTCACTAATTCATCAAATATTCCTACTCCAAGCTAGGTATTGGATGAGATAAAACATCAGCCTTGATTCACCAATTCCACTTTTTGTCTTGTTTTTAAAGACAGGTTCTTGCTATGTTGCCCAGGCTGTCCTCAAACTCCTGGGCTCAAGGGATCCTCCTGCTCCAGCCTCCCAAGTAGCCAGGAGGCCATCATGCACTTCAATTCCACTTTTTAACAAATAATCTCAAAGGCACATTTCTTTGCCAAATGAACAAAACTATCATAATTCAATTAGTGGAAATTTTTAAAATAAATAACAGAAGAAAATGATACTTGCTTTTTATATTAGTTTTATTCATCTGCTAAAGATGCTCAATAATGCTTTAGCACAAATACACATATGCTTATAACAGTATGTAAAAAATTCAATTGGAAAATTAAAATTAGGCACATTTCTAATTTAATGCCTTATAATCTTTGCCATAGCATGTATGTACAGTTATCTAATAAGTAAAATATGTAGAACAAGGAAGAAGAACCTCGCCCTAAGGGAATTTATAATATATTCTAGTGTATTCTAATGGTGTGTGAAATATACATCTAAACTCAGAATTTGTCAAAATTTTGTAACTGGGAGATGCTGACAACTATGTCCAAATATGCATCTAAAAGATTCCTGCCATGGGAAAAAAGCCTTTATTTGATGATGCTCATATACTGTATTTAAAAGCTTCCTTATGTACTGCAAGAACAATTAATAGGCCTCTACCTAGAAATATTTTGAGGAAGCAATGTGGAACAGCACTGCTGTGTTTATTTACTGTACTGTGGTATTATTTTTCCTGTGATAGCATTAGAAATACAGGTGGTAAATTTAATTACAGTATTTTTATTTTTAAGTTTGTGGTGTTTTTTTTTTTTTTTTTTGAAAGACATAGCTAATGAGGTAAAAATTTAAATATCAAACCCCAAAGTGTGTGGTGAAAGTGACACTGCTGTAGTATATTATTCAGGGGCCTGAGTTCTGATCCTAGCTGTCTATGACCTGAGGTGAACATTTAACTTCTCATAGCCTCTGAGACAATCTGTTTATGAAGAGGAGATGGCATCAGCATAAACTGATGGGAGTTCTATAAAGGGGGCAGCTTCACACACTCAAATACCTACAGGATCCAGACAGGTACCCGACAGATTTAAGCAATACAGAGTAGAGGGATCCATGGTGAGCTGAAGAATGGAGGCCCCATCTAAATGCATTCACATTCAGATCTAACAAAACCACAGCTACACGTTGTTCACACCAATAGTAAAAGAAACAAGCGAAGCATACCTGCAGTCCTCATACAGCTGGCTGCAAAATCTGCATGGACTGTGAATTTCCAGTCCTAAAACGGTGGATCTATGATGCTGAGCTCCCAAAAGAACTCTGCTCTCTCTTTCTCTACTCTAACATCCCAGAATTCAGCAGCTCGGGTAGAAGCTGCACATGACAAGTTTGGGAAGATTCCTCAATTCCACAGCCTTTTAAAAACTTCTAGATGTATATCACTCTACCTTTAACCAATAGCTAGAGCACAATGTGAGAAAAACAATTGTGACACTAACATATGAACACTGATGTACCTAAGCTGCTTCTCTAACATAAGTTTTCAAGCTGTCAAAACATATTCTTTGTCATTCCTCAATACATGAGAACAGCATCATTAGCTTGAAAGGTGTATGTTATTTACCAGTGACCTACTTCAGAGAGAGTTAATCTTAGAAAACAATGGCATAGTGAGTTTTTTGTTTGTTTGTTTGTTTGTTTGTTTTTCACTTAACAACCCATTCTGGCTTTGGAACTAGATTCCCAAATAGCTTAGTGGATCTGACCCACTGTCAGATTACCCAAAGAGAGGCTAAGAAATGTACTTGGGCAGCTGCAAGTCAGGAGCACTAGCACATTTTTTTTTTTTTAATAAGCTGATATTTGGTGTTTCCAAAAGGAGAAAAAAAATCTTTGGGGGAAAAATCAGAACTTTATTGATTTCTTAAACTACCAGTTAGTTTGTTATTGTTTTTATTTGGAATTACCTCTAGATAGGAGATCAGGAGATGAGCATCCCTTTTAACGCTCAACATGGCTTCTAATGGTCTTAGTCTGCCCTTGATCTGACCATTCGGGTAGGCAGAGAAGTCAAACAAACAAATCAAGGCATGAAAGAAATCTTAACCAAAGAATCTCAATCAAGTAAAGGAAAAAACTGAACTTAAAATGTGTATGCCTTTCTGTAATATTCATAGTGAAAGATAGCGTAAATTGTGTTTGTTTTCAAGAGATTGGAATTAGAAAATTGGATAGCTTACCAAGCAGATAAGGGATTCACCATGGAATTCATGCATTTTGCACACAGATATAGCTTGCTTTTGGTTTAAAACTTCCACCAGAAATGCAATGATCCAATATAAGCAACATACAGTTTTCTTTACTTCATGGACTGCCTTGATGTAGATATGGTATCTTACTTAGGGAATTTATTTCTGCACCACTGATCCCACTGAAGATTACCGAACACCTTTGGGATCTTCCCACTTTTGAAAAAATTGTCAATTGTAGTCAACTATGAAAATGCTTTGTATAAGTGGTATTACATAGACTTAATAAGAGGGACAAAAAAGAAAATAAGAAGGTCTCAGGGCTTCAATAAATATCCAAAAGATAGAAAAACATTTACAAATCCCCAACACATGTTCTCTAAGGTCTTTCATGAAGAAAAAGGATAGAGCTATCTTTTATATAAGGGAAAATAGTCAGACTTGGATCTTTTGAGAAAGCAGCTGCAGATCAGCTTGTTTTGAGGCTACAACAGATAAGATGAACAGTGGGGAGTAAAAGGTATTAATAGGATCATGCACTTTTAGAAATGAGAAGGCCTTTATAAATCAGGCAGTACAGCCCCTGATGGGTTCCTTGTCATAGATAACATTCTAGTCACAATATGCCCAAGGACTGAATAGATTTTATATATAAGTACTAGATAATTATAATTTTATTATTAAAAATAGTAAAGTGGTTACTAATACCTTAGAGTATGATCTTTTGTTTATATACCACTGCATTTACTCTTCATAACAGTTCTATATAAAGAGCATTAACCACCATTTAAAGATGAATGCGTTCACAGCCATAGAGGCCACATAGCTTAGGAGTGGAAGAGCTAAGATTTGAACCCAAACATGGACTTCTTGATATCAAGACCACTGCACTAGCCTCAGTGCTTCCTTAGAGAGCTCGGTCAGAACTTGTCAGTGGTAATAGAACTGGTATTTTGGTAGCTCTCCCTGCCTCCTTACCTTCTGTAGAGGGAAGCCTGAGAAATCATTTAGGTTCCTTTCAAGGTGATGATTTAACCCATGTCATAAGTCTGCAGCAGGGGCCACAGTTTAGCCTGTATTAGAGTGCTGCTCATGTCATGGATGTGAAAGCACATGACGTTCCATTACGCAGTGCGGTGGGAGGTTATGAATTGCAAAAGCAACATGAAATTCTAAACTTCAGTCTCCTCTGTACATCAGTCATGCTGTGCTATCATCATGTTACTCTCTCATATTATCAATGAAAATCTTTCTTGCTCGACCCTCCAAAACTGTCTCTTCTCCCCCTTCAAATATACCACTGCGTACTTTCCTAAAGGCACTGTCATGTTTCAAAGCCATTGTTCATAAATAAAGACTTTGAAGTAAACAAAAAATCCTTATAACATATTAATGAAAAGGCTCAAATGTAGCACTAAATCCACACTCTGATTAAAAGCGTGTGAAAACTGTGACTGTGTACGAACAGAGTCTAAAAAGGAATATAGAAACAATTAATTAAGGTAATAAGACAGTAAGACAGTGAATAATTTCTTCTTTTTTTTTTTTTAAGACAGAATCTTGCTCTGTCAACCAGGCTGGAGTGCTGGAGTGCAGTGGCACGAGCACAGCTCACTGAAGCTTTGGACTCCCGGGCTTAAGCAATCCTCCCACCTCAGCCTCTTGAGTAGCTGGGACTACAGGTGCACACCAACATGCTCGGCTATTTTTTTTTTTTTTAATTTTTAGTAGAAACAAGGTCTCACTATATTGCTCAGGCTGGTCTAAAACTCCTGCACTCAAGTAATCCTCCCATCTCGGCCACCCCAAGTGCTAGGATTATAGGCGTGAGCCACCGTGCCCAGCCTCTTTTCTTAGTTTTTAATTGTTGAATATGATATGTGTATTGTAGTAAAAATGTGAACATAGCAATATCGCCCTATTTCCAGTTTGCCATTTGCCTTCTGTCACCTGTTGTTCATCTATTTATTGTATAACAAGAGGGTTTCCTGGGTTCTAAGATCGGCTTCTTCTTGGTTTTCCCATGCTTATTATAGGAATTCACTCATTTCGTCACTTTAATTATCTCCATAATCTTTATCTCTAGCTCTTGAGCTCTTCGACCATATAACAAGTGGCCTAATGTATGAAATGACGTGACTGTTCAATAAGCACCTCAAAAGTCATCATCTCCTCCCCAGAACCATTCCTTTTCCTGTGTTTCTCATGTTGGTGAACCACACCACTCTATTCCCAATTGCTCAACCCTGACAGCATGGAGTCTTTCCCACCTAAATAAAATGTCACATCTTTTTTTTTTTTTTTTTTTTTTTTTTTTTTTTTTTTTTTTTAGACAGCGTCTCACGCTGTCGCACAGGCTGGTCATCGCAGCCTTGACTTTCCAGACTCAGGTGATCCTCTCACTTCAGCCTCCCAAGTGGCTGGGACTATAGGTGTGCACCACCATGCCTAGCTATTTTATTTATTTATTTTTGTATTTTTTTGTAGAGATGATGCTTCACTATGTTGCCCAGGCTGGTCTTGAACTCCTGGGCTCAAGTAATCCGCCTTTCTTGGCCTCCCAAAGTGCTGGGGTTACAGATGTCAGCTACCGTGCCAAGCTATTTTTTTATACAATATCACCCCCAATTTATCACTCTTTTTTCTTTACCCATTGCCATTGTCTTAATTGAAGCTACTCTTTCCTCTCACCAACACCATTGCAAAAGGCTTCCTATAAGTGATTTCCAGTTTATAATCTCACCTTGATTCTCTCCAACAAAACCAGAGTGATCACTTTAAAATGGAGAGCTCTTCTTATCACTCCTCTATGTAAATCCCTATAATAGCTCCCTGTTACTTTTAGATTAAGGGCACAGTGCTTAACATGTTATACAAGGTGCTTTTTGGTCTGGCCTGAGCCTACATTTAGAATCCTTTCTCACTATCACCACTCCCTTCCCTACCAAGCTTATTAATAACAAACCATAATAATGATAATCTGTGGCTTGCAGTTCTCCCATAATACCCTGTCCTTTGCACATACGGCAACCACTCCCCACTCTACTCCCAACACACATTTTCCCTGACTTAACCTAGTGTCCTTCAGGACTTTTCCTCGCCTCAAAGGCTGACTTAGAGGCACCTGAGTTGCATCCCGAGGTGGTCCCAAGGATCCCAACCCTAGCCCTGTTCTAGCACTTACCACACTATCATAATCGCCTGTTCATGGGTCTGCATTCCTTCACTGGACTTCATACTCTCTGAGGGTTGGAACTATGTCTTATTCGCCATTGTGTCCATAGCATAGTTCCTAGTACAGTTAATTATGGAATAAAAAAATGCTAAATGGTTACATCTAAAGGTCAAGATCCATTCAAATATTACAGTATGTTGGCATGGACAACATTCCATAGAACCATCTTCAAATACATTGGTAGTAAGGGATTTTATGGAGTTCAGGAGGTAAAAGAATATTCCATGGCTTCCAAGACAATATCACAAGAGACAAGGACTAATCTCAAGACCCCCCAGTCCTGATCACATTAAAGAAGAAAGTAGTGATGGTCATGGAAGCCAGTGAAGGGTAGCACTGAGGCAACACTAGAAGTGTGGCCAGATGGGGACAGGGACAGAAGAGCCACACACCTTCACAACCATTGGGTATAGCATGTGCTAAGGAGAGGACCCAAGAAGTTGGAAGACAAACGAGGGCATCTCTAGGCATTTTTAACTGTAGGTTGGACTCCACACCTAGTCTTCTCTTAACCTTTTGAAGTGTATCTATCAGTGTTCTGGATTTATCCTACTCTCTTCCCAGTGAGGTACTACTGGCATGATCCATGGGAAGGGCATAATTCACAGATGGGGCTTGCCTACCCAGGCTGTAGTCAGCAGTGACATATTTTGTGACAGCTCTGTATAAAAGATGACGCTAACATAAATAAAATGCACTGTATATTATGGGGTAACAAAATTTAAAAGCACTACAGATCTACTCCTCCAGCAGTGAGGAGCCAAGATTTCAGTCTGTGAGAGATGGTGTTCCGAGGCAATGCTAAGAGTCTGCCTAGCAGCTCCTCCCATTCCCAACAGTGTCCCCGCAGTTGAGCTGTCAGCCAGCGCAACACGAAAACTCTCTCAACAAGAGCTAATGAAGAGCTGCCACAGATATTTATGATCTCATATCACACTTCCAGACTGCTGTTTCACTTTTTATTCCACTCATTTTGTTGAAGAGGTTTTTCTTTGTAATCTGTTACAGATCACTGAAAATGATGGATAAGAATCAGCAAGGGGTTGTGTAAGAACCACAGTGCTAGACTTAAATCTAAGTCTGAGTTTTGATTCAATCACTGAATAATTACATTCCTATTGGATACTCAGGGGAACTCAGTTTCCTAATCTTTAAAATGGGCATCTTGTCTTTTTCATTTCTATGGTCCCAACATCTAACACAATGTAATAGTCCTATTGTAAGTAATCCACATTCCTTTCTCTCTCTTTCTTATACACACACATAACACATACACATAAATTTGGCATTTACTTTTCTGAATGCAGGAATGTTTTCTTAAAAAGCTGATAAATTGTTTAACTTACATATCTTATCATGGAATGATACAAGTTCTCTCTATTCCATTATCTCTTCCATGCTGACTTATGAAGACAACCAGGCTTGCTATCAACAGTCAAACCTAGCCTTGCCACCTGCCTTCACCTACCTGGTACCTATCACTGCTAATGATCAGAAAAGCATCATGCTCAGATTAATTAAAGAGTAAGAATCTAGGAGTCATTTGAGTTATCTGGTCTCGGATCAATAGAAATTATAAAACAGACCAAACAGAGAAACCTGTTGAAGCTTGTATAGGTGAGCTTTCTTGGGAAGCAAGTTCTGAGATTTGTGTGCTGGGGGTGGGGTGTTATTAGAGAGTGCTCCTAAGAACTGAGTGGGGAGGGAAGTAGAAAACGGCAGAGGGAGGAGTTTAAGTGCAATGCAGTGGATCCCGCCAGGAGCTCCAAAGTTCAAATGCCTCTTCAGAGTTGTCCTTACTTGAGACAAGAGAGCTGGTCCTTTGTACCTCTACTTAGATCAGTCATTAGAGCCTTGGGAGAGGCATGGATAATTCCTGGGGAGGGACTCAACTGTGAACCATCACTTTTGGTAGCAGAGGGAATGAATTTCTTGGTCCTGGAAGAAGGTTTGAACAGCACACCACAGTATCCACTACAGAAGTGTTGTGTCGGGCCCTGACAGTCAGGGTCTATAGATCCCTGGGTCACTTGGCAGTCAAGCAGCAGTCTCTAATTACCTTTCTTGGCCCATCGCAGAGGTCAGAAGTGGGCTCCCTGTGACCCTGAAGTACTTCCTGACCAGGAAGTAGTCAACAGGCCCCAACAGACTATAGACACGCAGGAGGAGCCATACTTTTGGCTGAAATGTATTGTACACCCACTGCAAAATTGTACTACTTGATTAGAAATAGTAAGCCTTCCTCTACTTTTGAGAGCCATCCAGTTGGGATTCAACCTATGTGGAAGAAGTATCTAACTTCATTGTTCCGAAAGGAGGAAATACTAAGAAATGAAGCTCATTACTAACATCTGATAAACATACTGGAGATGAGACAGAAAGTAAGCTTTTGAAAAGAAACCTATCTATGCAACAGGTTCTCAGGGGAACACAGTGAATCAGCAATGTTAACCTGAAGCCATGGGCCTCTTCCTCAGTCACTCATCAACTCTGTTATGTCAATGCTGAAACAATGCCAGAATACAGAGCTGAACTGTAAAGATCCCTTCCTTAGTGGTTATTCATATTGTTTTCTATCTCTGTTATTATGTGGAGGCTTAAACTATATATATATATATATAATTATATATGTAAATATAAATATATATTTATATATATATAAAATAAATATATATATAATTATATAAATATATATTTATATTTATAAATATAAATATATATTTATATTTATAAATATAAATATATATTTATATTTATAAATATAAATATATATTTATATTTATAAACATTATATTTATATTTATAAACATTATATTTATAAATATAAATATATATTTATATTTATAAACATAAAATATTTATATTTATTTATAAAAATATGTATTTATATTTAAATAACTATAAATATTATAAAATAAATATTTATAAATTTATTTATAAAAATAAATATTTATAAATATAAATATAAATATATATTTATAAATATAAATATATATTTATATATAAATATATATTTATAAATATAAATATAAATATTTATATTTATATATATAATTATATATTATATATAAAATTTGTAAATGGCTAGGGCAATATCCTAATGCAGTCTGCCTTAGAAAAACTTGCACTGTTTTTAAAAAGTACTGGTTACAGTCTTACTTTTTGAGTTGTAATAGATTTAAAACTATTTTAGCACTTCTTGCTAACAATTTAGTCACAAATATTGAGGTAATTAGAAGTATCTTTGGGATCACAAAAGGGAAGGTGTGATTCATGTAGGCAGATGTTAGAAAAACATATTAAAAGGTTAGGATTTGGTATTTGGGGAATGACCTTGGACAGCTGGCTTATCTCTCTGACACTCAGTACTTTCATCTGTTCAAAGGGCATCATAATGCACCATTAGATTCACATTAAAAATCAAACAAGATGCCATGTATAAAGTGACTAGCAGCCAACATGTTCTATACACCTAAGATAGAAGCATGTTTGTTAGTTTCTTCTGCCTTGTCTTCTTCTACATAAACTCATTCAGGAAATTTTTTAAAGGCCATGTGCATGTTTCTATGGCTGAGATCTAAAAAAAAAGAAAAAGAAAAGTATGTCAAGAGGGCTCATGCAAAGAAATTGTGGCTCATGTGCCATAGCCAATGATTAAACCTTAATACAACTTGACAGTTTTAATTTTTATATAAATACCACCAGGGCCTATCATTCACATTATGGATTCCAAGCTTAACAAATGTAATTTAAAAACAACAAAGCTGCTTTTAAAGGAGTACTGTCAAAGCTCTGACATTTTCAAAATTGAAAATGCTCCGTGTATAAGATTTGAAATGGAAAACCCAGCAATTCTTCTCTTTCCCTGACAGAAGTTATCAGGATGGACCCTGGGAATGCCTGGAGATTTTTTAAGTTGAGTTATTGATAGATTGGAACAATTTCTCATGGAATCATACATATTTAGATATGGAATAAGAGCTAGAAATTGCTGAAATGTACTGAACCCTTACGAAATCAGATACTGTGTGTACATTATCTCTCTGTCACAGAAATTCTGTGGCTCTGTTACTATCAATATCTTCATGTTATCAAACAGAAAACTAGAGTGGAGGGAGATCTGAGGCTCTGTGCCTTTGGTTCCAGATGATTCTCCTTTAATCTATATTATCTGTATAACAAATCACATAGAGGGAGTGGGTTCCTACAGATGAGAAAACAGAGTCCAGGGAGGAGAAGGGATTTTCGAGGACCTACAGTGAGTTAGTGCCAAGGCAATGAACAGAACCAAGTTCCCAGACCTGTGTGCATTCTCACGTGCCTTATGTCCTCTCTGATTGTAGCCCTAGCATGAGAGGTTAAAATGTGAAACAAAGCTTCATATGTTCACGACACAACTAAGTATTGTGACTCTATTTAAAGATCATTTATTTATCAACAACATATATGGATCCTGTACCTTTCTACTTTGGCGCTAAATTCAACTAGTATAATTTCAAAATAAATAATTTTGTGGTATCATTTAATATGGTTAACTAAGTGCTTATTTTTAACCCAAGTTAAAATTAATAAGCAATGTCAATCTCTTATCCAAAACAAATAAGAAATACACCTGGTTTGTGACTAATAAGTATATAGAAGATGATAGTATATATTACTATTTTAACATCTTCACTATTGGCACAACATATTCATGTTTTCACTCAACAAACATTTATTGAGTACTTACTATGTGACAGGCACTGTGTGCAGTGCTAGGAATGCATCCCTGAACAACCAAAATAAAAAAAAAAAATCGCTTGCCTCAATCTTTGCTGGAGAGTAAGGCCATAGAGAAATGAGATAAATGTATTTAGTTTTTTCTTTTTAAGAGCAGTGTTAAAAGTAGCAGATAATAAATAACCACATTTGCAAGTATCTCTAAATGGCCTTCAAATTCTTCCCATTTCTCAACATCCAACAATGGATTTACCTGTGTGAGCATATGCAGAAGAGGTCCATCAACAAGTCAGTCAACATTTACGTAATGTCTTCTGCACTCCAATCGCTATACCAAACATACCGTCACAGTTCAAGAGAGCTTATATCTTAGTGGACTAATTAGAGCAAGTCAGAAGAAGTCAGCCAGCACACACACCACCCCTGGTACCTAATGCAGAAGAGACCGCCTTTACATGAGCAAATGGTCCTCTCTTCACTTCTGTCTCCTTTCGTGGTTACCTCAGAAAGCCAAGCATGTAATCAGGTAAGACAAAAACCATAGGGGAGTGGCAAGCCTTACTGTTTAACTCATTTCTAGACAATTCCCAAGAATTATTATTGTGCAAAGTAGCAGGCAGATTGGCCAGTTTCATATTTATGTACTGCACAGTGGTAGAGAGACATGCCATGTGCAAATGCTGGCGATTTCAAGGTGACAAGCCTCTGATTGAAAAGTCTGAAGGTCGATAAGTTTCATTTGGGGTTACCTGGCCTTGCGGTCACCTCAGCTGACAAAGAGGAGATTTTTAGAGAATAAACCCTAATAAGCTTTTTAAAAGCTAGGCCTCCCTTTCCAAAATAATTATGACACACCATTTCTTCCAGCTTCAAAAAAGAAACTGATTTCTCATTTCTTTCTGTTATTTGCAAGTCTTGTGTGAGTAACTAGCTACAGACCAATTACAAAGGCCTTGGCTTTCAAGCAACACACAAGAGCTCTTACATACAATAAGGCTGGTATATCTGCCCTTTAAATCCCTTTTCTTTTTGGTCCAGGGACAGATTTGCACTTGTTACAGGATGACTGAGTAAGTCTCTCATGGCATTGCCACCTGTGAGTAATGGCATGATTCCTTCCTTCTTGGGGTGATAAGTATTTTCTCTCTGTCTCTGTCTTTCCCTGTATATATTAATATCTAATTTCCATATTGGTTATCAAAATGCAGGCAAACATTTTCTGCTGTTACACAGAGAAGATAGAGGACATTTTAGAAACTAAAAAATTCAAGCCTCAATCACCTTTTAACTTATTGATCTTTGTGAAACAATATGCATTTTTGTAAGCTGTCTTTTAGCTTTCTTTTCTTTTTTAAGGTTAGCACTTAACAGCAGAATTGAGTCATTTTCATTAGAAAGAACCTTTAATGAACTAGTTCTTTATTTAAAAGAATGCAAGTTCCACTCTCAAGAATGCTATAACATTTTGTCAATAGTTCAGAACAGGACTAATGATCGTCATTAATGAAAGCCCACTGTGAGTTTGAGACCTCCTTTTGATTTCTTTTACCAAACTGTGGGATCTAGACAAAAATAGCTTTACAGTAAACATTTTCCACCTTAAAAATAAATAAAATAAGCATGCTAGAGGTGACAGGAAATGTGTGGCTGAAAATAAAAAATATCTCTTGTCAGTTTTAATAGGTATTCAATCTTTTGAATCAATGAGAAATTTGGGGAGATACTGTTCTCCTTCTCTTAAAAAAATCCTACTTGGATGCCCTCTGTTCATTATAAATAGCCTCATGTGTAATTACCCAGAAGATGAAATAGAGAAGAAATGAAATAACTACAACCTTACATTCCCACTCAGAAGAGTTAGGGGGCATATCGGAATCTCACGGTGGCTGGGATTCCATGGGGCAGGGGGATGATCCATATAATTTGAAAATGCTTTTCAGGTGAGAACTTAGAAATTATTTCCTTGGTTTACCTGGTCATAGGTCTCAACTACATTATAAATAGTTCCAATATCTATTCCCTTAGAACAACACATTTACCAGGAGGGACCCTCCACAGAGTGACCATGTCTGAGAAAAAGGACTAATGACAACTACCACACATGCGAGATGTTTGTGAGAGCTATGCTACTTTATTAGCTGCACAATTACTAGCATTAATATACATAGCAACAGTATAATCTGCCTTATAACACAGCTCCTTCAGAAATTCTCTTTTACAGTTTCAATTTTTTTATCTTTAATCTTTAATTAAAATAAAAAATAGCTTAAATTACTTTACCTCATCGGAAATCACATTTTCTGATTGCAACTTTAGTTTCTGTTGTGCATTTATAAATATATCTTCTCGTGCTAAAAGACTAGTTGCTTATGTATTCGGTTTCCCAACCTCACTTGGGAATTGAGGTCCCCAGGTGAGGTTAAGCTATTCCCTCCTCAATTGGTCACAAATTCCTGAAGGAATTCAAGTCCTCCTAGGACCCTTTCTTGGACCGTGACAGTACTGCAGTAATATCTAGAATGACAAAACTACATTAGAAGGGACTTCCCAAAATTCTTCCCATAGGACTCCTACTTAAGCTTTGTCCTGACTCTTCCGACGTTTTCAAGGCTGGATTCAGTCTGAAATATTTCCCATTATCGATTTACAAAATCTCTTGCACCCTCTCTCGAAGAATTAGAATAAAAAGAATACTGTTGTGGTTTCAAAATCATATTAGCTTGCACTTGTCTGCAATATCGATGGTTTCCCCATCATTTTGGGTGCCATGTACTTGCTTTGCACCATGCCTCTTGCTTTTCTTTCTTGATCTCTTAGTTAAGGCAGTTCCTCCTGAGCAAATTACATTTCATTCAATTAAACAAGGCCATTAAAAACAGTGTTTGGCCATTCATTATACCAGCTAAAATTTCTTACTACCCCATATTATTCCTCTGAGAGTTTCTTTTTTTTTATGTCTTATTTTTTCCTATATCCAATGCTTAGTGTTTTCTCAATATTTTAACATCTTTTTCTCATTTTCCATTTCTCTCCTAAAGTGTTTAAAATATCCACGATGTTATAGTTAATTGTTGTCAAGATTTTTCTCTTTTTAGATAAGAATACTTTTGCTTTGGATTAAAATAAGTTATACGCAGAGGCCTTCATTCTACTCCATAGTAATTCTCTATCTGAGTTACTTCTCATGAGTCATAGTAAAAGAAAGAAATCCTTATATACTTTATTTCTATCAACACAACATACACAATCTAGAATATATGGGTAAAAGATACATATAAAGCACTAGATTAAGATTCTGAGTTTCAATAGAGAAGGAAGTTCATAAAACATAACAATTTATTCCAGATTACCTATAAACAAATATGTACTAATGAATTTCTCTGTGGTTTCATTTACTTATCTTCATAGAGTTAAAGAATTATAAAACAGATGATTGTATCAATGTTTTACTGAGCACACTTAATTTTTTAAAAATTACTACTTGGCCCTAGTTTCCTTTCTTCCTTCCTCCTCCCTTTTGCCCCAAACCCCCAACAAAAAGCTTACCAGTTGGTTAGTCTCTGTGTTATTAGTTCATGGAAATGCTAGTATTATTTAACAATAAAAATAAAAATCACACTCAAGTGAGCACTGAATTATTCATGCACTCCGATTTTACATAATTTGACCATCCCTCTTTATATTGCTATTTCAGTTTCTATCACTAAACAATTCTCCACTAGGTCTACCTTGGATTCCTGTGAACAAGGAGATAACACTTGCAAAATGTTCCCTCCGAGACGATGGTCTGAGCTGATGTCCAAACATTTGCAGCCAAAGCCTAAACTACGAAAACAGCAAGGAATACCCTCAGTGCCCAGAATAAAAAGTAGAGTATTAACAAGACTTTTTTCAAAAAAAAATCAAATTTCTTTAGAATTTAAAAATCTTTAGTGACACAAAAGCTAGCAATATTGAACCATCACTGGAACAGACTTTGAAGACTTTCATTGTCACCCTGTATTTTTATTACAAGTGCACACAGACCCAAGGCATCATTTAAAACACAATTAAGGCACTTAATGTGGTTTTGGCATTAAAAGTTACTATTGGGCAATGTCAATCTTTCTCTTTAGGAGGAGAGGAGGGAAAGCAGCTGAGCAGGGTGTAGGAATAGACACGCAGCTTGCACCATCAGCAAAATGTCAAGCACTGCGAGGTAAGCCCTTATGGTGGTCAGTATTCTAGACATCACGGTGTTAGGGCACAGTCTGCACTGGCCTGTACCTCATACAGCAAGCCCCTACCTCTGAGCAGTAGGAATTTTGCTCAGAGTGGGAGGGAAAAGCTATTTTCAGTGGCAATATCAAGACAGAAACTGAAGAAAGCAAAAAGAGAAAGAAGACTGTTATGCAATAAAAACCAAACAACCAAAAATGGTTGTGAGAACTGCATTCTCCGCAAGAGAAGGGTCTCCTTTAAAAAAAGAAAATCACTGTTTGTTTTTTTTGCTCATTTCCAAAATATAATTTTTAGCAAGTCATTAACCTAAGTGACAGAAGTGTAAACTAAACCTTTGTAGCAACATTCTTCAAATGTTCAATGTTAAGTGTGGGAAAGGAAAAAAACACAGATGGAAAATACTATAATGAACTGACATGTTCTATTTAAAAACTGTTTGTCAGCCGTAGTTAAGTTGACACTGTCAGCATGGCAACAAATCATAACATTTTGCATGTTTTGCTGCATGCTTGAAGCAAGGATAACACATCGCACGCCTAGATCATAGTGGTGGGAGTTTAGGAACAGTACAATCAATGGAATGGAACAGAACATGTCTATCCGCTGCTCCCTAAAGGTCAGCCACCAGGGAAGTGCAAAATGTCTGGTGTGCTATTTCTTTGTGTCTATCAAAGAAAACTGCTGTTCACAGTTTTTAAAATGGGATGTGAGAGGCCCAGGAGTACTAAGGGATTCTCTCTTCTATATTGTTTAATTGTTGCAATTCACTTAGAGATTCATGTGCTGCAAGGATGAAGACCTGCAATAGACTTCCTTCCCTTCTGGCTTCATAACAGGAGGAAAACAAAAGCCAATGATATTTAACAGAAATTGAGAGCAAACTAAATATAATGGAATATGATCTCAAACGTTGAATTCATACAGAAATAAAGTAAGTACATGTAATGGCAAATAATTTGATTTTTAAAATGTGTATTGAGTGACCTACCATGTATTAAGCTCTGGACTAGTAAATGTGGGGTTAACACCAAAGAAATAAATTTAAAATGTTTGCTGCCCTCATGGAGCAAACAAATACATTGAGAAAGTAAAACTAACAGAAACACATACACAAACTCCTACATAAGATAATATAGAAAATAAGCATCAATAAAGCCACATATAGTCCAAAAACATAATTTTAGCTAATACTAAAGGAAGCTCTGGATAATCCATAAAGCAAATAACAGAATGCGGGCTATATTACAACGAGTACATATGTGCTTTGCACTAATATCATCAAATTCCAGTCTGATTTCTTTACAGAGGCATTGGAGTTAGCCAGGTAATATTTATTGACACACACTATCTAGGCAAAAATACAATTATACAATAGACGAAATACACACTAAGTGTCTAAGACTCCACTTTGCACATTTAGGACACCTAAAAACCATCTGTGAATGAACTTATTATAAGTGACATACATAACATTTTAGTACGGGCATACCTTGTTTTATTGCACTTCACTTTACAGTGCTTTGCAAATATTGCACTTTTTGCAAATGGAAGGTTTGTGGCAACCTTTCATCAAGCCAGTCTATCAGTGCCATTTCTCCAACAGCATGTGTTCACTTTCCGTCTCTGTGTCACATTTTTGTCATTCTCATAACATTTCAAACTTTAAGGTGATCTGTGATCGGTGATCGTTAATGTTACTGTTGTAATTGTTTTGGGGCACCACGACCTGTGCCCATACAAGCCAGGAAACTTAATTGATAAACGTTGTGTCTGTTTGAACTGCTCCAACTGGCCATTCTCTGGTCTCTCTCTCTCTGTCCTTGGCCATCCCTATTCTCTGAGACACAACAATATTGAAATAAGGCCATTTAAAAACCCCAAAAAAGGCTGGGTGCAGTGGTTCACACCTGTAATCCCAGCACTTTGGGAGACCAAGGTGGGCAGATCATGAGGTCAGGAGTTCGAGACCAGTCTGACCAACATGGTGAAACCCCATCTCTACTAAAAATAAAAAACTTAGCCGGGCATGGTGGCACACACCTGTAGTCCCAGCTACTTGGGAGGCTGAGGCAGGAGAATTGCTTGAACCTGGGAGGCAGAGGTTGCAGTGAGAGAGATGATACTACTGCACTCCAGCCTGGGTGACAGAGCAAGACTCCATCAAAAAAAAAAAAAAAAAAAAAAAAATCCCGAAATGGCCTCCAAGTGTTCAAGTGAAAGGAAGAATTGCATGTCTTTCACTTGAAATCAAAAGCTAGAAATGGTTAAGCTTAGTGAGGAAGGCATGTTGAAAACCAAGATAGGCCATAAGCTAGGCTTCTTGCACCAAATGGTTAGCCAAGTTGTGAATGTAAAGCAAAAGTTCTTGAAGAAAATTAAAAGTGCTATTCCAGTGAACATATGAATAATAAGAACGTGAAGCAGCCTTATTGCTCACATGGAGAAAGTTTGAGTGCCTAGATAGAAGATCAAACCAGCCAAAACATTCCCATAAGCCAAAGCCTAATCCAGAGCAAGGTCTTAACTCTCTTCAATTTCCGGAAGGCTGAGAGAAATGAGGAAGCCGCAGAAGAAAAGTTGGGGCTATCACGCATTGGTTCATGAAGTTCAAAGAAAGAAGTCATCACCATAATATAAAAGTGCAAGGTGAAGCAGCAAGTGCTGATGTAGAAGCTGCAGCAATTTATCCAGAAGATCTAGCTAAGATAATTTATGAAGGTGGCTTTAAACAACAGATTTTCAATGTAGATGAAGCAGTCTTCTATTGGAAGAACATGCCATCTAGGACTTTTATAGCCAGGAAGGAGAAGTCAATTCCTGACTTCAAAGCTCCAAAGAACAGGCCTACTCTCTTGTTAGGGGCTAATACAGTTGGTGATTTTAAGTTGAAGCCAGTGCTCATGTACCTTTCTGAAAATCCTAGGGCCCTTAAGAATGATCCTAAATCTACTCTTCCTATATTCTATCAGTGCAACAACAAAGCCTGGATGATAGCACATCTGCCTACAGCATGATTTACTGAGTACTTTAAGCCCACTGTTGAGGCCTTCTTAGAAAAAGCAGAAGCAAAATATTACTGCCAATTGACTATGTACTGGTCACCCAGGAGGTCTGATGGAGATGGACAAGGAGATGAGTGTTGTCTTCATGTCTGCCAACACAACATCTATTCTGTAGCCTATGGATCAAGGAGTAATTTCAACTTTCAGGTCATTATTTAAGAAATACATTTTGTAGGGCTATAGCTGCCATAGACAGTGGTTCCTCTCATGAATATGACCAAAGTCCATAAAATGAAAACCTTTTTGTAGAGGATTCACCATTCTAGATGCCATTAACAGCATTTGTAATTTATGGGAGGAGGTCAAAATGTCAACATTAACAGGAATTTGGAAGAACTTGATTCCAATTCTCATGAATGACTTTAAGGAATTCAAGACTTCAGTGGAGGGAGGAGCTGTAGTTGTGGTAGAAATAGCAAGAGAATTAGAAATGGAGCCTGAAAGTGGAACTGAATTGCTGGAATCTCAGGATAAAACTTGAATAGAGGAGGAGTTGCTTCTTACGGATGAGTGGTTTCTTGAGATGGAATCTACTTCTTGTGAAAAGGCTGTGAACATTGTGGATATGGCAATAAAGGATTTAGTATATTCCATAAACTTAGATGATAAAGCAGCAGCAGGGTTGGAGAGGATTGACTCTCATTTTGGCAGAAGTTCTTCTGTGGGTAAAATGCTATCAAGAAGCATTGCATGCAACAGAGAAATTATTCATGAAAGTAAGAGTCAATCAATGTGGCAAACTTCATTGTCGTCTTATTTTAAGAAATTGTCATAGCCACCCCAACCTTCAGCAACTGCCATGCTGATCAGTCAGCAGCCATCAACATCAAGGCAAGACTCTCCACCAGCAAAACGTTTATGACTTGGTGAAGGCTCAGATGATCATTAGCATTTTTAGCAATAAAATATTTAAAACTTAAGGCATGGATGTTACCTTTTTGGCATTAATGCTATTGCAGCACACTTAATAGACCACAGCATAGTATAAGCATAACATTTTTGACCAGTCTATGTATAAACATAATCAGTAAATGAAAAAATTGGTGTGACTTGCTTTACTTTGCTAACTGCTTGATTGACGTGGTCTGGAACAGAACTAGCACTATCTCCGAGGTATGCCTGTAACTGATTAGATTTTGGAATCTAATATTTTCATTTCACAAAGGAGAAAGCTAAGGTCTGGAGATTAAGTGCCTTTTCTGGAACTGTAGCAAGGCTGAACTAGATAAACTTTTAGATGCAGTATTCTTCACAATCTCACATTTTCTTTCACTGGTAGAAATATAAAAGATAAAGCCTCATATAGGAGAAAGGCCACCAGACTTGGAAGTGTAAGATCTGTATTCCAGCTCTTTGGCAGGCACTGCTACTCGTCCATCAAAATCTGTTCCACCCTGTTTCCTGGACCCAAGGCAAGGCTGCACTTCCCACTGTACCAGCCAGGTGGGCAATGTGACTAAGCTCCTACCAATGAATTATGAGCAAAAGTGCAATTTCCACTTCACTTACTCAACAGAAAATGTCCTGACCTGAACTTTGCTCTCTGCCCCTTTCCTTGGTTAGAATGACCAAGACCAATGAGACCTTCAAAGTCATGGGTTGAAGATGACAAAACTACCATCAGGCTGGATCTCCTAAATAACTGTGAGGAACAGAGCTGCCTGACAACCTGCCATAGTCACTTCAGTCTGTTACATGACAGAGAAATAGGCATTTATATTATTTACTCCACACTATTTTGGAGACTGTCACAGAAACTTATTACCCCCAGGTTATTCAGGTCCTGAATCTAACACTGGGTAGTATGATGCTGTGGGAAAGTCACTCACTTCTTTTGAGCCCATTCCCCATCTGTAAAATGGACACAATTATATTTGCTTTTTTTAACCTAATGGAATAAGGCATAAGTCACTTTATAAAATGCTTTCATACAAACATAAAAGATAAACTAATATAGGAGTTCAAAGGAAAGAACAATTCCTTCTGGCTGGAGTGACAAGAGATGACTAAAGAGAAGAACTTGAGATGAATCTTAGTAAGGTTTGGATAGGATTTTTAACTTGCAAAGAGGATATGCAAAGATGGAAAAAATCATGGTGTAAGATTAAAAATATATAGTACATTTTTCAGAGAATAGCAGAAGAGAGTTTGGCTATAGTAGTGGAATCTGGTAGAAGGGTAATAGGAAATAAGGCTGGCAAAATAAATTTGAGGACCAGATTGTAGGCAGTAAAAAAGACTTGAAAATAAGAATAATGAATCATGATCAGTTGTAGTAATTTCATCCTCTTTATCCATGTTTGGTAGAGGACAGATATCTGCCTGAGACATTGTTGTATAGAGGTGCATTGCTTGGATCTGGGACAGCCATCTTGTGCTCTTAATGGAAAGGCCAAGACAATCAGAGAGATGCCAGAACCTCAACATTGTGAAACAGTTGAACAAAAATGGAAGTATTTATCTCCAAGATTTTTGTGATAGGGGAAAATGAAATGCTTATTTCAACATTAATTGGTATTTCTGTTACTTGTAGTCAAAAGCATTCTTTACTTAGATTAAGAAGTGTAAGCAGTGAACTCTGTATCACAGAGAACAACATATCAGGGTGATAGAATCTGGGTATTTTCCCCAACCAAATCTCATGTTGAATTGTAATCCCCAGTGCTGGAAGGGAGCCTGGTGGGAGATGTTTGGATCATGGGGGCAGATACCTCATGGCTTGGTACTGTCTTCACGACAGTGAGTGAGATCGTGCAAGATCTGATCATTTAAAAGTGCGTGGCACCTCCTTCCCCGACTCTCTTCCCTCTTTCTCCTGCTTGCTCCATGTGATAGGCCTGCTCCCCCTTTGCCTTCTGCCATGATTGCAAGCTTCCTGAGGACTCCCCAGAAGCAGATGCCACTATGCTTCCTAGACAGCCTGCAGAAACATGAGCCAATTAAACTTCTGTTCTTATAAATTACCCAGTCTCAGGTATTTTTTTATAGCAGTGCAGGAATGATCTAATACACAGAGGAAAGATTTGATCTCTGAAAAGATTCCTTGGAAATCATCACTTTAATTTCTCAGACACATGCCCTTCATCATCAATACATTGGAGCCATAGACCCTCCCACACTCACAATCACATTCTAAGATATATTTACAAAAGTAATCTTGGAATTCACTTTATAAGTAAGAACATTTTTTATTATTCATAGTTTGTACTTATAAGCACTATCATTTTTATCATACCACTTGGTGAATAAAAATTACATATTCACAAGAAAGTCGGCTAGTGAAAATTTTTGGATAAAACTTTAGAGCTAGGAAAAAACAGAAAAATCAAATAGATCTTCTGCATAGTTTTGCAGATAAGGAAATTCAGACCTAGATGCTGTACTAAATACCTTGCTGAAATCCTAGAACCAACCCTTCCTTTTTTTCTTTTCTTTTCCACAAAAATTACAATTAGTCCCATTGCCATCAAGTAGATTTTCTCTTTGTTCTCAGAATAAGAAATATAAGAAAAATTATTTTAAATCTCTAAGAAGAAGGGTTAAGTTTTCCTGGAATTCTCTATAATTAGTATATCTTATAAATAACATATGCATCTAAAATATCAAATTTAAAGTGGAATGTTTTAATAAAGCTTAACCAAAAGGACCTACCTAAGTGCATACATAATAACAAGAAGCATGTGGTCAGCCTCATTCATTATCTCTGTGACATTCATGCATATTTGCTAAATATCTCATTTTATATCATATCCTCTATCAGGCCTTTTTCTCCAGACCTAGTCCTGTATTATGCAAGAACTAGAAGTCAGTCTAAGCATAAGTACAGTACTAAAAGTAATACCAACATAATTTATTCTTCCTGTCCCTCTAGCTATTACTCTCTATATATTTCCAGGGTTTTTTTTGCCAGGTTAAAGCAGGGGAAGGCCAGGGGAGACAAGATGCTTAGATACTTACAGCCATCAACGATTGCTTCAAAAACAACTATTCAGGGAAAAAGGGGAGGTAAAAGTCAAATCTGCCTAGGCATTGTTTACATATTAAAAGTAAAGATGAGGCAGTGGCATTAGGAAGAATGCATACAGGCTCTGGCATATTTCCACAAATTGAATAAATGCTATTTAATAGACTACTTTACATGAAATAATTTAGTCATTAAGAAGAGAACTATGCAGTAGAATATGCTACTTCAGTCCAGATTAGTAATAATTTTGCAAATGCACTCACAAAACTTTTTCTTAGATTATTTTACAACAAACTCTGCATGAAATGTAGTGGCACATGAAGAAAAATTGCTTAGCTACAGTTGCTTTCGATGCCATACCATAGGAGCCATGGAGGGGACTCATTCAATATAGCTTTTCATGCTGTTCCCATTTCCATTTTCATAAGGCACCATGATCCCTTAGTGAAAAGAATTGCTCCTAGTCTGCTGCAGATAGGAATATGATCAGTAACCTTAAATCCCTTTCTTTGTAAAATCAGAATCATGCAATACAGTTAGAATTCAGAATTTCTATAAAACAAATTTCCCAGACAGGTATCTGAGGTTCCTGCTCCTTTTGGAAAATCCATATTTATCCTCTATGTCCACCACTCCATCTCTAAATTTTACTGCCCTTTTGGTCCCACAGTGTTGGCTAAAATCTGGATATTTCTGATCATGCTTCTTTGTTGCTAATCTTGGACACTGAGCAGGTCAGTATTTGGATGGATGACTGGGGTAGTAAGCCTCCAGGATTTCCCCCAATGATTCCCCTATCCTGGTATTTATATATTTGCATAGGCCCCTCCAAAGTTGTACCAGGATTAGTCTGTGTGACCAATGGAATACAGCAGGGGTGAAGGTATGTCACTTCTGAGATTAGGTCATAAAAGACACTGCAACTTCTGTTTTGGCCTTTCTTTCTCTGTCTCTCAGGTAATTTGCTTTGGGGGAAGCCAGCTGCCATGTTGTAAGCAGCCATATGAAGAGATCCATATGGTGAGAACTGAGACCTCCAGCTACAGCCACATGAGGGAGCCTGGAAGTGGATTCCCCTGCCCTGTCATATCTTCAGATGACTGCAGCCCTGCCCAACACCTTGAGTGCAACCTCATGAGAGACCTTGAGACAGAACCACCCAATTAAGTTACTCCCAGGTTCCTGACTCTCAGAAACTGTATAAGATTATAGATATTTGTTGTTTTAAGCTGTTAAAGTTTTCAATTAATTTGTTATGTGTCCTAATACAAAGCAAAAGGTACTATAGGTTTTTGTTTTGTTTTGCTTTTCTTCTAATTTTTAAGTGACTTGAGGATAGGAGCCACATCTTATTCATCTACAGGTTTAGCAGAGTGCCTAAGGACATAACAGATCCAATAACCATTTTCTGAATGAATGATCCTCTCCTTCCTGTTTTTATCATTAAAGTAAATTCAATGAAAATTACACTTCCAGACTTCTGGCTTAACTAAGGATTTTTTTTTTTTTTTTTTAATACTGTGGTTTAACCCAGAGTATATAGAAGAGAAAAAAATTCTGAAATGAGATCACTTTTCAGAAGGTCCAATTTTTTAAATGCTCCTACCATTAAGAGTTCAATATAAATTTACAATGAGCCTCACTGAGCAATTTAGGAAGCCTTGGCCTTCTGCCTTATAAGCATTCATGATTACAAACTAAAACTTGGCCTCACCACCTAAGACATGACAGCATGATGGGAAAGACTAAAGGCTGACGTAAGTGTAAAAGAAAGAAACTCCCGTAGGTCTTGGGTTTAGGGAGCAGTATTTACACTCATTATGAGTTGGGGAAAAAGTTCCTAAAGGTAAGTATCACTTGGTAACTTAAACCGCTTGGGGGGAATCCGGGAGTAAATACCTTCTCAGTTTCCATAAGTGGGAACTATATTCTGCAGTAGCAGGAGTTAGTTCTGATAGATACTTCATAGTATATCCATCCCTCCAGATCCACCAACCCCCATAGTCTGATAAGTTCCTATCGGGAAAACACAGGTTACATAAAGGAGTAAAATAATCCCATTACCATGTAGAGAAATAAAGATGCATCCATTTGGAAACCTCTTAGGAGATGCGCTTGCTTGAGCTGACATTTACTAACAGAGCAACATTTCTTTTTTTTCCCACTGACTAAGCCCCTTTCCTAGACAATGATCTCCTCTGGGAGAGAGTTATTAGAATTATTACTCCAGAGTGTTAGTGAAAAGGGTTCACTGAGTAGAAAGAAGAAAAGCAAAGGTTTTGCTCAGCACAGTTAAAGTTTTACCAAAGGGAAGTTCAAGTTGCATGAATGAAAAGGACAGCCTTTCACTGGGAAATAATTTCCCTGGATTGCACAAGCTATACCTTCAGGGAACATGAACCAGGATAATCTCTAGCCTTCTTCTCTTCAGGGAAAGAAAAGACTCAGGAAATGCTGTCTTTCTTGTCTCCACCCTAAACTAGCTGACAACTAAATACAGCTCAGGAAGCCAACAGCCAGAATCATTTTTTATTTTTGTCATCTAAGAAATTCACTAAAATATTAAAAGAGAAAAGCACTGAATGGGGTGGTACAAAAAAGGGCCTCAGGTTCAGTTAATTTCCATTCCAGAAAACAAGCTTTGATTCTTGCATCACTTGACAAAGACTGCTTACTTCTCAAAAATGTGAGTACCGACCTGAAGACACGAAGTAATGTGTTCTAAAGACTAAACCTTAAACTAACCGGGCTCACTGGAAAAATAAATGAACAGCTGTGTTCTTTAATGTATATCTATTTTTTCATTAAAATAAACAAATAGATGAAAAATACATTAAATTTTATTTTACTTATTTTATTTTATGGTTTTTTTCTTTTTCTTTTTTTTTTTTTTTTTTTGAGCCAGAGTCTCACTTTGTCACCCAGGCTGGAGTGCAATGGCGTGATCCTGGCTCACTGCAACAGCCCCCTTGATTCAAGCGATTCTCCTGCCTCAGCCTCCCGAGTAACTGGGATTACAGGCATGTGCCACTGTGCCTGGCTAATTTTTGTATTTTTAGTAGAGACATGGTTTCACCATGTTAGCCAGGCTGGTCTCAAACTCCTGACCTCAAGTGATCCACCCGCCTCGGCCTCCCAAAGTGCTGGGATTACAGGTGCACGCCACTGCACCTGGCCTCTAAATTTTAATATATATATTTAAAACATGAATACAATTCTAGGAAAACAAAGGCATTTTAAATTTTGAATCTTCAAATTTTGATATTAAGAAGGTAAAGATTGTGATGTCTCCTTCCTCTCAGGAATCATCTGTAAAACAAGGAGACAAAAACAGAAATACATTCTCCATCTTTGATGGAAATAGGAGTCACAGGTGAACCCGAACCATGGTATATGAAGTTGCAAAGCAGAGTGCAGGGTAGTAATTGATCAAGAGGTATACAGGAAGTGAACCATAAACACAGACCAAATGGGATATCAACAAGAAGCAGGACTCTTCTCCCCAAAATCTCGGGCATCATGGGGCATTGCATATCAGGTATTGGTGTAGGGCAGGGGCCTGTGAGGCCTGGGGCTGAAAACAAGTGGGGCTGGCTGAAACTTGGCCTCAACATCCTCCACCTACTTCCTAAAAGGCATAGCAAGCATTCTTCCTCCCTATTTTCTCTTTGTAAAAAATTAGCTAGAGAAGTTCTGATAACAGAAATAGAAGGAGCAGTGGGGTGAGGAAGAAGCAGAGGGGTGCTGTGGGACACCCTGCTGAAAACGAGAGCATTACAGGAAAGCATGTACACCCTTACCCCACTTCCCCACTGGGCTCCCAGATGCCCTTGGGCAATTGTATATCTCCAAGGCGAACACTGGAGGACCCTGCTCTGGAGAAAAAGAATGTTCTAGAGAAAAGGCACAGAGACACCGATATTTTGGGATGCCCTCAATAGCAACAACAACAATAGCAAAACTGGCTCCCTAGAAGATCACCCTGAAGTAGAAAGAACCCATTCACAGTTCCTATCTTTGCATCTAAGGATTGCTATTGTAGTGCCTCACTCTTAAATATGAATGAAACCAGCATTTGAGCGGCTTCTTCTCTGTTATTAATAAATACACAGTCTTCCAAATCTTTAAAAAAGAAAAAGTCCTTCACTGGCCTCTACTGTTTCTTCTAGCTTTAATCCAATTTCTTTCCTTCTTCTCCCTGTCTCACTTCCTGAGGAACCTTATCTTCCATCTTCCTGAGCTCCTGGCATCTCTTTAACCCTAAGTTCTGATTTTACCACCAGCCCTCTCCACACTTTCTTATGCTCAAAGCCAGAAACTTCTTGGTTGATCTTCCTGCTTCTATGACACTCTTTCCCAGTCACCCAAGCTCAAAATGTCAGCATCACTTTTTTAAAAAATAAACTTCCTTTATTTAATTTATTTATTTATTTATTTTGTCTTTTTTAGATGCAGTCTCACCCTGTTGCCCAGGCTGGAGTGCAGTGGTGCGATCTCGGCTCACTACAATTTCTGCCTCCCAGGTTCAAGCGATTCTCCTCCCTCAGCCTCCCGAGTAGCTGGGATTACAGGCGTGTGCTGTCACACCTGGCTAATTTTTGTATTTTTAGTAGAGACGGGGTTTCACCATGTTGGTCAGCCTGGTCTCGAACTCCTGACCTCATGACCCACCTGCCTTGGCCTTTCAAAGTTCTGGGATTACAGGTGTGAGCCACCGTGCGCGGCCTCCTATTGTTAACATCTCGCATTAGGATAGTACATTTGCCACAAATAACAAAATAATATTGATACATTATTATTAACAAAACTCCATACTTTATTCAGATCTTCTTAATGTTTACCTATTCTTCTTCTGTTTCAGGATCCCACCGAGGATGAGGATGTCATGTTACACTGAGCTGCTGTAACTCCTTAGGCTTCTCCTGAATGTCACCAAATACCTTCTCAGTTTCCATAAGCGGGAACTATGTTCTGCAGTACCAGGAGTTAGTTCCGATAGCTACTTCACAGTATACCCATCCCTCCAGATCCACTAACCCACATAGTCTGATAAATTCCTATTAGGAAAACACAGGTTACGTAAAGGGGGGAAAAAAATCCCATTACCATAGGATTTTCCTTGTTTTTGATGACCTTGATAGTTCTGGTCAGGTCTTTTGTAGAATTCCTCAACTGAGATTTGCCTGATGTTTTTTGGGATCAGACAGGGGTTGTGGGTTTTTTGGGGAGGGAGACCACAGACCTAGATGTTGTTTTCATCACATCGTATCAAGGGTGTATACTACCAACATGACTTAATACTGTTGATGCTGACCTTGATCACCTGCTTAAGGTAGTGTTTGGCCAGCTTCTCCACTGTAAAGTTACTCTTTTCCACCCCTTATTTTATATTGTACTTTTAGAAGGAAGTATAGCTCACACTTAGGGACTGGGGAGTCATGTTCCACCTCCTATAGGGCAGAGTATCTATAGGGATTATTTGGAATTTTTCTCAGCATCACTTTTGACCCCTCTTTTGTCCTTCCTCCTCAATTTGTGCATTTTCCCAAAAGTAAGCAGTATGGTTAGAGCCAGCATCAGATCTTGTAATGCAAAACCCTGATTCTTTTCATTGAACCAAGAGAGAAATTTAATTATTCCTGGGACCTTAGAGCTTCCATCTTTCCTTCTTTCTTTTTTCTTTTCTTTTCTTTTTCTCTTTCTCTTCCTCAACACATACTTCTTGTCTGCAACCTCCCAGGCATTGTATTAGCTTTAGAAACACAACAGTAAGCCAAACAGACACAGTCCCTGAGGGTCCAAAGGCTTGTAATAGTGCCATCCAATTTAGCTAGGGAGTCACAGAAGGCTTCCCTGAGGAGGTGAACTTTAAGATCTGAATGGTAAGTATATGAACAAATTCCACTATAAGTAAGAGAGCATTCATGATAGAGGCCCTGCATGTGCAAAGTTCTGGCATGTGAGGGAGTTTGGAGAGGAAGCACTATAGTACAGTGAACAAGGGAAAGAGGATGAAAAAGGCCTCCAGAAAGCCAGGAAGGGCTGCCTCCTGAAAATCCTGCAAGCTACTTATGGTCATCAACAGCAGGGCAGTGTCATGACCAGACTGGAATTTTAAATAGATTGTTAGAAGGGAAGAATCTATATAGGTAGTAAGAGTGGATGTAGGATGACTGGTTAGGAGGCCTTTGCAGAAGTCCAGATTGAGGTGATTGTAGCTTGGCTCAGAGTAGGGATTGTGGTGATAGAGAAAATTGAACAGATTTGACAAATAGACTGAAATATGTGATCTTAGCTGAGTGAACTACACTCTCTTACCTTAGTTTCTTCATCTTTACAAGCGGGATAATAATACACCTACCTATGGAGCTGTTGTGGAGTAATGGGTTAATATATGCAAAGCATTTAAACCACTGCTTGACTCATATTAATTGCCATTAATAATACCAGTTAAGTGATCATGAATAGGTATATAAATCATTGTCACAGATTTAGACCTAAATCAGCTGGAGAATCAATCCCCTCACTGACAAAATGAAGAGGCTTGGCTATACAATTTCCAAGACCTTCTCTAGCCCTAAATGGTTAATTTTCATAACCATTATTCTTTGCTAGACCAAGAAGACTATATGCTCTGATGTATGCTGTCCCCAAAGAGCCCACTCAGTAAATGTGACTTTATCTTACTTAACCTATACCATTGCAATTCCTATCAGACCCTTTCAAAAACACTGACAAAAGGGGAAGAATATTCTCTTGACTCAGGAATTCCGATAAACATAAAATTGATTTTTCATTCCTAAACATTTCACATTCAGCAGAATTTGGTCTACTATTTCTGTTGGTTTCAGAATGGTCCTGTCTTGCTTCTTCTTCCATATTCTAAAAGTATTTCCCCAGCAAGCTTTATACATCCCAAGACACCACCCACACAACCACAATTTAAATGATGATTTTGATTCCTCAGGATAGGAGGTGACGATTATAATCACTCAAGCAGGGAGGCACAATGAAGAGGGACCCTTGACCTCCAGGAGCTCACAATTTACCTGCTGAGGTAAGGTTAATCCATACAAAAGAAGACTGAATATAAGAATGTAGAAGTTATGAATGGTTTCTCAATTCAGACTCTAGATGGACTGGAAAGAATGTATACGAAAGAAAATGAGGAATATGCAATGACAGAAAGAGCCAAGAACACTGGCATATATAATCACAATTAAGTTTTCATATCAGTAAAAGGTTTGCAAAATCTTACAAACCAAGGGGACAAAATTTTGCTTCTACCAATCCCAGGCACATCATACATTCATAAACACAAACTAGAAAAAGCAAAACAGAAACATTCCAGGCACTTCCACGGGACTGGGTGAATTTATCTGGAATGATAGATGCACATGTCTCATTAGTCAGTAATTTGGGATTATCACTTATGTAGCCTTAGAACCATGTAATGTTCTTGAGGAAGGGGAGTCTCCCCCTCAAAAAAACCCCACATTTATTTGCAAATAAAAATATCCTTACTTATTGCTGTGAGGGGGAGAGGAATCTCAGCACTCAAATAAAATTATGCTAAAACAAAGAAAAGAAACAGAAGGTGCTAAATTAAGAAATGTAGACTAAAAATTCGGTTGTAAATAAGCTAACATTGCAGGTAAATTTGAACTAATAAAACAGATGATTTTACTGAAAACTTAACACCTCTCAACACAGCTGTCTGCCCAGTCAGGAAACCATTAACATATTGTCACCAATGCCCCCAGCACATTGATGATATGAATTCTAAAAACAATCCAGAACAACAAAAGGAATGAACCACCAAGGAACCAATGGCACATGGGCTTTCTCAATTGCCTTTTCATGGTGTGCCACTGTACACTGAAAAATTTGCAAAAGCAGCAAGAACACAGGCTGGACAGAAAAGGGAGGGAAGTGGTGGACAACTTTGAAAAGCAAGTACAAATATTTCAACCAACACATAAGACCGCTTAAGAAACATCTATCCAAAATACACAGTTAATAAACAGGGATATATATAGGGGGTTGTTAAAAGGCACGAAAGCATCCCTTTAATAATGATGTCATAATATACAGTACTGTATTTTAATAAGAAAGAAACATCATTTTCTCAAATTGAAATAACAAGGCAGGGGTCCTTAATTACTTTTGTGCCAGAAGCTTCTTTGAGGATCTGATGAAAGCTGGGGACTTTCTCTGAAGAAAACTGCATATGCTCATAAAATTTAGTACTCCATTTCACAGAGTTTACTAACTCCCATCTCTGCCCATTGTCAAACTCATCCCTACATGAGTTCTCTGTTATCTTGTGGGTTCATGTATTAAAGGCTTATAAATCCATGAGTTTATAAAGTCCTGTGCTAAAGAAACATGCATTCCGACCTTAGGATAAGGGTTTGAAGGTATTAACATATTAACAAACTGAATAGGAATTATAAGAAACACTTCATTTAATTGATTGTGTGGTATACAATGATATTCATTCAATTTCACACCAATTCTTTTTTTAATGTTATTGTGTATTTTTAAGGCATACAATATGTTTTGATATACATATAGTGAAATGGTTACCATAATGGAGCAAATTAACATATCCCTCATCTCACAGTTGCCCATTTTTTATTGATTGCAAGAGCACCTAAAATCTACATTTTTAGCAAAAATTCCAAATACAATATTATTAACTGTAGTCCTCATGTTATAAATTAGATGTCTAGACTTGTTCATCCAACATATCTGCTATTTCAGAAAAAAGTTAATTGAATTTTTTTGAGATGGGATCTTGCTATGTTGTCCAGGCTGGACTCGAACCCCTGTCTTCAAGTAATCCTCTGGCCTTGGCCTCCACAGTAGCTATGGCTACAGGCATGCCAGCACTCCTAGTTCTATATCTGCCATTTTGTATCCTGTGACCTACTACTACCTACCCCATTTCCGACAACCCCCTGCCCCCTGTCCCTGTTAACCACTGTCTTATTCTTTATCACTCTGTATTCAACTTTTCTTTTTCAAAGATTCCACATATAAGTGAGATCATCCAGTATTTACAATGGGGGCACCAACCTACATGCTCACCAAGAGTGTACAGCGTTTCCTTTTCTGCACACCTTCGCCAACATTTCTTATCTCTTGTCTTTAAGGATAGCCATCCTAACAGGTGTGAGATGATATGTCATTGTGGTTTCGATTTGCATCTCCCTAATGATTAGTGACGTTGAGTACCTTTTCATATACCTATTGGTCATTTTTCTGTCCTCTTTGGGAAAATGTATATTCAGGTCCTTTACCCATTCTTTTAAAAATTGGATGGTTTTCCTGCTATTGAGTTGTATGAGTTACCAATTCTTGATAATTAGGAGTTGATTTCTACTTCAGAGGAAATCCTGCTTATCTGTTTTTCCATCTGGTTCCTATTGCATACATTTGAGGCATCCCATTACTCAAAAATACTCTGCAGATGGAAAGCAGAGAACATTTTATAAAAAGGAGAGACAAAAATGAGTTCATTGTACACTTGTTAGCTCTGGTAATCAGTTAGTTTGCTTATTTATTCAATCAACAAACCATGAATACTGACTATGTGTCAGAATAATGGTTAAAAAAAGACAATGTCCCTTCCCCCAAAGAGCAAACCATCCAGTGTAGTGACTGCAGAAGCATCAAACTAGGCTGTGATGCTATGTGGAAAGCCTGAGGGGTGCTTTTTTTCTGTTTGAGGAAGTGTGGAAATTGAGCCATATGGAGGCCAAGCAAGTTTTACCCAGGGAAGAGGGAATAGCAATGCACATCTTCCCAAGAAAATGGGGCATTGGGACAAAGGAAGTGGGAGAATTGTAGTTTGGTTGGGTCAAACTGGGTATTTTTAGAAGAAGCATGGCAGTAAGAAAAGTCAAAAAAGAGAGAATTCACTGAGAAGTGTCTGATATTGCCAAAAGCTAGCTTAAAATATCCAATAAAAGTTGTAGTTGGAAAAGAAATAGAAATGCATGAACAAAATCAAATAACTATATTCAGGACCAGCTACATAATTTGTGGGGCCCAGTGCAAAGTGAAAATATCAGGCATCTTGTTGAAACATTATTCAGAATTTCAAGATGGCAACAGCAGAGTAGTAAACCAAGCACAGGGCACTTCTGAGCATGGGGCCCTGTGTGACTGCACAGGTGACACATCCATGAATTCTGATTGTATTAGACAGAAAATTTCAGATGTTTATGCCCATCCTTTACTACCCCAGTTAAATATCCCCCATTTATCAAAATGATGACCAAGAAGCACTTAATATGTGCTAAGCACCAGGCTGGGAACTTAATTCACTTAATTTTCTCAGCAAATCTATGAGCTAGATATTAGTATCCCCACTTATAGATTATAAAACCAAAGTTAAGAGAGGAAAAGCAATACTAAAAGGAAAAGTGATTTTACATATCTTGAAGACATTCCCTCAATTTCTCATGCCATGCTGTTTTAGTGAGTGCTCAATCGTCTTTTGGTATTTTCATTTCTTTCTATGGGTTCGTGTTTGCCTGGGCCATGAAAGTCCAGATTCTGTGACATCAGCCAGGGAGTTTGGGCTCATATTAGTAAAAACTGGAGTGAGAAGGGCCACATTTCACCATTCCAATGACATTACCCCACAGTGTCCCCCAACAGCTTTCTCTGGTAAGAACGTGGGGTGGATGTGGAGGGAACGGAATGCTGGCACACTCAGAAATGTCCCTTTTCAATACAGACACAGTTCTAAGGATAAATTATACAATTAAAATAGCACATCCACACTACACGAGTACAAAATCTATTTTAAAATAAGTTATTAAATCTTCAGAATCTACAGTAATTTCTGATTTCCCCCTGCAAACCTCCAATTAATAGTTTCTTAAAACAAAGGCTCAGTAGTGTTCAGACTCTTGAGTGTCCCCCGCCCCATCACCAAATGCTGCTGAATAACCAACATATGACCATCAATAAAATCCACTTTTCCCACTTACAGATGAGAATAAGAACTGCCACAATCACAACGGAATATTAATTCAACAGTAAGCACCAAAGAATCTAAATATTTACTAATATCCCTTAGATTTTTGTCTAGACATTTTTTTAGCTTATTTGAACAGGACATTCCTCTTACATTTTGGTTGGGGGTTTTGGTGGTGTATTCAGGGCTCTCTGTCGAGCCTCTGCCTTTGGTCTTAGCTGTACTCACACAATCCCTGCAGCTCCGAGCCCTTCGTGTGATTAATAGCTCTGCCAGCCATTCCTATTTAAAAACTATTCCTACTTTATGTCTTTTTTTTACTTGATTTTCTCTGATCCTTGTTTTTCTCCCCAGTAAAAATTACCCACTGTTAAGAGTTTTATTCCCACTCCAAAGCCTTGTAACTTTATTCCACATCGTTTTGTTTTGGGGAGCTTTTGTTGAGTAGATAATAGGGCAAAGCCTACTCACATTAAACAAGTAACTGGCCAAAAGGTTCTAACACAGGTTAATCTGCCAGTACCTCTCTCCCTCCATCTGCCCTCCCTTTCCAAATCCACAATTTTAAGGCAGAATAAAAAAAAAATATTCACACCACCAAATGGTATACCCTCTCACACCAAGCAAGCAGTACTTCCCTTGATCTGTTTCTGCACTGGAAGTGTAAGTTGCATTTTCAAAATTATTCTCTCAGCCCTGTGACAATTTAATTAATTTATTTATTTATCCAGTTTCTCAACTCTGTTTAGGTAGCAATGTCTCGTCAATATCTCATTCAGGTGTAGCATGGAAAAGCCTAACAACCCCGGGCCGGCAGCCAAGCTTACCAGTGACTGACGCTCGCTTAACTGAGCAAAGATTTGCTCTGCACAGAGTGGGGCTTGACTATACAAGAACCAGTAGTGACAGCAAGGATGCCGGCTAGAATCCTAACAAAGCTACTTCCAACTTGTGCTCAGGCAAGTGGAACCAACACTTAAACTGAATGTTAAGGGGCTTCAATCTTGGTACTTTTTAAAATTTTTTTTCATCATTTACCTTCCGAATAAGCCCTGGGATTTTAGAGAGAAAACAGCACATTAGCACTCTTAAATCACAAATCCTTGTATCTTTTTAAAAGGCTGTTGAAGATTTATTAACTTGTAGGAGCAATCATTTAATTGCTTGCTTCTGCTACACCACACACTTTTTTTTTTTAAATGACCAAATTAAACCTGCTGCACAAATTTGTGCTTTGAAGTTCATGCAAAAGGATCATTCCTTTGAGGGAGTGATAAAAAGAATTGAAATGCTCTCCTTTGGTACAAATGTCCACACATACCCCCCTTCCCCAACCGAGATACCTTCATATTACAGAAGCAAATCTTTCTCCTTTAAATGTTTCCAATTCATTTTCTAAGCCAGGTCAGAATTTCATTGTCACATTTCCCTCTGCAATTTCAATGAAAGCCCATAGCATTTACAAATAGAGGAACATTGTACTTACAATTTTGGGATGTGTAATGCAGCTGTGTATCTTATGAAAAAACTGTTATGTTTATTTTTGCTGTCCTTCCTGTTCAAAGACAACACCACTCTTGGTATAGCTGAAGAAATTAGTGAGAAACAGAAAGTCCTTTCCACACCACGAACATGTGAAAACTATTCTTTGAATCGAGATGTGGTGGCAGTAAGTAGTCTGTTGTTTGAGACTTTTGTCTCTTAGATCAAATTCAGCCCAAAGCCAACAAGATGATTTAACATCTAACCTCACTGAATTTGGTGACATGCAACTGCAGAATCAAATATTTAGACTAATTTCCTACTTCACCAATAAAAACAGTATAGACATGAATCGGTACACACACAACAGTCCCCTGATTTGCACATTTGTTGAGTTAGCTAGCAATATTCCGATGCTGTGTGTGGATAACTAGACAGTGTCAGAGTGACAGAGACAGTGCATCTGGGTTTTTAAAGTGCTGGATGCCTCTTACTTGGAAAAGAGCTCTGTTCCATTGCATCAGACACCCAGTAACACGATACCATGAACCTATGTGAGCATCACAAGTCCAGGCGGGTCACAAGTGAAATTCCCTTCGTTGCCAATTGAGATTGACATGTGCTGTTGTCATAAATATCACACTGTCCAATTTGGTCAAATTGGTGGTCTTGAGAATAAACAAAGGTACAGTCTACAGTCTGTCAAACTGAAAGGCATTTGCCGTGCTCAAGTGTTAGGCTTCCGCAGTGACAATTTGCTGAATCTCTGTCTGTTAGAACACTGTTTTGTAATTGGAAAAAAAAAAAAAAGGATTTTTTTTAACCTTTAGGTGTTCGGTTTTGTTTTGGCTTTGTTTATTTGTTTTTGTTTCAGTCTGTTTGTCAAGGCATTTAAGCCCAGAATACTACAAAAGGAAATAAGTACAGCCTCCCTGCTAGGGACATAAGAGTGTATGGATTCTGAAGGAGAGAAGATGACTAGAAGGCTGTTATAACTCCCTCAGAACCCAAACGTGGTTAGCTGGGAAACAGCATTTCTTCAGAGCCATCCTTTCTTTCCTCTATGGGACTTGGAACCTGGATGCTATAATTGAAAGCCAGTATATAAAGCATAACACTTCAGACTACTGTTAACATCCAGCCTCCTGCAAGGCTGCCTCCTAATAGCTCTGTTTTCTGCCTACAGTATGTGCAAGCAAGTGGAACCATCACATGCCCTGCATGCTAAAGGCCGCAGCCTTTGTCTTCTCCAAGTTCTGTCTATTTCAGAGGCTAACATGCAGCAATTAGTCTAATTAATGTGAAACAATGAGCTGTGTTACCACTTATCAAATTGATTGTTCCCCTATCAAAACAAAACAGGCTGGCTTTTTGATGTAATTTCAAGAGATGATTTGAAATGTCATGTTGCTGCAAGCCAATTACCTTATGACTAGAGTCACGGTCAACAGAATACATAATTAGCTTGAGTTTGGGAAGGCTGCTTACTGCTAGTATGTTAATTAACTGTCTTTTGTCATAAAACAAAAAGGTTGTACGAAAGGTTTTGAAATAGGTCTTTTTTATTTACATTTCTTTGTGCTTATCAACGTGAGGCATGACGATGCAAAAGAATAGAAAATTTTAATTCCACTACTTCAAATTAATACCCAGCTGCAAGGTCAGGCATAACGTGCAGGCTGCAATACCATTCACCTCACTCTAGTCCTGCCCCAGTGTATTATATTACTTGTGGAGTTAAATTAAGTATCGGGTAAAACTCGAATGTAAGAAATACTGAGCTTGAGGAAACAAATCCCCTAATAGACTTCTTTGGGGTCTCACATGTTTTTGTGCATCTTGCCAGGACTGGACAGTGTTCGGCTGCCCTGGGAATTACATTCAGGTGTCAGCTTTCAATCTTGAAATTTGGAGAGAATAAACCCATCATCAAATGATGTTATTGCCTTTACCTCAATATGGTAGAGACAGAATGCATAATGGGCACCTGTGGGCTAGTAAAGGAATCCTATCTGTGAGGCCAGGGCTCTGTAACTCATCTGTAGCTTCCTCTCGTATGTGATAGCTTGGCAATTCCACATTCTTGATTAAGGAACCAATTCTGAATTTCTTGAGCTTTAATGCATTCTGGGAGTAGCTACCATCAGTAACTGACAATTAACAATCAAGTCCATGGCAGACTTACGCCATGGTTTGACATGAATATTAGCAAACTAGCTTCTGGTTTGGAGAACAATTTGGAAGTCCCTCGAAGTCTAATACAATTGTTCCACCGTCGAATGGCATCCTTTCACCCGCAAAGACGGTTGGGAGAGGTTCTCTTGGGGATCTCATAATTGTCTATGAGAAATGTGTTACCATTTTGTGGGTGCTTAAAAACCCTTCAATTTTTCTCTGGATGTGGTTCAGGTCTGATAGTCATATTAGAAAGTTGATCAAGAGTCTGAGAAAAACATATCACATTGCTATTTTTGGATCAGTTTAATTTACAAACTAGACTTTCTGTTCTAACTTGTTTCCATCTTTCAACATAGTTTCTTTTATTTCTGATATAATTAAAATCCTTAAAATATGATATGGAAAATATTAAATAAAGGGGGCAATGTTTTTTCTTTTGGAATATGGGTTTCTCATTTTGGTAATGCAGGGTAAAGAACCTTGAGGTACAGATATCTGACAGAAAGGAGGCAGATCTCAGCTGTGTTAGACGGGAGAGAACAGTAAGTTTCCGGTATTCTCTTAATCTCTTTGCAGCAGATTCTCTACCCTTTGCCAATAAAAAAAAAAAATCATGAATTGTAATTATGGTCTTTACAGGGAGTAGATGGGTGAAAGAGAACCAAGATGAGGATGGCTATCTAAGAAGCCTGGCTCATTAAATAGTATTAATGCTAACCATTGCTGAGTGCTTTCTTGGTGCCAAGTATAGTACTAGTCCCTTTCTACATTTCAGACAAACCACAAAGCCCAATAGAGTCATGGGCTTAGTATGTGAGGTAGCTAACAACAAAAGAAATGTGCTAATTTCACAGCTGGGCATGGAGACTCTAGTGTGTCTGACACACTCCTGTTTTGGAATCAAAAGGTCTTAGAACCCTATAGTTGAGTGAAATCTTAGAGACATACTTAACCTCCGTTCCAGTGTGGAATTCTTTCTATACTGGCCCTGACAGATTGAATTGAGACTCCTTTCAGGGAGGGGTCTCTTTGATGGAATTTGGAGAAACATCCAAATATGCTCCAAAAGTTTTTGGATTCGTGCTGATAAGAAAATGTAGAATTCTTGATGTTTGGTTGCTATTATATTACTGTAAAGCTAAGGCAGAGCTCATAGATAACATGAGGTGCTACACTTCTGAACTTGGGTTACTTGGAAGGACAAGACAAAATCCATGTAAAAAGGCTTGGCTGAATAAAAGTCCTGTCTGAACGAGAGTCTTGGGTAAGTCTCAATGAGAGAGCATCAATGAATCTAAAATTTATTTATATATGTATTTACGTATGTATTTATTGAGACAAGCTCTGTCATCCAGGCTGCAGTACAGTGGCATGCTCATGTCTCACAGCAGTCTCAACCTCCCAGGTTTAAGCAATCCTCTCACTTCAGCCTCCCAAGCAGCTGAGACTACAGGCAGGTGTCACTCCACCGGCTAATTTTTGTATTTTTTGTAGATGGGGTTTTGCCATGTTGCCCAGGCTAGTCTTGAACTCCTGGGCTCAAGCTATCTGCCTACCTCAGCCTCCCAAGGTGCTGAGATTACAGACATGAACCACCATGCCTGGCCTGAATATAAAATTTTAAATGTGGGGACTATAACATCAGGTTTGATCATAAACAAGTGCAAAGGTTTACTTGTAATATTATTTGCTCCCAGCTCAGGTCCCAATTTGACCATTCCTCAGTTGATAAAAATCATTAAGCAGAACATCAAGTTTCATATGATATAATTCTGTCAAAGAATTTTCCTCCTATTTTTTTCTTTTTTTTTCTCAAATGGGAAAGAAAGAAGAAAAGAGTTAAAAGGGAAGGAAAGAAAGGAGGGAGAGAAGAAACTGTTAAGTCACTATTAGTTGCCAGGCACTGTGCTAGCTTACATGTCTATGTACTTTCGTACAGGGTGCTACGCTAAATTTTTGTACTACCTCATCAAGTTCTCATAGCAACCCTGCAAGGTGTGTACTATTTTTCCAACTATATCTTTTTGCCAATGTTAGTGATAAGTCAAGAAGCCTTAGAAAGGACAATTAAGCCAAGGCTCTGAAACTAACTTTGACTCTAAAATTCTACTCCTTCCAAATGCACAAGGCTGTTTGGTGTTTTTATTGTTGTTTTAAAATTTTATTGTAAAAGCTGAACTGAACAAGGGTCTGACTGCTTTTTTACAGTAAAAAAAAAAAAAAAAAAAAAACCCCATGAGAACACCTCCAATTGTCATCATTAAAAATGGAACAAAATGAATTGGGGACAATAGCTAGCTCCATCCTATGAAGCAGTATGATGAGTTACATTTCTATCATTTGAGGTCTTGAGGATGAGGGATTTAAGGAATGCTGAGTGATAGCAACATTTTTATGCTGAATTCCAAATGCTTTCCTGAAATTTAAGAACATTTTAAGACAAATCAGTGTGTTTAGAAAACAAGGTATTTTGTTATGTTGTTCTCCATAAAACCTAAAATTCCTCAGAAATGTTTTCTTCAGTTTTAAGCAAACCTTGAACATGTGCAGAAAACAATACTCAACGGAAAGCAACGTCTTCACCAGCCCATCTAACAGGTGGGCCCCTCAAGCCAACAGGACTGTTGCCGCTCTTACTGCAGACGTAAGGGTAGAGGAGGGCTCTCTGGAAGGACCAGGATGTGGCACAGCTAAGGGGCATGAAATGAGCTGTCCTCATAGGCACATTCTTGAAATGGCAGTCAGGCACTTGGCTCGCCTCTACCACCTTGCACAGAGCTAAACATCTCTTTATGTCAGAACAAATTGAGCAAGCCTCAAATCTTTTTTCTTTTCTCTGACATCAATGAGATGAGTGCATAAGCTCAGGGAATGAATGAGGAAGAGAGAGACAGAAAGGGGGAGGAAAAAAGGACAGTTCAGTTCACATGAAAGCACTATGACACAGCTACACACCTGCAAACTGTTCCTAGGAGCTCTTAGAATCTTTTATGAGTGGTGGTGGCGAAAACAGAGAAGCAGCAGGGCCAAATCACCACTTTCCTGCACTCAGATCACCAGGACTCAAGTTCTTTCCCCACACCTGCACCAGACACTTCAAGACATGCCTCCATGCCTTTGCGCAAATGGCAGAAACGCTTGGCCCTTTTTTCTATGCCATCTATTCCTTTTGCTCTTGCTTACAACCTGCTTATCTATGTTCAGAGCATGCAGCATTATAAATTAATCCTTACATGATTTCACAGTGGCATATATGTCAGTGTTTCTGTATGTTAAGTCTCAAAGAAAATGTAAAAGTCCAGAAAGTATCCAGCTGGGAAGATGGCAAGACAGTACACAAGGGGAGGAGACACAATGTTAGAGAACAGCTGGAAAGCCTCAAAATATATCTGATAAAAAGACAGTGGTATACAGAATGTGGTGGTCAAGTAATAGAAGGCAGAATATATATATTATATATATTATAAATTATATATATAATATATATATCTCCATGATATTCTATATGGTATATAGTTTATATATAAAATCTGCCTTCCAAGTATTGCTTTTTGGAAAGTAGAGCTAATTCTTAAACAAAAATGGATGTGTGTGTGTGTGTGTGTATGATATACACATGTATATATATAACTCTATGATATATATAACTATGATATATATACATGTATATTTAACTAATATATATAACTATGATATATATACATATATATAACTCTATGATATGTGTGTATATATGTACATATATATAACGTTATGATATACATATACATATATCCATTTTTAAGTAGCCTCGCTTTCCAAAAAGCAATATATTTAGGAACAGACCAATAGAAGAGGCATAGAGAAACTAAAATGTAACCTGCCTTTATGCACAGCCCTGATCATACCAGATCACTGGGCACTGTTTTGAGAGGCAAAAATAAATTTCAGAAACTAAAGAGAATAACAATGAGTAAAATACTGGATTACTGGATTTAGCACAAATATGAAGAATGTGAATTCTACAAAGATTTCCTTTTTAAATAAGAGATGATGGTTGCTCTTGAGGAAATGTTTGGTATGGGAGAAGATAGGACCTATCAAATAAGATGAGATAATATAAATATTTCATTTAGTCGTTATCATCTCTTTATGATGATGAGAAGACATTATTACCATATTTTTTATTCTAACTCATAAAAAATGGTCTATCGTCCACATTTGTAATGGGCTACAGCACACTAATCTTAGTTTGGCATAAAGCTCATACAAACCACTCAATATTTTCAATATAAATGTAATGACTTCTGATTTTAGGGAAACATAACAATGCTCAAAAAAAATCACTCATTAACTCTAACCTCTCCTATTGGTCATTTATGTAAGTACGCGCACTTGCAAAAAATAAAATAAACTTTCTGCATATTCATTATGAAGAAGACGGATGACAATCAGTAGGAGAGACAGCAAATTTCTTCTTGAGGATTAGGCTCCAATTGGTTGAATTTCAACATCAACCTGGCAATTTTACTATTAAGTCAGCAGAAGTGAGTTCTTATACACTACGCCACTTACTACCGGAGAACATCAGGCAAAGGGAAAAGAACACGCTAGAATAAATTGTGCATTATTTCTGGCATTAGTTAAAGGAACAGAGCATTATAAGAAAAAAATACAGTACCATTGATTTTTACAGGTGTTTAATACAGATAAGCTGAAAAAAGGGTTTCCATTTTAAGCCTAGTGATGGCTAAAGATGCATTCAAATATGTTCAAAAGCAATCTAAAGTCTTATAAAATGGTGTTTAAGCTATTCAGGCAAAACGTAAATAGTTTTTGTCATAGTACTGAGGAATGTAGAACAAAAGCAGTGTCCAAGGAGCTGACTCTGGCACACGGCCGGCCACTGTCAAATCAGGGAGGTCATTAAAACAGAGGTAATACTGTTTATCCATTATATGATCAAAGGTTATTTAGGGAAAACAGTAACAGACTGTCCTTAGAAAGGTAGGAGGCATAATTACCCTGGAAATCTCCAAGTCCCACTCTCCAGAGAAGATACCAAAAGAAACAATTACGTTAAAGAGTCAAACATATGCTTAAAGAGTTACTATATAAAATAAGTAAATCCTTGATTTTTTTAACCTTGTCTGTTTTTAACATATTTCTTTAAAGCTCAATTTGAAAGAATAGGGAAATTTTTGCTTTTATTGAACAACCATAAGTAGATATACATTGAACTGCTTTGCAAAAACCAAATTTAAAAATAAGGTTATATCTGCACAACCACTCAATGGGTAATTTTTCTATTTACTTATTTCGGGGAGTCCCTTGGTCTCCAATTTCTGCAGAGCTGTGTGTTCATGTAGTAGATTGCATAATGAACATGGCAAAAAAAAAGAATAACTATTTTTGACCACACAGACATAGCACTCATAGATGCTATAAGAATATAGGTTTGTTTTTGGCATTCTTCACTATATACTAGGTTTTGTCTTCCTCTCTTTAGCAATCAGTCTTTCTTTCTTAGAAATAAATTTGGTAACTCTGGCTCAAATATAAATTCAATTTCTATGATTTCCAGCTCTTGCTCATCTTTTTAATCCACCCTGTTTTCTCCATGACCTTGGCCAGATACTCATTTCTCTTTCTCATTACTACTGTGATCATATCCTTACTGATGGTATAGTACATCCTCTTGAATAAACATCCAAGAAGAACTCATTGTTGCCCAAAGTCCCTCAGGTCAGTTGACCAAAAAACATGAATTTAGGGTCTATTTTCTATGCCATATAGCAATGAGGATAGGGCTGATATAAATGAGGACAGAAGGGGTTCCATATACAAAAATATCAGGCTCCATAACAAGTATTGGAATAATTACAAAACATGATGTTAACTGAGACAAAAGAATGCTGTGCAGCTGAACAGCTGAATGCTGTGGAGTACAAGCTAGAGGAGTAACTAGAATTAAGCTGGATGCAGTTGCTACACAGATGCCCAGTCACTAACAGATCTCGTGAGCTGTGATGGCTGATTCATGTTCTGGAAATGCTAGAGTAGAAAACCCACGACTCAGATACATTCGTCTGTTAAACACGTGATATGATCAGCTACAAGTCAGAGCACCTCAAGTCATAACCTTGCCAAGCCTGGTTAGTGATAATTCTGGACACTAAGTGGCTCAGCTGTGACCCTCTGTGTGTCTCAGAGTTTCCATATGGGAAATGTCATGGGACTCTTTTGAGTTATAAAGGACATGTAAAGGAAGACTTTGTGGTATCAGTAACTTAATAATATTCAGGAATCTCGTTATACTTGTAATATTATGGAACTTAGTTATAATGGGTCATGGAGTATGTCCCAACTCAGAGGATATCGAATCTGTATAATACAGATTTATAACTAGTATCTATTTTAATTCTACATAGGTTGGGTGATAGGGTGGCAAGAACATATATTTTTTTGAAGCCAGAAAATTAAGATTCAATTCTTCGCTTGACCAATGGTGAGCAATGTTTGGAAGTCATTTAAGTCCATCTGTGGCTTGTCTGTAAAGTGGTGAAATAGTAAAACCTGCCTTTTTCAGGGATGTCATAGTGAAGCTCAGACAGGTGGATATGCATGAAAGTGATCATAAGTGCCTGCACACTATACACACATAATTGTTATTCTTCTTTCCCTAGATTTGTACTACAAAGTCCTGCTTATGTCGGGGGGACATCACTCAGAAAACACACTCATTCCCCTAGGAAAGAATTCTTACCACTCTTGTGAATTTGAGGAATAGTATCTCAGTTGCATTAACTGGTGTTTATTAATGTATTATGAGCCTCTGCTGTGGCATCTGATTCACAATAAAGAGATTAAGCATGCTAATTTGTCATTTATTTTCCAATGCCTGCTTTCCTGCCTGCAGCACCACTAATATCCCAGGAGCTCCTCAACCCAATTATTTCCCATTTTGCATTACTGCTGAAAGTAGTGCTAATGTGCCCAAAAGGCTTAAGTCCTTGGTCATGGGAAAAAAAAAAATGATGCTTCTCTCCCCACCACAATGCTATTGTCATTTGCTGAGAAGAAACACCCCTGGACCACTGGGCCATATCTAGTAATCAAACCAAATTAGCAGCCTGACTGCACTGTGGACATGAGCAGCAGACCTGTGCTTATTTAGTATTTATTTTTGGGGTGGAAGAGAATTCCATCTGTAGAATGAAATTCACAACCTACAGGGAGTTGAATTATACGATGGTTATATAAACAGTTTTGTTTGCTTGTTTGGGGAATTGCTGGTCAAAATCACTCAAATAACTGGTGAACTCAACTTTTTCATCTCAAAAAATTAATAAGCAGTTGTTTAGCCAAATCCAAATATTAACTTGCAAACTAATTTGTGAATACAGACACAACTCATTATTAATAGAAGCAGCATAAAGATTTCTCATTTTCTATGCTTTTAAATCCAGCCTTATAAATGTTTTTTAACCTAACCATGTAATATTTCTGCTACCTTCCTCAGTCTTTCACTTTGAAATGCGCTTTTTGCTCATCCCAGGAGTTTCTGTATTGCTTGAGGCAAAATACTCCAGCACACCTTCACAACTATAAACTGTAAACATTTCTCTGCCTTTTTCTGTCCAAGGCTCAGAGCCCGTTTAAATGTCGGTGGATAGTTTCAGAAACATACTAGACTCCACAGTTGCCAAAAATAATTATTGTCAAAACTTGCCAATTTCCCCAAGAACGTAAAACTTATATTTTTAAAATTTGATAATTTTAGCTGTGAGGAGATACTGATTGAAAACAGATTGTTATTTATTTCAAAGATGTTCAGCACCAAAGATGAGATGCAGCAGATTAAGTTAATCTCTATGAGGTTATTTCTTACCATTATTTTCTTAAATCCTCCCCTCACTTTAATCAAGAATAGGAATGTTAAGGGCTTGACGCAGGGAAGAAGCATAGATTAGCGGTTAGCATAATAGCATGAAAGCCAGGAAATGTGAAATCTATTCTGGGCCAAGTGGTCTTAGGTGAGCACATTATTTACAGCCTCAGTTTCTCCATATATAAAACCAAAAGCATTGCACACACTGAAAATGAGAGCTTCACTGTGCTGACATTGTTCAGTGCTGACTATGTGCCAGGCACCATGCTCAGGGCTTTAAAAGGATTACCTTGTACAATGTTAGTATCTACTTCTTAGTAGATAATATTATCATCCAAAGTTTACAAATAAGGTAACTGAGGTACAGAGACATTAAGTAAATGGCCACACAGCTGGGAGCCAACTGAGGAGGCTGAGCTCTAACCCACAGACAACACTGCCCTCTAAATTGTTGGTTTGGCATTATCTGGAAGGGCTTTGTGGAGTGGGATATGCTACACACCTAATCCAGAAAATTTCCAGAATAGTGGCCCAGATTTTTCTCTCTCCTTTTGGGGCTCTGTGCCACCTGCCCTGGGAAAAAGACCACCCGGGCTCAGGCCTCCCTGGCTTGGCTGCACCTGGTAGCCCCCACATACTGCAGTTGCGACACAACAGTGCTTTATCTGCCAACTGAACCCGAGACATTTGTGTTCGGTTCAGCGCAGCTGGTGGAGGGAGGCTCAGATTTCCGCCGCACTGAACACAATGAAGCAGCCCTGTCACAGGACCATTACGAAAGCACATGCTCCCTGGCTAATTTTTGTAGCATAAGGGTGTAGACTATTTAAAACTATTCCCCGCCCCCAGCTCTTAAATGCCTGCCTAGGAGTCAAGTTCATCCAGGGGTCTATTGGCCATATGTTATTTGGTGTCACTTGTTTTTCTGCATATTGGGGAACACACACACACACAGGAAGTGGCTTCCAGAGGAAAATGTTTATGATTGCTGGCAGCCTGGATACCAAATGGCTCACATGCAAAGTGTAAAGGAACAACGCTGCAGCTCCTCTGCTCAAACCTGGTGTCTGTAGGAAAAGCCAACTTGAACTTGACTTGCACAGATGCTAAAGAAATACCTCTTTCACTACCAGCATTCATCGTGGGTCATCAGAGTTAACTCGCCGAAATGGGAGCAAAGGTTTAAAGGTCTTATCACATCACATCCTGGAGTACTGTATGGAACATGGTTTCAAAATATATCACATTCATGGGTGTTCATTACAAACCGTGGTCATTTAATAACACATCTCATAATTGTGGACTTAATAGGAGCTATTAAAAATGATAAGTATGTGAGGTAATACACATGTTAATTAGCTCAATTTAACCATCCCACAATGTACACATATTTCAAAACATGTTGTGCCCAATAAATATATACAATTTTTATTTGTCAATTTAAAAAAAAGAGCCACTGATCTTCACATTCCATGATGTTGGTTAAACAGTGAATACTAACATAATGCCTTTTGTGGCTAGGCCAAAAGCAAATAAGCATTAAGCTACAGTAAAAGAATCACACTCTAAGAAACACACCCGAGTACTTTAACATATCTGGAATAGAGTTGCAAATGGTGCATGCCTAAGTTTCCTGAAATTCAAGAGTTTTGACATGCAGTTGCTAGATCAATATTTGCACATTTAAAAGATCTAAACTGAGTTAAGAGATGCTTTGTATCCACTAAAATCTCATTGAAGGGAAGAGAAATAAACGAATCATACATACGACTTTTAAGATGTTTTGAAACAAGTCCCCCTAAAAAGAAGGCTTTCAAAGAAGGCAAACATTGAAGATTTGCTAATAAAGAAAAATATCTTCCCAAATAAGTGATTCAAACAATGTGGGGCATCTATCACGGTTTCATTATCCTACTCAAGGTTTAGAGAAAACATTCCTTAAACTTTCAGTAACCAGATATTCTCATTAGAAAACACTGACCGCCTTCTTTCAAATATCACAACCAAATTTAAACAATTTTGTAGGAAAGCATCAAAGAGTGCAAACCATTGTTATTAAAGAAAGAAAATGATAAAAAAAAAAAAACACAGGTTTTGTGGGTCAATATGGAGCAGACTTTCTTAAAAGGCGAAATATTTTGGCAAAACTTACCCTAAACACACATTCAAATAATGTCTGGAAGTTGTGAAAAGACCCTAGGAAATGAACTCTTCTCCTTTCTACAAATATTGAGAAAAGAGCTACCAGATGCAAATGAACTGCTGAACTCAATCTGTGGTCTTAAAAATGTATTTCAATAGAATAGCCAATGTATCATCTGAGTATGAAAAAGATGTACCATAATAGCATTCTGAAAAATGAATTAGGAACACATTGTCATCAACTCCAGGAAAAATAATAAAGGTAGAAAAGATTAAGAGGCAAGCATATCTTTCGGAATTGTAAAATGGGTTTATAGGTCTTCTAATAACAACTTTTACTCAAACCTTACATAAATAGGCTTAGATGATACAAATATTATGTGGGCTGTGTGGACACTCCCAGGTTCCTAATCATGTTTAGGGATTACTCGACAGAACAGAGACATTTCATTCCTATTGGGCCGAGGGATTACAGCAAAGAAACATCTAATATTCCATTTTTTAATTTCATGCATTTTTTATTTACCTTTAATGATGCTGTATATATTCATCATCCTGAAATATTAAAACAGTATGAAAAAAGTAATAAATTGGTGGAAAATTTAGGGAATAGGAATGCAACAGCACGCAAATCATACACTATCAAGTGCTTGATACACATTTAAAATTACTGCCTACTACGGCAAAGCCAAATTCCTAGCAGATTTCTGAAGCACAAAGTCACAATAAGAAGATCAGCAGAACAGACTGAAATAATAGAATATTCATCCCTCTAATCCATATGCAATTCTTCAGGGCTTTTTTTTTTAACAATGCATATGAGGTCTGACTGTATTCGGGATTTAAATAAGTTGTCTCCTTCTTGCTCCTCTCTATTTTTGTAAAAAGAAAAAACTATATACAGTTATCATTTCTGCACTGCTGCACCAACAATGACAGGGTTAGCACATTTCCTCACACCTCAAATGAAACAATAGCATTTTTAAACAACAAAAGTGTTAAAAAGGAATACATTTATTCATCCCACTAAAACCTCCTGAAACAGCTTTTTGGGAAGAAGAAAAGTTGTCATTATTGATGGGGGGAAATGAAGTGACGTTTTTTGTCATTTCATTACCAATGAATGGATTGATACTATAATATAATATTGCATTTAAATACTGAGAAGAGCTAAGGTTGGCATTTTATTTTTGCTTCACTCACCTTCCCTTGCAGGGAGATGAGAGTGCCTATCAGGCATTATTCAATATTGTAACAAGGACTAGAAAATTGTAGAGGAATAAGGAACCATCATCTGGTTTGGCATGGGCACTTCTGGAGGGCACTTGACACTCTAGGAAAAAGAAACGGCACACTGGTCATCAGATGCCCTGTTCAACAAGATGCCTGGCATGGTCCTCATCCTCTTAGCTCATGCCCTCATTGCCAAGAATTAGCAGCTATCTTCCAGTGGCTGCTGTGGGTTTCTTTTTTTTTTTCCTTCAACTTTCATTTTAAGTTCCAGGGTACATGTGCAGGATATGCAGGTTTGTTATATAGACAAATGTGTGCCATGGTGGTTTGCTGCATAGATCATCCCATCACCCAGGTATTAAGCCCAGCAACTATTAGCTATTCTTCCAGATGCTCTCACTTCCTCCCTTCCACCTACCGCAGCCCCCAGTGTGTGTTGTTCCCCCGATGTGTCCATGTGTTCTCATCACTCAGCTCCCACTTATAAGTGAGATCATGTGGTGTTTGATTTTCTGTTCCTGTGTTAGTTTCCTGAGGATAACAGCTTCCAGGTCTATCCATGTCCCGGCAAAGGACATGATCTCATTCTTTTCTATGGCTGCATAGTATTCCATGGTGTATATATACCACATTTTCTTTATTCAGTTTATCATTGATAGCATTTGGGTTGATTTCATGTCTTTGCTATTGTGAATAGTGCTGCAGTGGACATACGTGTACATATATCTTTATAATAAAATGATTCATATTCCTTTAGGTCAAATGGTATTTCTGCCTCTAGATCTTTAAGGAATTGTCACACTGTCTTCCACAATGGTTGAACTGGTTTACACTCCCACCAACAGTGTAAAAGTGTTTCTTTTTCTCCACAACCACAACTCGCCAGCATCTGTTGTTCTTTCGGTTTGTTTGCATATGCTTATTTCTTTCATTAATGACCCTTTATTGTCTCACAACAAGGAGGAAAACCAACAAAACAAAAACTACTTCAAATCCTTCCTATTCTTTAAAGTTTTCTGTATATCTTCTTCCTTTTTTAAGCGACTTTCTTTTCCATTCACCCAAAAGCATTGATCCCTACTTTGTGCTAATGTTAACAGCAAATTTCTTATGGCCCAAATCACATTTCACTTCATGGAATGGTCCTTTGCCATATAAGCATGTCTTTTACGGGATTAAGTCCTTTCAGGGCAAAGGCTGAGTCTTTTTTTCCATTATTTTCTCTCCTGCAATACTGATCACAGTTCTTTGTACTTTGTGGGTATTTAGTACTTTTTTTTTTGTCATTGTCATTGAATTGATGGAAGCTAGTTAAATGTTTTATTTTGGCTATGTTCAGTGTTTTTCAGTTCACTATTCAAATTAGACAATTCTACCAGTTGTGGACATGGTTTGTTAATATTAATAATCCTAAGCAGAGGGATGTAACACCATTTTAGAAAATAAAGTGGAGAAAACCAGCCTGTTTTCCCACCTAAAACACTGACCCTAACAGAAAAGAGTACACAGCTTTGTAGAACAATGGAAATGTTTACAGGGTATGGAGCAGACCAAAACAATACAACTGTAGAAATAAAAATTCCCATTATTGCCAAGTAATAGAGAGACATGTAACTCTTCAAAGGGGCATATGGCAGAGGAGAGAAGAAGCGTTCATCATTCCATTTAGGGGAGAAAATAAGCGTTTCTTTACAGAGAGAGATCTCACTACATCCAAATTTAATAAGTATAAAAACATAGCCTGGTAAGATTTTAAATAAAAAGAAAAATTTTAAGGAAGTTCTCATATTCCAGACTTTTGTCATTTGTGTAGCAGTGATGTGCACCATTTTCATTCAACACTCACAATACATAATACATTTCAGAGTCGAGATAAACTGAGAATTCAGTTTTCTTCCTTCTATTCTTTATTGAATGTTTTAAGTTTATTCTTACATTCCCCTTTAAAGACATGAAATAGCTTGAGAAAAAAATATTCAAAATATGGAGTGATGAATGGCAAGAAGAAAAGAGAAACAACTCATAAAGGGTTATGTAAATTGTAGGAAAAATCAAACATAATGTCTTTGACATTCCCTCTGCCTTATGTCAGAGCAAACTCCTCAATTCTGATCATGACACAGTGATCTTATCTACGACATGATATCATCTTTTTTTTTCAGTTCAAATTCCCATGCCAGTAAGCCTTTCGACTCTAGGCACTCATTCAAAAATTCAGGAGTGTTCTCAAGTTCTTGTGTGAACCAAGATGTGTCAACCCACAGCAGGTGGTTCAGCTGCTCTGAGATTCTTTGCTGAGTATATCCAGCCTTTGGCTAAAGCCTCTAACAAACAATACATTGCTTTGCAATTAGCCACCCGTTCTTATTAGGGTTAATAAATTACCTGCTATTTATAACTGTAGACAACAGGTCAAGGGTGTCACATATGATGGGGCAGAGAAAGTAGTAAAAGTTTGCTAACCTTTAAATTCTATACCAAACACCAACTCCATTCATGAAGGCTTGTCTTCCCTTTCCTATGAAAGCATTCCTTCTCTTGTCTACTTATCCTCTTTATGGTTGCACGAACTTTGCTTTCCCTGCCTTTGTGGACTGATCATATTTTATTGGACTTTTTGAAAATATTTCTAGAACAGGAATAAACTACATTACGAAGTTTTCAGAGCCTGACCTAGTTTTATAGATTCAGCTGCATGTGTGTTAATGTATTTAAAAAAAACAAAGTCTGAGCTAATAAGAATACATAGGGTTAGGCCAAGTGACATAAACAGTTGGAAAGAGAAGCCATTGGTAACTACGGTTGTCACCGCTCTTACCTTACTTGCTCCCTCCTTCCAGGACAAATGTGTCCATTTACCCTCACTAGGACGTGCAGTTTCCCACCTTCCAGACCATACTTTCCCTGTTTTGCGGTCTCTATTTAGTGGGATTTTCTATTTGCTGGGAAATATTCTAAATATTTTACCCATCCCACTGAACCATTTGAAATTGTGGGGGTTTATTTGTGGGGATCTTAATGGTTAAATATTAAAAATTCCTAGGCCAAGCACGGTGGCTCCTGTCTGTAATCCCAGGGCTTTGTGGGGCCAAGGTGGGAGGATCACTTTAGCCCAGGAGTTTGAGAGCAGCCTTGGCAACATAGTGAGACCCTGTCTCTATAAAAATGTATAAATTAGCCGGGTGTAGTGGCCTATTCCCGTAGTCCCAGCTACTCAGGAGGCTGAGGTGAGAGGACGGCTTGTGCCCAGGAGTTTGAGGTTGGAATGAGCCATGATAACAGCACTGCACTCCAGCCTGGGCGACAGAACAAGAACCTGCCTCAGGAAAAATAAATAAATAAATAAATAAATAAATAAATAAATAAATAAATAAATAAATAAAATTTAATTTAAAAAACAATAAGAACATTTAAAAAATTTTAAAAATGAAATTTCCTTATGATTCAACCTAATGCCTATCTCACTTGTGTCTTACAGTGCTATTTTCTGGTGGATAGTATTATAGTGCAGTGTCACACAACTACTCACATACAAAAGCTGGGCTTTAAAACTGGCTCTACGTGGGTTCAAAGCTTGGGATGCTGACCTCCATATTCTGATGTCCCTAGGTAACTCTCCATTGCCTGGCCAAGCAGAAGGGGGGTTAGATCTTTGTCACAAACGTATTCATCTTTTAAGTATTTGGTAACTCTGACATGATAAATCACAGTATCTCAGATTGGGACCTTCTACATTTCTCTATAAAGATGGAGATGTATTTTTCTTTTAGAGTTGTATGAAATGAAATAATTTGATGGTGAATTTCAACCTCTGCATAGAAATGTACTGTGCCCAGCCTACATGTAAATATGCAGCTCTGTCCAAGTAGCTGTTCTAAAAGTCACTGTTGCAAAATGCGATTTCATTAAGAAATAAATACCGATACTCTCTAATTAAAGTCTGAATAGATAATAATCTATACAAAATAGCTAACAGTTGGAGGAAATCAATTACCAAACCCAGCTGAAAAACTAAAACTGTCTCAACTGTAAAAGAGATGACCAACAACCAAAGAAAATTTATCTCTTGAAAACAAATAATGGCATCAAGGTTGTCATTGTACTTCTTAACAAAAATGCTCACAAATCAATAAATTTAAAGAAGGAATCATGGCCTTAAAGTGGTAAATATGTTTCCCAGTCCTCCTCTCCAAGGCAAATCCATTGGCACACACCTGTTGTTATGTAACAAAGTGAATTAGGCAGGTGTGTGGAAGGCTTATCTTTAAGTCATCAAGGATTTCTGCTACTCCTGAGTCTCAGGTTCCTTCATTTGTTTATATAAATGGGCCAATAGCTGTTGAAACACTTCAGAGCACTTAACTAAAGCAAACAAAGCTCTTGAACTTTAAATATCCAACAAGAGAAGCTATTGACAAGTAGGACTTTACTTAGCAAATCTCAGTATTATTTGGAACCTTAATACAATCTTACAGATTGATAAGGAAGCCATACAACCCAGATGCTTATCTTCATTTAGATTCCACATAGAAGACACTGTACTAATTTTAGACAAGGTTCCAAAAACAATGCTCCCATCTAATAGTTTTGCTTTGTTTTCTTTTTTAATTTTTATTGTTGAGATTGAAGATGAGTTTACCCAATTAGAAAAGGGAAAGAATGTCTTCGACTTGTAGCTTAGCCTTCCAGCTCTCCTATTTCCTCCCAAACTGAAAGGTATTTCAGAAAGCTATCCTGTGATGAGAACCTTCGACTAACATCTCGGTGCCGGATTTCATCTCAATATTCCCAATATCTGAAAGAATTTGCATGAGTCACAGACCCTTCCTAAGCTCCAAAGTCTTGAATCTGTAAGAGAAGGGAGTAAGACTGGATGCAAAGACCTCTTTCAACTCTAATAGATAATTATTTTACTATTTAATGTATTTACAATGATGAAATCAATTGATTGTTTTATACTGATAGCTAGAGAAAGAGGCCACAGTACTGTTGTATATAAGGTTGCATAAAATATTCTCAAGTGAAACTAATGGATTCTTTGTTTTGTTTTCTTTGTGTTTAGGAAGAAAATATCTGTGTTTCTTTGGAGATTGGTATTGCAGTGGTGTGGAGATGCTGGGTTTCATTCTTCCTTTGGAATTTCATAATCTTACTTTAGTTACTGCTTGGATATGGGTTTCCTTTTGGCACTAAAAGGAAAAACACAAGAGAAAACTCATTCTTTTTTAAAAATTTAAATCACTTAACTTTATTTCCATTTTCCTTTCTAGGCTGACAAACACATTGAATTCTAGCTTGTCTCAACTTTCAGGTTTTCTAATTCGACAGAACTGTTTATCTTCTCATTTCAGACTTAATAGAGCCACCCATTTCTGATAGGAATGCAAGCTTTCTTTACAAGATGCAAGGCATTAGACTAAAATAGTTTCTCAGGAAAATTTCAAAACTTCTACTGGCTCCTGGCCTATGATTTTATAACTTATAGTGCAGAAAGGATTAAAGCCATATTCACATCCTTAGCTACTGACTGACTGCCTTTCATTGCAATGAAAGGGAAGTCTGTTTTGTATATACCCTTCACAAAATGGACATGGCTGAGCTCTACAGTACTTGAGGGCAGGTTCCAACTACAATGCATTCTTCTTATTTATCTTTTTTTCTGATATAATCACCAGTAATGATGAAGCAAAGTCCAGAAAATCTGTAAAATGACTTTCTTTCCCCTACATTTCCTAGGGCCGCATTAGGGAGCAACGCCCAACATCTTTTCAAGTGTCTTGCTGTGTTTTAAGTTATTTTATTAGGCTGGGCACGGTGGCTCATGCCTGTAATCCCAGCACTTTGAGAGGCCGAGGCAGGCAGATCATTTGAGGTCAGGAGTTTGAGACCAGCCTGACCAACATGGTGAAACCCCATCTCTACTAAAATACAGACATTAGCCGGGCATGGTGGTGGGTGCCTGTAATCTCAGCTACTCAGAAGGCTAAGGCAGGAAAATCACTTGAACAGGGGAGGGGGAGGTTGTAGTGAGTGGAGATCGTGTCACTTCACTCCAGCCTGGGCTTCAGAGTGAGACTCCCTCTCAAAAAATAAAAATAATAATAATAAATAGTCATTTTAATTTTTTTTTTTTTTGCCTGTATTAGACAGAGTGTGAACTACGGAATGATAAAATGTAGTCTTAGGCACAGATCCTGCAGGGAATAGCTTTTGAAATTCTCCAACATACTAAGTTATAATTGGGTTTTAATGCATAAAATGGCTGAGCAATTTAAATGTTTAGAAAACAGTCTTTCCTAGAGTTTATGAAGTGGTAAGCCTATTTCTTATAATGATTAACTGTGAGTCATCCTTTCAAATACAAGCATCCATTAGCATATGCTCCTCACAAGAAATGCTGCAAGGCACTTGCCAGTTTACCAAACTAGTGTCTTATTATGGCAAATTTGTCGCAGATTTTTATCTGAGAAATGAAGATGGGAAGTAACGAACCATGAACCACATTGAGTTTGCTGTCTACCTGCCTTGCCTTACTAGGTGAAGAACAATGTTTTAAAAACATATAATCACTATCTGTCTGCATGTAGTCTTGCTTGGAGACAGAGAATTCACTACATCAGGAGGTCTGTAGTCTACAGAATGTGTCACAGTGACAGAGGCCTGTCCTTGAAGACTTGATCCATCTGCTTGTTTTTTACCAGAGCTTCCCTTTGCCATCAGTTTCTAGTCCCACACCATAAACATCATTTCAGTAATGGTGAGCCCTCTTCCCCTCTTCATGTCAAAGTATGCAGGAAATGCAGGCATCATTACCTCTACATGTCAATTGTGAAAGCTTCTGGGCCCAGAGACAAGTCCTTCTTCCACAACCTTCCTGCCCCTTAAGGAAATGTTTGAATAGAGAAATCATTGGCCTAAGCCTCAGAAGAACAGTGCTTGGAACTGAGCTCCATCACACATTGGTTATACAGCTGAATATTGCTTAAATGTCCTAATGAAAACAATACAATGTGGATACAGTAATAGGCAAATTGGGTTGTTGTAAGTGTCCGCTGGGATAAAGCAGGCAAAGATAAGGAGGTTTGCAAATGCAATATATCATCGTAAAAGAAATCAGCCCTTTGAATTTTTTTTTAGCAACAATTCAGAGGCTGAGAGAAGGAAGGCACAGCCAGAAAATCTGAGGTAGTGAGTTCTAAGTTATATTTAAATTAATATAACTTAAATGGAAGACGAATGGGAAAGAGAAATAAGTTAATAAATGCACAAGACAAATAAGTTTGATTCCTATGGATGCTAGAAGTGTATGTAGTGGTAAGCTGGGCAGCCTTGGGCTATGAACCAGTTGAGATTGCTTATGCTCTACAAAGCATTCTAGTCTGAGAAGAGCTGGAGGTCACATGATTCCTTAGCATTAGCATCCTAACAAGGTCCTTCTGGAAATGTAATGACAGGGAATCTTCAGCCCAGCACTACTGAAAGATACATAGTTGCAGGCAGATGGGCTTCCCATTCTGATTTATCCAGATTTAAACTAAATCTATTAGTTCTTCAGTGGCAAAAACCTCCCAACCAATGAAGTCCACGTATTGTCTGAGTTGACGGGTCAATCAATGTTGACTTTGTAGCATCAAGTTGGGAGTACAAACTCCCACTCAAGTTGCTTGTATTTTCTTTGCTAACAAAACTAGAGGAGCAGCAAAGTTTATCTAAAATTCTCATCTTCAAAGATGTAACGGACAGGCAGGTAGAGTTACTTTGAATTTAAACTAAGTTCTAATGATAAAGTGCTCAAGTCACTATGAACCAAGCAAATTGTTTAAGGACAAAAAAAAAAAAAAACACACACACACACCCATAGGGACATACGGACGGCATGCAATCAGTATGTCAATGCACATTAGATAAAGTTACAATCTAATATAATATATTTATCTGAACCGGTAAATAAATGGTATGATGAAATGTAGTATCAGGATCAAACGTACAGTGTAGAATAATGAGAGCTGGTACACCTACTGACCTTGAGCTTTGAGTGTTAGCTGCATGATCTGGGCTCACCAGCCATTATCAGCACAGTTTACAACCCAACTCAGAAGTCAAGATAGGTGATAAGCAGAGGTTACTGACAATAATGCTATTGTTAGAATACCATTATTAGATTATTACAATATTATTGAATATAATGAGAAATTGTTCTTATAAATATTTCTCAATTTATAAAACATTTCCTGGTTTAATTTCATCCCTATACTAATAAGCCTTGGAGGTGAATATCATTGACTCTATTTTTCAGATAAGGAAAGTGAGGGGTAAGGAATTGAATCTTTCTGAGTCCAAAAGTCTTTGTCTTAATTTTAGGCCATACTACACAAATTCCATTTTCAGATTTGATCCCAGAGTCTTTAGCTAGAATGACGTTAGTATTACTCTGGACTTTGGTTCAGAAAGGAATCTGAAATTGCTCCTTCACAGTTTTACACACTTTGGTTATAGAAGGGCTTGGTAAGCTCTGCAATAATCAGTTGATCACGTGAAGTGACCTTCAGTATCTACAATTTTCATGAGGGCCCTTTAAGCTCATCTCTCTTTCCCAACTATATGAGCAGGGGGGTGATCCCTGCTGTCCATCACAGACATTGATACAGAAGCATTGATTGCTTCAAGACCAAAAGAAAAATACAGTTCAGATCTACAGATTATGATCATAGAAAAAGCCTGAAAAAATTATTTATACTTAATGTTAACAGTGGCTTTCTGTATGTAATGGAATAATGAGTGATTTTCATTTTCTTCTCCAGGTTTTTTATTCTTAAAATATTTTACAGTAGATATGCATTATATTGTTACTAAAAGAATTAGTTTAAAAATAACAGTGATATACTGATCTGATTTTAGTGAAAAAGAAGTCTGTAAAATGTTCTCCCTTATTGTATTAAGACACTCACCTTATTCTGTCCTGGTTTTTAAAATATATTCAAATGTGATCCATAGTTACACTGTATTTATTCATTGCTCTGGTTTGTCTTCTGATTTCTAGCATCTGACAATAACTGCAGGGAATGCTGAGATAAATCCTAGCTCTATCCCTCACTAACTACATGACCTGGAGTAATTCAGCCTCCCCATTTCATCATCTATAAAACAGGAATAATTATGACCTATGTCTTCGTATGCAAGTGAAGTTCTTTAAAATTCTCTAGCTATCCATAATTTTTCCCTCTTCATAAATATAAAACTTATTTCATGTAATTCATTTGACCTCTTAAATTGACAGTTTGTATACGTATTCTATCTCACGAATTGGTCAAATGTACAAATGAAAGAAAGGGTATGCAATGGTGCATACAGTATCAAGTAGGATGTATGGATAAAATGAAGGGCAAATAAAAGCTAGTCACTCACAGTCACGTAGGACCTAATAGAACCATGTAAATAACCACAATACAAGTTAAATGGGAAGGGAAATTGGGGAAGAGTAAGCTTATTTCCAAATAGAATCTGAATCAAGAAAGACTTAATGTATAAGGTAGCATTTGAATTAGGGTTTTGAAAGAGGAGCAGAATTTCATAGGCTGGAAACTGGTACTCACATACAAGAAAAATTGTGAACTTCTGAATTTTCTTTGCATCTCTACCTCTCAGTAGTGTGCCTACACAAATCATTTCCTACCATTTCATTGTTCATTATTCTCTGCTTAAAACTAACTCTTTCCTGGTTGAAACTATCAAGGATTGAACATTTCTCTCAAGCTCAAGAAAGAACCAGAGCTTGCACCTGGGAGCAATTTCCCAGAGAGAGGAGAGCCTGGGATCTTCGTAGTCCTCCTAGCTATTATGGAAATGGATTCCTGTGACACTTAACAGTAATTTATTGAGCAAAATTTGTATATATATTCTGCAAATTTAAGGATTGAAAACAAGCTGTGTTTTTGTTTGGTTGGTTTGGGTTTAAAACCCTGAAAGTACCTTAATGCATGGATTTATTTACCTGTTCGTTTGGTTGGTTAGTTGGGTTTTTTGCAAAGCGCTTCCTTCACAGAGATGGAAGGAGACCAGGTTTCATATGTTACCACATCTGCCTGGTGGAGATGCCAACAGCTCCTGTATCAGAGGGCTCTTATTAAAAGCACATAACAATAGTAAGAGTTTTATAAATATTTAAAACAAGGAAGATCAAAATCATGTGACCAGAATACACACCTTCGCCATGATCTTTACCTTAATATTTTAGAGATTATTTGTTGTCTCTACAAGTACTGGCATTTGTATTTTCTACAAGTAGAAAACTCGGGCACAGGGAATAAACCCCCAAAGAACAACTTGTCATAAAATGTTAGGTTTTTAATTTTTCATGCCTAGTTAACAGATGAAACCAAAGGCTATATTTCAGTGACCAATAACTTTGTTGCTGTGTTCTCATTGATGCTAGAACCCATATGTCCTCTGCTAGTGGTTCATCTTTTACCCGTTCTCTTTTATTAACTTATCATCCTAGTCTGTGTGGTATTTATAATAATTGATCATGGTGCACATTTCAGTGAGCATTTGTCAACCCACTCATGTCTCAATGCCCCATGGTTAGGGATATCTTATTATGTGCAGCATTACACAGAGAAGGGTCTCAAGTCCTTATTAAAGATATGAAAAACACTAGGATACAAGGACATATGTATGTCTTTAAGTGACATTTCTTTTATTCCTGTATTTTAGAAGATTAAGCTATCTCAGTAAATATGAATCGTATTGATAGAATGGCTGTGAAAATCAATTTACAGCCAACAGCCCCTTTGTTTTGCTAACCTGTGAAGTTTATTCTTTCTCCAGTACTATAACTGTTACCTGAAGAGCACCAGAGCTCCTGACACACCTGGAGTGTGTGTATGAACATACACACATTTACAGCAAGAAATCTTTGAGGACAAGAGGGGTGAGGCAATTGTTAACCCCCATCACCATCAACACGAAAGGGCCATTCACTGGTTACCGACCAGATACTGTGCAAGATTCTTTCAGAGGTGTCTCCATTTAGTTCCTTACAACTACCCTATAAGTTAGATACTATTATTCTCATTTTACTGATGGAAAAAATGAGGCATAACAAAGTTAGCATGTTTAAGAAACCTGTAGATAGTAAGGGCAAAAGCTAGGACTTCAACCCAGACCTGCCTCACTCCAAATGCCACAGTTTTTTTTTTTTTTTTCTTTTTTGAGATGGAGTCTCACTCTGTTGCCCAGGCTGGAATGCAGTGGCGCCATCTTGGCTCACTCCAACCTCCGCCTCCTGGGTTCAAGTGATTCTCCTGCCTCAGCCCCTAGGTAGCTGGGATTATGGGCGCCTGCCACCATGCCCACCTAATTTTTGTATCTTCAGTAGAGATGGGGTTTCACCATGTTGGCCAGGCTGGTCTCAAACTCCTGACCTCGAATGATCCACCCTCCTCGGCCTCCCAAAGTGCTGGGATTACAGGTGTGAGCCACCGCGCCCGGCCTGAAATGCCACGTTCTTAACCACCCTACCTCACTGCCTTCTCACCTCAGGAGGGGGATTCATGGAACAAAGCAGTGGCTAAAATACCAGCCAACTTGACAATGCACAAACTGGTATCAGCAAAGGCCTAAGCAATATCATGTTTCTAAATGGAAGCATCAAGGCGTTGACAGCACAGACACACACACATGCACACACACAGGAATTTTATTAACATCCTCTCCCTGCTGAAACTTTTAATGCGGGCCTACAATGCATTCATTGCAAGGTGCCATTAGGGCCAGGCTCACTTCAAGTGTTACCAATTCATGGGCAGATTAGAGGGCACATTAATAACGTAGTTAATATGAAGTGTTTAGAGCCTCCACATCGGTGACAAATACGACTCAGCCAAATTTCCTGACCACTGAGGCCACGGAGGAACAATTTGGTAGATTTCATCAACAGTTCTAATTATGTTCCTGTCAAGTCGAGAACGAAGTAATCCATAACTGGGGGGTGCTCAGAAACAGTGGCACAGAAGAATAATTTATGCCCAAGGCACAGGGTCCTTTCTGTAGTTAGTGTGCACAACGCTTGACTAACAAGTGGGTTCAAAAAGGAATTTATTAGGGAAAACACAGCCCTCTCGCTTTGAGAGGCTTGTCAGGTGTAAGCTTATGAGGAGTTATGAGGTAATGACTTCTAGGAAGTCTTGTTTATACAAGCATCTGGAGTTCAGGGCTCTCGGAAGCCTCAGAAACTGCAGGTTGTAAGATGCAGGATCTTGGCTCCAAGCCTCACTCAGACTTTTTTCACCCGCTAGATTTGAGCCATGTCTCTTGAGAGGATTTGTGGGCAGACTTTTAAGTGTGACAGGAGGGGAGGCTGGATAGCGGGAGCCAATGAGGAGTCAACTTAGGGAATAGATTTTTAAAAAATAACTGTTCGATCCTCAGATAGCATTATCATCGGAGATACAGGGATAATGTTAGAAGGAAAAAAAAAGGGATGCTTTTATGAGGCTATAAATAATGTGCTAATGGAATGTGCAAAGGAATTGTTAAGAACAGTAAACTGAAATGTCATAATACCCCCAAGCCTGGGCGTGCTCTCACCTCCTACAACTGAACTATGAGACAGACAATTGGAAAAGAGCAGGGGGAGGAGAGGAAGGAAAGGGGCAAGGTGGGGAGGTTGGGGGAGGAAACGCATCACACAATGTTTGAGTGATTTTCCACTGTGATCTATATTGGGATGCAGCTCCTGTTCTCTCCAACAGGGTAATTTTATACATGGCATTCTTATTAAATATTTCAAAGGGGGGAGGGGAAGGAGGAGGAGGAGTTACGTGTCTGGTGCATATTTTTTAAGAGTTAAAGCTGGTGTTGTTAGCAGAGGCTTGGTTATTAGCACCGATCAACTGTTAATTAAAATAAAATGAAGCTTCTTAAACTTCATCACCTTATTGCAAATTATGCAAAAACCACAACTAATTGCATTATTAGCAAAAATTACATTTAAAAATAGCTTCACACAAAGAACTAAAATTATCTCATCTAAACTCGCTTTTACCAAATGAAGCCTGAGGAGACAGAGCTCTGAGGAAAACAAGGGAAAACAAAGGTTTTTCAGCCTCTCATTCAACGGGGGGAGGAAAGAGGAGGAGAAAAAGAGAGAGAGAGAAAGAGGCAGGGGGAGAGGGAGAGAAAGAGGGAGAGGAAGGGAGGAAGGAAAGAAGAGAAAGAGATTACTAAATACTAATAGAAATCGTGAATAATGCGACATTACTTAAGGTAAACTATTAATATTAGATAAAAAATTTAGATAATTCCTACTAAATACAACATGATATGCATTTGGATATAGCCAATTCCTGATCCTTTACAAAAAATTTTCCAGGCAATGAAGTGAGAAAAACCAGGATTCCTGATTACTAAGACCTTCTTTGGTTTTCAAATGTGGGGCCTGGTCAGAAATGGGGTGAAAATAAAGCCCAAGAATGAGGAGAAAGATGTTTGCAAGTCACTGGGCACTTACATGTAAATATATATACATTTTTTAAAAATAGAAGACTATTATTTATTGTTCTTTTTTCCCCAAAGATGCTGCTACACTTCTCCTGGGTAGATAGCCAAGAGCTGCCTGTCTGCAAATGATTCTTCATGCTTTATTTTGCTACACAGAGACTTCAGGGTGCCCACAGGTCCCTCTGGGCTCTCTCATGTTATACAACTGGCAATATGCTAATGCCAAACAAGGCAGTGCATTTTGTCTTATGAGCAAGCGCTACACAATAGCTCATTTACAATGAATCATTGTACATTTAATATCATTTTGATTAATTTTTTCCCTCACTGTACCCACTTACTTTTAAGGCCACCTTCATCTTTACTCAGCAACAGCAGGTATTTTAGCAAAAAGTAAAACATTAGATGGACAAAAGGACAATTATCATATACATTTCCAGGAATTCCTTGCTCAACATTGACTGACGCTGCTAAGCTGAACTGAAAGTTCCTTTTGACTGTTAGTCTTGGCCAGGTTTCTCCGGTAGGTGGAGAACACTAGCACTATTCTCCTAATCCAGGAGAGCTAGAGACAAGTCACCTGCTGAAATGTCATCCTGCTTCAGGGTCATGTTGTATAACCCTTTACATAAACAGCAACTGCCTGAGGAGCATCTTACATTCAACAACTCTGAACGAAACCCTGCAAGCTCATTCAGCAAAATGGCCACATTTGCTAACAGAGTAAACTGGCCCATCTGGTGGTGCACCCAACTCACCAAAGTCTGGGAGGAGACAAGCCTACCTGATTTCCCTCTACTCTTTTTAAAATTCCTCTACTGGCTGGGTGCAGTGGCTCATGCCGGTAATACTAACACTTTGGGAGGCCAAGGCAGGTGGATCACCTGGGGTCAAGAGTTCGAGACCAGCCTGGCCAACATGGTGAAACCCCATCTCTACTAAAAATACAAAAATAAACACAAAAGTTAGCCAGATGTAGTGATGTGTGCCTGTAATCCCAGCTACTCAGGAGGCTGAGGCAGGAGAATCCCTGGATCCCAGAGGCAGAGGTTGCAGTGAGCCGAGATTGCGCCACCACACTCCAGCCTGGGCGACAGAGTGGGACTCAGTCAAAAAAAAAAAAAATTCCTCTACTGCCATCATGCTTTGTAAATTAATTTTATTTTTTTTTCTCTGTAGGACACCCAAAATTCTCCAAGATTTAGGAGAATTACAGCAGTACTGAACAATTCCAAGGCATTGACTGCACTAACACTTGCAGTTCCAGCAGAGTCAGCGTGTCAGGATCCTTCACAGTGTAAGTGCTCAAGAAATTACCTATGGATTGACCGTTCTGCAAGGAAAATTGCATATTTTCTAAAAAAAAACACCCAATGTTACACTTCAAATGTTATAAAAGAATTATTCAACCACATAGTGTTTTGAAAATGTGTAATTTAGAAATAACGTGTAAGGTGAGGAAATCAATTTAGTCATAAGAATTCAGTCAGATCCACAGCATTTGATATCCAGTTCCAAGGCTGTATGTATTGTTACTAGCATTAGCTACAATTTCCTGGGCTATCTGTACTAATAATTACAAGATATCTGCTTGTAGATTTGTAGGCTTTATGGTATGTTGATGCTTTAGTGCTTCTAGGTAGTTTGGTCCTTCTTCAAGATCCAGATTCATCGTTTCTGTGACAAATTTGACACACAAAATTAGCCAATTAGTACCATCATTTGTTGTTCTTTTCCTACTCCTCTTTAAAAAGAGCAGCCAATAGATACCGCTTAAGGCTAAATTTAGGGGAGAGAAAGATCATCTGTCTAAATCAAGGTGGTTAATCCAATTACCACATTTCTCTGAGTATAGCTGCCCTCAGGCTACCATATATCACTGTTCATCTGAAAAGTGTTCTTCAGAGATTTTGCTGGGGAAAATCTGCCAGCATTGTGCTACCCATGCATAGCTCCATAGAACAAGCAAGTGGCAGTAAAATGCTACGGATAGCACATATGTTGAGGCTGGCTCGAGGAGCACCCCAACTGTCACTTATGGAGTTATTCCCTATGCAATGGCATTTAGAGTGCATTGACCATCAAAGCTGAGGTGAGACCATGAGTCTCTCTAGTTCTTCATCTGCACAGTTATCACGGGGACACCATGGTTCAAACAACAGCGCTGCAGTGAGGGTGAAATGAAACATTGTACAGTTCACACATTTTGCAAGCTATAAAGTTGAAAGAGAAAGAGCTAGAGTCAAAGGTGACTTAGGGACGGGTGCTGTGGCTCACTCCTGTAATCCCAGCACTCTGGAAGGCTGAGGCAGGAGGATTCCTTGAGCCTAGGAGTTTGAAACCAGCCTAGACAACATAGTGAAACTCCATCTCTGCAAAAAATAAAAACATTAGCCAAATACAGTGTCTTGCACCTGTAGTCCCAGCTACTGAGCAGGTTGAGGCGGGAAGATCACTTGAGCCCAGGAGTTTGAGGCTGCAGTGAGCTGTGATCGCATCATTGCACTCCAGCCTGGGCAACAGAATGAGACCCTGTCTCTAATAAAATAAAATAAATACAATAAAATAAAAAATCAACATAACTCTACCCGTAATATAAAGGACAAATAAAGAAAAGTCATTTATTTTTGATTTTTTTAAAAGATGACTTAGGTATTTTTCAATGGAGATGGATATTGGAGTAAAACAGTGAGTCATTAACAAAATCACAGTCAGGAGGTGATAACCTGGAAAAGAAGATAAAAAATGTTTGAAAAATGATTGTCTTTGACCAGCATCTTGAAGTGCTGTTGAAAATTAAAAGACAGGTCAAGACTGGAATGTACAATTGGGTATCGCATGCATAGATATGAGCTTTGAGGCCCTACTCATGGAAGAATGACAACAACAGATGCTAGCAATTTGAAAACAAAATGTTGTCTAAGAAACAGGGAGAAAGTCAGGCATAGATAGGCTCATGAGACCTAAAGAAGAAGAAAGTGTCGATAAGGAAAAGGCCATTAAATACAGCAGAAAGCACTGAGACAGTCAGCGGTTTTGGTGATTGGAGGGTCATTGGAGCCTTAGAGACAGCAATTGAAGTACAGTAGGGAGGCAGACTCCAGATTACAAGCGGTTAAAAAATGTTCTATGATAATCAGGGGGAGATCAGGCAGATGAAACATTTTCATGATAAAATTGATAATGAAGGAATGACAGTAGCAAGGGAGGCAGCTGTGGAGTTTTTTGTTGCTGTTTGCTTTGTTTTTGGAATAAGAGAACTTTGGCATGTAAATGGAGGAACCAACTGATAATCAGAGTTGAATCTTTGGTAACACCGTGTTGAAAGAAAAACTTCAGCTGATTAAATTTAAAGGAGTTTAACTGAGCAATGAGTGATTCACAAATCGGGCAGCCCCCAGAATCATAGCAGATTCAGAGACACTCCAGCGCAGCCACTTGGTGGAAGAAGATTATATACACAAAAAGGGGAGTGACGTACGGAAATCGGAAGTGAGGTACAGAAACATCTGGACTGGTTACACTCAGCATTTGCCTTATTTGAACACAGTTTGAACACTCTACAGTGTATGAGTGGTTGACACTGACACGGCTGCTGGTATTGGCCAGCCTGTTACAGGCGCACACTCCCAAGTTAGGTTCTCAGTCTCATCTACTTATAAAGTTAGGTTGCAGTTCGTCCTCAAGGACTCAAATATAGAAATACGGAGTCCTTCTCAGGCCATATTTAGTTCACTTTAACAACCGGAAAGGTTGGCATCAGTTTTGGAAGGGAGGTACATTCCACCAGAGGTGAGAGAGGAGAGAAGATGCCTAAACCTCCATTTAACTTAACAATGGAAAAGAACTGCCAATGAAGTGGGTGACGACTTCCAGTCTCTTAAAAGAATTACAGGCTACCAGGAACGGGAGTCAGGTCAAACAGCCAAACAAGGCTCAACAAATACACAGCCGTAATATTTATATCACAACATTTAATGAGGGAACTTAGCTAAAGCGATTTTTTAATGTCTTGAGAACAAAACCGCTTGATTTATTGAAGCTTCTACTTTTTATTCCATTGTTCTGAAATCATGTGGCCCTAGTTCGATAGAGTCCCATTGTATCAAAAAGCAGAGTTTAAGAAAAAGTACCTGCTTAATTATGTGTTTACCTCTCAATCAAGTGAAATATTTTAGGAGCTCTAGGTTCTGCTTGTGCAGAGTGAGGGACACAGCCGATGCTGCGATTTCAAAAAAAAAAAAAAAAAAGAAAGAAATCCAGAATGATACATTGGAAACCTATATTTTTATCATTAGATCAATTTTCAAACCTAACAAAAATAATTAAGGAAGGTTTTGGAGAATGTAAAGACTCAATTCTGACATATTCACAGCACAATTTTAGAAACAAAACAAAACAAAAACTTCCTTCTCCTCTAGTTTCCTTTCTGTTATTATACCCACAAGTTTCAAGAATCTGTCTGTTCATCTCCAAAAAGAAAACTTCAGGACAGGAAGAATAAGAGAAAACAAGAAAATTAGGTTGCTGTCTCACCAGTGAGTTGAAACCCATCAGCAGTAAGCCATTGAATTTAACTGCACATCTTTTATTATTTTATTTTACTTTTTACTGTTTTTCTTTCTACAATCACGGGCCTACCAACACTGTAATCTCCCAGTGGGAGCCAGGCACAGCACAATAGGATGACCGGGGAAGCGCCAGGAAAACAGGTGATCTCTCTCTTCTTCCCTCTCTGTGTGTACAAGGAGCTTGGCATAAATGAGTTTTACAACAGCCACCAGCCATTGCTTATTTTTTTCTGAGCAATCATCAATATCAGCATCAAGTGGTGCAGTGGCTCCACAATGAGTCGTGGCGGCAGAGTGAGCCCAGCATGCAAACATTTTGGCTAATTTAAAATCCTTGTGCAGCCGAATCAAATATGACAAGACGATGGCAAAAAGAGAGGCTATTATCCCAAATGAGAGTTGGTAGATGGCTGAAATTGGTTTGAGTGGCAGAGACAAAAGAGGGGCAAAGCAGAGAAATAACTGAGAATAATCCCAGATAAAACAGGCTGCTATACATACATGTGTACAAACAAAAACACACCACAGACACACACACTCAGAGCAGAAACATAATTGCTTCCAAGCTTTAGTACTGGACGGATCAAACATGCAACCAGCTTATAATAAAAATAAATAATAAAATTACACATGATAAGCATTTGTCCAGTCACAGGTAAAGATATATTCTATTTTTTTTTTAAATACAACTTTTAGGCCGGGCAAGGTGGCTCACGTCTGTAATCCTAACACTTTGGGAGGCCGAGGCGGGCAGATCACGAGGTCAGGAGATCGAGACCATCCTAGCTAACACAGTGAAACCGTGTCTCTACTAAAAATACAAAAAAAATTAGCCAGGCGTGGTGGTGAGTGCCTGTAGTCCCAGCTACTCGGGAGGCTGAGGCAGGAGAATGGCGTGAACCTGGGAGGTGGAGCTTGCCATAAGCCAAGATCGTGCCACCGCACTCCAGCCTGGGCAACACAGCAAGACTCCGTATCAAAAAAAAAATACAACTTTTTCCATAGAAATCTCCAATTTTTAGAATATTAAAACTGCCATTTCATATTTAAATAAATGTGCTGATGTCTAATAGCTGTGACTATGGGGAAGACGGGAGTCACTGATTTAGGACTGGCAAATTTTGGCTTAAAGATAGCCCAGTGGGTTGGTGCTGAGAGTCCAAAGATCCCCTGGTCATCAAGAGAATCTGAGAGAGTGGGCTGGAGATGAGGAATTCCTCATGAAAGGCAACAGAGAGCTAAAAAGCAGGCTGATGGGGTCCTGAGCCACGAACCTTGACCACAGCTTACAGTGCCATGGCTTCCACCCTGAGGAAAGATGACCTGTGGGGAGCTGTCTTTTGTAAGATTAACAATTTAAAAGGGTTGAAGAGAATTTTTTCAAATAGTTGTGGCTGCAGACTTTTTACAAAGTAGGTTACAAGGTCAGCCAGCTTTCAGAAGCTTTACATTGTGAGGTGTTTTTGTCATTGTTGTTGTTCCAATAGAGAGAGTAGACTTAGGGTGGCATGCAGCTACAAGCCCAAAATATGGATATAAATGAAAGTCTCTTTACCACAGCCTAGGTTTGGGAGATGAGCTTTTCTTTAGTCTGTTCCCCAGAATTATGCCTTATATATAACTGCACATGAGAAGGCATGAAATGGAGACTAAAGCCACCATGACAGTTGACTGTTGCATTCCATCTGCACTCAGCTGGTGAAACACCTTTCTCTTACCTTAGATCTCCTCCTAGCCAAGCACCTGAAGCCAGGAATTGCGAGGGAACAGAGAGATCATTATGTGTTTACTCCTATCATACATTCTCAATATCAAGTAAAAATTGGTTCTCACGTTGATAATGATGAAACAAGCTCTAGTGTGGCAACAGAAACTGGGTTTAGTTGGTTTTTCAGTCTATAAAAGTGTTGTCTTTAGTACATGAAGATCACACCACTGACAGTTGGCATTTACAAATTTGTCATTTTTCCCTGGTTTTGATAATGCCTTTGAAACAGTGACACTCCCTTTTCTGATACTGTAGTGACTAGGGGGACACATGGGTAAGACATTCAATGAATTTTAGAGGAATACAGTGATTTTTTTTTGAAGACGAAAAACAACTGGCCTAGATAGGGATCAAATTCCTGACTTTAGCCTCAACTCACCAGGCTATAACCAAGTAAATTTACCTTAAATAACAATTGTTTAAGGTGAAAATAATTGTCAAGTAGTTACACAGGCATACCTCAGAGAAAATGTGGGTTTGGCTCCAGACCACTGCAATAAAGTGAATATCACAGTCAAGTGAGTTACAGGAATTTTTTGGTTTTCCAGTGCATTTAAAAGTTACATTTATACCATAATATAGTGTGCAATAGCATTATGTCTAAAAAACAGTTTTAAAATACCTTATTACTAAGGAATGCTAATGGTCATCTGAGCCTTCAGTGAGTCGTAATCTTTTTGCTGGTGGAGTGTCTTGCCTCAATGTTGATGGCTGCTGATTGATTAGAGTGGTGGTTGCTGAAGGCTGGGGTAGCTGTAGCAGTTTTTTAAAAAAGGACAACAATGAAATTTACCACAGTGATGGAGTCTTCCTTTCATGAAAGATTATCCTGCACGCAGGGTAAAACTTTGAAAGAAGTTTTACTACCCACCATAAAACTTCTTTCAAAATTGTAGTCAATCCTCTCAAATCCTGACACTACTTTATCAACTAAGTTTATGTAATATTGTAAATCCTTTGTTGTCATTTCAACAATCTTCACAGCACCTTCGCTAGGAGTAGATGTCACCTTAAGAAACTACTCATCTGTAAAAGGCTTTTCCTTTTCCATTCAAATTTTATCATGAGATTTCAGCCATTCAGTTGCATCTTCAGGCTCCACTTCTAATTCTAGTTCTCTTGCTATTTCCACCACATCTGCACTTCCATTCTCTACTGAAGTCTTGAATCCCTCAAAGTCATTAATGAGGGTTGGAATCAAGTTCTTCCAAACTCCTGTTAATGTGGATATTTTGACCACCTTTTATGAATCACAAATGTTCTGAATTGCCTCTAGAATGATGAATCCTTCCAGAAGGTTTTCAATGTACTTTACCCAAATCCTTCATAAGAATCACTATGACAGCTATAGCATTATAAAAGGCATTTATTAAATAATAAGACTTGAAAGTCAAAATTATTTCTTGATTTATGAGCTGCAGAATTGATGTTGTGTATATGAATGAAACCAACATTCATCAACATGTCCATCTCCATCAGAGCTCTTGGGTAACCACAGCTTCATGTATTTTTCATTCATCTATTGAACAGATGAATGAAACCTTCATCTCCTTGTCCATCTATCAGAGCTCCTGGGTAATCAGGTGCATTGTCAATGAGCAGTAATGTTTTAAAATGAATCTTTATTTCTGAGCAGGAGGTCTCAACAGTGGGCTTAAAATATTTAGTAAACCATTCTGTAAACAGTCAACCAGGCTTTGTTGTTCCATTGATAGAGCACAGGCAGAGAAGGATTTAGCATCATTCTTAGGAGCCCTAGCATTTTCAAAATGGTAAACGAGCAATGACTTCAACTTAAAGTCAACAGCTGCAGTAGACTCTAACAAGAGAGTCAGCTTGTTCTTTGTAGCTTTGATGCCAGGCATTGATTTCTCCTTTCTATTAATAGCTAGGAAAATCCTAGATGGCACCTTCTTCCAATAGAAGGCTGTTTCATCTACACTGAAAATCTCTTGTTTGCTGTAGCCACCTTCATCAACGATCCTAGCTAGATCTTCTGGATAACTTGCTGCAGCTTTGAAATGAGCACCTGCTGCTTCACCTTCCACTTTTATGTTACAGTGATGGCTTATTTCCTTAAACCTCATGAACCAACCTGTGCTAGCTTCCATCTTTTCTTCTGCAGCTTCCTCACCTCTCTCAGCCTTCACAGAATTGAAGAGAGTTAAGACCTTGCTTTTGATTAGGCTTTGGCTTAAGGGAATGTTGTGGCTGGTTTGATCTTCTACCACTAAATCTTTCTCCATATCACTAATGAGGCTGTTTTGTTTTCTTATCATTGGTGTGTCCACTGGAGTAGCACTTTTAATATTCTTCAAGAACTTTCCTTTACATTCACAACTTGGCTAACTGGTGCAAGAGACCTAGCTTTTGGCCTGTCTCAGCTTTCGACATGCCTTCCTCTGTAAGCTAAATCATTTCCAGCTTTTGATTTCAAGTGAGAAGTGTGTAACTCTTTCCTTCACTTGAACACTTAGAGGTCATTGTAAGGTTACTAATTGGCCTGATTTTGATAGGTTGTGTCTGGGGGAATAAAGAGGCCCAAGAAGAGGAAGAGAGACGTGGAAACAGTGCATTGGTGGAGCACTCAGAATACATATAACATTTACTGATTAAGTTCTTGGTCTTATATGGGTATGGTTTGTGGTCCCCAAAATAAGCACAATAATAACATCAAAGATCACTGATCATAGATCACCATACAAGATATAATAATAATGGGAAAGTTTGAAATACAGCAGAATACTGCAAAAATTACCACAATGTGACACAAAGACCTGAGGTGAACACAGGCTGTTGGAAAAATGGCAGTAGGTTTGCTGGACAAAGGGCTGCCACAAACTTTCAATTTGTAGAAACATGCAAGATCTGTGAAGCTCAGTAAATCAAAATGCAATGAACAAGGTATACCTGTAGTCATCATCAACTCACTCCAAATTGGTGGCCCCCTTGTTAAAGGTTATTGTGGATCTTTAAATTAAAATAGAATTTTTTTTTTCTAATTTCTGGGGAGGGAGTGAGAGAGAAGCATCAGCACAGAGGAGAGAGAGAGAAACACGCACACTCAGGGTAGACTCCCAGCACTGGCCTCTCCACCCCGCAGGCCTTTTCCGTTTTGAGAAGCTCTTAGAGCACAGAAGCAGACCTGTTTTCAGGGCAAACATCTAACTTTTAACACCAGGGGCTGGCAATCTGGTCAGCATCAGTTTGTACACTATCCTTGTCCTGAGGGATTTTACAGGAATTCAATCAGGAAGCAAACTGTGGAAGTACATGAACACTGGGCAAAAACAGCTGCCAACTTCATTTAGGATGGAACTTTAACATAAAGGAACAAGGTCTAGGAGCATTTTGCAGCCCACTTTGGAGAGCTGTTAAGAATAATGCCTCCTCAGGACAGTGGCAGGCCAGGTGAAAACCTGAAAGAATAAGACAGGTAGCTTATGGCAGGTTTACTTTATCACGCCAGCACCTCTTAACCTCCCCTTCAGCCTGCAGGGCCAGATGTAGCCTGTAGTTTGGAATAAAAGACAAAAAAGGCAAGTGTCTGGTTCTAACATAAAACCTTTGGGAAATGCACATGTTGGTTCATCTGGGTTCAGCAAATAGAGCAATCTTTACTTCCTCATTAATTTTTACATTAAAAGAAAGAAAAAACAAGAAGAAAATATCTGGGTTTAGAATGGTACAGATGATTTACAAAAAAAAAGAGGGACATTACTTTCCATAATCAGGTCCAGTTTTCATATCTAGTTTTCATTTTTCAAGGCTAAATTAAGTAACCCTCTAATATAAAATAAGCTTTGGCCATTAAAGAGAATAAAATTAATTGATCTAGAAGCTTGTTGTCAGATTGGTAAAAGTAAGGCCAGAAGATAAGCCTCTTCATTATTCATAGTAGCAAGAAAGACTAAAACAAAACATCCAACAACCAAAGATCATTTTTGATGCAGGACCATCTTACTCTTAGGAAATCTTTGCTATTAAACCTATTCGCTATGCCTAGTTCTATATGAAGTTCTTAACTTCCTTTTCATTTTTTGTCTCAGAGTTGAATTTATATATTTATACTGAGGCTTAAGAGAACCCTGGTTCGTAGTTCAGAAAGACATTGCTTTCTAGGGAGGTCCGATGCAGGTCCGTAGGGCATTTCATCCATCCTGTGCTTGCGTGGCACTCACTACCAAGGGAGCCTATTAGGAAAGAAGGGCACACTGAAGTATGAACTGAAAGCTGTCAGAAAGGGAACACCCAGATGCTGGTTGCAGCAGCTATGGCTGAGATTCCATTTGTCTTCAGAGCATCAGCAGACAATATATGTATTCTGTCACAAACTCCACTTCTCTCTCCAATCCATAGTGTCCTTAATGTAAGAGGCAGATGTGCTTTCTGCCCGGAGATGTGGCAGCAACCAGACTGTCACCCAAGACTCTAATTAAGTGGTATGTGACATGCTTCTAAGGCAACCCAGCCAAAGATCAACCTGCCCATTTTACTGAGTAAAGACATGCATCTTTATCTACCCATTGGCAGGAAAGCAATACTACTAATCCAAGAAGCAAAGGTGCTATGACTTTGATAGTGCATTTATACCACAAATCTTTGAAGAAGTAAAAGAGTGTTGAAAACTGCTTTATTGCCTCATGTGCCAGCTGTGATCTGACATACACAAATGTAGGGATATTATTCTTTTTTGAGCTGGTAGAATTTCATAAAAACCAGTAAGCTGGAATCCACACTCAGACCTATGAGATATATATCATCAAAATATTAGTGACTGTGAACAAATGCTGGTCTGGATTAAATCTTTCTTTTTGCCTTAAAGAGACTAAAACTACCTTTCTACCTTGTCCAAATTCATGATGATCAGGGAATTGGACAGAAAACCTAGTTGCTGCACAGCCCAAGCACTCATGAATGGGAAATAAATGAGAGATAGTCTTTTTTTTTTCTTAAATTTCCATGCATCTTTACAATACTGTCCCAAGAAAGGGGGCTAAGAATCAAATTTTGTTTTTTTTTAATATTTTATATGAGATTTGTGAGGCTATTTTTGCTACTACAACATGGCAAGCAGGGAGTTTCAAGATTGTGATTTTATTAAGGAATAGAAGACAACCTTTTTTCCACAGGGCTCTACAAAATATTCCATCAGCAGAAGTGTTAGGCAGGTCGGAAAGACTAAGTTTTTCAAGGTATTAAATTAAAAGATGTTGAATTACGTTAAATGCCCCACATTGAATTGACATTTCTCCTTTTTTAATGCAAGCTAAGATTGATGAAAAATACCACTTATCTACATTAAGGGTCAAAATCTCTCACAAAAAGAGCTTCTGGTTCAACACGTCAGAGCAGAGTCAGTCTTCCATAATCCAGGGACCAAGACGCGGATCACATTCTGATGATCCAATTAATGGTGGGATACTTTGCAATCATCCGGCAAGCAAGGCCCCTAACAGATTGTGGGGCTGTAACATCAATTTCTTAAGTGCATTTAAAGGATTACAAATGTTAGTCCTGGCTTGAGATTGAAACACCTATTGAGGTACTCTGAACCACATTACTGTAATTGGGTACCTGAATTAATGCCATTTCTTCTGATGGGTGAGTTGAATACATTGGAATTAAGAGTTCTTTTTGCTGTATTTCACTTTCTCATTCTTTCTTCCTTTTTTTTTTTTTGTTTCCTTGGAACATAAATCTGAATTGAAATAACTCTTTTTTAATCCAGATAGCTTTAATTACAGCCCTCAGGAATCCAAGTATTGTCCTCATTTTACCTCATGCACTGTTTGGGTGCACTCTTCTTTGAGCTTGTTATCTTAATATGCAGCACTTAGACAATGAAAATACAATTCTTTTCTTTAAAAAACTAAGGGAATAAGGAAAGGGGGAAAAGGAGAGGAAGAAGGCTCTGCTTCTCTTTCCTTCCAGCCATATGAACCTCATTATGAACACGGAGGATAGCACTTGAAATTCATTACAGGCCTGGAGAGTTAAGATCCAGATCCTCCCTAAACCTTTCACTCTTTCTGAGGTTGGTTAAAGTAAAAGTTCTGATTAAGGAAGAACTAAATAGGTGGGTATTGTCAGTATATTTTAAACTTCAAAATAAGGATTTTGACCTTCTTTCCCAACTTAATCTCCATTAAGTCCCTCAGCTAAGGGGAAATCACATAGCATCACTGCGTCAAACCTCCCCGAAGCTTGCTATGGTAAATTGAATGAAATCTGCACTCCCCACTTGAGTCTAAAAGGTCCTACGTGCTCTTCCTGCTCAGCTCTGATGTCATATTCGATTGCTCTCCAACCTGTGCACCAGGCTGTGTCCTCATGCAGCTTCTTCCTGTCATCCAAGTGCACCACGCTCCTCCTCCATTAAGGCCCTCTGCCTTAGGCATTCTACTCTGAGACTTCACCCTCACTCCTTTCAGATTTCTACTCAAATATGAATTTATAGAGTTCCCTGACTCTGCTATAAAATAATACTGATGCGCCCCCATCCTTCTCAAGTCGTGCACTCTTTCCTCCCCTACCTCATGTTTCTTCATAGCATTCGTGCATGTGTGTGTGTGTGTGTGTGGTGTGCACACATGCATGCAAATTAGTAATATATGCACCACACACACACACTCAAAAACAATGACTGTACAAGTAGGAACTTTGTTTCATTCACTACCAGAACACAAGTAACCAGAATAGTACCTGGCACAATTCAAATATTTATTTAGTTGGATTGAACTGAGTTTTTGCATGGCTAATTCTGCCTCATTATTCTGGTCTCAGATCCAATATTTTCTCACAGAGGACCCCAGATGACTCTTATTTAAAGTAGCACTTTCCCTATCCTCTCCCTTATTACCTTGTTTTATTGTCTTACTATTTTTTAGTAAGACAACCAACATCTGAAATACCAATGTACGTACATATGTTTGTATGTTTGCATATGTTTAATGTCTATTTCTTTATCTTATTACTTAAAGTTAATGAGGGTTGGAAAATGTTTTTCTGTCTTGTTCAATTTGGTGTTTTTAGTGTTAAGAACAGCACTTGGCATGTAGAAGGAGTACCATAAATATTTGTTAAATGTGTATGCAATTAATTGAACCAGAGGGAGTCAAACGTGCAAGAGCCTTTATCAAAATAGGGTTATAGATGACACAAACTCTCTTCACCTGGTATAAAGATAACATTGATAGGGTATAATTTATTCCACCTACTGTAGAAAAACAAAGCTGGTCATGGTAGTTATCATCGGCTTTGGTAAGGAGACACAGAAGAGCTCTGAAGAAAAGTCTGGCTTAGAGAAAAGCTACTTCTGGACAAAATTGGAAAACAGGTATTGCCTGTCAAGCTGTGCCCCCATCTCTCCTGTTCTGTGCCCTTTCCTGGCTTGTAAGCTATACTGTTTTATCCCCTCTAGACTCTGAAGCATCCAGTGGCCTTCATGTCAGTACCTGACTCAGTTTTCCCCTCCCCTGAAAACATTCCTACTCTGGAACTTTCTAACTCATCCTATCCTTGTCTTTCTTCCAAAACATCCAGATTCAGGCATCATATTCTCCCAGTCGCTACTCTTAGGCTTAAGCTAACCTGGCAAACCTCTGGACTTAAAAAGCATCAGCTGGCAATAATAATGAACAGGACCCCACTTTCCTGGAAGAGTGATACACCCTCCACTCAGGATGTCTCCACTCCACTCCTCTTTGAGAGGAAGGGAAAGAAAGCTGCGTTTCTATTGCACCAAGAAGGAAATCGTCTACAGAAGGCTCCCAGTGTCTCTTGTCTTTCTTTCCTTTGTCACAGTAACCACTTAACCGTATTCATTCCTGATCGTAAAAATAATTTTCTAAAAACACAGTAGCAAATTTAAATCATGTAAAAAGAACAAAATTTAACCTATAAATCCCTAAATAACAACTTCATAGTTTGTTTCTTTTTGGTCTCTTCTCTTTGGACATCTTTACATGGTCAATATCGTACACTATATTTAGTTTTCCCCCACTTATTATATTGTGAAAATATTTCCACGTCTTTACGTATTCTTGATCACCATTTTGGACAGGAGAGCGTATTTCACTATAGGGATTTATTGCCATTTAGTTAACAATGCCCTATAAGAAATTACTAGGTTATTTTTACTTATAAACAAGGAAACAATAAACATATGTCTTTGTCTAGAGGAGTTGGCAAACTTTTCTGTAGAGGTCCGGATAGTCAGTATTTTAGGCTTTATGAGCCATATGGTCTCTGTTTCAACTACTCATTTCTGCTGTAGTTAGATACAATGAGTAGATAAATGGCTGTGACTACGTTCCGATAAAATTTTATTCACAAAAACAGGCACCGGACAGAATTTGGCCTGAGGGCAGCAGTTTGCCAACCCAACCCCTGGCCTAGATCTCTGATTGCTTTCTCAAGATGCATAAAAGTGTAATCACTAAGCCAAAGGGGTGAACATTTGTAACAGATACTGAAATATCTATTATTCATCTTAAATATTGTTGCATGCTTGATTTTTCACAATAACAAAGTCACTAATTTAGTTAACTTAGAGGAATCCTGACCCAATTAACATTCCTCAAAAAGGAGGAAAACTGAGGCCCAGATAAAGCTGAACCTGAATCTTCGGTTTTATTTGACATTCCCCTTATGTAGTTCTCTTTAAAGATAGTTTTTTGTATATATATTTATATATATAAAACTAATTCAGATGCAGAAAGCAAGTTTCCAGGAGTACTGCAACAGTGCAGTCACTAAACTAAGAAAAGACAATTTCTTGAATTCTCAGGGCTTTGATAACTCAACATTCCTTCCAGGTAAATAATTCAATGGCAGTCACCAGCAGGGTGACTACTGCTTTTTTAGTGTAAAATGAGTAAGATAAGAGGCTTGTTAATCATGTATTATGATTACTGCTTAGGCCACAAAGGAGAGTTGACAGTACCAGTTACAGTACATCAAGGTCTGCCGTGCACAATTTGTGCTACTAGGGCTCTATATTATTAAAGTTTGAAGATGTGTGAGGGTATAAATGACCCCTATCTAAAGTTTTCAAGTAATGTTTAGTATTTACACTATAAATCTGCTCTAACATGGCATTAAGTTGCAATTTTAGTTTTACTTAATAAACTATATAGGGGCAGACAACCTATTTGCTATCTTTATTCTCAACAGACAAAGAATTTAAATATGTTCTCAAGAGAGTTCAAAAGGTACCATGATTTAACTGGAGTAGAAAGGAAAGGGATACATTTTAATTCCCAAAATGATTTTCCTCGGGGGAGTATGAACGCTTTTTGCATTCTGTCATGGTTTCTTTTTAACTACACCAACACATCCTTTCTCGGCAACCAACCAGAGATGATGAGAGCCAGGATGAATCCCATGAGTCATTTTAGTCCAGGCTCCTGTGTCAGCAGAGCAGTTCTCATTATTCTTAAGCATATTGTCTCTCTCTAAACTGGGCATGTCCAGGTCTGTGATTCTACTATGATATGAATGGATATTAAACCCTGGGTGAACCTGCTCTTCATTCATGGCCTATTATCAAAGCATCATGACTGCTGAGCTGAGGGGTCCATGCCTAAATACAGACATTGGGCATCTGGTTGGCAAGAAACACAGTGGCGGTGGCTATGCCCTCTAACTCTCTAGTGTACAATAATATGTTCAGGGAGCAGAAGAGGGACACTCCATTCTTGTCTCCTGTGGCTAATGTTTTTTAATCATGAACAAATGCTGTTCCAAGATGTTGGTATAGGACAGCGTTTCTCGACCTCAGGATTATAAACATTTAGAGGCAGATAATTCTTTGTTGTGGGAGGCTGTCCTGTGCATTGTAGGATGTTTAGCAGCATCCATGGTTTTTGCCACCCACTTAGTGACAACCAAAAATGACTCCAGATATTGGCAAATGTCCCGTGGGGTAATGGTGGGAGGTGAAATCATCCTGACTGAGAAGGACCTAGAATGGCAACTCAAAGGCAGAAAGACATGTAAAAGTACACACTGCACTTGCCCATCTCCTCTGTCAAGTATGCTTCTGGGGTGGGAATGAAGAAAGCAATGCAGCCCTGGGAAGAGACACCAGAAAGACTGAGCCCTACATGGACATGTAAATTTTTCTCTACCTGAGGTTTAGAATGTCTGGCTTGTGCTCAGCAGTCATCACAAAGCTAGATATGAATTTCTTGGCTTTTTTTTTTTTTGACTCATTAGGTCGCCCTGCTCAAAATGATTTACACAGAGATAATTAAACTTAAGCCCTAAGGGCTAGTTAACTGTTTAGCAGTGTATACATTTCATATAACCATTTCCATACATCTAGTTTTAAATTCATTAACAAAAATTAATAGCTACCCAGTGCTCTACATTGCGCAGCATGTTGCTATGGTATGCTTGCTAAATTACCCCTTTCTATCACTCCTCCAGCGATCTCATAGACAGTTAAACTTTGCTATGCTGGAAATGTTGCCTACCAATTTGCAGCAAAGCTCATATTTACTATATTTAGTGTGAATAATTGACTGCACTTCGGAAAATATTTGTCTCTGTTTGGTGTGCCTCTGGAACATTCTATCAGCTTTAAAGAACAGTACATGCACTTTTTTCACTCTTTGAAGAATCACCGAGAAACATTTAATAGGTAATACTAGCGCTGGATATGCATTAGAAATATATGTTTTACTAATATTGTCCTTCATCTGAAAGTCCCTTAACTGCACTTAAATATCTTGTATTTTTTCCTCCTGGCGTATTTTATGAGGACGAAATGCCTTTCTGATATGAACTACCTATGACCCATTAAATAATTATCTTCTTATTTCTGAATACCAATATAAAAAGAAAAATGAGACAGTAAATCTCTTTTCTATAAACTTATTGCCACAATTATACATATTTTAGAATTTTTGGTAATTAAAATATATTTTCCATTAAAAAATAATCTCTAATCATTCTTCACCAATATTTACATTGTTCACTTCAGGTCTGAAAAGGAGTCAGGGTGAACTAATTCATTGTTTACACTCAGAATCCTAGGTGGCCCAAACCCATAAAGGTAGTACAATGCACTGTATCTTTCGTTCTTAGTACTTATCTTAATCTTAATAACTAGCCAGACAACTGACTCCAGAGTCTGGGGCTTATCAACTGGAATTCGTCACATGAACCCAACAGAAGACAAGAAATACATTATATAACAATGCTACACAAGTCATTATCTCTCGACATTTAAAGGTATGCATTCAAAAACTATGTAAGGCTTTTATATATTTATTTATTTATCTTTTGCTGAACTCAGATTCCACTAGTTTCTATTAAATTTGATAGCAAACGAACAGAAATGCCCTTGTTAGGTATTATCTGCAAACAGTTTACTACCAAGAGATCAAAAGGATTCGTCCTACTTCATTTCAGCATTGGCTACTGGGAACAATCTGCTTGAAAAACTTTCCTTGATACAGATTATATAGGAAACAGATTAATAAGAAAATAAAAAGACCCACGCTCCTCAAATATTGAAAAATGTCAACTACTTTAGTAGAAATTTCAGTATCTTCCCAATAGCACTTTTTCTGGATTCCTTTGAAGTAGCTTATACAAACAACAGTAATATTGAGCCATCTATACTACAGTTTTCCCAGACCATGTCTTGGGTTAAAAACAGGACATGACTCTTTCAACTATTCACATGGAAGGTATCTTCTTCAGCAGAAAGAAGTTTATGAACTCTCTTGTTTTAGTGAATGATTTATTGTAAATATTTCTAATTGCACTTTAAAATTTTCATTCTAAATAAATGGAGACTGAAAGGTGTAATGCACTTTATATACTTCTGCAAGATAAGATTTATTTCTTTTACCAGTTTTACAGAACATTTATTATGTCTATAATGAGCTAAATATTTTTACTGAGACTTCAAATAGAAATATATACACAATTTAAAATGTAGATAGCCAAACCATTGGCATCATCCAAATAAATATTTTCTTTAAAATCACTCCTTTTGAATTATTTCTTCAAAAGAAATGAATGGTGAAAATATTTGTTAAATGACAGCTGAATTTTTGCTTTCTACCAATGTTGTCAATATGAAGATACTTTCTAATAAATGCCACCTATTATGTTTCCTCTTCTCCAGAAGAAAACATCAATTCATTAGTTAAAGAACTCTTAGTATAAACATATTATTTTTGGTGTGAGTGACATTAAGTTTATTAACACTTGCATTGTTAAAAAGATGTAGTCACTATCCAACTCTCCACAGGTAGTTTTAAACCAAAACCTTATGTAGAAGTTGCACCATGTCTGGAAACAGGCTAAAAATAAGATATAGTGAAATATATAATGTATATGTTTAGCCTAGTAATTATATAATACACTGTACTCCTATCTCCTTTGTTCCAATAATCAAAGGTGCAATTCTTGATGACATTTAAATATATGCAAAATTAAAGGTAGCAGAGTTTAATATGAAAAGATATATATCATTTCCCCTAGAAATTAAACTCTTCCTGTGATCTGTAATAAATACCGTGCTGTTTTACAAAATGGAAATAAGATTGATGATATTGATCATAAGTTTCATATTTTTCATTGAATCTATTGATGAATCATTTACCAAGAATGAACGGGACAAAAGATCTATGGAAATATTGCTTAGTTAAGAAAGAGATGTGCTTAGATAATATCACAATATTTTATCAAGGCTGTCATGTAAAGTGCTGATAAATGTTTTATCTTTCTGGAAGATACGGCCCTCTAGAAATGTGTGTCTAAGCACTAAAAAAGGTATGGTTTACATGCATGTGTTTAGATGTGTAGACTCCTTATCTAGTATGTATAACACTTCCTCCACCAACATGATATTTTGTTTTTATTGAATACATTCTATACTACCTATCAGATATCGTGAGTATGTTTTTCTGAACCCTTAGAATCCTAGCAGGACTGGAAGAAAGGTTAAAGATCTATGACTAATTAGAAAGATAATTTTTTGTAAAGAAAGAATAACTACACTTCTCAGAGTGCCCACTCATTACTAAAAGCTGTGTGCTTTGAGTCAGCAGACCTGAAACCAACAAGATGCATGTGCTGCTTTTCTTGTTTCGGCATCTAAGTTACTTTTGAAACACAGTAGTGTAGGAGAGAACTACTTGTTATGGACTAAATGTGTGTATTCCTCCAAAATTCACAAGTTGAAATCCTCCCCACTCCCCACCAGGTAATGGTATTAGCAGGTGAGGCCTTTGGGTGGTAATTAGGTCATGAGAGTGGAGCCCTCATGGATGAGATTAGTGCCCTTATAAAAAGAGGCCAGAGAGCGCTCTTGCCCTCTTTCCACTGTATGAGGATACAGGGAGAAGTTGACAGTCTACAAACTGGATGAAGGCCCTCGCCAGAACCTGATCATGCTGACACCCTGATCTCAGACTTTCAGCCTCCAGAACTGTAAGAAATTAAATTTCTGTTGTTTATAAGCCACACAGTCTATGGTGCTTCATTACAGCAGGCCGAACTAAGACACTACTGTTGGCTGCTAATTTGCAGAAATGTGCATCTCTCATTGACCCGGCTAAGGATCCTTTTATTTTTTCCTGAACATTATAGAAATAAACAAGACCAATCAAACAAATATTAGGAAACTGGTATTTAGGAAGAGTAGAAAAATCACCCAAGTGGGGCCACACTGATATCAACTTTACAAAATAATAAGATACAAAAAAAAAATCACCAAATGGATTGGTTCAAAGAAGAGAATTCAAAACTTTGACAAAGAGCCCTTAGAAGGGACAGTAAGAAAGAAAAGCAATATGAGAAAGAACTACATGCAACCTGTTGCGGCTGAGAAGTTTGTCAGATAGATGAATAAAGACTTAAAGCAAAGAAAAAAGAGTTTCCCAAAAGGGTTGTTTAGGCTTGGTTTATTTGAGACTTAAGAAATACCCCTTTAAAAGTATTATTTTGTCCAAGTCCTTCACTCTTGAAATTCATCATCACCACCTTTAAAGAGATTAGTGATAAAGGTTGGCTTCTTCATAGACAGTACTGATATATGCTGGGTTCTTGGCACTCAGTTACAATGATATTAGTAAAGAAGCACTATTAGTTAATCAAGATGGTGAACACAACCAAGGTGAGCAGGACATTGTATAGGAAATTCTTTGGAGAAGAAACCGTGGCACACAAATTAGCAACTGAAGACATAAACAAGATCAAAGAGCTCTGATATAATTGCAAAAAGTAGCTCACTTATCTGTTAAGCATTTTACTATTTAGTACACATTTTGGCAATTTAGCATATCTTGCGTTTTATTTCCACAATGAAATTGTAAACTCCTGAAAGGCAAGAAAAAAAATGTGTTCATACTATCTTGTTTAATGTAAGATAAAATTGAGCAGAGGTAAGCAAACACTTATATGTTAAGTTTCACTGAATTTTGAATAAAATTTGATTTATAGGATGCTCAATAATCATAGAAGTTTTGAGCAAAAACAGTTGAATAATCTGATTTTTCAGATTAAGGTATTGAAGCCCTAAATGTCAGAGAATCTAATCCAAAGTCCAGACATTTAGGTCTAGAGATAGGACTCATCCTACCTTATCTTCTTACTTCTTCCCACCAGGGCTCTTTCCATGTTAAGATTTAATTGTTTGACTGTCTCTGTCTTGAAACACATTTGAGTCACTCTGACTATGGCCTCACTTACTTTCCTAGGTCCCGGGAAACCTAATATGCACCAGGTACTACCTACTTGTTTTACATATTTTCTGTGAGATTTTATAAAAGTGCTTCTAGCCTGCATCTCTCAGCCTATTAGAACCCCTGTCCTTTACAAACAGTTCCCAAACTTTGTAATACTCTACATGTTAGTCAAGGACACAAACACATATCAAAAATGTTTATACTCTGACAGGTATGCATTATGCTAAAGGACTGAATCAAGTTAATGGTAAAAATAGCCAAACCTCTTTTGTACACTCTGTAGAGCAGTGCATATAGGCCAATTGGCTGACTGGTAGCAAAGAAAAATGACAAGTCCTTCTGATTGAGGCTTCACTTTCAGAGTAGATCCTATGCCTTTATCAACCTACTTTTCACATGCTGCCAGTTCGCTCTGAAATATCCAGCGTGGATTATGCCACGTCCAACTTCAAAAAAGTTCAATGGTACAAATTCTAACATGAGAAATCATAAAGTCCAAATTCCCTTATGTAATACTTGAGATCTTTCCTATTTTGTCTTCAATTCAGTGTTCTATTTAGCAATTATACTCAGTTTCTACACACACCTTCCTCTAGCTCCTCCATTTTTCTGTTCTTTCACACACTTCCTTGTCTTTATTCATGCAGCCCCAGAACCCTCAATGGTCCCACAACATACAGACTCACTAAGACCCCTGTCTCCCACACTCAGTGTATCCACCCATCACATTTTACCTCTCTTCCAAAGACCGGGTAAACTCACTGGTCCTCCAAGATGCCATTCCTTATTCCCCAAGTGCCAGTAAAGCATTCATTTCTGCAAACTTCAACAGCGAGTTGCTTTGAGTGCTGTTTCTAGCTTTCATCTGTTTTATTTCATCTTTCCTGCATTTCAAGCACTTCATAATAATTTCTTGGTGAAATGATTCAACTGATTCAATTGCTTTTTTATCTTTTCATTGGACATACACTTTTCACCATTTATAGGTTTTTAAGTCTGTTTATACCTTTCAGAGCATGTGTGCCTTCTGTTGAAACTGAAACACTGTGCTAATCCTGACATAGAGCATGAGCCCAGACACAATGCCATCAATTACTTTGTGAATCAGCTGGGAGTTAGGCTCAGCTGGCTGCTTCTGCAGCTGCCACAAAAGCTCCCTAGATGTGGCAGGGTGCGGTGGCTCATGCCTGTAATCCTAGCACTTTGGGAGGCTGAAGCGGGTGGATCATGAGGTCAAGAGATGGAGACCATCCTGGCCAACATGATAAAACCCTGTCTCTACTAAAAATACAAAAATTAGCTGGCTGTGGTGGCGTGTGCCTGTAGTCCCAGCTACTCAGGAGGCTGAGGCAGGAGAATCCCTTGAACCCCAGAAGTGGAAGTTGCAGTGAGTCGAGATCGCACCACTGCACTCCAGCCTGGCGACAGAGCAAGACACCATCAAAAAAAAAAAAAAAAAAAAAAAAAGCAAAGAAAAAAAAGAAAAAACTCCCTAGATGTATTTCTAACTAGACTGTAATATTCTTGAAGATCAGGGAGTTGTCTTATCCATTTTTACACGCCTTGAAGCATCTAACGAATACCAGGTAGGTAGACAAATGTGTACACAAGTCTGAGGATCAACAGGAACTGATAAATTTTGTAGAAAAGCCAGTTAATTAACTGCCCAGACTAAGAGCACTCACCCTTTCCACTTTCACTTCTTAGGGCAGGAGAAATGATCATGTCTATATGGCGCCTGAGGTAACTACTTATGGCTATACAATAGTCTTGGCTGATGGATACCAGAGCTGTGATATAATTGCAAAAAAGTAGCTCACTTTCTCTGTTAAGCATTGTTTACTACACATTTTGACAATTTAACGTATCTTGTGTTTTATTTCTACAGTGAAATTGTAAACTCCCGGAAGGCAAGAAAAAAAAATTTTGACAAAATTGAGCTGAGGTAAGCAAGCACTTACATGTTAAGTTTCACTGAATTTTGAATAAAATATTGGTTTATAAGATGCTCATAAAGCATAGAATTTTTGCTCACGTTTGGTTGCTCAACTTTTGGTCACACTGAGCAATCCTCTAGAAGTGCTGGGTCCTCTGAAAATGCCCGTGGACCAACAGAAAGCTCCTCTCTGGAGAGTCTGTCCGGTTAGGCTTTAAGCTCTAGGGGTCAATGTCAGGCTCCATTTTGGAAGAATTTTTCCCATATATATTTTCACCCTGAAGAGGAAAGGGTAATGCTTTTTTTCAAAATCATTTAGGACCTATGGGCCGCTGATATGACACTTGGATTCAATATTCCGAAACAAAAACATGCAAAAGTTGGCTTGAACAATAACAGGGCTTAGGTACAAAGCCATGTTCCTGGCAACAGCATCTAAGAAACAATAAACAGTAGCTCTCGCTTTAGTTTAAAGTTGTTGCTGCTGTTACTGTAGCTGACTTGAATGCTTCTTTGGTGCCAGTCACTGGGATAAGAGCTTTCTGTGAATTATCTCATTTAATTGTTAGAAAAAAAATATCTGTGGGTATATTATTTCTCCATTTTACAGATAAGAAAAGTTCAACTCTGACAGATTAAAAAACCTGTACAAATTCAAAAGGTAACGTAGAACCTGAGGCCAGCTAAAGTGGAAAACAAAATGCTTTTTGAATTTAATGTAAAGATGATACTGTCAAGGCCGCAACGAGACTGCCAAGGTCCAACAAGTCTGAGTCTGTGGCACGTGGAAGGAAGAGTCCTCTCTGTGACACATCTGCGCTTAATCCACCCAATTAGGTGTCTCCACCTGCCCCCTCCCCTGCTCCCCAGCAAGGCAAAACACCTGGGAACCAACGAGATAAATGCAGCTGCAAAGATCCTGCGGCTGCCGCATCTGCACGACACGCCTTGTGACAGTTCCCCGCTTGAAAATGCAGTTGTGCAAAGGACTGTGCAGAGTGTGTTTTCCCTCCCACTCTTTCCATTCTCATTTCTTTCTCTCATGTTTATGGACTTTATCTCAATTTGAGTGAAGGCAGTTGTGCTGAATAATGATGAGGTGCTTCCTCCAGTGCTGCACAGTGATAGCCTGATAGTTTCAGCCAGCTTGGAATTCTTCAAATGTCTTCTTTTTGTTGTTATCAAAAGAGGTGACCTACTACCTGGGGCATTGTGTTGACACCTATGGATACCAAAGAGGCAAAGTATTCGATTATCTCCTTTTTTTCCCGGTCTTCCCTAGAATTGTAACTCACTTGCTTTGTTTCTTGTGAAAAAAAAAAACTTCCTATGAAAAGAAAATATAGAATAGAGTTGATACACAGTGTGTTCAATATAAAGAAAAATGGATGAATGGATCTCAAACTGATGTAAAGGAAAATTTCCTGGAAAGCATGCTCCTTACATTTCCCATATAGATATTACCAGTTGCTTAATCAATATGTCTGTCTCTGCTTCTCTCTTCAACACACACACACACACACACACACACACACACACACACTTGGAACGAACAGAAGCGATTCGAGAGTGAAGAAATTCATCTTGACCTGAAATTGCTTTTGGAACAAGTCCATCTCTGACATCAAAACAATTTCTGTCAAAGTGTCTGGGTTCAAGCAACCCACAAAATAGCAGCTTATTTAAAAACCAAATCCACTCCTTATTGAAAGTGGTGATATTTGAAGCACACACAAGTAAAACTAATTTAACCTTTGGAAAGTTATCTCTGGAGAGAAGAGTCAAAATCCCTTTATAAGATTTTTAAGCACTGCAATTATTGACGAAGAGTATATTACTTCAGTTTTCTCTGATCAGGAAGAGGAAAAAAGAGAAAACCCCACAAGAGACATCAGCAGCTGTCAGGCTATTTTCCAACTGCAAAGAGATAGTTTACAGTGGGCTTGTGCCAGTCTCTTAAGACCCAGTTAAGAAGCCTTTTTAAAATGCCTTAAAAAGCCAACTCATACATTAATCAAGTTGAGCCCTCATCCATACTTACTGCAATACATCAATTACTATGTCTTTTTTTAAAAATAAATTCCAGTTGACAGCCGACACCTTATTAAGGCCCACTAAAATGATACAATAAGTAGAAGGCTATTAATATTGCTCTTTTTTTTCTCCTTGCTATTGTCTTGCTGCACCGGTCTGCAAACAAATTCAGGCTGCATTACAATTAATGCCAGTGGAACTCCTTCTAACGACTTCCAGCTTGCTAATTTTTTACGCTAATAATAAAAAAAGGCATTGCTATGCAAGAACGACCCCCTTTTATCATGCTAGCATAGCACACCAGAGAGTGTCTGCTATTGTTCACATGAAAGACAATTAAACCCTGGAACATCAAACCTAAAAATGACAATCTGCTAACCAGCACTGGGCATTGCTCAGTGCTTTTCTCTATTTCCCGAACTGATAGAAAACAATTCTCTGAAGACATTCCTTTCCTATTCTCCCTTAACCACCCTTTGGGAAAAAAAAAAAAAAGAAAAAAACTTTAAAAAATACGCTTTGCTGATTTATGCATCTCTGCTTAGAATTTATTAACTGTCTAGGACCAATTTCACTTCAACACTCCTATTGCCTGCAGGTTTAAATTCTGGACACATAAAACGAAATGCACCAATATCACCCACATACTATCATATTTAAAAATAAACATTAAAAGTATTCTTTAAAAATGCACACAATATAAAAGTCTAGAAAGAGAAAGAAAAATCTAATTCTGCAACTCTGTGTATCTCATCTTCTCTGGGGACCATGCTAGAGAGTCACAGGGCATTCTGAAAACTAAGTCTAGTCCAGAAGCTAATTTTTCACAAAGCCAGATTTAAAAAAAAAAAAAAAAAAGTCCCTTCATTCTTAGCAATATAAGGATTCATTCACCAAAAATGACACGCCCATTTACTGGAAAAATACCCTTTATTTGAACTTTAATTATAACATACAGAATATAAACATACCCACATAAAAGTTCACTAATTTTGTTAAAAAACTTTTCAAATTTTCACTAACATTTCCCCCATGGTATAAGGAGAAATAAAATAAGTCAGAAAGTCTGAGTTGCAACCTTGCCCCTGAAACCTGCGAATCTTGGGTCTCAACCAAATCTTGTAACCTCTCTGAGCGTCAGTTTCTTCATTTGTAAAATAATGAGAAAAATAGCTCCTTTTTCAAGCACAATTGTAAAGATGAAATGAGAAGACGGATATGAAAACTCTTTGAAAATTAAACCATAATACATTGTAATTAAAATAAATAATTAAGGCTGGGTGCAGTGGCTCACGCCTGTAATCCCAGCACTTTGGGAGGCCGAGGTGGGTGGATCACGAGGTCAGGAGATCGAGACCATCCTGGCTAACACGGTGAAACCCTGTCTCTACTAAAAAAAAAAAAAATTAGCCAGGCGTGGTGGCGGGTGCCTGTAGTCCCAGCTACTTGGGAGGCTGAGGCAGGAGAATGGTGTGAACCTGGGAGGTGGAGCTTGCAGTGAGCTGAGATTGTACCATTGCACTACAGCCTGGGCGACAGAGTGAGACTCCATCTCAAAAAATAATAATAATAAAATAAAATAATTAATTAAATGAAGTTGTTGTACGACCTCACTAGAGTTGCACTGAAATCTTTTTCTGATTAGTAGTGAGTGACTCTCAAATGCTGGGCATGGGCAGACCTAACATATTTACTCAGCAAGATTTGGTAAAGGGGCCAGGTACTATCCTAGGTTCTTCACATTTGGCATTTTATTGCATTCTCACAAGAACTCTCTTGGCAGGGATGATCGTTCTCTGATTACAAATGAGGAAACTGAGGCCTAGGGAGATTTGGTGTTTGGCCTAAGTGGCAGAGTTGAGATTTGAATCACAGTACTGATCACATAGAAGACACTCAATAAATGTCCCCAGCTGTGACCCATTCTTAAGGTGACTTTCCATGGTAAGCATCTTGTAAAAGAGAGCAGTTCTGTGAAGCCAGGTTAAGAGATGAGTTCAGGCAACCTGTACTGATATATTGGCTCTGACCCTAGTTGGCATGGACCTTTGGGCCAGCCATTAATTCCTCAGTTTTGCATCTGTAAAATACAGGGGTTTTTGTGAGAATCAAATAAGTCCATGTATAATGTTTAGAAAAATATTCAATAAATGTGAATGTGTGTTATTACTTTATCCTCCAGCGCTGTGTGAGAAACTCTACTTTGTAAAATAAGCATAAAATAGGATCAGTAGCTTCCACATTTAACCAAGATAAAGCAACAAGGACCAGACTTACCCTACCATCTAAAATAATAAAAACACAAACAAAATATACAGAACAATGTGTAAGATCCTAGAGCAAGGTAAAGAGATATAGTGATCTCTAAGAGATTAGAAACAAATAAGGTAAGACCTATGATCATCTCAGCTTACTTCCTTGAGAGAGGCTCCAGGTCAAATGCAAAAGGTGAAGTCAGGCAGAGGCCAACAGACTCCTTCAATTCAGGAGACACATCTAAAAGGCTCAGGAAATCAAGGCAAGTGTAGAATAGAGTACTAGAGAAGATGTTGCTGCAAAGATAGAGAACTCCAGAGATTTGCAGATAGTCCTTTTCAAGTGTTCAATTGAATATTAAACAGTGCATGCATGCAAGGAAACTATTGAAGGCTGGGAAAAGAATCATTAAAAAGTTTAGAGGTACTAGTGCCCAGTGCTTACATAAGACTAGGAATAATGCTTGCTCTCATCACCCAGATTGGAAAAACCTCATGATTCATGGGACATTGGGTGGGGTACACTGACAGGTCTTTACTCAAAAATGGTAAATAATTAGCTGTAGACTGAGCCCTGTTCCAGTCTACCTAACAAATATTAAAAGTAAGAATCTAAAGGATGAAACTACTTCCAAATAACTGCATCCCAGAAAAAGCTAAGGATATTAACAGAAATACAAAATATCCAACATATGAGAAGATAGAATTCTCAATGTCTGGCATCCAATCAAAAGTTACCAGTCACTCAAAAGAAGCAGGCACATATCATCCAAAAGTGAGAAGGAAAAAACCAATCAATTGAAACAGACCCCAAAGTGACCCAGATGTTAGAAACAGCAGACAAAGGCCAGGTGCAGTGGCTCATGCCTGTAATCCCAACACTTTGGCAGGCCAAGGTGGACAGATCACTTGAGGCCAGGAGTTCGAGACCAGCCTGGCCAACAGGGTGAAACTCCGTCTCCACTAAAAATATAAAAACTTAGCTGGCAATGGTGGCACATGTCTGTAATCCCAGCTATTCATGAGGCTGAGACAGAAGAATTGCTTAAACCTGGGAGGCAGTGTTGCAGTGAGGCAAGATCGTGCCACTGTGCTCCAGCCTGAGTGACAGAGCGAGACTCTGTCAAAACTAAATAAATACATACATAAAATAAGAAAAAGGAAAAAATAGCAGACAAAGACATTAAAACAATTATTATAACTATATTTTATATGTCCCCAAATTGGAGGCAAGGGAGATTTATAAGCCTACAGATTAGTGAAGCTCTGCAGATCCTCAAATAAGAAACATAAAGAAAATGACACCAGGGCATATCATAACCTAGTTGTTCAGAATGACTGATAAAGTATAAAATCTTAAAAGTAGCCAGAGACAGAAGACACTACATGGAGACCTGAAGGTAAATAAAATAGAGATTTCTCATTGGAAAGAGTGAAAGCAAGAAGACAATATATTGGAACAATATATTTAAAGAAAGAAAAAACTGTCAACTGAGAATTTGAAATATAGCTTTTAAAAACAAAACAACAAAATATATTTGTACGTATATACAAGGCTGAAATGATTCATCGCAAGCAAAACTGCAATACAAAAATATTCAAGGAAGTCCTTGTTACAGAAAGAAAATGATACCAGATGGATATATGAATTTACACAAAAGAATGAAGAACACAAGAAATGGTAACTAGGTGAGTTAATTTATTTGCTATTATTATTAGTACATCTCTTTAACAATGTACTGTTTAAACAAAAATCATAACGACAATGTAGTGTGGGGTTTATAATATATGTAAGAGCAAAACGTGAAAAGAATAGCACAGAGGTCGAGGGAGGAAACATGGAAATATATTATTGTAAGTCTCAAACAATAAATGAAGAGGTACAGTATCAGTTGAATGTAGTCTGTGATAAGTAAAACATGTATACTATAAATCCTAAAATAATAAAGCAAAGAGTTATAGCTAATAAGCCAACCGAGGTCATAAAATGGAATCATAAAATTTATTCAGTTAATCCAAATGAAAGTAAAAATATGAAGAGAAAGAAAACAAAAAAATGAAATAAATAAAAAATAAATAGAAAAATGCTAGATTTAAACTTAACCATATCAATAAACACATTAAATAAAAGTGGTTTAAATATTCTAATTAAAAAGTAATATTCTATAGCATTACAGGGTATAATTCACAATAATTTATTGTATATTTGTAAATAGCTAAAAGAGCAGATTTTGAATGTCTCCAATACAAATAAATGCTAAATGTTTGAAGTGGTGAATATGCTAATTATCCTAATATTGATCATTACACATTGTATACATGTATCAAAATATCACACTGCATCTCATGTGTAATTATTATACGTCAATTAAAAGTACTAAAAGCAAAAAAAATTTTAACAGTAGAGATTGTTAGATTGGATAAAAAAGCGAAATTCAACTATATGTTTCCCACAAAAATAAATACACATGAGAAAAACCTTTGTAATCTGGGATAGTCAAAATTTTTTTCTTTTAGGTACAATATGAAAAGCATAACCCATTAAATATCAAATTGATAGACTTCATAAAAATTAAAAATGTATACTCTTTAAAAGACACTGTTGTGAGAAGGAAAAGACAAGCCAACACTAGCAGAATATATTGCAAATCATAAAATCAAATAAAAGGTTTATATCTAGAATACAGAAGGAACTATCAAAACTCAATAACAAGAAAACAAAAAACCTAATACAAAAGTAGGCAGAAGATTAGAATAGAAACTTCAACAAGGAAGATATATGAATGATAAATGAGCACATGAAAGATGCTCAACATCATTAGTCATTAGGGAAATGCAAATTAAAACTACAAGATACTACTACACATCTATTAGAATGAATACAATTGAAAAGTCTGACTAAACTAAGGATTTGGAGCAAGTGTAATTCTCATACACTGTTGCTGAGAGTGTAAAGTGATACTACTTTGGAAGACAAACAGCTTGACAGTTTTCTGAAAAGTTAAACATACACTTAATATATGATCTGTTCTCAGGTTTTTACCAAAGAGCAATGAAAGTCTATGTCCATGCAAAGACTTGTAACAGTTTCCCTTTTTTTTTTTTTTAGACAGAATCTTGCTCTGTTGCCCTGGCTGGAGTACGGTGGCGTGATCTTGGCTCACTGCAACCTCCGTCTCTTGGGTTCAAGTGATTCTCCTACCTCAGCCTCCTGAGTAGCTGGGATTACAGGTGCGTGCCACCATGCCCAGCTAATTTTTGTATTTTTAGTAGAGATGGGGTTTCACCATGTTGGCCAGGCTGGTCTCGAGCTCATGACCTCGTGACCCCCCCAAAAGCCCAGGCTAAAATAACACAAAAATCCACTGACAGTAACTTAATAAACACATCGTAGCTTATACAATTTGATGGTACCTCAGTAATAAAAAGGAACTAACTACTGATTCAACAACATGGATATATGTTAAAATAATTATACTGATTGAGACAAACCAGATAAAAAAGAATATATACTGTAGGATTCCACTTACATGAAAGTCTACAAAATGCAGACTTATCCATAGAGGCAAAAAGCAGATAAGTGATTAGCCTTGAGATGGGGGAAGTAGGTCAGTAAAGGGGTCAGAGAAAAGGATTATAAGGTAGCAAAAGAAAACTTTTGGGGTGAGATCCCCGTTTATTACGTTGATTAAGGTATTGGTTTCATGGATGTATATGTACGTCAAAATGGATCCAATTATATACTGTAATGTGCAGTTTATTATATTTCAGTTATAACTCATAGAGCTGGTACAAACAAAGATAAGATTATTGTCCATAAGGAATTTAAAAGTTAATTATTGAAAGAAAATATATGTACAAAATTAATGTAATGAATAAGAAGATAATATAAACTGTTTTGTACAAAATACATGAAAAAAAGTAGAGACCAGTGATTCTTAAACTTTGATACCCATCAGAATTGCCTGGAGGGAGTGTAAAAGCATAGATTGTTGGGTCCGATGCCCAGAGTTTCTGATTCAGTAGGCCTGGGATGGAGCTTAAGGATCTGCATTTCTAACAGGCTCTCTGTGAATGCTGATGGTGCTGGTCCCAGGACCACACTTTTAGAATCACTGATATATATGAGAATAGGACAATGTAGAATAAAGGGCCAATTTAGAAAATAGAGAAATTATAGCATTTTTTGAAAAGCTTTATTTTTTCCTTAAGCTCACAATGAAATAGAATTCAAGTGAATAAAATTTTATTTTATTCTCAGAATTTCTTTCCTTCAAAATTTTTCTATGTTCCTACTGAAAATTCCACAGTTTTCAAGTAGATCTCATACTACCTAGTTGCAGAATTCACTGGCATAGAGACAGTCAATATCCTCTTAGAGAGCAATTAAATATCAAACCAGTGAATAAGTTAAGAATAGGGCAAGGGTATAGTCCAATTAGTCAAACCTTTTATTTCCACTTTCTGCCATATTTTCAATTATTCTTCTCCTATACCCTTTTGAGAAATAGTTATTATTGTAGGTTTAAAATAAATAAAAATAGTTTTTCTTTCTCAGGAGTCATGGGCTTTGTTCTTTGCTATTCCCTCTGCAACACTTTTTGTCCTACCTGCTCACTTTCATCTGGCTAATTCTAATTTGCCTTTTAAGCCTGGGATAGACAGTACCTATTTGCAGAACTTTCCTGGGCATACTTCTGCTCACCCTGCTGCACAGGAAGCTCCTACTCTGTGCTCCTTGTCTCTACTGCATCCGCCATCTTGCACTAAATCATTTTATCACACTCATCACATTTTTTCTACTTCTTAGTGTATTTCTCTTTAATTTAATGAAATTGCATTTGGGACATCCTAGCTTCCCTGATCCTCTCTAAGTTACACAGTGTTAGGAATAGAGAAGGAGGAGTCAGAGGTCACCAAAGCTAGAATCATAAAATTGGAGAGACAGAACATGGGATGAAATTGTAAATATACAACATACACTTGCATACAGGCACATACAAACATTTGGGGGGTTGTTAATGACTTCCCTAAGGATAGTAATTTCAAGTGGCACCAATCTTTAACCCAGATTGAATCACAGGACAAATCAAGTTTCCCAATTCCTACTCATGCATTTGACATAGTTATGGTCTGCTTTTATAGCTTTTGATCACAATTTCCTAGGAGGCAGCTGGTCTCTAAATCAACAAGTCAGAAAAAAAAAAAAAAAAACAGCCAAAGCCCAGTCCTTTAACAAAATTACCTATTGAGGAGGTCAATGCTGTTTGGAACACATTTAAAACATTTATAAGAGTGATTTTTTAAATGTCTGCTATTGGATGAGGGTTACATTCAAAGATTCCAGTTGTACTTTTGTATGACACTAGACTTCTGCTGTAGTGCTTCACCCAAAACAGAGGTTTAAGGAAATAAAAAAACAAAAATAATACAGAAAAAAAAAACCAAAACACTTTACTGAAAATTTTCATTTCAACCAGAAGCAAACGTGTTCTAAGAAGGCAAAGTAGAGTTAGGAACAACTCCGTGTTTCCCTCAGGAATAAACGTGATCTTTCACACTTGGGGGTTGATAGTCAGCGTGGAGTAACAGACCAACTTAAGAAGGAGGCATCTGGGGCTGTTCACCTAAGGAGATGCTTCCCAGAGGCCCAGCATCTTGGGAGAACACCCCAAGTTCTCTGGAGAGGTCAGGAGTTTGGGATGCAGGATCACACTGAAGGTCAGCCCAGCAAAGCAGCTGATCTAGGATATGGGCTTCTGACTTCCAGATTCTACCATCATCACAGAGGCTCAAAGCTGGGGCCCACACCAAAAGGGCGTGATGATTCCCAGCCTTCAGCACAACAGGAATTGACCTGGAAAGAAAGGCCTTTATTCCTCTGACAGAAAAACCTGATTCCCAAAGGAAAATGATACTTTTACCTTATTCCCTTTCTCAGTGGATCTGCATTTTCATGAATGAAGAAAAGAAGAAAGTTGAATTCTCTGACTAGGAAGGTTTCTTATAAGAAGGTTTCCAATAGACTTCAACTTTTTAAAGCTGTGCAGCAAAAAAAAAAAAAAAAAAAAAAAAAAAAAAATTACCACAAAGGAATAAAGAGCACTAACCAAAGAAATTTCACTCTCATAGATTTTGTAGCACCTCAGAACTTCCTTTGGAAGGGAAGGACAAAGCGGCCGTTTGCTCAGCTCAGATCATTTGGATTGAGACTCATATGTTATTTTAAATGAACATTGCTCAGGTAGTTAAGCCTTAAAAATCAACCATCCTTGACAACTGTCCATTTTTTTTTTTAAGTCTTACCTTAAGGGTTTAAGAAACACATTTACAAAGTATGCTGTAGTGGGAACTAGCCAAGCTTCCTACCTGGCTTCATAGCACAATTGGGACTGCTGGTCTTTGTTCATTTTTGTCTTTGAAAACTTTGTTACAGTTAAAAGAGGGAAAAGGAGTAAACTTAAAAAGCAAACATGGAACACTTGTTTAGCACTTGGAACAATACAAAATTCCAATGCACATTAAAAATATAATCCAATGGACCATTTAATTTTCAAGATTTTACTTTCACCCCTTGACTAATAATGTTAAGAAAGTACTGAATTTCTCTCGTGATACTAGAACTGTCTTTTACAATGGCATTCCTTTTGAGAAATCAGAACTAAAGTTTTCTTTGCATTCTCTATGTGCTGAGTCCCTATATTGGATAATATTAGCATCTTTTATATCCATACCTAATATAACATTCTTTTTTCCTATATTGTACAAGTTCCAGAGTCTTAACGCTTTATAGTAGTGCCAACAAAAATGTTTAAGGAAAGGCCATCCAAAAGCAGACATGACATTTTGCAGAGTCTTCAGTTTATCTTTAGAATGTATAATTATAAACTGTGCTTGAAATAAGCTGCCCAGATATTTGTGTTAACACAGAAATTCTGTTACCATTAGTTCTTGCTCAGTAAATGCAAATATTGTGAACATGCTGTTTAACAGCAGCAAATATCATGTCTCCCATTTTTATGAAAAGTAATACTGTAAAACATGCTATCAAGTAATCAACATATTTATTAAACAGTTCTCCATACAAGCCATGTACATACATACACACATTTTATTGGACAGTGTAGTAAGTGACCACAGTTGAAGTGTTCACATCCAATATCATACATATGTACATCCCCTTTATATGGTGCAACTATAGCAATACAATGACATTTTAAGGATTGCTCTTATTGTTATTTAACATATATGTTCTTATCAATATTGAAATATATATTTTTTAGGGGAAAGCAACAAGCATGTACATTAGTTTCTACGGAAGATCTACTTTCTTAAAACAACCATATTAAAATCATATATACTAGCTCTCCAATGTAGCAGAAATATCTATATCTCATGATATCTTTATCTTTCTTTGTTTCTTTCTTTCTTTTTTTTTTTATTTTTTTTCTTTGAGATAGGGTCTTACTCCATCACTCAGCTGGAGTGCAATGGTGCGGCCTCAGCTCATTGCAGTCTTGACCTCCTAGGCTCCGGTGATCCTCCCACCTTAGCCTCCTGGGTAGCTGGGACTGCAGGTGCTCACCACCACACCTGGCTAATCTCTTTATCTTTTAAAACAGCTTAAAGTATGTCCATATTTCTTCCTCCACGTGGCCTTTCTTACAGTCTTCAAACTCTGGCATCCATGGTTAGATTTTCTTTCATTTTTTGATGTGGGTTTTCAAACTTAAAAAGAGAGTATAAAGTAATCTCTCTTCTTTATTTTCTGCTACATAGACAGTTTTTAACTTTAAATATTTTACATTTCCCTAATTACAAGTTTCTGTCATTTTCTTCATCAGTCTTCAAACTATGAAATGATGAAAAGATATATTTGGTTTTAAAAAATAAAATGATGAAACTTTGTGATACTGGTGCTCTTCTTCAAAGGCCTTTGAGTCTTCTGTTTCAGTATGTATGCAACGTGCATGCTGACATGGTCTCAGGAAGTATATTAGCTGCAAGAATAACTATCTTTGCATTATGCATATGGGAAAACTGAGGCACAGAACAAAATCACTTGTCCAACATCTTGTAGAAACTGTAAGTGTGCACAGAAAATAATTGAGAGGGAGATATAATTTAATTCAAATCACTTATCAAAAGAATTCTCCTTTTGCTTTGATAATATTTTTCTAACCTCTCCTTTTTACACAGCCAAATTCTCAGCAATAACCAGAAAGTCAACCCAAATGTCATTATCTTAAGTTTATAATAATTTTAAAGTTTGGGCAGAAATTTCTCTTCATATATTCATGAAGAAAGTTTCCTGTAAGTAAATGAATAGTGAAACAAATTTGCGTAGGGGATATTTAACTACTTAAGATAACATATCTTTGTGGGTCCCTGTTAATTTGAAAGCAACTATTTCACTGCAGAAAAATTGATAAGCAATCATTCTTAAATTTGTAAGAAAAAAGACTCTAAACATCTTTATTAGCATGCTTTGTAAGTCCAAGTCCAATTCTGTTTATTTGAGACATTTATTTTATCAACCATCATCTCTCCCCGACCTCTTCTCCACTATACTGTAATTCCATGGTGCTAAGGTTATTTTTTCTTATCAGTGTAAAAATTTTATTTTCTAAATTATAATACAGCATAATCAACACTTATTTTGGTGTACAGCCCTATGAATCTTAACACATGAATAGGTTAATGTAAATATCACAAGAATCGGGGTACAAAACAATGCCCTGCCCTACAAAACTCCTACTAGCAATCCCTTTATAGGCCAATTGCCTGTCACCCCTAACTCCTGGCAACCACTGATCTGTCTCCAGCACTACAATTTTATCTTTTTGTGAATGTCATAAAATGGGATACTACAGTATGTCACTTTTTGAGACTGGTCTCTCACTCAGCATGAAGATTTGTCCAAATTGTTGTGTATATTGATCCTTTTTTTTTTTTTTTTTTTTTTTTTGAGACAGAGTTTCACTCCTATTGCCCAGGCTGGAGTGGAATGGAGCGATCTGGGCTCACTGCAACCTCCGCCTCCCAGGTTCAAGCCATTCTCCTGTCTCAGCCTCCCAAGTAGCTTGGATTACAGGCATGCGCCACCATGCCCAGTTAATTTATTTGTATTTAGTAGAGATGGGGTTTCACCATGTTAGTCAAGCTGGTCACAAACTCCTGATCTCAGTTGAGCCACCCACCTCGGCCTCCCAAAGTGCTGGGATTACGGGATCCTGTGTGCCACCACGCCAGGCAGATAGTTTGTTCTTTATTATTGCTGAGTAGTGTTTCATTGGATGGATGCACCACAGTTTATCTATCCATTCACCCTTGAAGGACATTCACATTGTTTACAGTTTTGGACAGTTACAAATAGCGCTGGTATAAATAATTATATACAGATTTTTATGTGATCATCCATTTTTTATTTCTCAAATGTAAATATCCACGAGTGGGATTTCTGCATCCTACAGTAGATCACTTTTAACTGTATTTAAAAAGGGCTGAATTCTTTTCCAGAGTGGCTGTTTCATTTTGCATTTCTATCAGCAATGTGTGCAAGTTTCAGTTGCTCTACAGTCTCATCAGCACTAGGTATAGTCACACTTTAAAAAACTAGCCATTCTAGTGATATGCAATAAATTTCATTAATATTTTAATATGCATTTTCCTCATAACTAATGGCATTGAACGTCCTTTCATGTGTTTATATGCATTTCATATATTTCCTTTCTTAAAATGTCTGTTCAAGTCTTTTGCACATTTTAAAATTAGGTTGTTAGTTTTCTTACTACTCAGTCTTGTAAATTCCTTATTTACTCTTGTTATGAGAGCTTTGTCGGCTATGTGCTTTGCAAATATTTCCTCTCAGCAAGAGAATTGTCCTCTCATTTTCTTAATAGTGAGAGTGCAAACATTTTAAATTTTGTTGGAGACCAATTTATCAATTTTTTGTTTTATGGATTATATTTTTAGTGCCATGTTTAAGAACTTTTTGCCTAACCCTAGATAATGATAGTTTTCTCTTATGTTGTCTTCTAAACGTTTTATAGTTTTATGTTTTACATCTAGATTTTTGTTCACTTTTAAGTTTTGAGTTAATTTTTGTATAAGATGTGAGGTTTAGGTGAAGGTTTAACTTTTTCCCCCTGTTGATGTTCAGTTTTTCCAACATCATTTGCTGAAAGGACAAAATTGCTTTTGTACCATTGTCAAAAAATAATTGGTCATATTTATGTGAGTTTATTTCTGGATTCTTGTTGAGGTCTATTGGTAATTGTCTATTTCAATACCACATGGTCTTGATTAGTGTAGCTATATAGTAAGTCTTAAAATCAGAAAGTATGATTCCTTTAAGTTTATTCTTTTTCAAAATCAGTTCAGTTATGCTAGCTCCTTTGCCTTTCCATAAAAACTTTAGAATCAGTTTGTCTATGTCCACAAGAACATCCGCCTAGGAATTTTATAGAAATTTCATTAAATCTATTGATCAAATTGGGTAGAACCAACATCTTTACTTTGTTGAATCTTCTGATTCATGAACATAGTGTATGTCTCAATTTATTTAGGTTAGATAGTCTGTGATTTATTGCATCCATATTTGTAGTTTTCAGCAATAGATCCTGGAAATATTTTATTAAATGTATAACTATATATTTCATTTTTGGAGCTATTATAATTTTTTTAAATTTTTTAAGTGCACTTTCCAATTGTACATTGCTAGTATATAGAAATGCAATGATTTTTGTATGTTAACCTTGTAACCTGAAAAGTTGCTAAATTCACTTATTATGTCTAAGAGATTTTTGGAATTTTCTTGGGATTTTCTACCTAGAAAATCAAGTCGCCTGTGTTTTATTTATTTCCAATAATCTTCTAGTACAATATTGAATAGAAGTTTTGTAGGTAGACCATCCTTGCTTTGTTCCTGATCATAGGGAGAAAGCATTTAGTGTTTCACCATTAACTCTATTAGCTGTAGATATTTTGTAGATGGACTTTATCAAGATGAAGAAGTTTCATTCTATGCCTACTTTGCAGAGAATTTTATCATGAATAGATGTTAAAATTTGGCAAACATTTTTTCTGCATCAATTGACATAAACCTGTCAATGTGCTTTTTTTTTTTTTTTCTGGAGGATTACATTGATTGATATCTAATATCGAGACAGCCTTGCAATCCTGGTTTACAAAATAAACCTCACTTTGTTATTACATGTTATTCATTTTACATCTTCATTTGATTTGCTAGTATTTTATTGAGAATGCTTGCATTATGGTCATGAGAAATATTTCTTTGTATTTCTCTCTCTCGTCTGTTTTGTTGTCTGGTTTTGGTACAAGGGTTACTCTTTGGAGGCCAGGATTACTCTTCTGGCCTCGTAAAATGAACTGGGAAGTGTTCATTCTTCACCTATTTTCTGAAGGAAATTTTTTGGAATTGGCATTATTTCTTCCATAATAGTTTGGTAAAATACACCAATGAAACTACCTGGGCCTGGAGATTTCTTTGGCAAAAGGATTTTTAACAATAATTCAATTTCTTTAACAGGTATTGGTTTGCCTATGTTATCTTGGTAGTACTTCATGATTTTCAAAAAATATGTTCATTCCATCTACATTGCCAAATTCCTTTACATCGATTTTTTTCATAGTATTATCTTATTATCCTTTTAATGGTTGTAGGATCTGTGATGATATCCCCTATTTATTCCTGATATTGACAATTTGTGTATTTCATTTTTTTCTTTGTCAATCTTGCCAGAAATTTATCAATTGTGTTGATTTCTAAAACCGTGCTCATTGTTTTTACTGATTTTATCTATTGTCTTTCTGATTTAAACTATTAATTTATGCTTATATCTTTATGAGTATACTCTTCATTCTACTTACTTTCAGTTTATTTAGCTCTTCTTTTTCTATTTTATTAAGGTGGAAACTTAGAGTATTAACTGAAGATCTTTCTTATTTTCTAATAGCATATAATGCTATAAGCTTTCCCTGTAAGCACTGCTTTAGCTGTATCACATACATTTTAATATGTGCATTTTCATTTTCATTCAGTTAAAAATATTTTCTAATCCCCTGAGACTTCATCTTTGACCATGGATTATTTAGAAATGTGTTGTCAAATATTTGTTCAGACATTTTCCTATCTTTCTCTTATTCACTTATACATTAATTTTGTGAGGTCAGAGAACATATTTTATATTATTTCATTTTTTTGCATTTTAAACATTGGTTTTATGAACTAGGATATAGTCTATCTTAATGAATGTTCCATGCTCCCTTGAAAAGCATGTGTATTTTCCTGTTACTGGGTGGAGTGCTCTAAAAATATCAATTAGATTCAATTGGTTGATGGTGTTGTTCAGTTCTTCTATAGTCTTGATGATTTTTTTCTCTCTTAGTTTTAACTATTACAGAACGAAGAGTTTTGAAGTCTCTAACTATAATTGTAGATTTGCCTATTTCTACTCTCAGTTCTGTTAGTTTTTGCTTCCTGTATTTTCAGTGCACATTTAGAATTGTTACATATGCTTGGTGAATTGATTCCTTTATCAATATGTGGAAACATTATCATCCTATAGTCCCCTTTATCCTTTCCTCTTTATGTCGTAGTTGCCATATATATTAGATCTGTATACATTGAAAACTCTATCATTCAATGTTAAATGTTTTGCTTTAAATTATCAAACGATCTTAGAGAACTCAAGAGGAAAAGAATTGTCTATTATAGGTACCCCAATACTTACTATTTCTTTTGCTGTTCTTTCATCCTTGTTCCAAATTTCCTTCTGGTATTATTTTTCTTCTATCTGAAAAATTTCCTTTAGAAATTATCTTAGAGCTGACTTGCTGGCAACAAATTCCCTTAATTCTCCTTCATCTGAGGATGTCTTTAGTTCACCTTCATTTCTCAGCAGTATTTTTGCTGAATATAGAATTCTGGTTTGGCAGTTCTTTTCAGCACCTTAAAATATGTGTCACTTCCTTCTACCCTCTATGGTTTCTGATGAGAAATCTACAGTCATTTAAATTGTTCCTCTATAGGAAATGCATAATTTATCTCTGCTCTTGTTCAAGATTTTTTTTGTCTTTATTTTTGTAGCATTTTGATTATGATGTGTCTGAACATGGATTTATTTGGATTCATACTGTTTGATTTTCACTGAACCTGAATCTATGGGTTATTTTCTTTCTCCTAGTGTTGGCATTTTTTGGCCATTATTTCTTCAAGTGTGTTTTAGCACCACACTATTTGTCATCCCATTCTAGAACTCCTACGATGCAAATGTTAAACCTTTTTTTTAAAAATTGTCCCACACATCTTTGAGACTGTTTATTTTTTCTCTCAGTCTGGTTTTTCTCTGTTTATCAGATTGGATAATTTCTACTGATTTATTTTCGAGTTTACTGATTCTTTCCTCTTCCATTGCCATTTTCCTATTGAGCAGACCCAATAAGATTTTTATTGTGGGTTATTGTATTCTTCAATTCTAAAATTTCCATTTGATTTTTCTTTCTATTTCTTATTTCCTATTGCTGAGGTTTTCTACTTTAACTTTGTTTCAGGAGTGTTTGTGACTGCTTGTTGGAACAATTTTTATAATAGTTTCTCCAAAAGGCTGTTAGAAAAGTCCAACATCTGTATCTTCAAAACATCCGTATCTGTTCATTGCCTTCTTGATGTAGGTTGAAATTTTTCTGGTTTTTCTTAGGCCAAATAATTTTAGATAGTATCTGGGACATTTTTAATGTGTTTTGAGACTATGTGTCTTGCTTAACTCTTATGGAATATGTGATACTTTTGTTTTACCAACCAATCAAATTGATGAGTTTCAGTCCACAAGTTCCAACTGACCTTCTCATGGCTATGGTTTCAAAACTAGGTCAGTTTTCAAAGTTTTTGCAGTTATTCAGATTTTTCCTGTGTGTGCACCACCCAGTGTCCAGTATGGTCATAGGTGCAGGTGGATCTGTTGGTTTAATTCTGGAAGTTTTTGATATGCTAAATTAGGATTGGATTCTCACTCCACTGGGGAGCCCAGGAGTTCATAAACATCTTTTCAGTTTTTTTTTTTTTTTTTTTTTGACAGAGTTTCACTGTTGTCGCTCAGGCTGAAATGCAATGGCATGATCTTGGCTCACTGCAACCTCCGCCCCCCTGGTTCAAGCAATTCTCCTGCCTCAGCCTCCTGAGTAGCTGGGATTACAGGCGCCAGCCAGCACACCCGGCTAATTTTTGTATTTTTAGTAGAGATGGGGTTTCGCCACATTGGCCAGGCTGGTCTCGAACTCCTGACCTCAGGTGATCCACCTGCCTCAGTCCCCATCAAAGTGCTGGGATTACAGGCATGAGCCACCGGGCCCGGCCAGGAGTTCATAAACATCTTTATGAGGTTCTTTTCCCAAGCTCTTAACCAATGGATTCTCTTAATTTTCTGTTTTCTTGGGGTCCTCTTTTCAGTCCTCCAACTAGAAATCTGGGGCTTTAGTTATCCTACTCAGCCACATATGCCCACATTTTTTCCACACAGTGCAAGGAGAGAGACAGAGACAGAGAGGGAAAGTAACATTGATGTGCTCCACCCTCTTGGGACCACAGCTCCACTGAAATGAGAAGAAGTCTCCTCTTCCTCAGACATCTGGCCCCTGTAGGCACCTGTTGCCATCATTGTTAGCACTTGGAGCCTGGGTGCAAGGAACAGAGAAAAAAGAAGAGACGGACAGGAGAGAAGGGAGGGAAGGGAAGGGAAGGGAAGGGAAGGGAAGGGAAGGGAAGGGAAGGGAAGGGAAGGGAAGGGAAGGGGAGTGGGGGAAGAGGGGAGGGGAGGGGAGGGAGGGAGGGGGAAGGAGGGAGGGAGGGAGTGGGTTGGGAGGGAGGGAGTGGGGAGGGAGAGAGGTGGAAGGAAGGAAGGGAGGAAGGTAGGAAGGCCACTCTCTGCCTCTACCACTCCTTAAGCCAAACCAGAGGTCTTCTCCTGGACCTCTCCCTGTCCACTTCTGGGTTTCAACTATGAGATCAAGTTAGAAGCTACCAGAAGGGGAACAATGATAAACTCACTACAAGCTTAGGGGTATTTCCAGTTCTGATCTCCTACTCTTTGCCTTTCAAAATTCTCACATAGTGACTCTGAATTCTGTCCAGCTCTCATAGCTCAAATTCAGTAGGAGACATAGGGTGAATTGTGCTTATTCCATTATATCCAAAACCAAAACTCAGGTAAAAAAGTTTCAGATTCCAAACTGAATGTATTATGCACACAAAATATGAGAAATAAAACTGCTATAAAGTTTGAAGAATAATATAATAAATACCAGTGTACCCTCATCTAACTTAAAAACTTAACACACAAACTATTCCCTGAGAAGCTCTTGTGTCTTCCATGCCTAGCCTTCTTCCTTCCATACAGAGGCAATCAGTAACTTGACCTTAAAGGTAACCATTCTCTTGTATCCCTTTATAGTTTTATCATTTTAGCATATAACTCTGTGATGATTAATATTGAGTGCCAACTCGATTTGATTGAAGGATGTAAAGTATTGTTCCTGGGTGTGTCTGTGAGGGTGTTGTCAAAGGAGATTAACATTTGAGTCAGTGGAGAGGGAGAGGTGGACCCACCCTCAATCTGAGTGGGCACATCTAATCAGCTGCCAGCACAGCTAGAATAAAGCAGGCAGGAGAAGATGGAAGAGCAGACTTGCTGAGTCTTCTGGCCTTCATCTTTCTCCCATGCTGGATACTTCCTGCCCTTGAACATCAGACTCCAAGTTCTTCAGCTTTTGGACTCTTGGACTTATACCAGTGGTTTGCCAGGGGCTCTTGGGCCTTTGACCACAGAATGAAGGCTGCACTATCGGTTTCCTTACTTTTAAAGTTTTGGGATTCGAACTGATCCACCACCGGTTTCCTTAATCTTTAACTTGCAGATGGCCAGTGGTGGGACTTCACCTTGTGATCATGTGAGTCAATTCTCCTTAATAAGCTCCCTTTCGTATATACATATATTCTATTCATTCTCTTCCTCTAGAGAACCCTAATACGAGCCCTGAAAAAGACAGTGTTTGGCTTTTATTTTTTACACTTTAACTTTTTAAAATTAAGTTTTATATAGAAAAGTGCACAGATCTTGCTTTTAGAAGTTGAATAATTATCCCAAAGTGAACACACTTTTTATCCATTACCTGATCTACATATAAAGTATCGCCAGCACCCCAGAGTCCCCTCAGACCCTCTAAATCACTATTTCTACCTTCTTCCCCAAAGGTAACCAAAAGGTACCAAAAGGTAAACAAAGATGCTAACTTCTAATATCTCAGATTATTTTTATCTGTGTCTGAACTTCATATGAATAGAAACCTACAGAACGCATGTTATATGTTTAGCTTCTTCTCCCTAAGGTTACATTTGTGAGATCCAACCTTATTGCATATAGCACAGTGGTTGATTTTCATTGCCATATAGTATTCCTATATATGAATTCTATATTTATATTATATTTATTTATATTCATTTATTACTTCATTCTCATGTTGATGAAAATTTGGGTTTGTTCCAGCGTTTTATTGTTATAAATAATATTATGAAGATATTTCGTATGTATCTTTTGGTGCATATTCTGTTGGGTGTATACCTACAAGTGAAATTGCTGGGTCACAGGCTATGCATATGTACAGCATTAGTACATACTACCAGTTTTCCAGAGTGGTTTTCCCAATCTACACTCCCACCGGCAGATATGAGCGTTCCAGTTCCAGAAGGAAGGTATTTTTTAAGACACAAACAGCCTTATTTAGAGGGAAATATCATCATCTAGAATGGATATCAGGCAAAAATGAAAAACTATAATGACAATGCTCCCTAGACTTTTCTTAAACCTTGCCCTTCAGGCTTATGACCAATGTAATCACTGGAAGATTCCCTTCTAAACTGATAAAGCTGAAGGCATAGAAGAAATAAGAAAAGCCTTAAAATATGAAATAAAATAAAGGTATATGTTTCCTGGAACAGTACAATCTTGGATTATCCCACAGAGAGATTAAAATATTATTTTCTGATAAGATTTTTTTAACTGCAAGTGCTCCAACCTTTAATTAAATGGTTCAAAGAGACCCAATAGATCTTAAAATGTAAGTACTACAAACATTTTTGAAAAGTTTTAAATAACAAATAGTCACATATATAAAGTTATGAGCTACCTTTCATTACTGACATTCTGAAGGAAATATATGGGGCTGCCTGGGGAATGTTTTTGAAAGTCTCAAAAGGCCCTAACCTGCCAAACAAGAATCCCCCACAAGCCTGTTATAATGTCAGAAACTTCCAGTATAATTCCCATTTGTCTTAAAGACCAATTGATCATTGTATCTAGAATATATATTTTCAGGGAGGTGGAAACAACACAAAGGAAATCTACTTTTTATTTGTTTTTTCAAATGATAATATCATTTTTGTCATACCTTTTTTTTTCAGGGGTGATCAATCAATGCTGAGGCATTTGTACACTTGCATCTTATGGTTTTGGAAATTGTGAGATGATTGATTATGGTCAGTATTATTCATAGAACCCATAGAACCAATTGTTCAGTCATGAGATAACTGACCTGAAGCAGATTTAACCAGCACCGTGTCATAAGGCTGCAGTCCACTGACCTACCCGCAGTCATGTTAAATGCTCAACATGAAACAATATGTACCCTGGTTAAATACTTTACACCTTTTAATAGAATCTTCTTGAACAAAAACAAATGCATAGTGTCAAAGATGAAGGAAAGTACTTTTCAAACTTTCCCAAGTAATGTTAATGTGTTGTCTGATTCGAGAATCTCTTCACTAATGTGTGTGTGTGTGTGTGTGTGTGTGTGTGTGTGTGTGATCTATGAAGCATGGAAGAATAAAGGTGTAAACAACATTACCACAAAACAATATTTGCCCTAATGAAAACCTTAGTCTAGTAGAAAAGCAATACATGTTAATACTCTGTTCAGATCCCCCAATTGTACTCATCATGTTTCATTATGATTATGTATTCATCTATCTCATTCACTATACTATGAACTCCTTATGGATAGTAATCATCTCTAACCCACCACCTGTACCATCCTCATCATTGGTCTGTGCAAGACTCATCTCATGTTATATATTTGTTCTCATTCCCCTCCCACAAAACTGCAAGTATTCTCATTCATACGTGTTAGGTATTCTTGCAAAGTATGCAATGCTTTTTTATAGGTATGGTGTTTTTTTTTGTTTGTTTGTTTGTTTGTTTGTTTGTTTGTTTTGAGACAGAGTCTCACTCTGTCACCCAGGCTGGAGTGCAATGGTGCAATCTCGGCTCAGTGCAACCTCTGCCTCCCAGATTCAAGCAATTCTCCTGCCTCCGTCTCCCGAGTAGCTGGGACTACAGGCACGCACCACCATACCTGGCTAATTTTTTTGTATTTTTTAGTAGAGACAGGGTTTCACCATATTGGCCAGGCTGTCTCGAACTCCAGACCTTGTGATCTACCTGCCTCAGCCTCCCAAAGTGCTGGGATTACGGGTGCCTATACATACATACAGGCAGATCACCGCGCCCGGCCTATATGTATGTTTTTAATATATGTAAATGGTATTGTGTTGTGTAATCCATTATGTTTCCTTATTTTTTTCATTCAGCACTATGCTTTACAGATCCATCCACATTTGCTATGTACACACCTAGACCACTACTTCTAACCTCTGAGCAGTACTCCACATGTACACCTACCAAGTTCTATGTATCCATTCGTCCAGTGATGGACACACCAGCTCCTTAATACTGCAACAAACACCATTGCATGTATGTCATGGACAGTGTGAGAAGTTCTTTGGGAGGCATATCAGGAATAAAACTGCTGGGTCATGCAGTATGCATATACTGGCTACAGCAGTCTACAGTTCTACAACCTATGTGAGGAGTCTCAAATTTCCACATTTTTGCCAACATGGTGTTTTATAATACCTATTTCTAATTTTTACTTAATTCATGTTGTTGGAATTTGCATTTCACTTAATGAGTTTAAGCCCTAACTATGCCAGCTATTTCTTTAGGATTCCTCTTCTGTAAACTGCCTGATCATATACTTTGCCTACCTTTTAAACTGAGATTGCTATCTTTTTCTTCTTAATTTGCAGGCTTCTTTTTATACACTAGATACTAATCCCTCATCAGTATTAGGCACTATAAATAATTTATTTTGTTCTCTTGAGTATTAACTTTAATATGTTCTTCGTTAAATATACATACTTAAATTCTATATAAATAAGTTAATGTCTGCCTTAATTTATGCCTTTGAGATTTAAAAAACTCCTTTTCCATTTGTAGATCATGAAGATATTCTCCTGCATTTTCTTCTATTTCTTTCATAGTTTTACCTTCCACATTTATCTCTATAATACATCTGGAGATTGTCTTGGTAAGAGGCATTAGGAAGAAACCCAGTTTTGTTTCCCTCCATGTAGTAACATTTTCAAAAAGCAACAATACACAGTCTGTCTTTTCCCCGTTAATTTTTTGGTGCCACCTTTAGTAAACGTTTCACAATTTATGTTTCTCTGTGCTTTTATTCAGTACTATTGGTTGCTTGTCTTTTCAAAATGTTCAAAATAGGCTGTTGAAGAATACTGTTCAAAATACTAAAAAATACTGCAAAAGTATTAAATTTTAACTTGATAAAAATATGGATAAATGGCTAGGAGATCTTTATTCTTCCACATAAGTTTCAGATTTACGCATCGTATTTATCCTTATATTTCCCAGTACACGGCATAGTACCTGAGACAAAATAGGCCAAATAATACATTTCTGAATAAAAAAGATTAAATTACAACTATGTAGATGGACAAAAAAGCGCTAGGTGAGCATGGAGGCCAAAGACTACATGTGAGATGAGACAAACTGGATTTTAACCAACAATTTGGCTTTAGCAGGGATAGTTTAGTTTTAAAGGCAAATAGGTGAACATATAGCTATTGAAATATAGCCCATTTATGTAATTCTTTAGCAAATCTGCTTTGCCATCTGTCTTTGTCTCTAAATAACTTGGAGTTCAAGAGTTTACAGGAGGTTGCACTGAAGCTCAACTTTTTGGTAAATGGTTATGGAGCACTGAACTCACTCTCAAAAGAACAAACAAACAAAACAGTGCTGACTTCCTGTCCACTGCAATTCATCTCTCTCTGCAATTGCCATGACAGTCTCTGATTACTGATATTATTATCCCCAGAAGATGGTTCATGGAAATTCTCATCCCCTGCTAGGCTGTCCCAGTTTCATAAAGTGAAAATCTGGTCGGCTTACTCTTGAGGGGAAAAAAAGGCCACCAAAAAAAAAAAAAAAAAAAAAGAAGAAGAAGAAAAAGGCAGTTTAAAAAAGATACCAGCTGCCACGATGCTGCATTAATGCAAACACAGCAGAGTGAAGAGAGGATCTCTATTTTGCTGTTTCATTTCTCTTCTTCTTTTCTACTCCTTTTGTGACAATATCACCAGAGAGTTAATGGAAGCACTGTTATAGAATTTTCTGAGCAATAAAATGGCTACCTTCCATTATTACCTCAATCCCAATATCATCCTCCCTCTAGAGTAGGAGAATTTAGCAGCAGTCTTCCCTCTTTTAATCTGTCTCCATCTCCCACTGCCCTTTTCCAAATATGGTATACATATGTGTAGCTACACCATATTTAAACTGGCAAAATATCTTGGTGGCACCAATGAAATCAATAATACATCACTAACTAGGATGTCCTGAACTTTATATTTGTGAACTATATAGTTGTTCATCTTAAATGCCTCTGTATTGACAAGGTGTGTATTTATTTAAAATTATTGTAAATAAAAGTAAACTACTTTAAAAAGATAAACTAGGCTGGGCATGGTGGCTCACATCTGTCATCACAGCACTTTGGGAGTTCGAGGCGGTTGGATCATTTGAGGTCAAGAGTTTGAGACCAGCCTGACCAACATGGTGAAACCCCATCTCTACTAAAATACAAAAATTAGCCAGGCATGGTGGTGGGCGCCTGTAATCTCAGCTACTCTGGAGGCTGAGGCAGGAGAATTGCTTGAACCCAGGAGGCAGAGGTTGCAGTGTGCCAAGATTGTGCCACTGCACTCCAGCCTGAGCGACAACAAGCCTCCCTCTCAAAAAAAAAAAAAAAAAAAAAAAAAAAAAAGTTTTCATGCACCTTAAATACTTTCAGAACACTCATTTAGGGGATTGATAACATTAATGCTAAAAACAAAACCCATGCAGATAATTTTGTCTAGCATTTATCTTACAGATGAGGAATATAAAGCTTTGAAAAGCAAAATAACTTGATACCATCATTAAGGCAGCCACCCAAAGATTTCTACAAAGCCAGTTTTTATTAGCTTATATCCAAATGTAGTTTCAACACTGCATTCATAATTTTCTAACACACTTATTAATGTTTCATTTGACTTTAATCAGGTAAATGTTCCTAACATATTAGTATTTACATTTATAACACCAACATCAGTTACTCTCTCCTTTTTATTTAATTTAGAAGCTATTGGATATATTGATTTATAATCTGTAACAGTAAAACACTAAATATGGCAGGAAAGTATATTAAGGAATATGAGGTATGAATCCACAAATGAGAAAAATTGGAATTCTCAAAATATATTCTTATTTATATTAAAAGTTTTCAATGAAAGACAAATTGTAACTATTTTACAAAGATAAAAAGCATTGCTGACCCACTATTACTGAAAACACACTAGAATAATTATTGCCTTTTAATATGCTCTCTTCCTACCTTAAAACAATTGAACCTAAAGATAAAATATAAATATTAATTGAAAATGAGTTGTTCTGCAGTCAGCCACGGGGAAAATCCCTAAAACACAACATAAAAGAAAAAAATGCATAAATTAAACTGGCAAAGTTTAAATGTTTCTACTTTTATGTACATTACATGCTTTTTATAATGAGTATGAATAAATGATACCAAAGAAAATCTTGGTAAATATTGGAGTGAACCAGTTCCTAAATAAACCCTCAATTTTTTTTCAACATATTCCATAATTTCCTCACTAAGACAGGATATTCTCCAGATGTATAAAGACTACAGAAAGCAGATGCAGATTATCCTCAAAATAATTGCAAAGATTGGTAGCTTGTCAAATATAGCGTCCTCATCTGAAGAAATTAACTATAGTTAGCAAGCATCAATAACAATGGAAAGTCATTTTTCAGAGATATTAACAGATGTAAGCTACATTTCCTGTGCCCATGAATTGCCACACCAACTTCCTCTGGTCCTCTTCTAATATTACACAGAAATTAAGGGGGAGTGGGGATGGAGCTAGGGGTTGGTGGGGAGACAGGTCTGGTAGCTATACGAAAGGAGGAGTAAAGAAAAATCAAGAACAAAAAATTTTTTTTCTATGTATCTAGGGTTCCCATCACCATCCTTGCCTACCCTTCTGTTGCTACCTCCCAGCTCCCCCAACAACAACAACAAAAAATGGGATTCATTTTACCATATTGGTCAAGGAAAAGAATACCTGACCCTAATGATAATCCGACGTTAAGGAAGCCAGATGTGTACTACACAAATATATGAAAGGAGGATAAAAAGTTATGGACACATTCAAGCAAATGTTTCAAGGGGAATGAAGATTTATGGCATAAATCTAATAGGAAAGATGTGTTGTGAACCATCTGGTAACTGACTTTTATAGCCCCATACATTAGCATCTGTTGTCATGTTTTCAAAGTACAGAATTCCAAAACTGTGCTGATGAGTCTTCTGAATGCAATGAGTTTGCTATGCACTGGGTTTTTTTTTTTTTAATCCTTAAGAAAATAGGCTTGGACTTGACCTCTAAATGACATTTTGTATGGTGTTTTATTGATTCACATAAGCACTCTCCCTGTGATACCTTTGTTTAGCCCTCACAACCACGTTATGGGCAGGTGGGCATTATAATTATAACCACCATTTTACAGATGATGTAGTTGAGTTCAGAGAGTGTCAGTGATTTTTCCAAGGTTATGTGGGTGATGGGTGCATAGCCAGGACCTTGAGCTATACATTCCTTGATTTATTCACTTCCTTAGATGGTCCATCAGCTTTGAAACAAAATGCAAGCTTTGTCAGCTACCAGAGTATCCATCCTCCTGTGGCTCACCAGACTGCTCTGAACAAGGTGTAAATTCCTTGAGTGGAGAGACTAAGGATTCTGAGTGCCTTGCAAATTAACTTTCTCAGGAGAACAGCAAAGCACTGTTGAATGAAGTAATGAAAAAAGGAAAGCCAAGTAATTCCTAGCACCTAGAATATACTCAACAACATGCTAGATGCTGGAATAAATAAACAAAATACAGACTGTGTCCCAGTAAGACCATCAAAATGGAAAGTGCAAAGTGTGAGTTGTTATAAGAACTGAATTGTTCAATATAAACATATATATTTGTGTAGTCAAGAGTATCTCACAGAGAAGTTAGGATTTCAACTGTATTTGGAAATAATAAACTTAATATCAATGCAGAAAATGGGTGGGGGTAGAAGGTAGCTTTTAAACACACTAAAAAGAAAGCAGAAGAAAAATAATAGAGTTTTTAAAGTAGCATTAAAAATGATCTCAGTAAAATTGAAAATGTATTCATTTTATTTTTAATGTCCAAGTTTATATAATAAGAAACCTAATCACTTCATACTTTGTCAGCTGTCCAAGAGGGAAATCATGTTTTGATATTTTCACTCTTTTATTTTAAGAGTCACGATTTGGAAATCATTGTCTGAAAAAAAAAAAATGCTCTCTAAAAGCATAAGTCTATATTGACCGAAATCTACCGCTTTCCTTATTTAAACTATGTGGAGTACCAACAATGTGCTAAGACAATGGCAGACCCAGAGGCATGTTAAATCCTAAGCAGGGTTTGCTCTTAAGATACTTTGCTCAGGCTGGGCGCAGTGGCTCACGCCTGTAATCCCAGCACTTTGGGAGGCCGAGGCAGGCGTATCATCTGAGGTCAGGAGTTCGAGACCAGCCTGGCCAACTTGGTGAAAGAAACCCTGTCTCTACTAAAAAATACAAAAAAAATTAGCCAGGCATGGTGGCAGGTGCCTTAATTCCAGCTAGTTGGGAGGCAGAGGCAGGAGAATCGTTTGAACCTGGGAGGCGGAGGTTGCAGTGAGCCGAGATCTAGCCATTGCACTCCAGCCTGGGGGACAAGAGCGAGACTTCTCTGAGAAAAAAAAAAAAAAAAAAAAAAAAAAAAGATACATTGCTCAGTGTGATTGCCATGAACACTTGCTTAAAATAAAGAGTTTGAATATACAGGTTACAGAAGGGAGACAGTAGCGAATGGAATCCGAGAGATTCTATTGCTTCGATGGGGCCATAAAGCTTAAGCTTAATCCAGAGGAGTAGACAAAAAGGTAAAGCTCTAAGTCTGTCTCATCAGAGTCCTTTTCCATTAGGTATGTCTTCCTGCTCCAACATGAGGTCCCTGCAGTATAAGGTTTCATCAGAGGCAGGTAGAACAATTAATTAGCTGCTGCTCTCCAACTAATACACCCCCTAATGGTAGCACCACAAAGATTCAGGGGCATGCCTGTAAGAGCAGTCAGTTCCAGGTAGTTACTGTGAAGAATATCACTGCAAATGAGGATCAATGTCCAACACCACTTTGGAATAGTAATTTCTTAATTCTTATTCAAATCTGGAAGCAAGATAATATAACTTGATCTGAATTGGCCATGTGATCCTGATGGCGTCCTGCTAATGGGCTGTTCACTTAATTTATGTAATTTAAAAAAATTAAATAGTCATATTTTAAATCCCCACTGCAGTCCTTCAGAATGAAAGTATGCATTTAAAAGTTCCAGTGTCTTTATAAATCAGCATTACCAAACTTCTTACCTTGTTGACTATGTTCTCCTAAAGTTTTACCTTTGCTTGGCTCCCCTTTTGGCTTAGGAGGGAACATTCCAGAATCCCATCAGCAAGTCACTTAAGGCTCTGCTGCAGGAAACTAGGTTTGTCAATTTGGTTTTACACTGAAACATAAATCTCCTGCTTTATGAATATATAGTAAGAACACAGCATGCTGCATGACAGATATATTTGCAAAAAAGACTTAGATAGCAGGGCAAATGCCATGTTCAAAAGCCAACAAAATCAAATTCACTCTTTGTTACACACACGATTCCAGAGAAAACACATTTCAATTCATGAAACATTTACTGAGAGCCTACTATGTTCAAGGCATTGTGCCAGCTACTGATAACATTATCTTTGTTTTTAGATCAATTTATTTGCCTTGGTCTATGTGTGCAGTGGCTGCCCGAAACTTCCTTAGGCTTCTCGTGGGTTCAAGGTTTAGAATAATCATATCAGCAAAGGGAAGGCTTGTCAGAGGCCTTCAAAACTTCTCATTAGCTGCTAAAATCTTTGCTTTGGGCATTCTTCAGTACCTGGAGCAGTCTTCTCAGTTTCCTCTAGTCTAGGACAAGACAACTTTCTCTGGCACCTTTTGTCAAAGATCCAAAGAGAAATGGACATTACGTCTCCTTTAGAACATGCCTGAACACAGACTGGCTGCTTTCTGTGTTGGGCTCTGCTGTAATTGCAGTGAGGTTTACAGCTGCTTTGTTCTGGTTTATAAATAATTTCTTAATAAATTAACAAAACCATTGGTGACAGCCACAGGATACAGCAGTATGTAAAGAGGCCGGCCACATTCCACACACATGTTCTGCCTTGTTCTTTTGTTTTTCTGTTTTTGTTTTGCATGTGTGTGTGTTATGTTTTGCTATTATGGAACAGGAAATAGGATGAAGTCAAATGACTTTGTATTCTGCTAATCCTCTCCTCTCAGCTTGTACTGGGTCCCTGAAAGGAAGGATAAATCAATCACTACACCACATAGTCCAACTATTCCAAGTAGGAGGAGAAAAGTGGCTAGATGACTTATGGTTCAGAGCAGATTTAAGGAAGGCAGCAAGATACATGACAGAAAGAGAGAGATGTTTGATTCATTTAAATAAAAATAGAATTATATTAAAATCTGTGTTCATTTAACATATTCATTTAATCATATATAAAATATGTATGAACACATAAGGTATACACTATATGAGAATATATAGTACATAGTAAAATACACAAATAGGATATATGTTCACTCTACAGACATATGGATATGCCTGTGTACAGAACAATGAGATGGAGTTTCACAGATTGGCTTCTAAAGATGTCTGGGGAGAGGAGGCATGGGATGAGGGGTGCTGAGGAGCAGGTGGAGTATGAGGAACCACTAGTCTGAGCAGTTTCATTTTATCCATCTATAAATTAAGGCTCCCGGTTCCAAGTTAGATTTTGCTTGGGAAAAGTCACCCATTCTCCCACTATTTTTTTTTTAATAGTCATTTTTGTTTTTATTGAATGTTGATGCAATCTTAAAGGTTTTTTTTTTAATGATTTCCATCTATTTCCTTATTCATCAATTTTAATTTCATCTTGCCAGGGATTTTCCTTAAAAATATTCTGAGATCATTTTAGATTCATAGGAAAGTTTTAAATATATTTGTGTTTCCTTTAGTGTCTTCTGACGCTATTTTTCATTTTTTGCTGCTCCCCAAATATACGGGCTATCTTTTTCTCATATAGGTTGATCTCCATGTGGCCCTCCTCCCTCCCTCAGATAAAACAAGCTATGCTTACTCCCAGTTCCATTTCCTTCCACTCGTTCAACCACTACTCGTTAAGGCCAAACTCATGCCTCATTCCTACAAAAATCCCTTCTTAGAACCTCTAGCCTGTAACCATCTTCGTCCCTTTTTTTTAAAAAAAAAACTCCTTTTCCTCTATTTGACCTTCCAATTGATGTCATGGGTTTCTGAAGATACTTTCCTTGTTGTGTAATTCATTTTTATTTTTGAATTGCTAGAGTAAGCCTAGTATGAATAATCTCTGAGTAGACGTGTCCCTTAGGTAGGAACAACCAGCTGAACACAACTGGGATCTTCTTCCCTACCCTGCTGCAGCCAACCTGAACTATATGCATCCACTTCATTTTACATTTCACTTGAGACAATGCACTGTCCTGTAGGGTCACCTGGAGCTGCAACAGGGAATTTTCTCTCCGTATACCTAACTGACCAGAGCTTAAAACAATTCCAGATCTCCTGATCTATTTGGCTGGATAACATAAGAATGCTATTTTGGTGAAGGTGAGGTGATGTTCATTTAAACTGATAGCTACTGTCTACTATTTTAAATGCAGTAGAAGATGTAGTCACAGAGGAAATATATCTAATGGCAAACAAAACATATAAGAAATAGAAGCCATCTTTGGGTTTGAAAAAAGTATAGTAAAGAATTGGCAATACCAACATCATAATCCATGAATGTGCTGTAAATATGCCTTGAAAAGCTTCCTCATCCTCCAATATGCCTGTATTCCTTCAAGAAGTCATTTAACAACTATTTTTATTCCACTTAAAAATTGCATTTTGTTTTTCCATTATCTTAATTACTAGATTGCCAGGATCCACAAATATTTTATAACACTGCTTTCTTTCTTTCTATTTATTGATTGATTGAGACAGGTTCTCACTCTATCACTGGGGCTTGAGTGGAGTGGCATGATCTCTTCTCACTGCAGCCTTGGCCTCCTGGGCTCAGGTGATCCTCCCACCTTAGCCTCCCAAATAGCTGGGACTACGGGCGTGTAACACCATGCCTGGCTATTTTGTTTGTTTGTTTGTTTGTACTTTTTTTAAATACAGGGTTTTGCTATGTTGCCCAGGCTGGTCTCAAACTCCTGGGCTCAAGCAATCCACCCGCCTCGGTCTCCCAAAGGGCTGGATTTACTGGTGTGAGCCACGTCGCCCCGCCCCTTATAACAACTGCTTTCATTCTTTGGGCAGTTATCCACAACTCTTTAAGAAAGTATCATTTTCCTCACTTTTCAGATTTAAAACCGATCGTCCAAGTGGCAATTAATTTGTCCACAGTCATTAAGCATACAGAGTAGAGTTTCCAACTCTGTTCTGGCCAATTCAAAAGCCCAGATCCTCCCACAGAACCACGCTGACTCACAGTTTAATATATACAGTATTTCAGCTACATATCAGTTAAGTAAACTTTCCTGGAATTGCCAAATTATATATATTACATTCATACTGTAGGAAAATAGCTTTTTAATTTCATGGAACTGATTTCAAACTTGAACTATCAGAACTATTAGAACACAAGCACTTTAAATTCTGAGACTCTCTATGCTAGTACATGTCTGAATTAGGTCAAGAAAAATAGGAAAATTTACTCTTGGTTGTTAAACATGCTGTCGCTTTTATACAAAGATGATATTGCATGTACATCCTGGCATGTACTTGGAATTGTTCCTTAAAGTGATGATGATTGTTTAATTTTTTAAAGAGTATGTATACTATGGTTCTGTTTATGGAACCCCATTTTTTTCTGTTTGTTAATGTAACTGACCTATTCATAAATGCTTTAGAATTTTCTGCCACATGCTGAAACTCCTACCCACTTCCTCTGAATGGCTTGTTTTCTCTCTCTGAAAAACTACAAGGTACTCATCATCATTGAACTGTATTAAAAGATATACCTAAATGCATTCATATCTCTCCATAGAACTTTCATATAAAAAGGATAGAAAACATTTCTTTAAAGCCATAAGAAGAAGCACTTTCCCCATTTAAAAATGTTAGTTTTCAGTCTCCTGGTGACAAAAAGGAGCTAAATCTTAGATGCAGTGAAGTTCTATTCACTTTGAATATTCATTGTTATGGTGGTTTCTCTGCCTGATTGGTTAAAGAAGACAACACAATTTGTAATTGACTTTTTTTTTTTTACCACCAAACAACTAATTTTGTCTTCTAAAAAAAGCTCTAGGGTTTATTAACTGTGCAATCACAATTTACTGAGGTCCTCTCATCAAATTAGCCCTGAAACAATGCAATTTTTCCTTTATTTTACTTCTATTTCAAGAAGGGCTTTCCAGTATGCCTCTTATTAAGACCGACAGTCACTCTCCTCTAATTTAGGTGTTTTTCTCATGGCAACAATTCGTTATTACAGCTGCAGAATTTTTAAAATCCAATTCTGGGCTTCCTTTTCCTTATTTCCTATGGCATCATAAAATGTGTTACCTTCAAATTGTAGTAATCTCAGGCTCTTCAAAGCAATATGCTCTGTTGTCCTTTAGAAAAAGGAATTTCAATCTAGGAATAATTCGCTAAATTTCTGAGACTATTTGCTTGTTTGTCTTATTTATTCATGTATTTTACACTTAGGCTTTATAATAACAAGCTTCAATAAACTATAGTGTTAAAATCTTTTTTTTTAAGTGTTCATTTCTTTCAGCATGTCCAGCAAGATAAATTTACTATAGTTCACCTTTCTCCATTTTACCTACAGGGTCATGGGATTCGTACAGACTCTCACCAATACCTATATCAAAACTTGCTTCTACAGAATCACAGAAATATTCTTTATCTAGTTCCTAGCACCCACCTTAACACTTGCCCCTCAAAGGAACAGCCAATATCCCCAATGCCAAATGAGTGTGTGAATGGAAATCCAGAAATAGAGCCCCGAAGATCAATAGATGTGACTGAGAAAGCGTTTACGTTCTCAGGGCTAGAGTTCACTGTGTTTCTAAGTGGATCAGAGATATGATCCCCAGCCACTGTGAATGGAAAGGAAACTAGATGCCATCAGAGGGAGATACAAGTACTAATGCAGTGAGGTAATGCGGCAAAGAATAGAAGAGTCAAGGAATGAAATGCTGCCCTGAGGAATCTTAAAATAAGCTCATCCTTGCATCCCAATCCTCAGAAGAATGAGAAAAGGTAAAGGACAGAATTTCAGAGTTTAAAACCTTTGGAACTGAGAAGTGTGAACTTTTACTTCCTGTGCCTATCAACTGAAGTTACACCCTGAGCCGTTGTAGTGTTATCTCAGCATGTTTCCCTGCGAATGTAATAAGCGAAAGATTGCTGACATCCTTCCAGTTTGGTGGGAGGGGGTCAAAATGCTGACTCTCCACACTGAGAGATCCAGCAGGGGTGGCCCTGACACATATTCTGACTGGACATTTCTAAGAAGGTTGCTGAAGCACAAATTTCAAGCCAAAATGCCTAGGAAATGGTCAACGTAGAGGGTTTTTGCACATGCTAGGCACACTGCAGCAGGCTTTTTTGCAGAAAGCAATTCAGCAGGCTGTCAATCAAAGGTCCTGAGGCTGAGAGGCCATGGACACCCACTTCTGACCTTGCTGGGCTATCAGGACAAGGAGCATAGAAAGTGGCTGACAGCAAAAATCCCCCCAGTGAAGGAAAATGAAATTAATCTGTTTATAAAAGGAGTTTCTCCATTCTGGTCTTCCTTGCAAACCCATCGTGCACCATACTCTGATTTCACCTAAATCTCTGGAAGCCAAATGAGGTGCTGTCAGAAAAGTAAAAGGGCACCACTTTTAGCAATTTCCACAAAAGCAGGTATTTATAGTTTTAACATTTTTTTTGTTTTGTTTGCCAACAGTATTTCTCAGTGGGTAGGACATCTCACATATCCACTGATTTCGCTTTCCTGATAAATCAATTCTCAATAAATCAAGTGACTTCTAGGTGAATATATGTGAAGACATTTAAGTATAATAATTATTTTACTGTGTATAGAAAGTGGAGGAAAAGATGAAAAGGTCTCTTTTTATTTACTTTAACCAGGTTAAAAATACTGAAATCTTATATGGAGATAGCCCAGCATGCAGATTGAATAAAGTCAATCTTATCTCCACATTAAATGACTTTAATAGGCTGGGTATGGTGGCTCACATCTTAATTTCAGCACTTTGTGAGGCTGAGGTGGGAGGATCACTTGAGGCCAGGAGTTCAAGACCAGCTTGGGGAACATGGGAAGATCCTGTCTCTACAAAAAGTACAAAAATTAGCTGTATGTGCTGGTACATGACTGTAGTCCCAGTGACTTGGAAGGCTGGAGTGGGAGGATCACTTGTGCCCAGAAGGTTGAGGCTACAATCAGCCATGATAGCACCAATGCACTCCAGCCTGGGTGACAGAGTGAGACCCTGTCTCAAAAAAATAAAAATAAAAATAAATATATGCTTGCAATAAACTGAACTTGATTGCTTGAAAATTTGTTGAGTTGGGGTGTTTTATAAAGCCCATATCATTTTGTCCTTATGAATGAACTTTGATAGATTAATGAGCCTAGTCACTTATTGGAATACAGCCACAAGCTATGAGCTGCGGATGCAAAAGTGAATACAATACAATTCCAACTTTATTGTTCAGGAGTTTTTGGTCCAGAGGGGAAATCTTAAATATAACTGACCACTATGATATAATAAATTATGTGACCCTATCACTGCTCCTGTTGGGCTGGAAATAACAAAATGAGGGTTTTACAGTGAACATTTATTGAGCAATTCCAATGTATAGAAGAATAAACTCAGCCAAATACATCCCCTTATTGCCCTCACCCTGAAAGTGTTCTCCATTGCCTAGATGGACACATGGATGCATCAACCTGGGACACATGACCTGTGATATAAAAACCCAAACTATGGGAGTCTTGCCTAGACCAAATAAACACACATGTAGTTTCAAAATAAATACAAATTCACACACATACACAAAAACACATAAAACTGTGTGCATGTCTCTCCTATCGCACTGTTTCTTTTAAATGTTTGTGTCCCTACTATGCAAAATCGTCCATTTAATTTCCCCACCCAACTCCTGAACCTTCGAGTAATAACTTCTAGGGAAGAAGAAATAATAAAGAATGATTACACGATCTTATTTGGGCAAAAAGCTAACATATGGGTATCAAGGCCAAAAATATGGATTTCAAGAAAAAACATATGGACGCCCATATGGAAAAAAAGGTTTCCTGGCCGGAAACTCTGTTGTTGCATTTTTTATGCCTATATGTATGGTACAGTTTTTCCCTTTTCTTGAACAACGCTGTCTGCCGACAGATTATAACATTATAAATTCACATGCAAATTTTATAAAATGCTCCACTGTTATCATCTTTATTAGATTTTTTTTACATTCTCTTAATCCTTTTCATCACTTAATAGCTCAACAAGTAATGGAGTTTTAGTAAAACGGTGAAGCTTATTACAATCAATCCTGTGGCTGAATCTCTCCTTGATGCTCAACTAATGAAACTTACTTTTCTCCAGAACCTCAAATAGAAAATCCTTTCCTTTGCACACATACACATGCATGGGGACGTGCATATGCACACACGTGCACATGCACACGCACACATACGTGAGCAGACACATACACACGTACATATTAGGTGGCTCACTTATGATCTGGAAGAATAAGCCTGCTTTTGTCTTGAGAAACTACACAAGCTTGGCAACAGTCACTTGCTCGTGCTCATCAGCTTAGATCCTAGACAGGACCCGTACCATAGAGATAGCAAAACATGGGTCAACTAACAGGTATACTGTCAATAAAGTTTCCATCTTAGTCTCTTAGAATTTATTCATGGAGACCTTTTTTAGGGGGCAGAGGAAATAAAGTTATCAAGAAAGAAGAGGAGGTTTTTAAGGAAAACAAATATACTCTTAGTGTGGTGCCCGCTTTTTTTTTTTTTTTTTTTTTTTGAGATGGAGGCTTGCTTTCTTGCCCAGGCTAGAGTGCAGTGGCACCATCTCAGCTCCCCACAATCTCCACCTCCTGGGTTCAAGCAATTCTCCTGCCTTAGCCACCCGAGTAGCTGGGAGCTGGGACAACAGGCATGTGCCAGCATGCCCGACTAATTTTTGTACTTTTAGTAGAGACGGAGTTTCACTGTGTTGGCCAGGCTGGTCTCGAACTCCTGACCTTGTGATCCTCCTGCCTTGGCCTCCCAAAGTGATGGGATTACAGGCATGAGCCACCGTGCCTGGCTGGTGCTCACTTTTAAGCAAGTAGATTCTTTGTGAGCAGGTATTTAAATTTGAAGTTATATAATGAATAAAAGAAAACATTATTTAATGGAAAACTTAGTGTGCCCCTTATGGCATTCAGATAATTAGAACATAATGTTAAACTCTGATCTTAGAATATGATACTTTAGGGGCAAATATATCAGGCATGCCTACCAAGAAGGAGACCCTCTCCCTAGAGATCTGTTTATTTTGCAGTTTTAAGGGGAAAGGGCATACTTCCTGATTTTTGGTCCCTGGAGCCCTAGATTTCTAGTAAGAGCATTGACTTCTGAAGGTTCCCTACAGCGTTTATATACTACCTCTCCTGGGGGAAAGAAAACTAGCCTCTATGTAACAAAAAATCATATTATGGGGAGTTTAGCTGTGGTATTTCAAGCTATGAGGAAATATTTCAGTTCCTTCTATCCTCTTTATGGAAGCTAAAGTGGATGTTGGGGGTTTGGAGGACCTCAGTTCATGCAGGCTGAGTCTGTAGGATTTGTTCTGAACCAATTTATACCAACCGTCTAGAAGGCAAAGAAAGTAGGGAGAAATTAAATTCAGCGAAAGGACGAAGCAGTGGCAAGCTGATCTATGGCAATGAACACAGCACTGTCCTCACATACTTTAACAGCACTCAGCTATTACAGCAATTACAGCTAGCACATCTGAATTATTTAATCGTCCTCTCCACCACCCGCCCTGCTTGGCACCTCTAGAACCAGAATAAAAGCCCAACTCCTCCCCTCACTCTTTGCGTTCTTAATATATGATGGCCAACCTTGCCTTGTTTTAAGGCGATTTTCTTCAGATAAAGGTTACCGTGATCAGTCATTAACCATATCCAGTTTCTGCCCACAAGAATAAAGTCCAAATTCCTTAGCTGCACATTTAAGACTACTCACAATCTGGTCCTAAGCTACCCTTCCAAACTTAGGTTCAGTGATTCCTTTTGATATGTACCAAACTCAACAAACTATTTGCTATTCGTTGAAACAAAACAAATATGGGACCGGCTTCCAAGCTTTTGTTCATGGAGTCCTTGCTGCCTAGAATGCTCCTCCATCCATTCTGTTTCCTTTAACAGCATGTATTGAGCAAACATTCTGCCAGGCAATATCACAGACAATGGAAATCTATTGGTGGCCAAATACACACAGTTCCTGAATGGAGGGAGCTTACAATTTACTCAACATCTACACCATCCTTTGAGGTTCAGCAAGAATTACTCCATTCTATATCAGATAAGACTGAAATTCCAGTGTCTAATGTAGTGCCAGGGCCCCATGAGGCACACAGGAATAAATAGGAGCTTTAAGGATATAAATAAAATGAACTTTAAAGATAAATCATGAAATAATTATGTTGCTATTAAAGAAATATTCAGCCCTCCATTCATCCAGTTGTCTATGTCATTTGTCCTAGACACAGTGTCTGGCAAGCAGTAAGCCATCAATACATCTTCATTTAATTGTAAACAGGAAAGGACATATTTCCTTCCTTCAAGGAGCTTAAAATCTTATAGAAATGTATAAGATGTAAACACACAGGCAAGAAATACATACTAAAGTATGTATTTCTACATACATATTTCTAAGTATGTAGAAGTACATACTAAAAAGCTTATTGGAAAAACAATGTTGGCAAGGAAAATGACATGCTGCAAAGTAAAATAAATGTAAACTTTGTTTAGTGACTGCTCCTAAAAGGTACATTTGAAGGAAGGCTGCTTCATGATTACTAAGGGAATCGAATGCACCAAACTACAGGAATCAAAACTAATTCAAACTTATTTTCTAAATGCAATGTAATGTTTGATTCAGTTAAAAGAGATGATATGATTTGGAATTGAGTCAAAACAACACATTATTCAATGATTCTGGAAAGGTTTTTTCCAAAATGCATGTTGGCTTCAGTGTGTGGAAATGTTGACCTCCTGACCTGGAACAGAGGCAAGTGATTTTCATTGTGTTTATACTGTGGATTTTTCTCATCTCTAATCCCGGTTTGCCAAATTGAGTATTCTGCCCCGATTATAACCTATGTTCTGCTTGACTGTGGATCATCCTGCAAAAGCTATAACTATGGGTCAGATCAGGAAACTATGACCTGGTAGTGAATTTCATTTCACAGACTCGGGAGCCAAAATGTACACAGTCTTAAAAAAATAGATGCCTTAAAGCCAATGCTCAATTTCTCTTTTAAAGGTCTTTGGTCATAACTCCCTGAGTCAGGTAATTTGTCCTGCAAATATTCTGAAAGAGTCAGAATCAACGAGACAAACGCAAAATGAACTACACCAGCCAGGTCCTATGGTAGCTGGAGTGAATCATCTATATTTACACAGCCCCTCAATCAAATGCTTGGGTAGAGTAGCTGTGTTTATTTCTCTTGGTGGCATCTAATCTCTTTATTAAGTTCGTTGTCTTTACAGAGGAACTAGCAGGCTATAACTTAAAGGCTCTCCTCCTTCCCTCCTAGCTGAAAATCTTATTTTTAGAAAGAACAAAAGACGAGGGAGCTGGGGACTCGGGAAAGAGGCAGTATGGGGAGGGAGGAGGAAGAGAGCGATTACTTGCCAAACCAGCACATGTTCACCAGAGAACACGGTCAAGTGGTCAGGAGCAGCACTGATGTTAATTAGCAATGAAATGAGGAATGAACCAGCATTAGCCCCTAGACTAATCAATGGGAAAATCACTCCAAGCAGCAGCTTAATGAAGTAGTATACAGCTGTTTATTTTTAGTCTGTTCTATCCTGATTCCTCCCCCATCCACGTTAATTTTTTTTAAAAAGATTTAAACTTGCTAAAATATATTTCTTTTCAAGTCTAGTACAGCTCTGATTTATGTATCTCCATTATAATTCCCTATAATTGCTGTTTTTCAATTTGTGTGGACAAACCATGCAAATTGGGCTGGGGGGCGGATAAACCCTTGCACCATGCCAGAAATATGCTTTTTTCTTTTTCCCATCTTTAGATAGACATCCATATTAGTTTTATTTTCTAAAACATCACTGCATTTCCTTGAAGTGTAAAACAGAGCTAATTTTTTAATAAGTGCACTGTGAATGAAATACTGTTGACAGCAAATAAGACCCTGTCGCCATTCCTTTCATGTGTGAGGAAAATTACTTAGAAAATTTTTGCTTGTTTCTTACTTTTAAAAATATGACTGTCATCCATCTAAGAGCAAACTCATAAAACCTATTAATTAAGACCTATTGATCACTGGGATTTATTGATAGAAGGCACATCATGACATATATGGGGATCCAAAACTAAAGGGCCAATTAGGGTGAAAAAATCTTTTTCATTTTATCAGGATGGTGGAAAAACAGGGTAGTCAGTTTAAATAGAGTCTCTCTTTGAGAATTTTTTCTTCAGCTCTAATTGGAAGATAAAATTTTCCTCTGAAGGATACAAATGTTCTTCTACCTTAGCAAGTTCCAATAAACTAAAGGGACTTATCAAATGTCCAAATATTATTCACAACTCTGGAAACAGTCTTAGAGTCAACTTTTCCTTCTAATGATGGAGATGTTAGTGAAAGCACATTCACTAGCTATAGTCCGACTGACCTGAATGAAAATGTGAGTTACAGGACAAGGGAGGGCAAGGAAAAGAAATAAAAGGGACCCAAAAAGAGCTCTTATCTTGTGCCTGTTTTTATTTTCTCCTTCCCTTTTTCTTTTTAATAACTTAACAAGTGGCAGCATTCCCCCATCATACAGAATAATTAGTGTTTGCAGTGAGTTCAAATGGAAATCAGAACTTAACCATAAAAGACACAAAAATAGGTTTCCTTGCTTTCTCTTTAACTAGAGATTCAAAATCCAAAGTAAAATATCAGGTTTCTCCTTGTACTCATTCGTCTACCAAGTCCAAGTGTAAACACTGACTTTATTTATACCAAGGGTAAGAGTATACAAATGATTGATTTCTTACATTACATCACGACAAATGACATATACACAAATTCTCTCCCAAATAAAGTTTATGCAAACCTTTACTCATATCTGGAAAAAAATAGGCTAAAATTTTAGCAGATCGATGCTAAGGGTCATTGCTATTAATTGGGAGGAAAGAAGAACTACTCATGTTACTGGAAACATCTTCTGATACTTGGCCTGAGCATCGTGATTCAGGGCCATTGCAATTTTTCAGTCATATTTTCCATAGAATAAAGTATCTTGAGAAAACAAAAACACAAACATAAAAGCAAACCCACTGCTAAATGCAAACCTGGGAAACAACAGCACTCAGGTAATCCCCTTTATAGGCTGATTTGATAGCTCACGGAAATCGAAACAAAACACCAGTACTAGAACACCAACAGCTGGTTGGGAAATTGCCACAGATTGTTAGGGGGAGCTGCAAACTAGAGATAGGCAATGAAAAGGTTAGAAATGATAGTTAAAAAAAGACAAATTACTCCAAAGACCATATTCTTTAAATCGCTGAAGCAAAACATGTTTATTCGATTTGTTTGTATGCCTATTACAGAAATGCTACTTTGGGATTCTAGGAACCCAGTCTGTCAATTTTTCAGTTTCTGCACTTTCATGGTTGATTAGAGCTGTTTAATGCAAATACACTTCCAATAAGAGATTTCATGCCCCTAAATTACACCCAGTTAAAAGCGAATGAAAATGTAAGGTAAATAACTATAATCAGCCATATTATCTTTCTCTTGGCACCTCTCACTTTACAGGCATATTTAAAGACATCTCTTGGGTCCTATCCTTTTTAACAAGCAGCAGCGTATTTCCTGGAATATTACTTAAGATGCTGTGCAGTGAACATTACACAGGTTAAAATGTTACCTAGAGACCTAGAAAGAATTGCATCTGTTGCAGAGCCATCTTTTTTTGCCACATTTTGGAATGTCTGAGAAGATGAAAGGGCATTTGCTGTGGAGGGGATGAAAAGAGATGAGAAGAGTTTAAGTTTGTCTTTTATGTTTAAGTTCATTGATCAGCCGTTGTGAAGAGCACAGAAGTTTGAAAAGTAACCCTGGGAAGAAATGAATGAGGAGGAAAGAAAATGTACAAATGAGAAGGACCCAGTGGATTTGCCATACAAAGTACCTCTGAGTAAAACCACTAAATTACTCTTGGGGTTGTGGGGAATTGAGATGCCACTGGCCATTTTTGCCTTAGTTGACCTTTTTTGGGTCAGTAGTTTCTCAAACATCAATGTGCCTAAGGATCACCTTGTGAAGTGTTTAAGATTCAGAGTCCTGAGCCACCCTGAGAGATCTGGATTAAACAGATCAAGGAATCTGCATTTTTAACTAGCACTGCCAGTGAGTTTGTGGACTACACTGAGAAAATGGCTCTACAATGTTAAAAGCACACATATTTTTTAAAAATGACAAATGCCATTTCAAACAGACTTACAACCCATTTATATAGGCTTTCCCTGCAAAGTACACAGTTTTGACTTATAATCAAGCCTACAGGAATGTAACTAGCAAGGGAGCAAAGGAGAGCAGGAGATTAGAAGAAGAATCAATAAATGGCTCAAATATGTGAAATAACCTTGTTCATCCAAAATACAGGATGGTGGTGTTCTAACTGTCATGGTAGGGTTCAATTGCCTCAGTTCAATTTTAGGAAAACTGGCAATCATTTCTTTTGCAGGGGACACAATTTCTGAAGAACCCAGTCCTTTAAAAAAAAAAAGTGAGCTATCACCCCACTATTGAGAGAGCAGCTACTAGCTCAGTATTGGTGTACCCAGATGGGCAGCCTAGCAGCCAAGGAAACAGAGGTGGGTCTATGTACTGTCCCATCCTGTCACCCTTTATCAGTGAGACCTTGGGCAGAGCCTGGCTCATTTCCTGGCATACGATAGGCTTTCCTCATCTGCACAATGAATATGCATCCACATGTTAAACCACCACTTCGCAAATTATAAGGTTGAAATGAGATAATAAAGTTGTGTCCTTAGCACACAGACCGGACCGTTGAGAAGTGCAGGGGGAAAAAATCAGAAAGATCTGATTTTAGATTTTTAGTCAAACTAAGCAAGAGGACTTAACATTTCAGCAACTCAGTTTGCACCATGAATTTCTCCACTCAATTTATGAGAATTACTATTCCCTTGAAGTGATTTAAGGAATCATTAAGATTTGGCAGTGGAAGGTGGGACTCATTTCATATACCATTACCCTTAAGCCGAGACTACTATAAGAAGTTGGTACATGGCCAGGCACGGTGGCTCACGCCTGTAATCCCAGCACTTTGGGAGGCCAAGGTGGGTGGATCACTTGAGTTCAGGAGCTCGAGACCAGCCTGGCCAACATGGTGAAAACCCATCTCTACTAAAAATACAAAAATTAGCTGGGCGTGGTGGTGGGTGCCTGTAATCCCAGCTACTCAGGAGGCTGAGGCAGGAGAATCGCTTGAATCCAGGAGGCAGAGGCAGCAGTGAGCCGAGATCATGGCACTGCACTCCAGCCTAGGCGACAAAGCGAGACTCTGTCTCAAAAAATAAATAAATTAATTAATTAAAGAAGTTGATACATTATGTTACACCATTGGCCAAGAGGTAGTCACAGCTTTTATACCCTGAAAGTGCATTTGGATTTAATGATCATTTAGTGTTTAGAATTTTTCCATAGAAACCAAGTCATCAATGGAGCCTAGGTTTCTAGGTCACTGCACCACAGCTATAGAACACGTAAGTAAATGAACTATTGTTTTTATGGGAAAACATGTCTATGGAACACTGGGATACATTTTCTTCTACTGTTGTCCCAGGTGGAAAGGAAATCTTAGGCAGTAGGGAAGGCCACTGAGCCCTAGCCTCTTCTGCTCAATACACTCCCATTAGCTCAAGTGCCTCAGGGGTAGAACAGCACATTCTCTCCTCTGGCAGGATCCTGAGTCACAGGTAGGACTGGAAACATCTCCTAAGGGTCTCAGGAGAAGTAGTAACAGGGTGTGACTGAATGATCATCTGTACATATATTCTTTAAAAAGAAAACATTTGGGCTGTTCTCAGGAAATAAATGGCTAAGAAACTTTATAGATAATGACAAGAAAGTTTCAGGGCTAAGTACTAAAGACACCTGGACTTTGTTTCTGTATCACTACTTGACCACTGTCATTAATGGCATAATCTGGGACACTTGGAATTTAGTCTTTGAATAAATATTCTTATTAGTGCGAAACTTTATAGACAATGTTGACGATGTTTATATTCTTTCATATCATTGAGAAGTGATTTAAAAGAAATGCATTTATGTTATATTTCTACTCTTCATCCACTAATTTTAGCCTTGAAAACAAAGGCTTTGAAGCAGTCTCAAAGGCATTGGGTCGTCTGCTTAGGGCCACTGAAGATGAGGAAGAGAAATACTTCATTTATGTTTTGCAATCCTAGGACGCTTAGGAGATCATTTTGAAATTTCCCCTGGAACAGAATGTCTGCTAACATTCCTCTCTGACTTCAACATGTGAACACTTAAAGGTAATCACCAGCCATGGTGGCAGTTATAGGGGCTCTGCATAAGCCCTCTTGCAGCCTTGTTTCCCATCTGCATACAATGCAGTTACAGATCTCACACGGCACATACAGAAGCTATCAGAGATACTGGGATGATGCTAACATTGATGTGCTTATGAGGGAAGACAGGGAATGTTTGGCTAAAATCCAAACAAAAGATGGGTGACAGAAGCAGCAGAAGCCAATCAGCCCACCAAGAAGGTGAGTCTGGCAGATGCTGGCAGATACAGAGGCCCAAAAGGTAGCTGGATTACCTACCTGCCAAGTCTCTGGATGTGGAGCCATAATGCACTGCTTCATCTGAGTTATGTCTTATGCATAAGGCTTGTACATCAGAATCACTCACTGTATATCACAATGCACTAGACAGGTGTTTTCCTTCATCCCTCGCTTTTGTAAATTCAACAGTTTTGTCGTCTCTATATGCTATCCAAAGCTGCTTAAGAAATCCAAATTAGTGATTTTACCCTACAGAATCAGGAGCTTTTATAACCTCATTATAAAAGATTTAAACAATAAGGCATGGATATCCCATAAATAAGTGTTTGTTGCACTTAACTACAGACTTTCATGGTCAGGAGCTACAGAGAAGAGTCAAAGAAGATGAGTTATCTCAAATAATGTGCCAGGGCTCCTGGGCCGACAACTTGCAAATCTGGAATTTTAGAGCTTTGCCAAAGACAAATAAAAAACCCTAAATATTCAGGTTTGATTCAGGATGCTTACTGCTTCCCCAGAAGCATGGAGGAAGATATCGCCCACTCATGTTGGTGTTCAGGCTGCTGACACTGGAAAGCTCCCAGAATCAAGCAGTAATGGGAACACTCCCTGAAGCACTTAGAGAATTGAGCAAAATTATATCTGGTGTGTGGATGCAAGAGTGTGTGTATTGTTTGGTCTGTTAAGGGGGGGCAAGAATTTTGACCTAGTGTATAAATTTAATCCTAAGCTATGTGCCATATTACCTCAAACTTTTATATGAAGAGTCAGCCTCATGTTTTCTCTCTTGGTCCCAAATCATAAGGACCTTGACACTTTAAGGAGTGGACCAAGGGTAGATTATATAATAACATTTTAAACCGTGGCAGCTTGATCCCCTTTAGTTACACTAAGGGCTCACAGGTAATCATAATACATTTACTATATCTGTATCTTTAAATTGCAAAGTGTACACTGGAGAGAACTCCAGGACATGTAACCATATCCAGTTCTCGTGAATCTCAGATAATGACTATGAAGAGAAATAGCAGAAGTTAGAAGTGCACTAAGGGTGTCACATTGCCAAGTGAAATAAGCTTCTAGAATATTCATGCAGGGAGCCCAAATTTCTCACTTGCTAGCTCCCAGCTGTCAAACCAGAGGAAACTAAGGCTAGACTATGAGAAGCAATCCCAGATTCATTGCTGCTGGGGGTTGCTTCTTAACCCTGTGATGATGTGCCTATGTTAACAAAACATGATTGGAATTGAAAAACTACATGGAGATGGGCTGGGAGAGCCAAAAACTGCATCTGCTTTGTTGTGTGCATGGGGGGTGGGGGTGACAGGATGGGTACAGAATCAGAGTCAGAAGCTACAAAACTCCTTGGGAATTTATGTGGTCCCCCAAGTAAAGAATTAGAGAGAATTAATTCCCCCTTCTCAACTTCCTGACATATAGGACACTAGATCTCATTTTTAAGAGATACTTCTCAGTATGTAACTCAAGTTATGCCTTGTCTTTCTGCTTTTACTTTTTCTTTTTTTGAGACAGAGTCTTTCTCTGCCTCCCAGGCTGGAGTGCAGTGGCGTGATCACACCTCATTGCAGCCTCGACCTCCCAGACTCAAGCAATCCTCCCACCTCAGCCTACCAAGTAGCTGGGACTACCAGTGTGTGCCACCACATCTGGCTAATTTTTTAAAGTTTTTCTGTAGGAACAAGGTCTCCCTATATTGCCCAGGCTGGTCTCAAACTCCTGGGCTCAAGTAATGTTCCCACCTTGGCCTCCCAAAGTATTGGGGTTACAGGTGTAAGCCACCACACCAGCCTTCTCCCATCTTTCTAATGTTTACCTGCATTCTCTTTGGCACTACAGCTGTATTCTTAAAAAGTAATTAGTGGCAAAGTGCCTACTGATACTTCTTTTATTTTTTTCAGGGACAGGGTCTCACTCTGCTGCCCAGGCTGGAGTACAGTGGCATGATCATAGCTCATTGTAGTCTCCTGGCTCAAGTGATCCTCCTGCCTCAGCCCCCCAAGCATCTGGGACTCCAGGTATGCACCACCATGCCCAGCTAATTTATTTTTTATTTTTATTTTTTTATAGAGATGGAATCTCACTAAGTTGCCCAAGCTGGTCTTAAGCTCCTGGCCTCAGGTGATCTACCTGCCATTGCCTCCCAAGTTGCAGGAATAACAGGCAAGTCAATACTTCCTTTTTATATCTGAAGTTCATCTACATGATCTTCTCAAGACATCTCTCCCAACTGCTATTTCCTAAGCTTCTAATTTCTGAATCATCTCTTTATTCTCTATAACAATCCTGTATGGCAGTCCAGGTGGTTCTGACATTAAAAATGAGAATCGGCTGGGTGCGGTGGCTCACGCCTGTAATCCCAGCACTTTGGGACGCTGAGGCGGGCAGATCACCTGAGGTCAGGAGTTTCAGACCAGCCTTGCCAACATGGCAAAACCCCGTCTCTACTAAAAATACAAAAATTATCTTGGTGTGGTGGTGGGTGCCTATAATCCTAGCTACTTGGGAGGCTGAGGCAGGAGAATCCCTTGAACCCAGGAGGCAGAGGTTGCAGTGAGCCAGATCGCGCCACTGCACTCCAGCCTAGGCAACAGAGTCTCGAAAAAAAAGAAAAAAAAAAAAGGAAAAGGAAAATAATGAGAATTATTTCTACCTCCATGACAAAAGAGAGGAGAGAAACCACGAAGTCTCTTCTGTTCATGCTCCCACATATTGCCCACATACTCCTCAATGCTGGACCCATTCTTAGCATCTTTGAGAGTTCTGTAGTGAGCTGGTAAATAGTCCCATCTCTTCTGAGACTTCCACCAGCTAAGGAAGCATAAGAGCTTTTGAAATGGCTATGCAGCTCCATGTTGAACACAACACTAATGGCTGAAACGACACTCAGTTCCTAGGCTGCACTACCTCATGGAACATGCTGATCTACTACATGACCACATGCATAGCATTGGATCTGCCAGCCTTTTTAGTGGCAGTTCTTTACTGTTGACACATTTGGCCTGTGGTTCACAGTGACTGCTAGCCAACTGAACTCCATCCTGTTTGCACGTTCCTACTTGTTGAAACAGTACAAGGCTGTCATTGTTTCATCAAGCATTTATGAATGGCCTTTGTGTGAAAAGCACAGTCCTGGGGTTACTTTCATAGCCCAATTTTAAGGGAACACCTGTGCATAATTGTATACATGTGTTTGTTTTCATGTTTGTGTGTATGTGTATACATGTTTCTCAGAGCTTTGCAAAACATACCTGGAATCGTGTACACTGTTATTCTCTTAGTCTTTTGTGTGTCCCAGGCCTATACCATCTAGCATAGACTGCCAGTGCTACATAATGCTGCACTGCAGGGAATCCCTGTCATGGGAAATGACTACAGGAGACATTACCCAGCATGTTATTCTTCATGGAGTGCTTTTTGAAAGATCATGACTCTTGTAGCACCGGGCCAAGATCTTTTTTAAGCTAAAAGGCACTTAGACAAAGAGAGCCGTGTGTGTTTGTGTGTCTGTGGCTGTATGTGCATATATATGTGTGGTTGTGTGTGTTCAAGTGTGTGTGTGTGTGTGTGTGTGTGTGTGTCGGGGGACTATGGAGGAAAGAATGGAAAGAACGAGATTACAGGTCTGAGGTGATATGGTTAGAATCTGATTGCTCAGCTGTAAGGAATGGAGGGTGTGAACATGATTCACAGAGGAAACAGCAGGCAGTGGAACCCTGTACAGCTGGTCCCTGCTGGCCTATATACTCAGGGGATAGACTGAATCTCATTTGGAGAAATACTCAGAGATGCAGAAGAGAAAAAAAAAACACTCTGAAGAGTAAGAAGTGCCTTGGGGAATTGAGGATGAGGACAGGGGATGTCCTGGTTAAACTAAATGCCCCTGACATGCCATCTATACCAACCACCCTCTGCAGCTCTGGCAGCATGCTACCAGGTATAGATCATTATTTGGTTAAAAAGACAAGAGGTAACTCTCTGCAGGATCCAATTATGTTCTTGCTTGGACACTTGAGCATTTGTTTTAAGGAGGACACGCAAACCCTGGGGCACAAGAGGGAGGAGGCAGTGGGCCTGATTCAAAGAGCCTGGGTTCCCATCTCCACTCAGGGAAAATCCCTGAACCTCTTGATAATTCAGTAATTCAGTTTCCTCACCTGCAAAACAAGCATAGTGCCCGTACCTACCTTGCAGGGTTGCTGTACGTATTAAAGATTATTTCAAAAATGCCCCTAGCACAAAGGGACTCAGTAAGCAGTAACCTCTTTGAAAATTCATCAGAAGGCTACAAGTTTTAGTATGGCATTTACTGCAGCTGCAATCATCACCCCCCCCAACTGATAATTAGTGAGTTAATAATTTCTTAATTCTCTAAACAAGATAAACAACAACAGACCCTCACAGATGACATAGTAAAACTGACATTCCTCAAATAACTCAGAGGGTTCTACCTGCAGATGTGATGATTCTGCAAGAGACAAGTAGTTTCATCAAACCCTCTGTTAAACTTCAAAGTTTAGGGGATATTCTGGATATTCTGGTAAATGTAGTGTGAGATTGCTAAAATTAAACAAAGTCATTGAAAAGCGCACTTAGCGTCTGTTATAAACAGAAACAGCTTCTTTTCTCCCAAAGATACTATTTTTCCCCCCTTCTTATCTCTTTACTGCTGGGAACTGCTGAGCTTAACAAAGTAAACTTGGCTTTACTTATCAGAGTAAGCTCAGGAAGCCCTAAGAGGAGGGGCAACACAAACACCAGAGAATGAGATGTTCAACGAGAAGCCTGGAAGACAGCTTTCCACCAACAACTCCCCGGCTGTGGCGTGATCATTAGGTGGGTTCAGATTTTAGAAACACAAATGTGTCATCTGAATTGTATGTGACTGCAAACCCCAGCCATTGCTTGGAAGTCTACGACAAGGCAGGCATTCTGGGGTTCGAAGAGGTTGCTGGGATCTTTGCACTGAACAGTGATAAGAAGAATGCACGAAACAGAAAGTTACCCTCTTCTGAACTGCCCAAGGAAAATTCTGCACCCAAAATGAGATTAAGGGCCCAGTGCAGATAGGGCAGCCTTTCAATACCATCCAACACAAAATAGCATTTTATTTCATTCAAACTAGGATGGTTTCAGAATTCTTGTGAAAATCCAATATAGGCTGAATTTTCCTTCATACTGTATGTAAGGAAAGATTAGCCAAGCAAATTAAAGATACAAGGAATACTACAGGGACGGAACTTCAATAAACCTTAAGACTTTCAACACACTGTCTGTAAGCAGATACTCCGGCTGCCCATCACACACAGAATGCATTGCACACGCCTTACTGGGGGCGACAAGGCTGAATGCAATCGGGTCTCAGCTTACCTGCCAGCCTCAAGTCCAGACACTCCTTCATTCACTAGGCTCCAGTCATGTTGCCTTTTTTTTTTCCTGTTCTTTGAACCACCCCAGCTCATTCCCACCTCCAGGCCTTTGCACTTGCTCTTCAGTCTGCCAAGAACATTCCACCCTCAAATCTTCACAGGATCAGCTCCTCCTCCTTGTTCAGCTCTCGGCTCAAAGGTTACCCCTTAAAGTTCAACCCTCCTCTGACTGTTCAGTTGTTCTCTCTCATATCCTCAGTTTATTTTCTTCCTACCACCACCCTCTAGAATTCTGGATAGTCCTCTTTGTATACTTACGTAATAACGGAACACCTCCACTAGACATTGAGGTCTGTGAGTGCTGGGGCTCTGTCTCCTCGTCATCACTGTAGCTTCAGGGTCAGGAGCAGGGTTTGGAGATTAGTAGACTCCAAAAACTATTTATTAAAGGAAAATTAATTACAAAATACTAATATACCTGTTAAATAAATTTATTCTTCTTCTTTTCTTTTTTTGAAACAGGGTCTCACTTTGTCACCCAGGCTTGAGTGCAGTGGAGCAATCTCAGCACACTGCAACCTCCAACCTCCGCCTCCCAGGTTCAAGTGATTGTCTTGCCTCAGCCTCCTGAGTACCTGGGACTACAGGCACATGCCACTACGCCCTGCTAATTTTTGTATATTTAGTAAATACAGGGTTTCACCATATTGGCCAGCCTGGTCTCAAATTTCTGACCTCAGGCAATCTGGCCACCTTGGCCTCACAAAGTGCTGGGATTACAGGCATGAGCCACTGTGCTCAGCGCTGTTAAAGAAGTTTCTGAAAGATCTCTACCTAGAAACAATTTGAGGATATGCACAGTATGTACTAGTGATTAACAAAACATACTTTCTTAAACTTGACATTTCAGACTTTTTCTTAGTTTGAACTAGCGAGCTCTCTACCTTTCCCTTATATATCCCCTCCATTCCATTTCATTTATCTAAAATGAAAGAGAAGAACTATCAAACTCTATATAAATATAATAAACTAAAATCAATGTGCTGCTGATAGTTTTATTTCCTTAACATGACTGTGAAGCAGCAGAATATGCTCCTGAAAAAAATCTCAGTCTCCAGACTAAGGTGGAGGGAGAGGCTAAGTGGTGACTTGTACTCTCCCAACCCACACAATCCTCCAGCATCTACCGGCTATTTGGGCCTTTGTCCATCAGACATATGGCCAGGAAAGTACAGCCTCAATTGAACAGCAAAGCCCTCCCGTGCCTCACCCTAGGGATGCACTCTCCCTCCTACTTCCCTCCCTACCAGCCAAATTGCCTCATAGACTCCAAGACACATTAACATCCTGGAAACAAAAGATGGGCATTGTGAAAATACACTTATCATAATGAAAAGATTAATGTCACACACTAGTGATTGACCTGAATGAAGATTATTTCCTAGGACATGGGACCCAACACCTAGAAGAGAGAAAGTAAAGAAAGAATCCAGGGAATTTTTGTAATATTACCTACATCCAAATGACTAGTATAGAACTTCGCTTTCTCTTTCTTAAAGAAGTAGTTCAACACATTGGTTCCCTTTTTATTTTTGTACATTTAGAGATAAAGATCATGTTTCTAAAACAAGAAATGAGATAAAGTGCTAAGCATGAATTCATGCATAGCATCCAGAGGTGCTGTTAATGTTTTTTGTATATATTGATAACTGTCTGCACATGTGTATATATTTGTGTATGTGAGTGTATATGGTGGGGATGTGTGTGGACATGTGCATTAATTTGGAACACTGAAAAAGTTGGGGTAGGACCCGTCACACTGGGAGAATCTCCAAGAGCTGGAATATTCTGAGTAGGTAATACTCTACGTTGTAAACTGCTCATGCAGCAGGACTGAGGAAAAGGCATCGCCTGGCCACCGGCTGTTACTGACTCTGGGAAAATGAAAATACAGCATCTCTGCACCTGTTCACCTGATGGTGAAGGAAGGAAAAGCCATTACCGAGTGACAGGAGACAAAAAACCAAAATCCACTTCAGCAACTCATCCCACTGCTGGTGATTAATCTCACACTCCCACAGCCTGATGCACATTAACCAGATAATTAATAATTTCTTTAGGGATTCCGGCTCGGCAACTGTTTTATCAACCTGCACAGCATTAGGAGGGAGATGCCGCACTTGTGATCAAACGTCTGGAACTGGGAAAAAGGACTGTAGATGAACAGTGAGGGCTTAGCAGCAATTTGTGAGCCTACTTCAAAATGAACAAGTATGGTTAAGTAATCCTGTGTAATTTTTTATCACTACTATTGGCCTCGCTGAAGAGCCAAGGAATAGCGCCTTCCCTTGTACCCCTGTAACTACCACCACCAGTAGATAGCTCACAGACTTGAAATCACATGTGGTTTACTATGTGTGCAAAATAGAATATACCAGGCATATCTAAATTCTAGATGCATCTTTTTAAAGAGTGCATAATCTAAGACACCTCCCCCATCAAATCAAAAGTTTCAAAGAGTGTTTGATCAGAACAATGCCGGTTGACGTATTTCTTGTTCTTGCTGGCTCTAATTCACATCTATCTAAAGGAAGCCAGGCACAAAGAATCGAGATCACCCTTTCTGAGTCCCCTGTGCAAATGTACCCTTCTTCTCTTATGTTAAAACATATTCCACAGGGAGAAGCCAAAACCTCTTTTTTATGTCTATTTTTATTAAGATTGTAAGACTATGAATAAAATCTTAAGAAGAATAATAAATTATAAGCACTGCTTATTAAAAGGCTCACCATTAAAATTCCAACTTATTCATGTTCTTTCCTAATGAGAAAAACAGTACATTGAAAATATTATTACAAATTTCTCTCAACTCTATCCAGAATGCTATTTGGATGGAAAAGAAACAAGAGTATAATCCATCCTTGTCGGAAGTCACAGTGGACTTGCTGGCAGAAACCCTGGGATGAGGTCTGCCCACTGTGTCTTGGTATTATATCCTCCAGCTTTCCTGAGGGAAGCTATCATAGGCAGGCAAACAGCACTCTGCATGGACTTTGCCATGGGAGTGTTAATCAGGATGGTTGGCAATTACAGAGCATGTCCACCTTATGTGTACCCAAAGGAGAAATTGCCCTCAGACGTCAGGGCTAGGATAGTCTGGGATTCTCCTAAGAGTGGATCACGCAGACAAGGCAAAAATTTAGGGCTGAGAATTTTGGTGCTGGGAAGCAGTTTAGAGCCAAATCAATTGTCTATTTCCAGCAAATTTGCAGGACCATAATATAGGTATTGTCACACACACACCAATTTCAGCTTGCTAGGACAGTCTGCTTTTTTAACCCTGATTTTCAGAGGTTTTAGATTATACCATATGTCTTTGTGAGAGTCCCCTCAAATCATCTTGGAGTAAAGTAAGATAATGAATTGGACAAAAAGAGAGAGAACAAAGAAAGACAAACTAAAATATTGGGCAAAACACAAGATCACATAACAGAATAGTGAGACCTGGAAGGACTTGGAATTTACCTAATGTTGTTGGGCACTCCCTAGGTACAAGGCAATGTGCCGTAGGGTACACACTCCTAGAAAAAAAAAAAAACATAGAGCATCCTCTACACCACAGATTTCGCTCTTAAATTTGGGTTTAGGGAACAATTTTTTTTCAATATTAAAACATATTTTATGGAGTAGAATGCAAATTTCACATGCATACAACAGATAAAGAGGGGATTAAAAATTTTTTTTTGTTTGCTACTGGTCATTTCAGGCCAGATCCTCACAAAGCACACATATATTTCCTCGACCTCTACTTTTCGAGTACATGGGTAGAAATTCTGAGAAACATTTGACTAGATCACATTTACAGAAAAGGAAAATGAGACCCAATGGTGTGACTTTGTTGAGCCTTAGACTCTAAACTGACGGTAATAATATTTCACTGGGTGCCTTCAAATGTATATGTGAAGAATATCATCATCTATGAGGCAGTGATAACTATAAAATCTCAATCAAAAGCACATGCAATTTAGATTCACAAAATTTCAGTTTTCACCAAGACCTCTACAGCCCTCCCCTGTCTATGAAAGTAAGAGCACAGGGAGTGGCCTGGTGGTTATGAGTTACCAAATCACAATACCATGGATAGTAACCAGTTCCCATCAGGTAACACTAGGCCAGAAAGAACTGACATCATAAGGTACACTAAACACTCCTTGAGGATAAAAGCCTTATCTAATTTATTTATTTATTTGTTTGTTTATCTATTTATTTTTTAGATAAAGTGTCACTCTCACCCAGGCTGGAGTACAGTTGTATTTTTAGTTGAGACAGGGTTTTTCCATGTTGGCCAGGCTGGTCTCAAACTCCTGGCCTCAAGTGATCTACCCACCTCAGCCTCCCAAATTGCTGGGAATACAGGTGTGAGCCACCGTGCCCGGCCTCCTTACCTAATTTATCTGTGACTTCCTAGACCAAGCACAAAGCTTATACTAGGCACCCAATATATTAGGCACGTAGTAAATGTTATCAGAACCACTATTTGTTGAATAGAGATCTGAGGGACAGATTCAATTAAACCTAAAAGCACTAAATTGTTATGGGCTCTTTTCAGAAATGAAACTAGCACCATTAATAACAACAAGCAAAACCCACAAATGAACAAAAACAAAAGAACCCAGAAACATGAATGTGATTCAGAACAAAGAACATTGGATGTAGAGTCATAAAACCTGGCTTAACTCCCTGATTTTTAAAACATTTTAGCTATATAAACTTAAAGGGGATAATTTCAATCAGATACATCCTATTTCCTCATTAAGATAAATAGAATAATAATACTAACCTTACAGTGTTGTAAGGAATGAGTTTATATGAATATAAGAAAAAAATTGTCAAGTAATAAAATACTAAAAACCATTAGTTACTATCCATTATATTATTGCATGAAAATGAAAAAGTTTGGCTGAAACACACACACACACACAAACAGGCACACATACACACACACACACACACGCATACATTGTGGGTTTTTCTCTCTCTCACATGGCTTGATTCCAAAGCAAACTAAACCAAGATCCTTACAAACTAGAAACAGTATTTTTAAATAACTGCACATCATCTCAGCCACTAATTATTTTTAGGATTTTACTATACGCCGCTAATTGAAAGTGTTCAGTCCTTTCCATTCATTAGTTTTATTACAAGCACTCCAATGAATTAAAGAAAAATCTGCCATCACCACCTTCCTTGAAACTTTCACTATATTTTCATAAAAGCCTTGACCTTACAAAAGCAATTCACATTAATTCAGCACAAGTCACAGGACTGGACAGAGGATAAAAATTTGGCATTTCTAATAAATAGGACACTATTGAATAAGTTTGACAGAAGGCTATTATACTCTTGATGTCAGGAAATGGGGCCGACAATGCTTTCTTTGTTACGATGAGGGGCATGGCATTATACATCACTGACTATATGGAGACTCTATTGGTGGGGCCAACCAAATGTGTGAAGTGAAGCACTCCTTAATAGGATTTTTACTATATTAAAAACTTGCCTGTGTACATTGATAAGAATTGGACTCTGAAAAGATGAATTGCAAAGATCACTACTAAGAAAGCTTTGAGACTATAGGCATGTCTACATTAGAAAGCAAATATTCAAGCACAGGTAACTCTACACTTCAACATAAACGTTAGGTCCATACATCTGTTACTTTAGTTTATTAGTAGTAATCATTTATTGAATAATTTTTCAGTACAGTGCACTTTACACATGTTTATTCTACATTTATTTATTTAATATACATCATCTTATCTTGTAGGCCTTTTAATTGTTATTTAACAGTTGCAAAGAAAAGGAAAAAAGCTTGGCAAAAGTACATTACAGTTGAAAACTTATTTTCATACAAAAACTTGCTCACAGATGTTTATTGCAGTTTTATTTTTAATTGCCAAAACTTGAAAGCAACCAAGATGTCCTTCAGTAAGTGAAAGGATAAATAAACTATGGTACATCGAGACGCTGGACTGTTATTCAGTGCTAAAAAGACGAACTATCAAGCCATGAAAAGACATGGAGGAACCTTAAATGTGGAACCTTAAATGGCACACATCATATGATTCCAATAATATGAAAAGGCAAAATTGTGGGGACAATTAAAAGATCATTGACTGCCAGAGGTTGGGCAAGGAGGAGGGAAGAATAGGTGCAACACAAAGGATATTTAGGGCAGTGAAACTACTCTGTATAATGTTATAATGGTAGCTACATGTCATTGTACATTTTTCCAAACTCCTAGAATGCACGACACCCAGAGAGAATGCTATTGTAAACTTTGGATTTGGGTGATAATGATGTGTCAGTGCAGGTTCATCAATCGTAACAAATGTACCACTCTGGTAGGGGAAGCTGATAATGGAGCAGGCTGTGCTAGTGTCAGGGAGGGGTATATGGAAACTCTCTGTACTTTCCTCTCAATTTTGCTGTCAACCTAAAACTGCTCTAAACCTAAAGTCTATTAAAAAAAGAAAAGACAGGCTGGGTGTGGCGGCATATGCCTGTAATCCTAGCACTTTGGGAGGCCGAGGCAGGTGGATCACGTGCGCTCAGGAGTTTGAGATCAGCCTGGGCAACATGGTGAAACCCTGACTCTATTAAAAACACACAGAAAAAACTAGCTGGGTGTGGTGATGTGCACCTGTAGTCCCAGCTACTCAGGAGGCTGAGGTGGGAGGATTGCTGGAGGCTGAGGTGGGAGGATTGCTGGAGCCTGGCAGGTCAAGGCTGCAGTGAGCTGAGATTGTCCCACAGCACTCAAGCCTGGGAGACAGAGCAAGACCCACCCTGTAAAAAAAGAAGAAAAGAAAAGAAAAGAAAAGAAAAGAAAAGAAAAGAAAAGAAAAGAAAAGAAAAGAAAAGAAAAGAAAAGAAAAGGAGAGGAGAGGAGAGGAGAGGAGAGGAGAGGAGAGGAGAGGAGAGGAGAGGAGAGGAGAGGAGAGGAGAGGAGAGGAGAGGGGAGGGGAGGAGAGGGGAGGAGAGGAAAGGAGGGAAGGAGGGAAGGACAGAAGGAAGGAAGGAAGGAAAGAAGGAAGGAAGCAAGGGAGGGAGGGAGGGAAGGAAAGGAAAGGTAAAGAAAAAAGGACATTAATTTCCCTGAAGTCTTACAGTCATTCAAGATGGCAGTAGTAGGATTCAAATGTAGGCCTGTGTAATGTCAAAGCCTATTTTCCTTGTGCTTATTTATATTTTTTAAATATTTGGGGGATACACATATCTTCACTCAAGTCAGTCTCTTTTACATCTGTCCCTCCCCAAACACATTTGTGATTTTATTCATACTAGTAAATAATATGTAATTACATCCTATTAAATAAGCACCTACTACATGTTCAATTAGATACTACTGATACAATAATACTTTACAAATCATGAGGTATGTCCATCTGACACTGTGTGTGTGCATATATAGGTATATATTTTATTGAATACATTATACACACAATTACATATATATACACACAGTCAGCCTTCTATATCCTTGGGTTCCACATCCCTGGATTCAACCAACCATTAATTGAAAATATTTGAGGCTGGGCATGGTGGCTCATACCTATAATGCCAGCACTTTGGGAGGCTGAGGTGGGTGGATCACTTGAGGCCAGTAGTTCAAAAACAGCCTGGCCAACATGATGAAACCTCGTCTCTACTAAAAATACCAAAAATTAGCTGGGCGTGGTGACATATGCCTGTAATCCCAGCTACTCATGAGGCTAAGACAGGAAAATCACTTGAACCCCAGGGTGTGGAGGTTGCAGTGAACCGAGATCGCACTACTGCACTCCAGAGCGAGACTCTGTCTCAAAAAAAAAAAAAAAAAAAAAGGAAAGAAAGACAGAAAAACGAAAATATTTGAAAAAAATTGAATAGTTGCATCTCTACTCAACATGTGCAGACTTTTTTTCCTTGTCATTACTCCCTAACTAATACATTATAGCAACTACTTACATAGTTTTACATTATATTGAGAAATCTAGAGACGATTTAAAGTATATGGGAGGATGTGCATAGTTACATGCAAATATTACACTATTTTATATCAGGGACTTGAGTATTCATGGATTTCGGTCGGGGGTGGGGGTGGCTACTGGAAACAATCCTTCATGGATACTGAGGAATGAATGAATATGCATCCTTTATATTTATATTTTTCCAATGATATCAAAGGAAAGTGTAGAAAACATTATGTTTAATATTTAGGGTTTAAAATAATGTATCATTATTGCTTCACATAATCAGTGGATTGTGGCTTCGAAGATAGGAGACGTGGGTCCAAGCGTGAGCGCTGCACTTTTTCCAAGCTTACTCACTCTACGGCCCTTGCCGATTCCTCAAGCGTGCTGCATCTGTTTCCTAGTTCTAAGATGGGAATAAAAATAGCTTCCCTGTCTACCTCAGAAGGTGGTTATGAATATCAAATGATGTAGTGCGTGTGATAAGCACTTTACAATGTATAAAACTCTATATGCTGTAAGTCATTGTTATTAATGATAATTATAAACCTTGAGGAAGCCTGAGAAATTAGCTATCATTATAATTACAGCAGTAGTTGCAAGGTTTTTACCCTTTTCTGACTTTGAGAGGTCCACAGTTATATCTAGGGGAATTAGGATGAGGAGAAAATTTTTAAAAATCAATGCGTTTTATTTCTATACTAATAAACAGCAAACTACATTATTATTTTTGCAAACAGAAATGACAACATGGAAAGTACCGGAAAAGTTCATTCCAGTAGGTCCTGGTCAAGAAAAACCTATTTCAAGTTCTTAAAAATCATATTAGCTCCCCCTCCCCCCATCCTTTTTTTTTAACTTTACACTGTCTTCCTGTACTGCTATTTCCATGAGCTCTGCTATCAGCTGAAGATAAAGCGAATCCTTTGGCAGGAAAAGCTTGAGTTCTAATCTCAGCTCTGACACGGGGGATTAATAAACAAATATTTGTAATGTTTCCTGAAGAGGAAAATTCTGGTTTTTTATTAGTATTAGCAGCATATTCATATGTGTACTTGACTCTAGTGTAGTATCGCATATTTAACATTGATTGTTATATGAGCCTCATCACACAAATGAAATACAATGTTACTTATAAAAATGCTCACTCTTTTTCCCATTGTAAGTTAAACACATTGCTAAGAGGCCATTTTTCAAACCATCAGTGGCCCTGCAACTCTCTAAAAATTTTCAGCATTTCTCAGAAGGAACGCTCACATAAAACATCTCAGTATGAAAAAAAAGACTTTGACCATGTAAACATGTCCAATTGTCTGCTGACATTACCAAAAGAAACTGAATTGTACAATTTTCAAAAGTGCTCACTTAATAGTGCCAGTGGTTTGATCTTGCACATGTTACCCCTTGATACCTCCTCTGCCAAGCCAGTAGCGTACCTGATGCCAGTGTTCCTGATGCTCAACATAATAATCTGGCAGTGCTGACCATTTGCATGAGGTCACCATCTCTCCCATCCTAATGCAGTCTATGAAGCACTGGCCACCATAACCACTGTCTGGGCGGAGGACAGAGGGATTCAAAAGACAGACAGGCAACAGGAAACATACCCTTTACCTCTTTCCTTACTCCATCCAGAAGTCTCAGGCTCTGAAAAAATGTTCACAGCACAGGAGGGATTTGTTTTTAAGTACTAGTTTCCCAGACCTTTATTCAAAGATCTAAATATAAGTTGAAGAAACTGGAGGGAGAATAGTACTGCTAGTCACCAGTGTGTGCCAAAGTATGTACACGATTTCCAAATTTCTCCCTCAACTCTCCATCAGTAAACATGGGAGGGTCCCCAGAATCTCTTCCATCTGCTGGATTTCCCTTGGTGTGACTGCCAGAGATTGCCACACCACCTCATGAATTGCAGCACACATTCTGTGGTTACTAGTTACCCAGGAAGCTTCTGGCTCACCACTGTGTGGGGCAACTTGAAGAAGACAAAGAAGATACATAAAGCAGCAAGGTCACCACTGCTCTGCATCTGAAAGGATGCCCAAGAGCCAGGTGGTCCCTCACCCTCGCATCTGTTGGTTGGCATGAAGAGTCCAAATATGCCACCACAACCTAGGAAAAAACAACCTATGAGAAAAACCACCACACATTCCTCTCTCCTTAAGGAGGCTGCAGATGGGGTGGAGAGGAAGAAGGGAGAAGGTGCTCTTTCAACACTTTGAACATTCAAAGTTCAACACTTTGAACACAACATTTTGCATTCATACAAAATCAAATCAATCTACCATCCAACCCAAAACAGCCAAGATAGCTAAAACAAACAAACAAACAAACAAACAAACCCTGGAAATGAGTACTTGATTACAAAGAGAAATCTGAACCGCTGTTACAGTAGCAGATGCACAGGATGCAAGGCTGCATCTACTGAAGACAGTCTCCCGAGGAAGACTGGAAAAAGAGCAGTGTTAACTGACATCCAGGTAATGCTGAGAAAAGAACCCAGGAATGTCTATTTCGGCAAATCAGGAGCTTGCTGTGTGCACCAGAAGTGCTGATGGTATCACAGCGTCCTTCTTCACACACTGTACTACCTTGGGCTTCCAAAGGAAACAGCCAGTGATAGTACCCTCGTTGGCATGCAGTGTGACAGTTCACATCCAAACTCTAGGAGATCTTGTGAACTATTCGCCACGGGAGGGAGGAAGATGGCTATCTTCCTTTATATCGTACTTTTAAGAACTTTTAGTCATTTGTGATTCTTTCTCTACCACTGTGTGTGTGTGTGTACATGTGCCCACCCACTCTCCTCTCCCTTTCAGCCCCAATTCAAGCATTAACCTTTGATGTAACATTTTTGCTCCTCATCAGAATGGAAAGAATGAGCTTCAGAGAAGCAATTGAGTTGAGAGAATAAAAAAGATGACATCACTTCAAACGTGGACTTGCCAGAAAATTATCATTTCAAGTGCTCCCCTGTGTTATCAGCCAGGGACCCTCAGCTCTCCCTGACCGCTGCATGCTGCCCCTGTTTCAAATCTTTTGATCACCATTTGTTTCATGTCACCGTTCATCATGCCCCGCATGTGTGTATGTGTGTGTTGAATTGTGTACTTTTCAAAGTTCCTGTCAGTGCTAACTTTACAAACTCCCAAGTGAAAGACAGGAATTCATTAGCATCCGTTATTAGTTTGATAATTCTAAATAAAGTCAATACAAACATTTACATGGCATTTGCCCAGGAAGAGGATGAGGAATGAGAATTTGGGGACACATGCTCATGTTCTTTCTGATACATGCACCGCCAGGCACGCGCAGCAAGAAGGCCCTGGGGATGGGTCCTATACCACTGCTGTGTTCCTCTTTTCCTCTAAAGTACAAAGTAAAGAGTCTTCTAACATTTTCTTTTTCAGAATTCATTCATGTCAGATGTAGACCATTTTGAGAAGTGCTCAAATACCACGGGATCCCATTCCTCCACTCCTCACCCTCCTCTCATGAGCAAACACAGTGAGAAAAAATATACATACATTACAGCCAGGGTGATCTGGGTTCAAATTCCACTCAGCTTTGGTCTTTTTTTTTTTTTTTTTTTTTTTTTTTTTTTTTTTTTTTTTTTTTTTTTTGCTATGTAACTGACCACCCAAAACTCAGTGGTTATAAACAACTACCATTGTATTTGCTCAGGAGTCCATAATCTGGGCGGGGCTCAGTGGCACCGTTCCGTTCATCTTACTGGTGGTTGCTCATGTGGCTGCATTCAGCTGGCTAGTTGGCTGGGATCTGGGCTCAATTGAACCTCTCTCTCTCCTCCCCTAGAATCTCAGGGTCTCTCCCTCTTCCTGTGTCTCTCTACACAGTCTCAGCATACAGTCTCTCCAGCAGCATAAATAGACTTTCTTTTTTTTTTTTTTTTTACCAGGTGACAGGGCTTTCAAGATTACAGAAGTGAAATCTGCCAGGTCTACTTAATGCTTAGGTCTGGAACTGGAACGAGATCATTTCTGACACAGTCTAGTGGTTAAAGTGAATCCCAGGGCCAGCCTTGATTCAAGGAGTAGTGACTATACGAGTGTGAGTATAAAAGACATGGTTCACTGTGAGCAACCAATGTAGCCAATTACCACTGACACGCAACAAGTCACCTGATCTGTACACTTTGATGTTATGTTTCTCATCCATTAAAAGGGAAAATAATAATTCCTATTTTATAGAGATCTCACAGTTAAACGTGATAATGAATGTGATGTGGTTAGCACAGTGACTGACACCCAGTAAATACTCTGTAAGTGGTCTCTTTCATATATCCCAAAGTATTTGGAATTTGTAACACCCAGAAATTTGTGAGTCCCTTCCTACAACTGTCTACCTTTCCCACAAGAGCAGAGTCCACAGTTCACGTTAGCCATCATAGAAGTCACCCCAGTACCTAGTACAGAACCTGGCATTGTGTGTTTGTTGAACGATTATGTGATCAAATGAATTGGTACTCACTGTCTCCAACCACTCACTTCTACAACACATAGACAGATTGAGCTATTTCACAAGAATTTCTTATCCGCAAATTAAAAGTTATCAAATTCAATGTCATGAGCAATCATAGTAGTCTGGAGTTCATCTTCACCTCTTTTTAAATATAGTATATGTAGCAAATTCCCCAAAAATATTTTGCCAGATTTCCACTGCCTCAATTTTAAAACTCAGGCGCACTATAAGAAATATGTAATCCATATGTCTCTGATTCATTTTTACCCAGTTCATCAAAATGCTGTTTTTGTATTAAATGTCAAAACGCCTTTTATGTCTTTATTTATGAGCCCTTTAAAGTTGTTATTTTTAAATGATGCTAGAACATGTTTTGCGAAATTTAAAATCTACAAAGGCATTTGTAATTCAATTCCAAACATCAGCTTCTGGGACAGTTAATTTTGTTTACTCCTGGGAAAATTCCTCTTTTCAAATATGGACTTTTAAGGTTATTTTAAGTATTCCACATTCTCATATTCTTCATGTTAAATGTGCTAATGAATGGAATCAGCTGTATGTACACAGAGAGTTTGGAAAAGCAATATGTGCCCTGCTCTCTCTTTCAAAGGAACACCTTGCTGTCTCGGTCATCTGATTCTGCCTCAACTCTATAAACTGGTGTGGGGAAAATAAGCCTGCTATGTGTTACCTATTTTTAAGGCTGAAACAAATTGCAAATTTTTCTTCTCTATAATTCTAGATAGTGCAAGCTTCTCTACATAGATATATACATGCTCAGCTTATTCCTCACATGCAAACTTCATCAAATCCTCTTCCTGTCTCTAGAGACTTCTTCCTGTTCTCTACTATTATTTAACTTTTCACTATGAGATTTAAAAATAAAGACGATAATGACCTAATGGAACCTTTCCATAACTCAAATTTCAGTGATAAACTGATTGTGCTTTGAGTTAAAATTTTAAAATATTTATAATAAAGCAGAATGTTAGCTAAAAATAAAAAAATTTATAAAAGTCAAGGTTATATTGTTTAAAAATCCCTATATTTGAAATCAGAGAACCTGAAAACCAGAGTAACATTTCTGATCGTAGATATATATATAATAATATATATATTATAGATATGTGTATATATATATAATCAGATAAACTCTGAACTCATTTATTAATCTAAAAAATGAGGATAATGATGCTTATACTACCTGCATCACACACTTATGAATATCAAATGCATAATATAACTTTTATAAACTACAAAAAATATTAATGATAATACTTAATATCTGGTATTAGCTGTTACATATTTTTATGTCAGTTTCAAAGAATGTAAACCTGTATAAATTCACTTCCTTATCTAATGTTTCCATTTCAGAGTAAAAGTACTTATATCCAGCCACTAAGGAAACTATGGGAAATTAGCTTGCCATAACTTTGAAACTCACAAACGGGAGGCCTCACGTGCTCATTGGCTCTGGTTTCATGCTCTTTCTCCTAGAGCCAAGGGTTTGCTAATTCCAAGTCACCTGCTAAGCAAGGGATACTAGTCTTTCCCTTCATAGAGAAAATGTCATCCATGTGGCACGGATAATTTTATATTCAATTTGTCAAAATGTTAATCATTTTAGGAACAGCACTTCCGGGGTTGAGCTGAGAAACATCATATTTCAAAGGCTTTGGTGAGGAGACCAATCATACAGCTAGAACACTCAGGCTTGGGCTGAAAAGCAACTCTGAAATTTGAACACCAACCAGTATAAATCCGTTGCTAGGTTAACAATGTTTTCTAGTAAACAAAGTTGCTTCTTCAATAACGCATTAAAACAGAATATTTTCTATTTATTCTTCTCTTACAGAATTCAAGGAAAAAACAAACAGCCTATCACCATAGCTAGGCCCCCTCTCTAGAAATCAGACAAGAAAAACTTGCATTGCATATCCGAATTAGTCTTGCATGGAGGAGAAATATCATGTTTCCATACCACTACAGACCTGACCCGGGTGTTAATTTGAATTTTAAGCAGAACCATGCTTTTGCTTGGGTCCGTCCCACCTGTCAGTGTATGGTAGGAGAACAAGATAATTACTTCCTCTTATTTCAAAATGCCAGACACCCAAGTAAGAGTCAATGGAAAATGAACAGAGCACCTGCATTAAATTTTATTCTAATAAGTCTAAGACTGAGTATCACTGGCATCTTGTTATGTTATTCAGGGAAATGGTGGCAGATGCCAGGCGAAGCCTACAAAAGGGTAGCACTACGATACAAGAGAACATCAGAAATGCACTGGGGAAGAACTTGCCTGCAGCAAGATGAAGTTGTATAATATATCATTCATTCACATGGCAGTGTTTCCTTCACAGAAAATACAAGGTTGAAATGCAAAGTTATTTAGTGAAGGAAAAGAGCAATGCTGTGCTCGCACTACAAAAAGTGTTTGTTTAGTCTGTCAAAATTCTAAAGATTGTGGACGTAAAGCCTTCTTTAAAAAGTCATGTCCAGAAGCTGGTATGGACTCCAGTCAGGGAAAATAATGATTTAAATCATTCAAATAGAGTTGATCAAGATAATCAACATGAGTCAAAATTACAAAGAAGACCTAGAAAATAGAGAACTCTAGTTGTGTGTGAATGTATGGGAGTGTGTGTGTGTGTGTGTGTGTGTGTGTGTGTGTGTGCGCATATTTTTCTGTAGGGACAATTGTGTGCCTGCATTTGCTGGCCATGGCACAGCCTTTCACATTCATTATAAGAATTAGATGAGAATATTTAATGACGTCTTTTTATCTTTCAAGTTCACCATAAAAGAAACAAGCCAGAATAGATTGTTACTGATGTACAAAGAAAGAGACTTATATCATCTTGTGGTGGTTTGTAGGATTTGGAAAATACATTCCCGAGACAAATGAAATCTAAGGACAGTCCCCAAACACTTACTTCAACACAATGCTTTCACTTATTACACTGCTGCCTTTTCTAGCTACAGAATGTCAATATGATCCAGCAGATAACTGAACATCTGCCCCAGGATCTGTCCTGGAACATGAAGGAAGAAGTTGAGGGAAGGAGCTGCATGAAAAGGTCACTATTACAGGCATCTCATTCGCTACATATGTTTAACGCATCTTAGTGTCTAAAATTATTAGTGTTGTAGAGGCAGCATTATGCTGTGAGCAAGGCACACGACTCAGAGTTGGGCAGCAGAACTAAGTTTAAATCCCAGACCCAACACTACCTGCTTATGTGACCTCAAGCAGTTTTACCCAACTTAAAGATTTCCCTAAGTTCTGCTGTCTCATTTGGAAACTAAACTTAATGATGCAAATGGTATCCTGAATGGTCCAATTACTACATGACTTTGAATCCAGATATTCAAAGAGTATATCATCTAAAAAATAAAGTTGGCAAGATTTTTTTCCCATTTGATGGTAAGAAAGACATCACGTAGATACCAGACACATCTTTCATCAGGAGGTGGAGAGTAGTAGAAGCGTGGAGGAGTAAGACAGTGTGTTCTCTGCCTCTTAGTCGCATGGTGACTTTTTTCAAGTACTTAACTGAACTTACTCTGCGCTCCCTCTGTGTTCCATCGGTAAGACGAGGATAACATTACCTACTTCTCAAGGTTTGAAATGTAAGAGATATACTGCCAAGACTCTGTCTAAAACTTCCCAAGGGCTCCCCATCTCCCAAAGAGTAAAGGACACGTTCCTGACAATGGACTGCGAACTCCTACGAACTTGACCTCTTATTAACTCTGAAGCCCCCAACCCTCCTACGGCACTCTGGTGACAGCCTCTGCACTTCTTCACTTTGCACTCTTCCCCAGACACCTAGGTGGCTGCTCACTCACTTCCTTCAAGTCTCTGCTCCAGGATCACCTGCTCAGTGGGGCTTTTACACTCATCTTATTTTGAATTGCAACTCTACTCTCCTGCTTTCTCTCCATGGCACTTACCACCTTCTAATACAATGAATTTTTTAAAATATATTGCATTTATTGTCTTAACTCCTTCCACTGGAATAAAAACTTCAGGAGGGCAGCAATTTGTATTAATTTTATTCCCTGCTGCATCTCTAAGGCAGAACCTGGTACTTGGGATCACTCAAGAAATATTTATGAGATGAACACATTTATTGTGCATTATCAAATGGCATGCTATCTATAATGGACAGTGCCTGGCACATGGTAAAACCTTAATAATGACAGCTACTAGTTCTGGAGGGTGAAGGTTGTAATCTTTGAAACTGTGAGTGGGTGTGCACTGCTTTGGGCCAGTCAACAGTGGGATAACACCGCGGTTACCACCAGGAACTAACTGGAAGGCCATGATCTATTGCTGGTTCTCTCTATGTCTCACCATGGACCTTGGGCACACCAGTCTCTGCCTCTGTAAACAGATACAATAATATCTACCCTCCAGGGCAAAGAGAAGCTAAGGAAGGCTCTGACTGTCACTTGATTTGCCATCACAGATGAAGCGTACACAGCATTTTTTAAAACATTAGATAAAATTAAAAATAATAGGAAAAACTGTAGCTTCTCTCACCTGATAATTTTTCTGGCTACTAAAGGCAACTTTCAGCCAGCACTCCCAGGCCCTGCCTAAGAGGGTTTCAGACACAACCTTTTTAGTTCGAGTTGCAGTTAAGCAGTAATGAGGGAAAACCAAGACTGAGACTTTCCTGGGGAAATCTAAGGATCATATTTGTCCATGGGGGCAAGTCATTCTTTTCATCAGGGTAGAAAAATACAAAGAAGGATATAGTGCTGGTTGCCTGTTCATTAACTAGGTAGAATTACTGCAGCAAGAAGGTTAATAATTACACAAGTAATTAACACTTCCTTCATTTTCATACTCTAATCCTATAGTTGCAGGATTTCAACTTTGGTCCCCGAGTCCGAAGGAAGATGAGAGCAGAATGGCAATGAATTGGATTGGCTTTGGAAAAGGAGCTGGGAAACAAGAAGATAGCCCTGGGTTTCTAACCACTTTCTAATGAACCACAACTGCAACACATGAACAATACCAGCAAGCACTTTAGTGTTTCCTGTGGGTTTTCTGTTGTTGTTAACAATTGCAAGTTTTTGTGGCAGCAAGAGCCATACTGTTGTGCGCCATACGGGTATTTGACACCCCAGTCTTCCCTAAGCCTCCACTCCTACCCTTTCACGCCTGCACACTGTATATTTGTTGTCACTGTTTATTAAAGATAACTATGCCCTAAGTCTTTATTTACTTCTGTTTATTGCTATTTTAACAAGAGTCACCAGAGAGCAGCTATGCTTCTGGTCCACTCGGGTTCTTTAATCACTGTTAGTAGGTAAAATCATCTGTGACAACTAATCCAAAAAGCAGATTATATTTATTTTGGCTACAGTGGCTTGCAATTCGTTAAAATCAACAAAGCCTTTTCATTAGCCCCCTGCTTATGTCCTAAAAACAGACATTTCAAGGGTCTCAAAGCGCTGAGCTACACATATGCAGCCAAGCTAATTCTGACAGATTCTCAGTGCCATTCTTAACACTAAATCTTATTAAACTAACAAACAAGAAACAGAACCCCTCTGCTTTCATACAAAGGCTTAATTAACATGCCTAAACTCCAAAATCAAAATCATAGCTGCAAAGCTCCCTGAATATGGAAACAAAACAAACACAGAGACTGTGTCATTCGTTAAGCAAGATTTACCAAAAATCGGGACTTTTCTGCATTTTTTTTTTCAAAAAAATAATGTGGGAAAGGATTAGAAATGAGAACCATGGTGCCTGTTACTCCATAGTTCTGCATGGGCATTCTAGCCTTCAAAAGCTGGGATTGTGATTAACTGGACTGTTGGTGGAGTCGGCAGATCCGAGCAGAGGATCAAGATCTTATTCCAGAGGTTGCCAGAGATTAGAAACAGTGGCAGCAGGTTTTAAGGACAGCATCATTCCATCAACATTCCATGCATCCGCTTTCTCCAACCCTCACTCCTACAACCACACTGCTGCATTTTTCAGGCATATTTCTTTTACTTGCCTGACCACCTGGCTGTCCAGTGTCACAATGAAGGGCCTCTTTAACACTGAATTGGATTTTCGGGTTCAGTGTCAGAAATGGGAGCGTTCCAGGAAAGATGCTCACGGCAGTGACTCAGCCATTACTGCACCACCAGGCAGTGGCCATAATTAATGAATGTATCAAAAGGTCTACTCAAGGAGCAAAGAAGGTAGACAATGATTTATGTTTACCTACGAAGAAGATTATTTAGCTTTGCAAGAGCTTTCAAAATGAGGGAGCCCAGAATTATTTAGAGATGGTGTGATACCTTTCCAAACCTGAAGAGAAATTCGAGGAGTGAGCAAGTGGATCCAGAAATGAAGGGCAGGGGGAGCAGACAGAGGAAGAGGTTTTCTCTCCCACATTTCCCCCTCCACAGCTCTGATTGGAAAGCTGCTATGATTTGTATATTTCCATGACTGCTACTGCAATGGAATTACTTGTTTGTCCCTCCAGCATAATCCTGAACATTGTCAAGGATGATTACCAGATGATACTTCACGCAAGTCTCTATCCTAACATGCAGATTTCCACTGGTTGAAAGGGGAGGCCAAAAGCAGCCCTCGAGAGCAATGGCTCACTTGGTTCTTAAATGCACATGTGACAAGCACATCAGGCTGCCTCCGAGACCAAAGGGTCCAATTCGCCTCCACAAGGGCCAGTGTCCAGCAGCCCCTTCAGCCAGGGCTTTGGCTTCTTCTGGTTCATTCCATAAGCAAAAGAGCTGTCTGTTAGAGCAGATAATAAAATCCAGCCTAGAAGGAAAATCCACATGCAAAGCCTCTCTCAAATCAGAGTTTTGTCCACAGGGAAAAGTGAGCCACATCTGATATAAAAGTTATCATTTTGCCTCTCCATAATTAAAACTATTGTTGCCATGGCAATCCAAAGAGTGTTGCAAATACAGGAAAGGCTCATGTCATGGCTTTTTGTTGTTATTGATAGAGTTTGCAGCTCCAGCCACGGTGTATTTATGACAGGGTGGAAATGTGACTTGGGCAAACAGGAAGCCGTAGCGGGTGAGGTGAGAAACTCTAAAACTTCATTATGTACCCAAGATACTCTTTTCAATTGTTCCTCAGCCCCTAGCCTGACTTACTCCATAGATAATAAAAGTATATGGTCTTTCTGATGCATATTTACATCTAGTAGCTCTCCCCAGCATACCCCAAAGCTTCCTGGTTTTCTTCTGTATCATCTGCTACTATTTACCCAAGAAGATTTCCAGGTCCTTGAAACAGGTCCCTTTTCTGAGCCACCTTATCAAGCAATAGGAACCACAGGCAGTTCTCCCGCAGGGAGACAAAGGTTTGGGGACTTAAACAGGATGGCTCAACAGGCTGCATGACTGTTGTTATAAAAACATGTTGGCCAAGTGTGGTGGCTCATGCCTGTAATCTCAGCACTTTGGGAGGCCGAGGCGGGCAGATCATGAGGCCAGGAGTTCAAGACCAGCCTGGCCAACATGGTGAAACCCCGTCTCTACTAAAAACACAAAAATTAGCTGGGCATGATGGTGTGCACCTGCAGTCCCAGCTACTTGGGAGGCTGAGGAAGGAAAATTGCCTGAACCCGGGAGGCGGAGGTTGCAGTGAGCTGAGATCACGCCACCACACTCCAGCCTGGGGGACAGAGCGAGACTCCGTCTCAAAAACAACAACAACAATAACAATGACAAACATGTTGAGACAAGCGAGACAGCAGCGGTTCCCGGAAGGAGTATTTCAATTTTATATCTTCTAAGGTTATTCTCAAATACAAGAGAAGAACATGCCCCTGAGGTTTTTCTGTTTTTGGGGGGACAGGGATTGGGTTTTTGTTTTTTTGGGGTGGGGGCGGAATGCTCCTTCTTTTCCTGGTTTATTCAAAGTGGGTCTGCTCGGCTGGGTGTGGTGGCTCACTCCTGTAATTCCAGCACTTTGGGAGGCCGAGGAGGAAGGATCGCCTGAGGTCAGGAGTTTGAGACCAGCCTGTCCAACATGGCAAAACCCTGTCTCTCCTAAAAATACAAAAATTAGCAGGCGTGGTGGTGTACTCCTGTAATCCCAGCTACTTGGGAGGCTGAGGCAGGAGAATCACTTGAACCCGGGGGGTGGAGGTTGCAGTGAGCCAACATCGCACCATGGCACTCCAGCCTGGGCAACAGAGCTAGACTCTGTCTCCAGAAAAAACCAAAGTGGGTCTGCTCTTCACAGTTCATGATCACCTCAGGAGAAAACAATCTGAGCGAGCATGAGAAAAAGGCCACACAAACAACTCCACAGCCCTCAGACAGCCCTGAAATCTGGTACAGATCTGCAAGCAAAACGCTGGGATGGATGGACCAGTGTTTTCCAGACTTGCCAGACCCAAAGGAGCACCTCGGGCACTTATTAGAACACAGATGCCAGGCCCCTGCCCTCGAGCTGCTGCTTCCGCAGATCTGCACACACCTGGGAAACACCAGATCAGATGAATTTGGCCAGGTGCTCTAAGGGACACACCACACTCTCATAACTGAGTAAAAAATTAAATCCAGAGCCAAAGAAACTGAGGAGACAGAGGACTTGTTCCCTGGCCTGTTCTGTGGGAACAGGTACTTCAGCTCAACCACTTTCCATCCCAGGAAAACTGATAACACCTATGAAAAAAAAAAAAAAAAAATCACTCCTGTTTCGTTCCTGTGACTCTTACACATGAAATGTGAATCCATGGAGTCCAAAGACCAAATGGTTTGGCAATATTTATTTGGCAGAGGAGCGAAGGGGAAAAAGTTACATTTAATTTTAAAATTTTATTTTTCAATGAAAAATAATAGGAGAGAAACTAGCCATTTAAAACTCTGGAAAATCAACTAGCTACTTTTTTTGTGGTCTGAGAGGGACATTGCACTTGCAGCCATAGAGATACAAAAAAAAGTATAATGTTTCACTTAATGCTGAGGACAGTAGCTCAAGATGTTGAAAGAAGCATATAATATTTCCCCTGGGGGATCTGAAGGTAGCAGTGTAGGTGACAAAAAAGCCTGGAAGATTGAGGTAGAGAAGGAAGCTTTCATCCGGTCAAATGAGTAGCCAGAGCGCCGGGTGGAATGCTGAATGCTGAATGCTGAATGCTGAATGCAGCATGCTGTCACTAAGCGAGCTCTCCCTGCACGAAGAATAGCCCAACAGAGCTCCAATTACTATATTTCATGGACACTCTGTCTCACTGGAATACAGCTTGTTGGGGGATTAGTGTCTAGAGAGAAATTCTCAAATAAACTTTTATTAAAAGACTAGATGCTTAGAAATGGCAACTGCTTCTTTTTAATTCTGAAAGCAATCCGAACCATAACTCAAGAGTTCTGCCGTCTGATAACTGAGTAAAATCCAATGCTGTTCCTGAAATTTTATAGACACTCCTCTCTTTCTAAGTACATGAATAGTGTATATACACTCTTCAAAGGCTCGATTTTTCTCTTTTGTAGCAAAATGGCAAGAGCCTATGGGAATGCGGTGCCTGGGGCAATGTTCCTTTTTGCTTAGAAGGGACCTGCCTGCTAATCACCTGCAAGTAATAATAGACTACAAGGGAGGGAGCCTGAAGACGGCCCCTCACCACCCTGAAGGGCAAGGGTTAAGTAGAAACAAAGGGAGGGAGGCGTTCTTGGCCTGAGGGAGCTCTGCAAAGTGACCAGTGAGAATATCCCCAAGGATGGATCCAAGGGGCTGAGGAGCAGCAGTTAAAGATCAGAGGCAACTTGAAATGGGCCAACGTGCTGAGCTTCTGAACTAGAAAGAAAAAGGATAATACTTCCAAAAGGCTAACACAATCTTAGGGCCAGCCATATCTTGGAAAGTGACTTGCTCTGCCTTTAGGCTGAGAGGTTGAGCTTGATGGCTAAGGCACGCCATAGGCCCCTCTCTGCAGGCTGAGAAATTTCCTTCAGGAATATGGCATTCTTTTACTCCAAGGCAGGACTGGTGCCATACTGGATGCTGGCACCGCGGGACGGGGCTCCCAGATCATGAAGGAGAGCACTAGCTTTGCATGGGATATGACGAAATCTGGCTATTCTTACTGGTGTACTTTAACCCAAGAGAACTTAGAGCAGACAATTCAAAGGGCATTAAAGGCTTAGAAAACTGTAGCTAAGAAGTTGTTAAGGGAAAAGAGTTTAATCCAGTTCCAATCTTTAACTTCGAAAGAATTCAGGCACATGAGGGATTTTCATGGGGTGAGTTTTAGTAATTCTTTTCCAGTTACTGAAAAGACAAAGAGAAGAAAAGGGCTCAAAATAGTCTAGTTAAAAAGAAGAAAGTCTTGACCATGAGGGATTGGAACCTAATGGTGACCGTGGAATCTCTTCCTTCATATTGTTGTTAATTATAGAATAGATATGCATCAATCTTGTGCTGAGGGCTCTCCCTGCATGAAATTTGTAGAATGGCTTTGAATTGATTGACTCTTCCTTCACCATTGAATTTTTCCCCTGTAAAATATCTGTGGGCAAACTCCCTTTTAGCCTCCACTTTTTCTCACCTCTTTTCCCCAGTGTCTCCTCTCAGAGGATGTCTCAGTTTTTTCTGCCCCTTCTAGCCATCCCACTCCTCCATTTCAATAACAAGGGAAGGTTAAAAAGAGGAGCATCTCTCAACCCCACTTCTCAATATTTACTATCATTAAGAAACTCACAGCATCCATCTTCATTGCCTTCTTCACGTCAAGACTGCCATGACCCATTGGGAACATCTCCTCTTCTTCCTGTCACAGCCTCCATGTTCGTGGACATTTTTTATGAGTTTCCTAAGCACATTGATGATTCTTCCATCTATCCTTTCCTTCCCTGATTAAATCCTCCAGCTGCATGCCACTGACCATCACCCAGGTTACTAGATTACATGGAGGATTATGTATTTTAGGATTTAAAACAATGGTCTCCTATGGAAACAATCCAAATATTAATCAACAAACAAATGGAAAAACAAAATGTGGTCGCTACATACAGTGAATATTATTAAGCCTTGGAAAAGATTAGGATTCTGATACATGCTACAGCCAGGATGAACCTTGAAGACACTACTCTGAGTGAAATAAGCCAGATACAAAAGGACAAACATTGTATGATTTTACGTATTTGAGGCACCCAGAGTAGTCAAATTCATAGAGACAGAAAGAATGGGGGATGCTAGGGATAGGAGGAGAGCGGAAATGGGAATTATTGTTGAATAGGTACAGAGTTTCAATTTGAGATGATGAAAAATATCTAGAGATGGATGATGAACAAGAATGGGAATGCACTTAATGCCACTGAACTGTATGTACACTTAGAAATGGCTAAAGTAGTTAATTTTCTCACCACAGTTAAAAAAAAATACTGGAAAAAAAACCACACTGGTCTCCCAAGTTTGAATGTGAATGTTCAAGTCACACCTGATTGTTTCAGAAGACACTTGTCAGGCTCTGTTAACAATTGGTGGTAAAAGTTGGTCACTCAAATTTCTTCCTTCCTTGCTTCCTTCCTTCCTTCCTTCCTTCCCTCTTTCCCTTAAGAAATATTTATTGTGCAACTACTCTGTGACAAGTACAATACTAAAAGATGTGACTCAATAGAATTCACAACCCAGAAGAGAAAAGGGGCCATCAAAAAGGCAATACATCTCCCATCAAATTTTAAACATAGGAAATGAATGCTTGGAAACATATAATGAAGACTTCACCCAGTGCGTGTGTGGAGGGGAGCTGGGAGAGGGAGTGCTTGAAGAAATGTTTTTAAGCTGAGACCTGGAATTTGAATAAGAGTTGGGCAAAAAAACAAGGAGTATGTAGAAGAACATTCCAGACAGAGAGAATGGCATTTGAAATGAAAAAGAATGCAAGGCTTAGTGCATCACAGGTGGTTTGGCTTTGCAGGAGTTTAGGAAAGCAGAGAAGTACGTGATGAGGCCTGAAAGGTGGGCAGAGTGCAGACCACAGGGGGCCTAGGAGATGGCATTAAGACTTTTAGACTTTTTGTCCTAAATGCCAAATGAGAATATTGGACCAGACCCCCCAGGTCTCTTCCTCCTTTATGATGCTATTCAACTATAAAATGCTACATCTGTGATCCCTTTCCAAGCACAACTGCCATGCCAGTCCTGCCATCAACCTCCCCATGTTCTCATAGAAACCGTACCTGATTTCCAGCCCTCAGGAAACCCCCTAACACCCATACTGTATCACTCTTACCTTATCTAAGTTATTAGTCACCACCTGATTTCATTGGACATCCTTCCTCTCTGAGTCCAGGAGAGACCCCTCACCACTGTCCTCACCTCATGGACATTCTGCCAAGTTTAATATGTCATCTTCCTTTCTGACTCACATCCCCTTTGAAGAACCTTTCTCTGACTCACTTCTCCCTTTTCTCACACATCCTTATTTTTCTCTTGCATCTTTAATCTCCCTTCTAACCTCCTTCCTTCTGCTTCAGATATTCTGGGTCTCTTCTATATCCATATTGCTTTTTGGTTCTCAAGTGCAAAGGAAGATGTGAACATGGCTCATTACCAATTCATTCTATTTAACTTCAACTTTGCCCTCCCCCATGAATACCAGGTGATCCATTTATTCATCCCCTGAGCATTCCCCAGCTCACTTCCTTCTGAGGTTTATTTAGAATTACTCTCTCCTCAAGCTTCAACCCCCCATTTTCAGACTGACTTTACATTCTATTTATTCTGTGGGCGTCCTCTCTGCCCTTGCCTCTGCTGCCCATGGGTCTGTTTCTAGAGATAAGTTTAGTCTTCTAGTCTTTGTCAGGGTGGATGAGACTTCACTGTGTTAAAGACCTGGAAACTGCAAAGACGTATAAGACATAGTTCTTGTCCTTCCAGAAATTTCAATCTAGTTAAGAACCTGTAGAAATACAGTACTATAATACATTGTTGTTTCAGCATGAGTCTTAAATAGTACTGACAGACACTTCAACATCCAGATTTCTTCTAGCTCAAGGAGTCAGGAAAGGCTGCAGGAAGGAGGTGACATTTAAGCTGAGCCTTGAAAGATAAATGGGACTCCAGTTAGCTTGTCAAAGAGTAATGGAGAAGGCCCCAAAAAGAAGGAACTGCAAATGGGAAGCATTGCCTGTAGAACACACAAGGTTCCACAATGATTACGATTTTTAAAGTGAAGAAGAGCAACTAGAAGTGGGTGATGGGATAATGCTGTGGAGAGCTTAACTGCCCAATGAGGACAGATCTCACCAGAGATAATGGGAACTCATGTGATTTTTGTAAGGAAAGCTGGCATGTTAAGCGATATTATTCTAGTGTGGCTGATGTGGGACTTGGAAGTTGAGAGGCTAATGGCCAAGTTCAGTGAAGGGGCACCTGTCACTGTCTGGTCCCAAAGCATCTAGGAGAAGGTACATGGATATTAAAGATGACATGCACGTTTCTCCTAATTCTCATATGAGGATCCTTGTCCCTTGTCCATCCCTAATCATTTTGGGGGAAGGTATTCCTTACCCTTATTGACTTATTATTTCATTTTTTCTAACCTCACCTTCAGAACTTTCTTTGTCTTCAGCTTAAAATACCTTTCTCTGGCCTACCCTTTGTGTAAAATAAGAGAAATTCAGGAAAATAATTCTCCCTTCCTATGAAAAATGTTTTCCCTTGACCCACACTGAGAAACTGCTCCTTCCTTATTCTGGAAAATGGACTCTGTCTTCCCAAAGTTTTCCAGCTCCCTGACTTGCTCTTTCCTTCCCCTGGAAATCTTCCCACCCCTGCTGCCTCAGCCTTAGAGGTTCAGCTGGGATGTTGCTCTCAGGAGGACCAGCTGCACCCCGCCTCCCAACTGGCCCAATTGGCCCAGGTGCCCTCCTCAGGGTTCTCCTGGGACTCTGAACACCCTTGGTTACTGCACTGATCACACAAAGCAGAAATCCCTGTGCTCTGCAGTCATCTCTCCAACTTGTCTATGAGCTGTGGGAAGCAGGGATCATGTTGAAAAGACATACAAAATATTTAGAATAAAAAGATTATTTTTCTTTCTTTCAGAGGAGAAGCCAATCTAATCAAGACAGAAAAATGAGAAACCACAAAAAAAAAAAAAAACACAAAATAAATACATTTGACTTCTTTTCTATCATGAAAGATAATTCAAACCAAAATTAAAAGGTGAAAATAAGGCCAGGTGCGGTGGCTCACGCCTGTAATCCCAGCACTTTGGGAGGCCGAGGCAGGCAGATCATGAGGTCAGGAGTTCAAGACCAGCCTGGCCAACATGGTGAAACGTGGTCTCTACTAAAAATATAAAAATCAGCCGGACATGGTGGCGTGCACCTGTAATCCGAGTTACTCAGGAGGCTGAGGCAGGAAAATTGCTTGAATCCAGGAGGCAGAAGTTGCAGTGAGCTGAGATTGTACCACTGCATTCCAGCTTGGGAGACAGAGTGAAACTCCATCTTTGGGGGTGAAAAAAAGGTAAAAATAAAATAAGGAATCATTTTTAGAACACATTTAAGAAAAAGAGGTTAATATTGTTAGTACACAAGAAGTTTCAACAAAGAAGGAAAATGACAAGATTTCAATAGAAAAAAAAATTGGCAAGGCAGTAAATCCATGTAAAGAAGTTACAAATGACCAATAAAATTGTAAAAGATCTTCAGCTTCATTAATAATTTTAAAATTGCAAATTGAAGTAAGATACTACTTCCCGATAATAAATTGACAAAAAGTAAGGTCTGTTAGAACCATGGGTAACTAGGATTTGCGTCCTCGCACAATTTTGGTAGGGGTGTGTGTGTGTGTTTGTGTGTATGTGTTTAGAGACAGGGTCTCTCTTGCTCTGTCCCTGAGGCTGAGGTGCAGTGGTGTGATCATGGCTCACCACAGCCTCAAATTCCTGAATTCCTGAGCTCAGGTGATCCTCCCACTTCAGTCTCCTGAGTAGCTAGGGATACAGGTACATGCCACCAAACTTGTTTTTTTTTTTTTTTTTTTTTTTTTTTGGTAGAGAAAAGGATCTTGCTACATTATGCAGCCAGGTATCAAACTCCTGGCCTCAAGCAATCCTCCCACTTTGGCCTCCCAAAGTGCTAGAATTACAGGAATGAGCCACCATGTCCAGCCAATTTATATAATTTTTTTAGATCCACAGACAATTTCTTATAAAATTGAAAATATAGATACACTTTGGCTTAGCAATCCTACTCTAGATAACTATCCTACAGGAGTAAGACCACAAGAATTAAAACATTTCCTGCTTTCAAATCACAGCTCTTCTACTTGGCCAAAGCTTTTATCTTCTCTGTAACTCAATTTCTCCATCTTTGAAATAGGATAACAGCAACTACCTCATAGGACTGTTTCCAGGATTAAATGATTTATTATATTTAAAGCACTTAAAAAGTGTGCAACATATAGAAAATATTATAGTCATTGTTATTCCCATTTTCCAAATTTTCTATATTGACAATATATGCTAATTATAATAAAAAAGTATTTAAAGGAAGACAACGGCTCCCAATTATTTCTAAATGGACTATAAACCATTGGCCTAATTTAATGAGATGGAGCCACTTTTCTAATGTAGCCCTGCCTTCTCAAAGTTTTTCACTTAGGCTTTCTAATTTTCTAGCCCCACCTCTATTCCCACCCCATGCTCATCTGGTAAATTTTAAGAACTGGCTCTCAAATGAAAAAAAAAAAAATTCGTTTGAAAATTTGGGGCACTGTCAATTTCTGTGGTGTAAATACTCCCTCCATGGCTGATTTGAGCTACCAACATGACATGGTGAACATGGAGCTGATGAGGAGATGCAGAGAAGTGCAGTATTCCAGACTTTCCGTACCTCAAGAACATGGATAAGACCAAAATGTGGTGAAGAAGAATAATTGGAAAGTGATTAATTTGCAGTATTTATTACTTTTGGTTTTAACATACTGACTTATTATATGTTCATATCATTCAATTTTTAAGAAAATTAAATTATAACTGGATCACAAAATTCCTAGAAATTTAACAAGTGATTCTCTTAGTAAGAACAGGCTCTGGTGCATCACTGAACTCTCTGCTTCAAGAGCTCTGCACTTGTATTCCTCAATTGCATTCTCCCTTGGACTATAGCTTTGCCTCCCTCCTGGTCTGCTCCCCCATCTTCCCTCCACTGACCCCTGGCCTATCAACCCTGCAATGTCTTCTTGCAGGATGTCAGCACCCCACTGGCCCGTTCCTTGCCCGATTCTGTTAGCAATTTTGAAGAATACTATACATTTAGCAGCTCAGTATGCGTATTTTATTAACCTTATTATTGACTATTTTGTGTATCATCCTTTCTCCCAACTCTTTCTCCCAAAGTTAGATGATATTTGTGTATTAGTCTGTTCTCACGCTGCTGATAAAGACATACCAGAGGCTGGGGGTGGTGGCTCACGCCTGTAATTCCAGCACTTTAGGAGGCTGAGGTGGGTGGATCACTTGAGGTCAGGAGTTCAAGACCAGTCTGGCCAACATGGCGAAACCCCGTCTCTACTAAATATACAAAAATTAGCCGGACGTGGTGGCAGGGACCTATAATACCACCTACTTGGGAGGCTGAGGCAGGAGACTTGCTTGAACTTGGGAGGCGGAAGTTTCAGTGAGCCAAGATCACTCCACTCCTCTCCAGCTTAGGAGACAGAATGAGACTCCATCTCAAAAATAAAAAGAAATACCCGAGACTGGGTAATTTCTGAAGAAAAGGTTTAATGGACTCACAGTTCCATATGGCTGGGGTGGCCTCACAATCACGGTGGAAGGCAAAAAGCATGTCTTACATGGCGGCAGAAAAGCGAGAATGAGAGCTAAGAG